>NC_000009.12:113845552-114470552 GCF_000001405.40 Homo sapiens | reverse complement strand
CACCCCTCTCCTGCTTCCCGTTTCCAGGAGTCTTCCTGCAGTCCACTTTGGAGCCTGTCACTGTCCTGCTCATAGCCCAGCCTCTTAGCCTGGCTCATGGCACCCTCACCAGGGAGGTGAATCTCAGCCATTTCCCCCACTCTCCTGCCACGCTCTGGCCATACAGGACCCGTGTGGTGACTCTTCGGGGCTGCACGCTGTCCTGTGTGTGGGCTTAGCACATGCTGTTGCTCCTGGAATGGCATCTTCCCTCTTCTGTCCCTGGCTGCCTCCCCACCCCGCCCCAGCCTTCAAGTCTCATTGGTCGTATTTCTGGGGAGCTCTGCCTTTGGCTGGGCTCCTGGGAATAGACTCTGAGACAAAGATTTGCCTGAAAAAGGATTATAAGTGTATCCTCAAGTCTGAAGGTATCCACCTCCTCCTCCCTGGAACCTGTGAGTGGAACCCTTATATAGCAAAAGGGATGTTGCAGATGTGAGTACGTGATGGTCTTGACGTGGGGGATTGTCTGGGTGGGCCCCGTGTCATCACGGGGGTCCTTGCAAGATGTAATCAGGAGGTCAGAGAAAGGGAGACGTGATGCAAAAAGCAGAGAGCAACTGATTGGAAGATGCCGTGCTGCCAGCCTTGAAGATGGAGGATGGGGCCATGAACCAAGGAATGCAGGTGGCCCCTAGAAGCTGGAAGAGGCAAGGAAGCGGGTTCTCCTCTGGAGCCTCTAGGAGAAGTGTGGTCCTTTTGGCACACTTTATACTTCCAACCTCCCAAACTGTCAGATAACAAATCTATGTTGCTCTTAGGCTCTGACTGTGGTGATTTGTTACAGCGGCGGCAGTGCCCTGGGGTCAACACTGGCAAAGGAGTGAGAGACACAGGGCAGGGCTGCCGTGCCTTCTCAGCACGGATCTCGGCAGGTCCCACAGGGAGCTCTGGAGCTGGGATGGCCTGCAGAGGTGTCCAGAATTGAGGCTGGGGCTGGCTTTTACCCACCGCCATCAGCCACTAGCCACAGAGCTGCCTCCAGGGAGGGTTGTGACCCTGGTGAGGTGCTCCCTTGGCCTAGGGCAGTTCTTGAGGAGAGACTCGCTGCCCTGAGGAGGAGCGCCTTGGTCCTGGAGGGGGAGCAGTGTCCCGTCCTGGGTGGCCTTGTTCTTTCCTCTCAGCATTCTCTTACCACCCGGTGACTCCTGAGCTTCTGGAGTGACCCAGCACAAGGCCTAGCACAGACTCCAGGCTCGAAAGCCTGTAGATGGAACTCCAGCCTGGCTCACGTCCACATGGTGGTCCCAGCCTGCACAGCAGCCCACAGTCATCATCTCCCCTGAGGAAGGCCACACCTGCTTTCCAGGTCGCACCTGCTGGCTTGGCTGAGATGCCACTGTGAGGATAACGACAGCCACTGTTTCCTAGTGCTTCCCTGTGCCAGCCACGACCCTACGCACTCTACACAAATGGACCCATTCATCCCTCACAGCAGCCCAAGGAAGTGAGCGTGACTGGTTTCCCCATTTTCTAGATGAAGAAACTGAGGCACAGAGAGGTGAAGCAACTTGGCCGGGGCCACATACCTAGCAAGTTGGCAGTCTGGCTCCGGAGCCTGAACATGCATTAACCACCATGTGGTTTCCTCCCAAATATGCAAAGCTGCCTGTGACAAGGGACCAGGGTGGGCCTTGAACCCAGGTGCCCTCAGATCTGCTCAAGCCTTGGAGCTGGCACAGCACTGGGGCAGGATGGGTCAGATCATGGGGGCTGGGTTACTGTTCCCAAGTGTCCGCAGAGCCTGCTGTTTCCAGAACATCTGTCTAACCAGTGGCTGCATGTGGGTCTCCTGCTTGCTTCCTGCAGAGCCCTGTGGGCCTCACCAGGGCCCTCCTTACTAATGTGGTCATTCTGTCTGAGGAGAAAACTGGGGCTGGTCCTGGACTAAGGCAGCTGGGCCCATCCCACAGAGCAGTGCCCTCCTGGCACCATCCCACATGGGATAGACCACCCTGACAAACCGCAGAGTCTGCCATCTTGGAACGAAACCCTGGAGAGTCACTGTCTATTGGACTCTTTCCTGACATCATTTGGCAACCAGTAGGAGCAAAGCCACCGCTTTTTGTTCCCAAGCAGTGGTCCCAGATAGGGTCCCAGAGAGAAGCAGCAAATTAAAGAGTTCAGAGTTCCAGAGGTGGGCAGAACCCAGGTCTGACTTGGCCATGAGTTGGCTGCGACTGTGTGACATTGTCAGGTTTCCCAACAAGACTTGTCATGTGTGCAACAGAACCAACAGTAGCTCATACTTACTGAGCATCTGCTAGGGGCCAGAGAGTGGCCACATGCTCTCACTTGTCTCTTAATTTGATCTTCTTCATGGTAACCTTATAAGACAGGCAGATATTATTGTCCTCATTTTCAGGTGAGGAGGCTGAGGCACAGAGAGGTTAAGTAACTTGCTCAAGGTCACACAGCTGTGCCCTCCCCTGGGAAGCTGGGACTTGAGTCTCTCTTGTTCACCACCTCTGCCCAAGGTGGTTGAAGAATTCAATGAGATAACACATTTAAAGGGCACAGAACACTTGATAACTCTTGGACGAATAACTTCCGAAATAGAAATCTGGTTGGATGGCTTTCCCTAATGAAATGTGTCTTTCCTGGTGCCTGAAGGTTCTCCCACCGCTCCCTGTCCCGTGGGCAGTCACACTGTGCTCTCTTTGGATCCCTTACCTGTCACTGGGTCTTGTGGCCAGGTGTTTCTCGTCTCTTTGGGCTAGGTTTCAGCTATTCTGGTCCCCTGCTTTCTTTTCCATGAATCCCTCTTTCATACCGGAGACACACTTAACCTGCATGTTCCTGCAGCTTCCCTCATGGATTAGGAACCGTTCTAGAATCTGCCCGCAGCCACCCCTTGCGTGTCCTTGTGAGCCCCACCCTGTCCCCCAGCACCTGCTGTGGCCACTGCGACTCACCTCCTCCCGGGCGGGACTTGCTCTCCTGAGCACTGACTTGAGCCGTCCCATATTCTGGAATGTTCCATTTTCCCTTCCCCCCCGCCGGCTGACTCTCGCTCACCCTCCCGTCTCATCAGAGATGCCACTTTCTCCAGGAAGCACCCCCCCACGCCAGTCAGGACCATTGCCCCTTCTCTGTACCCATGTGGCCCTCGAGCCACTTTGTCACGCGCTGCTCACACTGTACCGTGAAGGCCTGTTGACTGTCTGTACCACTAGACTGCGGGCCCCTCAGGAGCAGGACTGTGTCTGTCTCATCTCCAAGCCCCAGCACCGGGACTGCATTTAGTGGGTGCACCCTATGTATGTAGAGCCAGGGACCATCATGGTCCCTCAGGATGGATGGCAGAGCAGAAGACCCCTGGGGAGACAGCAGACGTCAGGAGAAATAGACCCCCCCAGGTGATAGGAGACCCCTGGGGAGGCAGGAGACCCCAGGAGAAATAGGAGACTCCTGAAGTGACAGGAGACCCTTAGGTGACAGGAGACCCCTGAGGTGATAAGAGATCCCTGGGGTGACAGGATACCCCTGAGGTGACAGGAGACCCCTGGGGTGACAGGAGAACTCTGGGGAGGCAGGAGACCCTTGGGGAGACAGGAGACCCTGAGGTGACAGGAGACCCCTGAGATGATAGGAGACCCCTGGGGAGGCAGACCCCTGAGGTGACGGGAGACCCCTGAGGTGACAGGAGACCCCTGGGGAAGCAGGGTGGTGGCTGCCGTGACCTGGCCTGAGCCTTGATCCTAAGGAGGGCAGATGGAGCCTAATTGAGACCCCGGGGCGCGAACAGTCACCCCCCGACTGAAGCCTCAGGTGAACGTGGCCACTGTGGCGTGAAGAGCATGAGCAAAGTGTCTGAGTAGTCCCGGGTGTTGGCCCTGAGGGGATCCCGGAGGCCATCTCCCTCAGCACCTTCCCCCCACTACACTTGCAGCTGTGACCAAGAGGGGGTGAGGGGCTTCCTCAAGGTCACCCATCAAGTCAGAGGCAGAGCTGGGGCAGGAACTGGAATGTTCTAGGGTATCTTCCAGGCCTTGGCCTGGGCCTCCTTGCCAGTCGGATAAGATGCGCTCTTCAAAGTACGAGAGGGGGCTTTGCAGCCTGCTGTCCCCGGAAGGGATGGCTCCTCCAGTCCCTCTAATGTTATCCTCTCCCTCTGACAGGTGAACCTGGTGCTGGGGGACGGCCGGTCCCTGGGCCTCACGATCCGTGGGGGAGCTGAGTACGGCCTTGGCATTTACATCACTGGCGTGGACCCAGGCTCTGAAGCAGAAGGCAGCGGGCTCAAGGTGAGGGAGGGCCTGAGGGAGGGAAAACTCTGTGCATGGAGCTCTTTGCTGCTGATTTTAAATAGACCTCCAGCAGAGCAATCAGCACTCCACCTTGAGGACTGGTCCCAGCTGGGGAGCCCTCCCTGGCTGCTGTACCTCTAAATTCACAGCTCACAGCAGCAGCGGGGTGGCCGCCTACGCAGTGTGGGCAGCAGGCCAGCCCGAACTTGTCGTGCTGCTGTTTTGCAAACACTGCTGATGGCCTGTGGTGGCCCTGACCTCAGGGTTTGTTACGATGCGTGGAGAGGATAGAGGAGAGAAAGTGATAAGCTGGGTTGGGGGTGCCCTGGGCAGCTTCAGGCCTGGCATTCAATCCAGACAACCAGCAGTTATTGAAATATTACTGGCTCCCATTTTAAAGAGGGCTAACTGTGTGCCCAGCGTCTGTGATCTACTTTTCACATGTCATCTAGTTGACTCCTCACGTGACCCTGAGGGGTAGGGTATTACTACCCACATTTTCCAGTTGGGGAAACTGAGACATAGGTTAAACTGACTTGTCCCAGGCCACACAACTGGTGGGTTGCAGAGCAGACTTTGAACTTAGGCAGTCTGAATTTCAAAACCCTCACTTAGCACGCTGCAGGGTAGCCCGGGAACTTGCTCAGAGAGACAAGACTGCTCACGAGGATGCTGGACCCAGGACACCCATCACCAAATTAAAGAGCACCATGTGTTTGGGCTAAATCCTGATGCCAGGGATGCCACAGCAGCAGTGATGTGGAGTGGTGACCATGGCACAGGTGGCCTTTGAGCCAGGCCATGGGGAGTGTGAGAGAGAGGGATGGGTAAAGGGGAAGGATGGGAGTGGCTGGCCAAAGGACCATGCGTGTCTGACTGTTGGTGACTGACTAGATGGATGCCTAGTCTGTGTGCAAAGCCAGGGGAATGAAGCACATGATGAGGTTGTATCTTTGTAACAAAGGGCCTTCCTTGCATGCCCTAATATCAGGAGATTTCATTTTCCATGCAGACAAGAAGAAAAGGTCACATGTGGCCACCAAGCCACATCATGGCAGACAGGCTGGAGTACAGAGACGATACGTCTGTCAGGTTCTCTTAGGAAACAGGCATTGTGGGAAGAGCTCTGGGTTTGCAGTAGGGAAGACTAGGTTCAAGTCCCAGTTTTGCTGCTTTTGCTTTCATAGCTGTGTGATCTTGGAGAGTCCCTCCACCTGTCTGGGCTTCCCTTTCCTGTATAATAACACTACGTAAGCCCTCACCAAACACTGAACCTGCTGGCATCTTGATCTTTGATTTCCCAGCCTCTAAAACTGTGAGACATAAATTTCTGTTGTTTATAAGCTACCTAGTCTATGGTACTTTGTTATAGCAGCCCAAAGGGACAGACAGACGACATCATCATCATCATCATCATCATCATCATCATCATCATCATCATCATCATTATGGACATAATCATTAACATCTACCATATCTCCCCTTTCCCAGTTACTCTTCCAAGTGTTTTACATCATTAACTTGTTTAACCTTGCTTCCCTTTACTATATAATAATAATAGGTAACATTCCTTTCTCAGGGTTATTGCAAAGATCAAATGGGGAATTCTTATTATTATAGTAAACATTGCCACAGATTGTGTTCCTCCAAAATTCATGTATTGAAATCCTTACCCACAAGCTGATAGTATTAGGAGGTGGGGCCTTTGGGAGATGATTAGGTCATGAGGGTGGAGCCCCACGAATGGGATTAGTGCCCTTATAAAAGAGGCTCCAAGAACTGCCTCGCCCCTTCCACCATGTGAGGACACAGTAAGAAGGCACAGTCTATGAACCAGGAAGTGGGCCCTCACCAGACACTGAACCTGCTGGCGTCTTGATCTTGGACTTCCAACCTCCAAAACTGTGAGATGTAAATTTCTGTTGCTTATAAGCCACCCAGTCTGTGGTACTTTGTTATAGCAGCCCAGATTGACTCAGACAAACATCATTATCATCATTGTTATAGACATGGTAATTTACATGGATCGTGTGTCTTCTTTCCCAGATGCTCTTCCAAGTGCTTTATGTCATTAACTTGTTTGACCTCATGATACTCCCGTGAAAGTAGGTTCTGTTGTTAGCACCATTTTATGTCTTTATTTTTAATTTTTGTGGGTGCATAGTAGGTGTGTACATTTGTGGGATACATGTGGTGTTTAGATACAGGCATGCAGTGTGTAATAATCACATTGTGGAGAATGGGGTATCCATCCCCTCAAGCATTTACCCTTTGGTGAGCACCATTTTACAGGCTCAGTAGGTGAGGCTCGGAGAGTTGCACAGCCAATGAGAGGGAAAGCCAGGATTCCCATCCAGGAATGAGGAGTCTGGTTCTAGAACTGTGCCCATAACCAGGCCAGCCAGATGGGTAGGAGATGTTCCACGGTGTCGGCCAGGTCTAGTTGATTCTGAAATGTGTTGGATCTAGGTGCTTGCTTTGCTTTTAGCAGGTAGGAGTGATGCTTTGTTTGGACTCCAGGGGGAAATAATCTGATAATATTCTGTATGGAATTTTTATTTAATAAATGTATGTTGGAATAATTTTAGACTTAGTGAAAAGTTGCCGAGAGTTCCTGTTTATCCTTCACCCAGCTTCCTCTAGTGTTGACATCATGTATAACCGTGGTATATTTGTCAAGACCGAGAAACTAACATCAGTACAATATTGTTAAACAAACTACAGGCCTTATTCACAGTTTCTCCACTCATGTCTTTTTTCTGTTCCAGGATCCAGTGAATCCAGCATACCACATTGCATTTAGTCTGTATGAAGTTTAAATGCCATTTATTTTCCCCAGAAACGTAAAGATTAGAGACAGTTTCTAAACACAGAGTAAAGATTTTGAATAGGTGGAGGAGACTGGGGAGAAGGAAAATGGGGGCAGAGGAAAAGAGATGAAGCAGGATGAGTGATTTCCCAGAACACCTGCTGCATGGGGGTTCAGACCCAGCTACAGGCAGGACACAGACTTGGCTCTGAGCTTCCTGGCAGCCAACACAGAGAGTGAAGCAAGTCAGTGATGTCTGTAAGAGGAAAACAGACCAGCTGTGTTTGAAAAGCCTAGTTATTCCTCCTTCGGAGGCCTCAGAACAGTTTTCCTCTGGTCCCTCCTTGAGAGGTGTTGTGTGGTGCCATAGTGTCCTTGGTGACATAAATGCATGAACAGCTTACGTAACGTTGTTGGTGGTGAGTACCCTCTGATTAAATCCACATTAAGAGAAAGGGAGAGAGGGAGCATTCCAGAGAGACAACACATTAGGTCTTGGCCTGCGAGCACTGAGCATCTCGCCCTCTCTCTCTGATTACTGATGAGTAGTGTCTTTTATTATCCTCTTACCCTTTTATTGAGCAGTTACTATGTCACATACTGAGCTAAATACTTCTTATTCATTATTACACAATTTTTGCAATGATACATTTTAAAAAAGAATGTTCTTCTCGCCAATTTATAGACGATAGATTTAGGAGCAATGTTAAGCAACTTGTCCAAGGCCACCCAGCTAAGTGCTAGAACTGAGATTTTAACTCACTCCAGCAAACTCTGAGTCCACGTTCTTAACTACTATGGTATAGCGCCTGTCAGTCCTCAGTTTACAGCTGAAGAAACCAAGACTTACAGACTTAAACTGAGTTGCCCAAGATCAAATTCTTTCTGTTATCAGAGCTGTTATTTAAACCGAGGCCTGACAGAGCCTGGGGTTTCCTTGAGCAGGGAAGGACTGGAGCCCTGGGGCCTCCACTGACCGGCTGTGTGAAGGTGGGCATGTCCTTCCTCTCCCTGGGCCTCAGTCTCCCTGCTTGGACACTTGGGCTAGATGATCTCCGAGGACTTCTCCTAGATCTGTACAGTTTCCTGGCCTGAAAAGTTGCAGAGAGTTCTCTTTACATAGAGCAAAAATTTTGAATGAGTGGAGGAAATTGGGGCGAAGGAAAATGGGGGACAGGAAAAGAGATGAAGCCTGGATGAGTGATATTCCAGAACACCCTGCTCTGTGGGACTGTAGACCCAGCTACAGGCAGGACACAGACTTGGCTCTGAGCTTCCTGGCAGCCAGCACAAAGAGGGTGCCCAGACACCAGGAATGTTCTTCACTCTGTTTCACCTATAGTTTTCATATTTACAAAGAGATGCCAAAACCAGTAACCAGCTGATAGATCCCTCTTTTGTGTGGAAGGATGTGGACATTCCATGTAAGCACGTGTTTGTGGCTCTCCCTTGCTTTTCCTCTTTCCATTTAGTCTGTGAGTATATATACTCATGACTCCTATAAGCTAACACTGTACTTTGCAGCTTCTGAGCAAGACAGACACAGTCTCTGACCTCCTCAGCTTATATTCTAGTAAGAAAAACAAAAACAAATTACACAACTGTGTATTTAGTTACAATTGTAATAATACCAAGATGGCAAAGCACATGGAACCAATTGAGTGTATGCCAGGGGAGACCAAACCTGGTCTTGGATATCTGGGAAGACTTCCTGGAGGAGGAAGCATTTCGGTTGAAATTTAAAAGAGAACAAAACTAATTATGTGAAAGAGGAAGTGAGAATTCCAGGCAGAAAGAACAGCAAATGCCAAGTCCCTGAAGTGGAAAGAAGTGTTCCAGTGTGCAGAGGAAGGCCCATGTGGCTGAACGTGGAAAGCCAGGTGGGGAGAAGATGCCTTAGCAATGCTGCTGAGGAAACAGCCTGATTGCACGGGAGATGTAATGCACCCAAGACTGTGCAGCTGTGAAAAGACGATGATCAAGATCTGCAGTTATTAATGTGGAAAGATGTCTGTGGGCTGTTATTAAGTGGGAAACGTGGGCTGCAAAACCACATAGCTAACAGGATTTCATCTGTATTCTATATGAATGCAAAAATATGCATAGAGAAACATCTATGCCGGACACACACCACAGTGTCAACACTGGTTATCTCAGGTGGTAAGATGAGGGATGATTTTCACTTTGTTTATGTCCTTAGGCGGCGTCTGAATGGAGCAAATATTCCTTTTATAATCTTAAAAACAGCAACAATAAAGTGATTTCCGTTCGGAAACAAGGCAGAGAAAAAATATTCCGTAGAAGTGTCCACTCACTTTAGTTTGCCTCTCAGTTGCAGGCAATCAAAGGCTTTATTTGCTCATAAAATGCCCGCCTTCAGTAAAGTCCTTTCTATCTTCAATCCCCTCCGCAGTAAAGCATTTTATATTCCTGCTGTTTATTGTACTTTCCCTTCCAGGGCCCCTTGGATATGCTAACACCTGCCTACACTCACTTGGGCATCCAGGACTGATTAATTCTGTTTATTGCCAATGCACTTTCAGTGGAATTAGGCATATTGAAATGGAATAAAGGGGCTTGGCTATGTGGGCAGTGGAGCCAAGAAAAGGTTTTATTTGTAAATAGGGCTCCTTGCTGCTGTGCAGAGCTTCCCTGGAGAGAAAATGTGCCTTTTGCTTTGCTTCCAGCTGCTCAGCCCACTTAGCTCCTGAAGGGCCTGGTTTGAGTCTGGGGCGGGGGATGTCAGGACGGCACTGCCCTAAGTGGAGAAGCACTTGGGGGGTCAGGCAGGTTCTCAGCATTTGCCCTGGGAAGGCCCCATGGAACTTGGCACCTTCCCACTCCCCCAGTGGGGGCTAACAGCCCTTTGAGAGTTTATCTTCGGATCTCTTATTTCTTTGCACCTGCCCCCCAGCTTCAAACCCCACCAAAGAATGGACCACAAAACCTCCTTTGTTCCTTTAAGGACAACTGAGATTGACTAGCATTTGAAATTAATCATAATGATAGCAGTTGCCATTTATTAACCAGTTATTATGAATCAGGCACTGTACTCAACACATTAGATACACTTTTATTTCATCCTACCGGTAGCCCTGTGGCGGACATTAATAACATCATTTAATACATGAACAACTGAGGCTCAGAGAGGTGAAGTAGCTTCCCGGGGATTACACAGGGATCTAGTACCTGGCCTTTTAAGGCCCTCCAAAGGTCATACGCTTTGCTCTGCCACCTTCCTAGCACCCCTAACTTGATTAAATATCAAAAGGCTGCAGAGAGAGGAAATAAAGGACATTGAGTCTTCTTAGAAATCACCAAGTTTCCCAAGCCCAGTGTGGTTCCTGGATCTTGCCTGGCCCACGGCCTCCACACCTGAGTTTCCCCAGGGGTGGGAGCACATTTCATTTCTGCTCCTGGGGACCAACTGCCATCCTGGCTGAGGCTCCTTGGAACAGGATCTCTGTTCTCATGAATGTCCCAATCTTGGGGTCACTACTATGCTTGTGGCTATGGTAGCCTCCCAGCCCCACCTCCAACACTGGGGATCACATTTCAACATGAGATTCGGAGGGGACAAACATCCAAACTACATCAGTTACTATATAATATTTGTTTAATAAGGATCCTTTAAATGTATTTCGTTTTGTGATTATGGCTGATTTTATGGCAGTCCTAATGAAGGCCCATCGAGTGTCTGGTGCAGAAACAATGTTTCAGTGACTGTGTGGATGACCTGCTGCTCTACAGGTCTATCACGGGTGCTGGACTTTGCCAGGAGCCTGACCATATCGACTTCATTGGTGAAGCCAGCCAAGCTGGGGCTGCTCCCTCCACGTACTGGCTTCTGCCAGGGTCTGTTCTCCCCACTTGCCTTCTCTGGACTGAGTCTCTGGACAGCACCCCTGTGCTAAGTATGTACCAAGCAGCAGGTGATCTATATGTGCCATCTCTGTCTACCCAGCTCTAGGAGGTAGGAACTCTGTTTTTTTTAGATGAACTCTCGCTCTATTGCCCAGGCTGGAGTGTAGTGGCATGATCTCAGCTCACTGCAATCTCCACCCCCAGGTTCAAGCAATTCTCCTGCTTCAGCCTCCTGAGTAGCTGGGATTACAGGTGCCTGCTACCACACCTGGCTAATTTTTTTTTTTGTATTTTTAGTAGAAACAGGATTTAACCATGTTGGCCAGGCTGGTCTCAAACTCCTGACCTCAAGTGATCCGCCCGCCTTGGCCTCCCAAAGTGCTGGGATTACAGATGTGAGCCACCATGCCTGGCTGAAACTCTTAACCCATCTATAAATTGGGAGCACTTGTTTAGTGAATGTCTCTTCTCCCAGATCATGGCTACATGAGGTAAAGAATGAATGTTCTTTTCACATCATATCCCCTGCCCAAGGGAGGTTCTGGAGCCAGATCCCCATCCCAGCTCCACCACCTCCTTGTTGTGTGACCTTGGGCAAGTGATGCCCTCTCTGAGCTTCAGTTTACTCATCTTTCAGTGAAGGATGGTATGGCACCTACCACGGAGACTGTTCAGGGATTTGTTATGGTGGAACATAAAAAGTGCTTAGCAGGGTGCCCAGCCTAGAATAATCACTCAGTGGATATTGGCTGCCACCATTTCTCTTACCAGCACAACACCTGGGGCACCAGGATTCTTTGCTGCCTTCTGTCTCCCACTCCCACCCTCCCCATTCAACATAATTTCCATGCAGAGCATGATGCAGACACAGATCTAGGTGCTGATGCTCGCTCTGTCCATGGGTTGCCAGCACCTGGTGCCCACCAAAGTGCCTGCAGTGCTCCAACAACAGGAAAGACTCACTGGGCCCTGGGGCACCCAGGGAGGGACAGGGCCACCCCCTCTGCCGCCATCAAACAGCTCTCTCCAAGCCCCGCTGCTCAAGGAAAATGAAAACACAAGCATGCTCAGGAGACATTTTGTAGTTTCTCCTTCCCGCATTTTTTTCTCTGACAGCAGAAGGGACAACATTATAGATTTTGAATCACAATAGGAAAAAATGATAATATGAAGCCCGCAAAAATACACATTTGCTACATTTTTGTGCTTCTACTTTTGAGAAGGCCCATCTCAATACTCTAAAATGGCAACAACTTAGTCAAAATCTTATAAATTAGAGATGTCAGGTTTTGAAGAAGGGAAGCAACTATCTAAGAACTCGATGGTTGAATCATAAAAGGAACAGAACAAACAAGAAGGATCCCAAGCCACTGTGTACAGTAGGTCAGACCAAAAGAGATCTGGAAGGACATGACACCTGCTGGCAGCTGTCACATCCCGGTAAATTATTTCTCTTTTCTACAACTAGCAAGTATTATTTTTGCAATTGGAAAACACAGTAAAGATTTTAAAAAATATGTATTACGCTCTGCTAAGGGTGACAGCCAGAATCCGCCACTGTAAACTTACTATTTTCCCTTTATAATTATGAAGTACACTGATAGAGATATTTTGAAACCACACACAGAAAATCCTTTTTCTGCTTAAACTCATGCCCACTTTTTTTTTTTTTTTTTGAACAGAGTCTGGCTCTGTTGCCCAGGCTGGAGTGCAGCGGCACCATCTTGGCTCACTGCAACCTCTGCCTCCTGGGTTCAAGCGATCCTCCTGCCTCAGCCTCCCGAGTAGCTGGGATTACTGGTGCCTGCCACCATGCCTGGCTAATTTCTGTATTTTTAGTAGAGATGGGGTTTCACCACGTTGGCCAGGCGGGTTTCAAACTCCTAACCTCAAGTGATCCACCCGCCTCGGCCTCCCAAACTGTTGGGATTACAGGCGTGAGCCCCCGCGCCTGGCCAACTGATGCCTACTTTTTAGCATCTACTTGTGATTCTTGCCCACAGAAATGATTACCAAAATGTAATGTTCTAAGGGTGATTTTCTATTCCCATGTTCCTTCTATGTTTATTAATGGGAAAGGAAAATTCCCATTCTTCCTTAAGGAAGAATTGTCCCTTCTCACTCATTTATCTATTTATTCAGTTAATTACGTAATGACACTATTATGGCCTCATGGATGCTTATTTTATTCTCCTTTGCCTATAGGAAGTGCTTTTAGGTTGGCTTCTGTGCACATTTGATATGCTTATTTATTTGTTTGTTTACTTTACAGCATGTCTTTACTTTCTGGCACAAGAAATCCCAGGTTCACCTTGTTTGTTTTCCCTGCCCTAGACCTGGAATCCACCACCCCTACAAAGAGCACTGGTTCCTTTTATTTGAAGAACAGTATTTAGAAACCAAGATCCAGGTGCTAGGTGTACCCATTTTTATTGGGGTGTCCCAGCCTACAGTTCCTTCTCAATGGATAGAGGAACAGTAAATATGTATAATGACTCATGCATGCACACATACCCGTATCTGTATGTATTCATCTCTGTGTATATACATACACAGTATTTTTTTCTTTTGGTAAATGAGTCCACACTAATAAGGCTGATTCTAATCCCAGAATCAAAGGGTTTATTCTATCTTTCCCCTTTCCTTACTTATAGCTTTTTCCCAGAGTAAGAATCACCTAAAACATAGTTACATACTTTCTCCACCCTAGGAGAAACAAAGTCATTTCAGAATTCCTAATCCATATACTTTTTTTTTTTTTTTTGAGATAGTCTTGCTCTGTCACCCAGGCTGGAGTGCAGTGACACGATCTCGGCTCGCTGCAACCTCCACCTCCCGGGTTCAAGCGATTCTCCTGCCTCAGCCTCCAAGGAGCTGACACTACAGACATGCATCACCACACCTAGCTAATTTTTTTCTATTTTTAGTAAAGACTGGGTCTCCTCATGTGGACCAGGCTGGTCTTAAACTCCCCACCTCAAGTGATTCGCCCACCTCAGCCTCCCAAAGTGCTGGGATTACAGACGTGAGCCACCACACCTGGCCCCTAACCCATATACTTTTGAGGAGGGAGAAAAATTCCCAGCTGAAGTACAGTGTTTATATACGACTCTTCTTGGTTTCTGTCTTATAAGATCGGTTGAACCAATGTTTCCCAGCTACTTAAGTCGGTTCCTTTCTTCTTCTATCCCCTTGCAGTGTGGTTATGGAAATCATTTGTAAGAGTTCTGCTGTCTTCATTCATCTCAGTCTGCATTCTGTCTTCCTCCCTGTGCCCGACACGTGCCCCCTCCCATACACATCCTGGTTGAGTTTTACAAATTTATATAAAGTCACTCTGTGATGTACAGTTCTACGAATTTGACAAATGCAGAGTTATGCATCCACCACTGCAATTCCAACACAAAAGTTTCCTGGATCTTTTGCCCATTTGGAGATGTTTTTTTTTTTTTAGAGTTTTTTTTTTTACACATTCTCAATACAGACAGTCTCTGACTTATCATGGGTCAACTTACGATTTTTCAACTTCATGCATTCAATAAAAACCATACTTCAAGTACCCATACAACCATTCTTTCACTTTTAATATAGTATTCAATAAATTATATGAGATATTCAATACTTCACTATGAAACAGGCTTTGTGTTAGATGATTTTGCCCAACTGTAGACTAATGTAAGTGTTCTGATTTAAGGCAGGCTAGGCTCAGCTGTGATGTCTGGTAGATTAGGTGTATTAAATGCATTTTTGATTTACAATATTTTCAACTTACTATAGGTTTATTGAGATATAACACCATCATAAGTTGAGGAGCATCTTTTCAAGTTCTCTGTTAGAAATGTGATTGGAAAATATTTTCTTTTTTTTTTTTTTTTTTGAGACAGGGTCTTGCTCTGTTGCCCCAGCTGGAATGCAGTGGCATGATCATAGCTTACTGGAGCCTTGACCTCCTGGGCTCAAGTGATCCTCTCACCTCCGCCTTCCTAGTAGCCGGGACTACAGGCATGCACCACCATATGTGGCTAATTTTTTTTGTATTTTTTGTACAGAAAGAGTTTTGTCATGTTGCCCAGGCTGGTCTTGAACTCCTGGGCTCAAGCAATCTGCCTCCCAAAGTGCTGGGATTACAGGCATGAGCCACTATGCCTGGCTGGAAAATATCTTCATTCTGTGGCTTGTCTTTGTCTTCTCTTAAAAGTATCTTTTCATCTTTTCAGGCATGGTGGTGCATGCCTATAGTCCCGGCTACTTGGGAGGCTGAAGTGGATCACCTGAGCTTTGGAAGTAGAGGCTGCAGTGAGCCGAGATCTAGCTGCTGCACTCCAGCCTGGGCAACGGGAGTGAGACCCTGTCTCAAAACAAACAAACAAACAAAAGTATCTTTTGCAGAGCAAGAATTTTTCATTTTAATAAAGTCTATTTTGTCAATCTTTTATTAGCCATATTTTGTCTAACCCAAGGTCACATAGATTTTGTATTATATATTCCTCTAACAGTATTATAGTTTTGCATTTTACATTTTAGTCTATGATTTATTTTGAGTTCTCATATAAAGTGTGAGATTGAGGTTCATTTGTTTGCATTATAGACAGCCAATTGTTCTAGCACCATCTGCTGAAAGGACTACCCTATCTCCAGTGAATTGCCTTTGCTCTTTTGCCAAAAATCACTTGGGTATATTTGTGTGGGTTTATTTCTGGACTCTATTCTGTTCCACTGATCTACGCACCCAGCCTTTCATTAACACTGCCCTATCTTGTTTACTGTAGCTTTACAGTAAGTCTGGAAGTTGGGTACAGAGTCCTCCAATTTGTTCTTATTTCAGAATTGTTTTGGCTCCTCTGGTTTCTCTGTATTTCCATAAAAAAAATTAGAATCAGCTTGTAAATACCTAAAAAAAAAATATAGCTTCCTGGGATTGGAATTGGAATTGTGTTGAATCTAGATCAAATTAGAAGATTTAACATCTTCATACTATTCAGTCTTGCAATCAATGAATACAGATCTCTCCATTTATTTAGGTTTTTTTTTGTTCTGTAATTGTCAGCCTGAAGAAACTACACATATTTTGTTAGCTATGTATACCTAAGTATTTTCAGCACTATTATAAATGGTACTGTTTTTATTAACTTTGGATTCCAGTTGTTCATTGTTAGAAATAGAATTGATTTTTATATGTTGGCTTTTGTATCTTTTGACTTTGCTAAACTCATTTATTAGTTCTGGGAGGTTTATTGCAGAGTCTGAAATTTTCTAGGCAGATGGTCAGAGTTTTATTTTTTCTTTTTGGATCTGTATGCCTTTTATTTCTTTTTCTTAACTTATTGCACTGACTACAATGTCTAGTATGATACTGAGTAGAACAGTTGAGAGAAAAATTTTGCCTTATTTCTATCTTAAAGGAAAGCATTAATTTTTCACCATGAAGTATGTTAGCTGTGGGATTTTCTGTGGATACTCTTCATCAGATTTGATTCCTACTTTGTTTAGAGAGTATCCTGAATGTATGTTGAATTTTTAAAGTATTTTTCTGATCATATGGCTTTTCTCTTTTAATCTGTTAATTACATTGATTTTCAAATGTTGAAACAGCCTTGCATTCCTTGTATAAACACTCTTGGTTGTGATAAATTATCCCTTATAGAGATTGCTGGATTTGATTTGCCAATGTTTTGTGGAGGATATTTCCATTTGTGTTCATGAAGGATAGTGGTCTGGGTTTTCTTTTCTTATAATGTATCTAGTCTTAGTATTATATAATGCTGGCTTCACAAAATGAGTTGGGAAGTCATTCATGAAAGTGTCTGGGCTTGAGTTTTTTTGGGGGAGATGATTTAACTATAAACTCCATTTTTTGGACATGTAATATATAGGATATCTATAGGTTATCTATTTTTCTTTCTTGAGTGTTAGTAGTTTGCGTCTCTCAAGAAATTGGTCCATTCATCCAAGTTGTGGAATTTAAAGGCAGAGAATTGCTTGTAAGGTGCCCTTATTATGTGAGTTTTTTTTAACTGTCAGGAATTATATAAATATTAAGACATTATTTTTGTCACCTTCATTAGGACTACCATAAAATCAGCCATAATCACAGAATGAAATACACTTAAAGGATCCTTATTAAACAAATATTATATAGTAACTGATGTAGTTTGGATATTTGTCCTCTCCGAATCTCATGTTGAAATGTGATCCCCAGTGTTGGAGGGGGCCTACTGGGAGGTGTTTGGGTCACAGGGGTGGACCCTTCATGAAGGGCTTGGTGCCCTCCCAGAGGTAATGAGTGAGTTCTTGCTCTATTAGTTCATGTGAGAGCTGGTTGTTTAAAAGAGCCTGGGACCTCTCTTACTCCTTCTCTCACCTTGTGACACACCTGCTCCCTTTTCACCATCTGCCATGAGTAAAAGCTTCCTGAGGCCTCACCAGAAGCAGATGCCAGCACCACGCTGTTTGTACAGCCTGCAGGACCATGAGCCAAGATAAACCTCTTTTCTTTATAAATTACCCAGCCTCAGGTATTCCTTTATAGCAATGCAAAACAAACACAGTAACCACACCCCTTCCTCCATGAAGAAACAGGAAGCAGGTGTGGAGAGTCTGTCAGGCTTGCTCTCGCCTCCCAGCAGAAGCATCAGGATGGAATCAGCAGACAAAGCCAAACTGCCTGATGGCAACGGGGCTCTATGCTGGGGGCCCAGAGCTCTGGGCCCTTCTCTCAGCCAGTCCTTTCCTTCCTTCTGGCCCTCAGCATCCCCATGTGTGAAATGGAGGGTTGGCAGCTGAGATCTGTGAGTGTAGACTGATTCCCGCCATCTGCCCTCCATCAGGGAGGAGCTGAAGATGGCACCTAATGTCCAGAGAGCACCTGTGATGAGCAAACCTCACTGTGGGCCAGGCTGCTACCCAGCCTCTTTTAGCCCAAAGGCAAGCATCTCTGAGAGACAGGGTCTGATTGCTCAATGCACAACCTAGGTGAGTGGGAAAACCACTCACACTTCTCAAACAAAAATGCCTGCTCTGTGCTGTGTTCAGGCCAGGATGCAAAGGAGATAGTGCTCAAGATAGGAGCTTTGGAGTCAAAGACACCTGGCTCAGGGCCTGCCTTCTCCACAGTCACTTCTTCAAGACAAGAACAATTTCCCGGATACTTACTGTGTGCCAGGTGCTGTCCTTGTTAGCCCTATAACCCTGAATTTGCGTGATGGAAACTCAGGCTGACGCCCCTTGGCAGCCGGCCAGCCAGCTCTCCCCACTTCTGCCCGGTTCTCTGCCGTCAGCATGTTGGTGACACCTGCCCGATGTTTCTGCACACTCTGCTTTTTAGATTTGGAACCCGGAGGATTCTTCTGGCCATTCAGGATGTGTTTAAGTAAAAGCATGGTGAAAATGGCAGAAGATACAGCAGCATGAGGGTAGTGGTGATAACAGGAAACAGTAATGATACATTTTTTAATTTTAATTTTTATTCTTTACCTTTCCTATGTTGCTGAGGAAATAGTAGTAACAGAAATAAGTCATTAGGGTGAGCAGTCTTCTAGTTATTTCTAACATGCAGGAATAACAACAGCAATTGCCAGCATTTTGGGAGTCCGCCCTCTGTCCCACCATGGTGCTTAGTGAGTACTGTGCCTACAGTGAATCATTTAATGCTCCCAGCATCCCTGCAAGGAGGCTCTGGTATTATCCCTATTTTACAGATGGGCAGCTGAAGCCCAGAGAGGTTAAGTAACTTGCCCAAGGTCACACAGTTAATAGGAAGAAGAGCTGGGATTCAAACCCAGGTGGGTCTAGCACTTAGTCACAGAAGTCCCATTCTCATCTCTTCCCTCTCCTCATACCTTCTCTGGTGAACCCCAGAGGTTCTTACAGAACTTAGATGGGTCCTCTCTTTGTGAAGTGGTTCTCAGGCAGACTGGGGGAGGGACACAGGGCAGGGCCTTCCCCTGTAGGCAGCTTGAATTTACTGCTTTGTGAAAATTAGGGAGGAGCGAATGGTCTTCACTTGGGGTTTTCCTGTGTGTGTGGTGTGTGCGTTCATGCGCACACACCCCCACAGTGATATTTCTGATGTCTCCATAATAACAATGCCATAAAAGCAACTATTTATTGATGATTTGCTGCAGGCCCAGCCCTGTCCAGGTGATTCCTTGAAATCATCTTGCTCCGTCCTCTTGGCAGCCCCAGGAGGATCTCCTGAGTTTCATCATGCCTATTTCACTGATAAAGAACCCGAGACTCAATGAGATTAAGCAGCTTGCCCCAAAACATATTTTTAGTTGGCAGAGAAGCTGTGATTCAAAGGCAGGCCTCCCTAAGGCCACATGCCTTACCTCTGTGCTGATGCCAACAGGGACAGCTGAGCACAAAGTCACAGTGCCTCAGACTGGCAAAGGACTTTCTATTTTACCTTGGATGGGCTTTGCCCACGTTTTTCTGACCCCAAATCCAGTGCTTTTTCCATTCCCAAGGGCAGCAAGTCACCGATCTCTTGCATGCCAATGCCATTTCATTAGTGCGCCTGTACACATGTTTGTACCTGTGTGGTTGCAGCCGGGCTCTGCAAGAAGGGATAGTTAGCTAATGCTAAGAGTCACTTAGCGCTGTGTCTGCCATGGGGCAGAAAAGGGGGACCCGTGGCCCAGATGATTCAATGTCTGTCATTCCCACATGAGAGCATGGGCCTAGCTCAACTTTTAAAATTATTTAATTGAGAATGTATGACTAAAGCTGTATCTCAGCAGAAAGTATTTTTTTGCGGGGGGGGAAACTAATAATAATAACAATAGCAGCTACTTCTGACACCTACTGTGTGCCGGGGCGGTGATGACATTCCCTGGTGGTGTTGCATGGTGTGTAAAACCTGTCTTGTCACTTTATCACCCTGAGACTCGGTTTCCTCATTTGTAAAGCTGGGGTAATAATACCTCTTGGGACATGGTGAAGATGTAGCCAGAGAATCTCTAGCAAGCACTTGATGCAGATAAAAGTATTTTTTTAATTAGCTTTAAAAATTATTCCTGATTTTCAGTATAACCTTGTAAGGTAACCGCATGAGTCTTGCTTGAGGCTCAGAAGGTGGAAGTGATTTGCCCATGGCCACTTACCAGGAAGGGGCTGGCCAAGGTTGCAGGCTTGGCTCTGTCCTCTAACACCCAGCCAGGGCAGTTTCACAGTGGGGCCTTCCTCCCAGGCTAGGGGACAGTCTTGTATTGTCCCTCTGGGATGGAATAAACTCGAGGCTAATCCTGCCTGTCCCTCTTTGGCACTCCAGCCCTGGCCCCACACTGCCCCTGCTTTCGAGGACTTGTGGCAGAGCAGCAACCTCTCCAGCACCTGGTTGCTTTGGGGCTTCAAAAATCCCCAGGCTTTTTCAGCAGAAGGTAGGATGACAATTTCCTTGTCCTTGCTGAGGTCCAGCTCAGATAACTGGGCTTTGCCTCCCCACCAGCCCCTTTTGCTGGAGTGGGTTTTTTCTAATGAGCCATGCCCTCGGGAGTGCCTATCCCTGAGGTGCAGTAGCCACCTCTCACTCCTGGGCGGGTCCACAAGTCCTAAGCCTCAGAGTTGGCTCTTGCTTCCTTCGTAGAGACTATAGAGGAGCAGTGCTTCCCAAGCTCCTGTAGATTCCAGTTTTTGATAATAATGATAATAATAGTACCACCTATATCCTAGGTACTATATTGTCAAGACAACATGAGCTAATGCATATAAAATCCCTAGCCCAGTGCCTGGCACATGATAAGCAACCAAAAAGAAATGGTAGCTGTAATTGTCTAAGCGATTGGCTTGTGGCAAGACTGATCTGCAGTTACATCTGCGATGCTCAGATAGCTGATGAATTGACATTGATGATGAACGTCTTTCCCAAGGAGCCGGAAGGTGATTTATTTCCCAAGAACCTGCCACAGGCTGAGTGATTGCTGTAGCCTCTGCTCCCCACCCGCCCCCAGCTGTGCCACCTTCTCAGTCCTTCCTTATGATACTCTCTTAGTTGGATTTTTGAAATGGCCTCTCTGAATGAGTGTTTAATCAATTGCAGAAATTCGAGATGCTTAGTCCTCTGGCCTGGTCTTTACAGCGGCCCTTGGTAGGGTGGTAATTGCGCCAAGGCAGGCTGCTGCCAAAAAGACTTAATTTCTCTGGGCACGCCCATTAGAGCAGAGCTCACTTGCAGCTTGGCCACAGGAAAAGGTGAGATCATTTGTTCGTGTGCTCAGGGTCCCTGTGAACCATTCTGTCCACCAGAGAGAGGCTACTAGCTGGGGATGTCTGTGGGCTTTCCTTCTCATCTCATTCCCAAGTGGCTGAACAAAGGTCCTGGAATAGGGTAGGGGCATGAAGAGCTGACTGGCCCCGGAAATGTCATTGGTTGCCCTTCTGGCTTTACATGTGGTCATGCCAAATTAAATGCCTGCTTGTGGGTACATATGGTTTACTGAATCTGAGGTCAGCACGGTCCCCTCTTTCATAAGGGAAATGATTACCAGTGAGCATTTCTTCAGCCTCTGCTGTGGGATAGAAACATGAAGGGCTTTGGGAGAGGTAGGTAACTATATGGGGCAGTGCTTTGGGCACTTGACCATGCATACAGATTCCCAAGGGACCTTTTCCAGTGCCAGTTATGATTCAGCAAATGTGGTTCTTGTGGCCGCATAACCACCACAGGACTTAGGGATGTATAGTAACCACAAGTTATGCTCCCAGGTACTGTGGGTGAGGAAGTGACAAGGCACAGCAGGGGTGATGTGTCTCTGCTCCATGATGTCTGCAGCCGCAGCTGGAACACTCAACATCTGGGTGCTGGAATCATCTGGAAGCCTGTTTCCTCCTGTGCCTGGAAGTTGATGTTGGCTATGGGCTGGAGGCCCTAGTGCTTCCTGCATGGACCTCTCCCTGTCATCTTTCCACAGTGCTAGTTTGGGCTGCCTCTAAGAATGGTGGCTTAGGGGGGCTTTCCAGGGGATAGGTGCTGGGAGAGAGGTGAGTGGAGGCTGTATTCTTTTGATGGCCCAGTTTCAGAAGGCACAGAGTATCCCTCAGCTGGGCTTTCTTGTTTAAAGCTGTCACAAGTCCAGGCAGTTTCAAGGGGGAGAGGGGACTAGGCCCTTCTTTCTATGTGAGTGTCCTAGGGCTGCTATACCAAATGACCACACACTGGGTGGCTTAAAACAACAGAAATGTATTCAGTTATGGGGGCCAGAAGTCCAAAATCAAGGTGACAGCAGGATCACACTCATCCCTCCAACCGCTCTTCCAGTTTTTGCTGGTTCCTGGTGGTCTTCGGCTCGTGGCAGTGTCACTCTAGTCTCTGCCCCTGTCTTCGTGTGTTCTTCCCTGCATGTTTCTTTGTGGCTCAAATCTCCCTGTCCGTTCTCTTATACGGGCAGAAGTCACTGAATTTAGAATCCTCCCTAAATCCAAGATGATCTCTTTTTGAGATCCTTAACTTAATGACACCTGCAAAGACCCCATTTCCAAATTAGGTCACATTCACAGGTACTGGGGGCTAGAACTTGGACATATTTTTGGGGGAACACAATTTGACCTACTCTGTGATGGCATGACAGGGCCCTAGGGGGCACATGAAACTCGAAATATTGCTGTGGCCATTTTTGGAAAAGTACACTCTGCCTCAGTAGATTTGGGATGGAGCCTGAGAGTTTGCGTTTCTCACAGGCTCCTAGGTTTTGCTGATAGTACTCATCTTTGTCATTTTAGCAGCTATAAGAGAGTGCCTGAGATTGGGCAGTTTAAAATGCATATAAATTTATTAGCTCACAGTTCTGAAGGCTGGGGGAGAGAGAGAGACAGAGAGAAAGAGAGAGAGAGAAAGTGTGTGAGAGAGAAAGTGAGTGACAGAGAGAGACAAAGTTGGAAAGGTGGAGTCCTTGTGGCCTAATCACCTTTTAAGGGTCCCATCTCTTAATACTGCATGAGTTTTAGTGGAGGACACACATTCAAACCACAGCACAGTTGGTCCATGGACAACACATGGGGTCTTGCTTTCAAATTGCTGACAGTCTAGTGAGGAAGAGGGAGGAGGAAATAGC
The DNA here is from genome assembly GCF_000001405.40 of Homo sapiens. Classification (NCBI taxonomy): domain Eukaryota; kingdom Metazoa; phylum Chordata; class Mammalia; order Primates; family Hominidae; genus Homo; species Homo sapiens. The sequence continues at coordinate 114,447,540 of NC_000009.12, read as the reverse complement.
AAACTGTAATAAAGTCAGACCTGTTAAGAAGTACCATGCTCTTAATAGGAGTACTACCTGATAACTGGATAACAATTAACATCTCTGATGTACAGGCAGTATTCTGGGCACTTTGTATATATCAGTCCTTTTACCCTCACAGCAACCCTGTGGTAAGGGTGCTCATCCCTTGTTTACCGATGTGAGGCTCAGAGAGTTTAAATGATTTACCCAAGGTGACACAGCCAGGGCGTGTGGAGCCAGGCAGGCTGCTTCCAAGTCCCTGTGGCCACTGCACGGCCCTTCCTGTGCTGGGACCTCAGGTGGGAGCAGTCAGTCCAGGTGAGGGGGGCTGGTTGTGGCTGCAGAGAGGAAGTGGATCTTGAGCTGGACTTCTCTTGGTTAGCAGGTTCTTGCTGAGCCTCTCTATGTGCCTGACATGTAAACATGAGCCAGAAAACACATGATTTTTGCCCCTGTGAAGAGTGCGGTCTGGTTGGGGCATTGAATGTGGAAGATTATGCCAGGCAGAGAAGTGAAGGAAGAGCTCTTCCAGGAAGAATTGGGAGGAGCACAGACATAGAAGCATGGGGGTCAGGGACGGACAGGCGGGCTGAGAGGGACTGAGGGGCTGACAGAGAGGAGAGTTGGGGAGGGAGGGGGAAGGGGTAGGGAAGGAGACATGCTCCAACAGCTTTTCCAAGAGCTCCTGGCTGGCTAGACGCACCTAGGGATGCACGTGGCACTAGGAGTGAGTGAGGGTATTACTTCCAAAGTCAAGGAGCTATGAGTTAAGGCAGATGGAAGGAGGCAAGAGCTTTCAGAGTTTGGGATGTCCAGGGAACTGAGTGGTGCTCTGCACTAGAGCTTTTGGCCCAAAAACCTCAAAGGGTTTGAGCCAGACCCTTTGTTTGTTTTGAGTTTTATTTTTCCAGCTACTAAAGTAATAAGTTCAATACATAATACACACACAAACACATGCAGAAAGTAGAAGGACCCAGACATCCTACCTTCTAAAACCAGCCTTTATTACCATCGTTTGTTTTTTGAGATACAATTCATATGCTATAAAATTCACCCTTTTAAAGTGTGCAAATCAGTGGTTTTTAGGATATTCACAGGGTTGTGCAACTATCACTGCTATATAATTTCAGAACATTTTTATCACCCCTGAAAAACTCTCTGTACCCACGAAGTCATCACTCCCCATTCCTCCCTCCCTTCACTCCCTGAAAACTGCTACTAATCTGCTTTCTGTCTCTCTAGATACGCCTATTTTGGGCATTTCATATCAATGAATCATAGAATATGTGGCCTTTGTGTCTGCCTTCTTTTACTTAGCATAATATTGTAGCATCTACCAGGAAATTCCTTCTTATGACAATAGTATTCTGTTGTATGGTGATATCGCATTTTGTTTATCCATTCATTAGTTGATGGACGTTTGGGTTGTTTCCATCTGTTGGCATCTTGATGTAGTTTCTGTCATTCTCTTCTCTGTATTCTTTGACATGATTTCTATCATATAGCTTGCTTTGCATTTCACATTCTTATCTGCATTTTCCCATGTAAATAAAAACTTATGGGTACAACTTGTAATAGTTGCATAATCATATTCCATCTTGGGGCTAAATTATAATTTACCTAACCATTCCCTTGAAGTCAGGCATTTAGCTGTTTCTAATTGAAATCAGGATTTAAAAGGAGCAACAAATGAGAGAAACCTCAGAGGACCTTTCCAGAGGAGATTAAACGCCTCCAAGCCTATCTATGCCAGCAGGCTTCAGAGCCCAGTGTGGGGCAGAAATGATTTATCCCAAATTACTAAGAGGCATGGAACGGACTGGGTGAGATAAAGAAGATTCTTCTCCAGCGTGGCACGGCATATCTACCGAGGGCCTAGACCCACTCTACCCCAGACCCCCAAACATAGAGGGAGGTGTTAGAGAAGGTGGGAGAGATGATGGTGGCCTGTGCTATGGCTTGTCTCCCCACAATTTTTTCATTTAGTTGTGGAATTTTTTTCTTTATACACTTGACAGTCTGGTCTTTGTATACAATTTGAAGAGGTGCAGAACATGAATAAAGAACTTGAAATTAAAATTGCCTGGAATTGATCACTTGGAGGCAACTCCTATGAACAGTTTGGCCTATTTCTTCCCAGTCCCTTCAACACAGTTGAAGACCACATTAGATAGGCAATATTAAGATAATATTAGAGCCCAGGTGTGGTGGCTTACGCCTGTAATCCCAGAACTTTGGGTGGCCAAGGCGGGCAGATCCCCTGAGGTCAGGAGTTTGAGACTAGCCTGGGCAACATGGTGAAACTCCATCTCTACTAAAAATACAAAAATTAGCTGAGCATGGTGGTGCACGCCTGTAATCCCAGCTACTTGGAAGGCTGAGGCACAAGAATCGCTTGAACCCAAGAAGTGGAGGTTGCAGTGAGCCGAGATCACACCACTGCACTCCAGCCTGGGTGACAGAGTGAGACTCTGTCTAATAATAATAATAATAATAATAACATTAAAAAACCTGAGTTCAAAAGTAAAGTATGTTCACTGTAGAAAACAGAGAAAACCCTACACTTAGGGAAAACTAGTGCCACAATTTTGTTGTATAACCTTTCAGTGTGTAATGTCTACATGGAATATAATATGGATAAAATATTTCAGCAAAACTGGGATCAGACTGTTTTCTTTCCCCCACCTTCCATAACATTTTAGCATTTATCCTGCCAGTAGAGGTGTGCATATATATATATATTATATATATAGCATTCAGATCCTTCATGTGAGAAAGACCTTTGCAAAATATTAAGTGAAAAAAAGCAAGTTACAGAGTATGGTTATGTAATTCCATTTTTGCTTTTTTAAAAAGAGGAATATATTTATTTGTACATACTTGTATATGTGAAGAGAATCCCTGAGAAAATGACCAAGAAACTGATCCTGGGGCTTTAGATTTCAGGAATGGAGATGCGTTTTTAAGAGAAGGGGGTTTCGGAGGGGAGATTTTTACAGTTTGTATATACCCCCCTTTTTACTGTTTGACTATTTGTACTATGTCATTATATTGGTTTTGTAATTTTTTTTAAGTTTAATTGGAAAAAATAATTATATGTGATTAAATATTATATATCATTTTTAATGGCAGTATAATAATTACTGTATGGATATACCATGCAGTATTTGACTAACATTAATTCATAGACTTTTTGGAGGGGGTTCAAATTCTTTTTGTAAATTTAAATTCTGTATAACCATGGTTATTTGGTTGGGGTTAATTCCTAGCAGTAAAATTGCAAAAGTTTTTGCACCATTTTGTCAAATGCTTCTTAGCAAGTTTCAACCAAGTTATGCTCCAGCTGGTGAAGTGCCAGATGCCCCACTAACCCTTCCTCATCTAGATGGGGTACGGGAGTTAATATGGATTGGCTGTGTCCCCACTCACATATCGTCTTGAATTGTACTCCCATAATTCCTGTGTCCTGTGGGAGGGACCCAGTGGGAGATAATTGAACCGGGTGGTGGGGGGAAACCCCATACTGCTCTCGTGGTAGTAAGTCTCATGAGTGCCCATGATTTTATAAGGGGTTTCCCCTTTTGCTTGGCTCTCATTTCTCTCTTGCCTGCTGCCATGTAAGACGTGCCTTTCACCTTCCTCCATGATTTGAGGCCTACCCAGCCACGTGGAACTGTGAGTCCATTAAACCTGTCTTTCCTTATAAATTATGCAGTCTTGGGTATGTCCTTATCAGCAGTGTGAAAATGGACTAGTACAGGGACCTTCTGGTATTCTGTTCTGTTTGGCTATTCATGAATGCCCACCATGTTTTTGTTACCACAAATATGGGAGGCACACTAATGGACCCTCCAAAATGTCTACATCCGAATCCTCAGAACCTGTGACTATGTTAGGTTATATGGCAGAGGGAATAAAAGCTCCTATTCAGCTGGCCTTGAGGTAGGGAGATGATCCTGGATTATCCTGGTGGGTCGCGTGTCATCACAAGGGTTGTTGAAGTAGAGGTGGGAATCAGAAGGAGGGAACCAGAGAGGTGGCTGTATAAGAAGGCCTTGTTGGTGCGAGGTTGCTGGCTTTGAAGATGGAGGAAGGGGCTACCAAAGTAGGAAAGTAGGAGGCCTCTGGTAGCTTGGAAAGGGCAAGGAATTGGATTGTCCCCCGGACTCTCCAGAAAGGAACTCTGTCCTGCTGACATCTTGATTTTAGCCCAGTGAGACCTATGTTAGATTTCTGACCCCAGAACTGTAAGATAATAAATTCGTGTTGTTTTAAACCACTGAGTTTGTGGTGATTGGTCCAGCAGTGTAGAATACTCATATGATGTGTACAATATTGCCAACACCTATTATAGCTCTTCCCCTTGGGAGGCACTTGGCTCTTGTCTAATATTCTTCCATTGTTTGGTGCTGGCCGCAACAGTACTGCTTTCTTCTTGGTAGGAGTTGGAGGATTCCCATGTATTTGGAAGAGCAGGTCAATTTCTTTCTTTATGGCTATGAAGCACAGAAGTGGAAACACACTCTAGATTCTGATGTCTGATACTCCTCACAAAGGACTGGACCTAGAAGTTTTTTTTTGTTTTGTTTTGTTTAAATCTTTTTATTTTGAAATAATTTCAAGAATACTGCAAAGAACTCCCATATACCCTTGTATTTGTGCGTTTTGCGTTGCTCTAAAGGAATATCCGAGCCTGGGTAATTTATAAAGAAGAGAGTTTTGTCTGGCTCACTGTTCTGCAGGCCGTGCCAGCAACTGCTTTAGGTGAGGACCTCAGGAAGCTTCCACTTATGGCAGAAGGCAAAGGAGAGCAGGCTTGTCACATGGTAAGAGAGGGAGCAAGAGAGAGAGCAGGGAGGTCCCAGACTCTTTTTGACAACTAGATCTCCTGGTAACTCATTACCGTGAGGAGGGCACCAAGCCGTTTATGAGGGATCCACCCCCATGACCCAGACACCTCCCACTAGGCCCACCTGCAACACTGGGGATCACATGAGATTTGTAGGGGACGAATATCCAAACCATATCAGCCCTTCACCCAGATTCACTAGTTTTTCATGTTTCGCCACATTTGCTTTATCTATTTTTCTCTTCTCCCGTCTAAAGCATTGGAGTTGTCTATCTCATGCCTCTTTATTCCTAAATACTTCAGTATTTTTTTTCTCTAAGAACAAGGACATTCACTTAACATAATCACAGAACAATGGTCACAATCAGGACATTTAGCATCAGTACAATGCTATTATCCAATCTGCATAGCCCCAGCATTTGCCATTTGTCCCAATAATGTCCTCTTGTAGCAATTCTTTCTGCTCCCAGTCCAGGAGCCAACCCAGGATCACGTGTTGCATTTTGTTTTTATGATTGTTTAGTTTCATTTAATTTGGAACAGTTCCTCAGCCTTTATCTTCCTATGACATTGATATTTTTGAAACATTCTGGCTCATTATTTTGTAGAATGTTTCTCTATTTGGGATATCTGATGGTTGCTATGATTGGATTAGTTTATGCATTTTGGCAGGATCATGCTAGCTTTGATGTCAGGTCCTTGGTGGGTCCCGTGATGTTAGTTTGTCCCGTTATTAGTGAGGGTAACACTGATCACTTGGGTAAGTAATGTCTGCCAGGTTTCTGTACTGTTTTTCCTTTTATAATAACGTATTTGCAGGTGATATTTTGAGACTGTAAATATTCTGTTCTGTGTCAAAATTTACCTACTAGTTTTCCCTGATTCAGTTGTTTTGCAAAATTTTAAAAAACTCACTTGCTATTTTACTGTAGAGAGGAGCTTTATCCTGTGATTTATTTATTTAGTACAAATATGGATTCATGCCTTCTTACTTTGTTATTTATGATTGGCATTATTTACTTTGATACTCAGAGTGTCCCAGATTTGGATATGGCAGAGCCTTCAGCCTGGCTTCTGTGTCCATTTGACATGCATCTGTCATTTTTAGAGAATTTCCTTACTTTCTGACTCAAGAAGATGGTTCAGGCTCATCTTGTACTTTTCCTGCCCAGCCTTGGAACCAGCCATTCTCCACTAGGCCATGATATTTCTCAATGGGGAATGGCATTTAGATATCAAGATCTGGGGGCTAGATGGGCTTATTGCTACTGAGGTGTCATTACTAACAGGGCTTTTAGTGGACAAAGCTAGGAAATATACATGCCTGCATTTGTACATACAGTCACCCCTTAAACAATGCAGGGCTTAGAGGTGCCAACCTTCCCACACAGTTGAAATTCACATATAACTTTTGATTCTCCAAAAACTTAACTATTGATAGCCTACTATTGACCTGAAGCCTTACCAATAGCCAATTAACACATATATTGTATGTTATATATCTATATACCATATTCTTACAATAAAGCTAGAAAAAGAAAATGTTATGAAGACAATCATAAGGAAGAGAAAATACATTTATAGTGCCTTACTGAATTTATTGATTCCGTAAGTTTACATCATCTGTTTACCAGATGAATCGTCTGTCTGAAATGGTGCCCGAGTGTAGCTGCAGACCTCAATCTGTGGCACATATTAAGCCATGCAACTTTTTCTTATAATGTCATGACTTTCTCTGCTTCTTGGGAGAACTTCCAGCATCACTAGTGGCACTTCATAGGGATCCTATGGTGTTATTCAAGCTTTATGGTAGTGCACAAAATATGTTGAAAAATATATGAGAGCCACGAGAGACCACTTTTTACTATGATATGCAATTTACTGTAGAGACAGACTGCTCATGCAGAGATGATGAGCGGCACACGGCGTTTTAAGCTGATACTTTCAAAACTTGAGCACACTGAACTAGCAACAGAAAGTGGCTTTGAAATTATTACAGTACTACCATGTGTACTTCTGTAAATTTTATGCAGTTATGATTTAATACTGCATTTTAATGTTTGTTTATATTTCTCTTGACTGTGAATGGTGCCATGTATTATCTGCAAGGGTTTGTGTATGTAAGTTTTGATAAATCTTAATTTTTTAGGTCGGGCAGGATGGTTTACACCTGTAATCTCAGCACTTTTTGGGAGGCCGAAGTGGGCGGATCACCTGAGGTCAGGAGTTTGAGACCAGCCTAGCTAACATGGTGAAACCCCATCTCCACTAAAAATACAAAAAAATTAGCTGGGTGTGGTGGTGCACACCTGTAGTCCCAGCTACTCGAGACGCTAAGGCAGAAGAATCACTTGAAACCAGGAGGCAGAGGTTGCAGCAAGCCAAGATTGCATCGCTGCACTGAGCCTGGGCAACACTGTGAGACTCCATCTCAAAAAAAAAATTTCTTCTTAACTTTTAAAAATAATAGATTTGTGGCTGGGTGCAGTGGCTCACGGCTGTAATCCCAGCACTTTGGGAGACCAAGGTGGGCGGATCACTTGAGGTCAGGAATTCAAGACCAGCCTGGCCAACATGGTAAAACCCTGTCTCTACTAAAAATACAAAAATTAGCTAGGCATGTTGGCGCATGCCTGTAATCCCAGCTGGCTGGGAGGCTGAGGCAGGAGAATCGCTTGAACCCGGGAGACGGAGGTTGCAATGAGCTGAGATCACACCACTGCACTGGAGCCTGGGCGACAGAGAGACTCCGTCTCAATAAATAAATAAATATAATAGATTTGTGTATGTTTTATGATAGTAAATTATAAAGTAGACTATCTACACATATTTTATGCATTCATGACATACCTTTTTCTTAATTTTCTCAATATTTCTAGGCTACATGGCTCATCTGTTTTTCCAAATTGTCACAAATCTCCAAAAAAATTCCAGTATATTTAAGAATCTGCATATAAGTGTACCTACACAGTTTAAACCCATATTGTTCAAGGGTCAACTGTATACATATAATACACACTCATATTCATACATGTGTGTACACACATATATCTATGTGTGTGTACATACAGATATACATGAAATATAAATATTTCAATATTTGTCTAAAACGTAAGTTCACTCATACTGATACCTCCTCTTCTAGGCCAACATTACATGGTTCTTCCTAGCTTCTCCCATTTCTTCAACAGTGAGAAATCAAGAACCTACCTTAAGTGTTTACCCATTTGCCCAATTTTACAAGACACAAAAGTAGTTTCAGAATTGCCATGTGAAGTAGAGCTTCTGATTTGTTTGCAGTTTATTTTGTCCTTAAACTGAGGGTTTATGGTCAAAGCAGTCTGTTACTTGGGTTAGTTATTTTGTTTCCCACTTCAGCTGAATTATGTTATTCATATGAACAAGGTTCATTTGTTTTTGCTGGCATTGAATAGGGTTTCCCCCATCTTTATTGATTTAATTTTACTTTCTAAGTACTAAAACATCAAAACTATACAAAAAGGTACACTCCGAGTACGACTCCCCATGTCCCTTCTACCCATTCTCACCTGCTCCTTAAAGGCAACCAAATAAGTTTTTGGTTTATTCCTCTGTTTCTTTTTGTAAAAATAAGCAGATTTATATCTATATGCTTTCTTTCTTCTATAAAAGATAGCATGCTATAGATACTCTTTTGCACTTAATTTTCTTCACCGTATCCTGGAAATCCTGTTATGTCAGTGCACAGAGGTCTTTGTCATTCTTTTCGACAGCCGTGTGTACTCTGCTGTGTGGCTGTACCATACGTTATCCAACCGTTCTCCTCTGTATGGACATTTAGGTTATTTTCAGTGTTTTACAGTCACAAACAGTGCTTCAGTGAGTAACTGTGTGCATATGTATTTTATCACTTTGGGAAATATATCTTCAGGGTAAATTTTTGAAAGTGGGATTCCGTTAGCCAGGCGCGGTGGCTCATGCCTGTAATCCCAGCACTTTGGGAGGCCAAGGCGGGCGGATCATGAGGTCAGGAGATAGCGACCATCCTGGCTAACAGGTGAAACCCCATCTCTACTAAAAATACAAAAAATTAGCTGGGCGTGGTGGCGGGCACCTGTAGTCCCAGCTACTCGGGAGGCTGAGGCAGGAGAATGGTGTGAACACGGGAGGCAGAGCTTGCAGTGAGCCAAGATTGCGCCACTGCACTCCAGCCTGGGTGACAGAGTGAGACTCTGTCTCAAAAAAAAAAAAAAAAGAAAAAAAAGAAAGTGGGATTCCGTTAAGTGTTGGACCATCCTGAATTCCCACCAGCTGTGTAAAAGTGTGCCTGTTTCTCCATAGCTGACGGTCACTGTAAAGTTTTAAATTTTTTTCTCAATCTGATAGATGAGAAATGGTACCTTGATGTAGCTTTATTTTGCAATTTTTCCCCTCTTTTTTGAGACAGGATCTCAATCTGTCTCACTCACCCAGCACCCAATCTGTCTCACTCACTCACCCAGGCTGGAGTGCTGTGGCACAGTCTCGACTCACTGCAACCTTCGCCTCCCAGGCTAAAGTGATCCTCCCATTTCAGCCTCCCAGGTAACTGGGACTACAGGCATGCAGCATCACACCTGGCTAATTTTTTGTATTTTTTGTAGAGATGGGGTTTCACCATATTCCCCAGGCTGGGCAATTTTCTTATTATGGGTGAAGTTGAACATCTTCTCATATATTTAATGGCCATTTATAATGTCTTCTTTGTAACTTGTTCATGTCTTTTATTATCCTTTTGCTCTCAGGATTTTGGATCTTTTTTCCTCTAAAACTTAAGAATTCCTTAAATATTAGAGCTAACTGGCCCTTTATCTGTGGTATATATTGCAAGTGTTCTCTCCATGTGTCTTAGTCAGCTTAGGCTGACTAAAATACCAAAGACAAGGTGGCTTAAACAATAGGACTCTGTTTTCTCACATTTCTGTAGGCTGGGAAGGCCAGGGTCAACGTGTTGGCCAGTTCAGTTCCTGATAGGGGCTATCTTCATGGCTTGCCTTCTTACCGTGTTGTCACATGGCCAAGAGAGGACTCAGGTGTCTCTTGTTCTTCTTATAAAGGGCACCAACCCTTTTGGATTAGGACCCCACCATTGGATTAGAAGGTAACTGTATTTACCTCCTCACAGGCCCTATCTTCAAATACAATCAGATTCAGGGTTAGGGTAGGAATTTGGGGGGGGACACAAACATTCAGCCCATAACATGCTGGTTGTCATTTTCTTTTGACTTTGCTTATAGAGTTTTTTTAATACAAAAGTTTTATACATTTTAAATCTAATTTAATTATTAATCCTTTCTTTTATTGAATTTGAGTCAGGTTACATGTTTCCTTATGCCCAGGGTATAGATGAACTTATCTATTTTTTCTCTTAATGCCTATAAATACATTTTTCCTTTAGACCTCTGATCTGTTTGGCATTTAGTCTTATAGAGGGCATGATTTATCTTTTTCTAAATAGCTACTCATTTATCCTACTACTGCATATTAAAAAGTCTGTCTTTGTCACAGTGATTTGTAGTGCCACCTTTATCATACACTAAAATGTTGTGTGTCCTTGGGCCTATTTCTAGTCTGTTTCACCGCCTGTCTGTCTACTCATGAGTCAGTGCTACACTGGTGTAATTACGGAGGATTTAGAGCAGGCTTTAGTGTCTGGTAGCTTCTCTAGTAGCTTTTCTGTATCAGGGTTTCTCATAGCCATTCGTGCATTTTATACTTTTAGATTTTAAAAATTGTTTTTATTTTTAAATAGCAAAAAGTTTTTTATTTTTCATTATATTTAAATAATAAAATTATTTTATGTTTTAAAATTGATTTATTTATTTTATTTATTTGGTTTTTTGAGATGGAGTCTTGCTCTGTCACCCAGGCTGGAGTGCAGTGGCGCAATCTCGGCTCACTACAGCCTCTGCCTCCCAGGTTCAAGCCATTCTCCTGCCTCAGCCTCCCAAGTAGCTGGGATTACAGGTGCCTACCACCATGCCCGGCTAATTTTTGTATTTTTGGTAGAGACGGGGTTTCACCATGTTGGCCAGGCTGGTCTCGAACACCTGATCTCAGGTGATCCACCCACCTCGGCCCCACAAGGTGCTGGGATTACAGGCATGAGCCACTGCGCCGGACCAATAGATTTATTTTTTTAGAGCAGCTTTAGGTTTACAGAAAAATTGAGTGGGAACTACAGAGTTCCCATTATACCTCCTCTGCCCCAACCCGTCCCCAACACATTTTCCCCTATTATTAACATTTCGTATTAGTGTACAAGGGGTACATTTGTTACAGTTGATGAGCAAATATGGATAATATTTTTATTAGTCCATACTTTATATAAGGGTTCACAGTTCATTGGATTTTGATCAATACATAATGTCATGTATCAAACATTATAGTGTAATACAGAAGAGTATCACCCCTCTAAAAATCCTCTGTGCTCTACTTCTCATCCTTCCCTGAGCCTCAGGCAACCACTGATCTTTACAGTGTCTCTATCAGTTTGCCTGTTTCAGAATATCACATAGTTGGAACCATGCAGTGTGTAGCCTTTTCAGACTGGCTTCCTCCCCTTAGCAGTATGCATTTAAGGCTTTTCCCTGTGCATTTTTATTTTTCCCCATGAATTTTTGCTGACTTTTCTAACAAAAGCTTGTTGATGTTTTTGTTGGGATAATGTTAAATACATAAGTGAGCTGAGAGAGAGCCGATGTCTGGATAATGCTGAACCCTTTCCAAGAAAAGGGGATATTTTATTTGTTGAGTAATTTTGAGTGTTTTAGAGTGTTTTAGAAGTGTGTGAAGTTTTCTTCATATAGGTGTTGTTAACATTTCTTGTTAAGTTTATTCCTTGGTAGTTTTTTCTCTTCTGTTGCTACTATAAATGAGGTTTCCCCTTCCTTCCATCTTATCTTCCAGCTGGTCACTGTTTGTGTCTGTGAAGGCTGTGGACTTGAGCTTGAGAACTTGATTCTTGCAGGTCTACAGAGCAGCTTGAAGCAGGTGGTAGACTGGATTCTGGTCCAGCTTTGCCCCAACTGCCCAGGAAGCCTTGGACCAGTGACACCCCTCCTCTACCTCTCACCCTAGTTTTCTTTCTTTCAGAATGAGGGGCTGGATTAAATGTACACCATTTCCCAGAGTGTGATTCCTGTAAAAACAAAACTGATTTGTGTTTTTACCTCTTTGTCTTCCCTTTGATTGTAAAAATCAAATGCTCCTTCCCTGCTGCAGCCTGTAGAGCTGGGCTGCATGTACCCAGCCTCCCTACATGCCCTGGCCTTGTCAAATGCAACCTTTACATAAATGGGAAATGTCTCCGGCCTGTCTGCAGGAACCAGAATGGGGAGGGGACTAGCTTGTTTGTATGCCTGCTCATCCATTTATTTAATTGTTTATTCATTCATTCATGGATTCCGTCAGGCATTTGTCAGGTGTTTCCCATGTGCCATTCAAGGGGGTGCAGCGCACTGACTTTGAACTCTCTGTCTGTAGTCTAGTACGATCTCAAACTGTGGGGAGTGAGTGCTGCACGGTGCCCTGGGCGAGGGGGATTAGTGATATCTGCCTTGGAGCTGGAGAAGGCTTCTTGGAGGAGGTGTCATTGGAGCCAAGACCTGGACGTTCAGTAGGTGTTATCCAGGTGAGGAATGAAGGGAAATACGTTTTGGGCAGAGGAACAATGGTCTGGTCTCCAAGGTCTGGAGTGGGGAAAGGGCTCCATCTGTTGAGTGAACTGAGAGATGGCAAGTATGGTTGGATCGGAAAAAAAGCAGTAGGGGAGGAAGGTGCGAGATTGGTTCGGATGCTAATGCCCCTCTCAGGGTAGGCAGAGGAGCTTGGAAGCTACTGGGGCATTTTAAAGGAGGGTGTGACGAGATCAGGTTTGCAGTTTAAATGAATCTGTCTTCTACATAAGGAAAGTATCGGGCAAGGTGGTGAAAGTAGAAGCAGGGAGGCCCCTTAGGAGGCTGTGGTAATGGTCCAGGTGAGAGACAAGGACAGCTGGGATCCGAGTGGAGTTAGTGAAGATGGAGGGTCCTTTTGGAAGGGAAAGTAAAATGCATTGGGCTTGATGATAGATCCAGTGGGTTTGGAATTTTAGGATTGAGCAATGAGATGAGGAGCCCCGGAGAAGGACCAGGCTTGGAGGAAAGGTCAGGGGTTTGATCTGGGGCTGTGTTTAGGCTTGTTCAGGATGGTGGCCATTAGTCACATGTGGCTAGTGAAGTGGAACTTGTGTGACTGGGGGAGTGAATTTTTAATTTTATTGTAATTTAAATGTAAATAATAGTTGTTGGACAGCCTAGTTATAGAACATTTCCATTATTGCAGGTCTGGGTCTCAGAATAGCAATTGGTTTGGCTTCAAATCCCACTCTGCTACTTGCTTGCTGGGTGTCCTTGGGCAAGTAGCTTCACCTCTCTGAGCCTCACTGCTGTCATCTATGAAACACGGACCCTTCCATGTCTCAGGCGGTGCCTATTAAGTTTAGAGCTAAACTGTACAAGGTAGCTGGCCTAAGCAAGGCACTTGGGGTTGGTAATTGTTATTCTTTCTGTGTTTGACCTCTGTAATTTCTCTGTTTACTTTGGAAGCCAGATTTTCCTTTGGGAAGAACTCAGGTTTGACCTTGACTCAGAGTACGACCTTGGGCAAGTTCTTTCCCCTTTCTGGCCTCAGTTTTGATTGATGGCTGGGTTAGAGCAGGCCTTCATTGAGGCTTCCTGTGTGGTGAATAGAGTAAGCAGGTACTAACAACGGATCTGCCAATGTCAGAAGAGAGAACCGGAAGGAAGCATAGACCATATTGGGAGTCAGTGTGCATTAGCCTTGCCGGGTCCATCCACAGCATTTCTGGTTAGGTTCTGCCTTGTGAGAGCTCTAAACCAGAGAGGGTTGGGTGAAGAGCTCACCCAGACCCAGCCCATACCCTGAGCTTGCTCCAGGAACTGTCTTAGCAATTACCTGCATCTTTTTATTTTCTTTTTCAAAATATGGACAAGCTTTACTGACTTTTGAACTGTTGGGAAAAACTAATGTCTCATTAAAACTGTATTGCTTACTTGTAATGAAAGAAAAAAAAACAGCCCATTAAAGTTTTACACCTGACATGGAAAACTATTAAAGATTCATAATTGCAATAAAACTCTTTAATAGAATTTGAATTTTCCTTGTGATAATGCTGTAGCCAACAGGGACCTCCCTTGAAGCCGCAAGATCCATTTTAACACAGGCTTGGGAGGGTGCTGAAGGCAACTCTGAAATCGGCTTCTTTCGGGCCCTTCCCAGCGTGGCTGGTACAGGTGCACGCGCGGCCTGAGAGGATGGATTCCCGTCTCCCAGCTCAGCCTCGGGATCAGGTTGTTGGCAGCCTTCTCTCCTAACAACTTCTGGCGAGGGAGCTCGAAGCTACTGCCATTCCGCCACAGGTTCTTCCTGCCAGTTCCCTTCATCGGGCACGAATACAGCACCTACTGAGTGCATGGCCTAAAGCCCAGGGCTGGGAGGGGTAAGAAGTAGAGGAAGGGCAGGCTGGCTTTTCTTAAAGGAGAGTGTGGTATTGGTTCGTGCAGGGGCCTTGCTGGCTGGTAGAATGAAGGCCAGATCCCAGCTCTTAATGACTCTACTTCCCGTCCTCGGCTTCCTCATCTGTAAAATGGGATTAAAATATGAGTTTCATGGGTGTGGTCAATGTGTGTAGGTCAGTGGAAGCCAGAGGCAGGGCCCTGGGGAAGGTAGGTGGAAAGGTAGAGGGTGGCGCTGAGAGACACCCTGGAGGTAGAATTGCTAGATTTGGTTGGTGAGTGATCAACAGGTGAATTCAGGGATAAGCATGGCTTTCAAAAATGCATTTATTGCATTTATGGCCCCATGGAGACCCATGCAGTTACTGTATGTTAGCTACTTGTTTATGTGCTTTATACTTGTTCATTCAGTAAATATTTATTGAGCACCTACTATGTGCCAGACCCTGTTTTAAGTGTTGGTGATACACTGGGGAATGTATTAACTCATTTGTCAACCAGGTACTGATATGATCTCTATTTTCCAGAGGAGGTAACAGGCACAGAGAAGTGAAGTCAATTACCCAAGGTCATACAGCAAGTAAGTGACAGAGTGTAGAATTAGTCAGAGACTCCTGGGTCTGTGCTCAGAAACACACACCAGATGGCCACTGGTGTACTTTGCACAACACACTAGCTGTTAGTGGTCTTGTTCCCATTTTGGGAAGGAAGGCTTAGAACAATGAAATTATTTTCCTCAGGTCTCTTGGAGAGTAAGAGGGCTCCGTTAACCCAGCAAGGTCCACTGAGTGTTTCCGCTGTTACGAGGGTCCCCTCTCCTCCTGGGGCTCCTGCGCCTGCCCCAGACCTAAGGGAATTGAATTCTCTGCTTACTGGTGGTTGGCCAATTTCAGGGAAATCGGTATCCTGCCCTTATTGAAGCCCCGCCGTGCTCTTCTCAAAGTGTCTGAACATGAGCCAGTCACTCAGTGGGCTGTGGATGATGGAGGAGTCTTTCCTCTGCCTTAAAATGAAGGGCATTCCATGGTCCACCCTCCACTCCTCCATCAGTGGTGACAAATAGGATTCCCATGGTGACAAATAAAATAAAGCTGCCTTTATTCGTTTATCTTTCCTTGTCCTCCCCATCAGTGCCCTGCAAGCAAGCTGAGCAATATTAGACACTCGATCACACTTGGCACCTGTCTCTCCTATCTCCAGCACGTCCTGTCCCAGTGAGCTCTGGTGGAGGGATATGAGTGTTTCCACGGTTAGCTGTGGGTCTGGGCTTTGCTGTTGCCTTGCTCTGTGGCCCTAGACATGTTCCTGTCCTTTCTGAGCCTTGGATTCTGCATCTATAAGAGACGCCTTGGAAGGCCCCGATGGATACAGCATCTTTGCCTCTATTTTCTGCTTTATTTTCCTGTGCCGTCTAACTCTGAGTTGGTTTCAGTGGGTAGGAAAAAGCCACATTGCAATGAACAAACAAACAGAGCTCTTAGTTTTCTTTGGGAAAGAGTGAGAGTAAGATCTTTAAACATGCTGCCTCCAAATTCACTCACACCAACTGACGGGAAAGGGGAAACAAACAGAAGTGAGAACAAGAGAGGAGGAAGGCCGGGTCCCCCCATCCATTCACTATTTCCTAAGCATCTCCCGCATGCCAGTGCTGTGCTGGGGTGAAGGTGGCATAGGCTGGTAGGAAGAAGATGAGAAGATTAGGCTCAAAGGCTGGTTCATTTGTTTACTTCCAGTACGACCAGTGACCTTGAGCAAGTCCCTCAACATCTCTGAACCTGTCTCCTGTATCTGGAAGAGAAGCACATGAGAAGCCATGGAAAGCCTGATGTGTCTCAGGCTCTGTGCAGGGTGGTTCCATTTGATTCTCACAGCTACCTGGGAACTAGTGGTAGTATCATGCCCATCTTATAGATGACAAAACTGAGACTCAGGTTGTACTTGAGAGCTGTGCGGGGCCACTCAGCTACTATGTCACGGTTGCCTGGCTTTAAAACTAGAGGCTGCAATGTAGGGATGGGACTCCACACTCCACTGGCCACACGGGGTGACACTAGGACACTAGCAGCAGAGAAGACACCAGACTTGGTTGAAAGTGGTTTGTGGACTCTACATCACAGTGATCGTGTAGACAGCTCTTCTGACAGGGCTCCTAGACCTGGGGAAGCTTTCCAACAAGTAGAGGAAAAGGGAGAGAGCTGGACACAGAAAAATGGGAGCCACTCAAAACCAACTCACATGCTGCGGAGGGCCCTGTGGAGACCCTGAAGCCAGTCCTACCTAGCACTTTGGTTTGAACACAGGCTCTGGAGGAAGAAGAGACAGGAGAGGATTGAAAAGAGATTGGGAAGATGGGCTTACACGTCCCCAGTAAGTCAGGGTTTCCCAAGTGTGACTCCCATTTCACAGCCGTTCCCCAGGCAGATTGCACAGGAATCTATGCTGCCTCTTCAAATCTGGTAGGGATATATTTACTTAACAGGCATGAGGACAATGTGACTCGCACAGCCAACCTGGGATTTCACGCATATTAATGCCTAGGATGAGGCTGAAGTAAGTGGGATGCTGGGTAATTCCTGCGACTCAGGTTGCATAAGTGCCAGGTGCCAGGCTCAGGGTGAGGGAAGTGACCTAGGTTTGGAAGCCACAACACTAAATCAGCCCCCATAAGAGCCACTGGTCCCAGAGGTGACTGATACCTCCACCCCAGGGTGGCTAGATTTTCAGTAATAAAAACACAGGATGCTCATTTAAATTTGAGTGCAGATAAACAATGAATATGTTTTTTAGTATGTATATGCCCTATGCAATATTTGGGACATATGTATATTTTTAAAGCATTTGTTTTTCTGAAATTCAAGTTTAACTGGGCATCCTATATTTTATCCGGCAACCTTCCCCCAGCCTCATAGAAGGCCACGTCGATGCTCATAGAATTGAGTTGTTCCCTCCCCTCACTGCCCTCCTGGCCTGGACCCATAGAAAGAGGCTTGCATACAGAAGGATGCCCTTCCGTAGCTGGTCTCTTGGATGCCCGTTCCTTTAACTAAACTGCAGGGATGATATAAAGTGTGTTAAAGGGAAGATTAAAATTGATGCCCTTAGCGCAACGAAAGCGAAAGCTATTGAGGGGCATACTTAAGGAAACAAAGCCCTTGCGCGATGAAGAGTGCAGCCAGCTCCAGCTCAGAGCAGCAGGTGGAAATGGAGAAGATTCCTGCCCAGCAGAGATGAGAGATGGAGCTGCCACGTGGGGAGGTGGTTTAGCAAGTTGGGTGCCAGTGAGCCCAGCAGGAATGAGTTTCTCCTCCACTCTCAGTAAGGCCTGAGTACCTGGGAGAGCTGCACAGCTCTGCCTCTTAGCATCAGCGAAAGCCAGCTGGGAGAGAGAGGGGAGGAGGGAGCTGCAGAGGCGAGATAGGGAAGGGCAGTATCCACACCTGCATGCATAAGCACTGATTGAGTGCTTGCTGAGTACCAAGCCCCGAGCCAGGTGTTGGGTCTTGTCTCACGCTCTTTACAGGGAGACCAGCCAGGGCTGCCGAAGTTCTCAGGGGCCCTGGCTTCTCAACCGGGGAGCTCAGAGACATAAAAAGGGAGAAAGAGAATTGCAGATATTGCTGGGGGCATGGTGAAAGCATGTGGCATTGAGATGCTGCTGACTTTAGGTATTTGGAGAAGGACAATCCTGGGCTAGGACTCCCTTTTTACTCCCAACGAAAGTGAGGCACAAAAGCTATTGTGGGTTTTGTGGGGCCATGTGGCACGGAAGTGATAGAGTTAGCATTTGAACCCAGATCTGATTGTCTTTGAAACCATTAGCCATAGTGCTTTGCTTCCTCCTAGATTATGAGGGGTCATGGGAGGTGTTTAAGCAGGGAGAGATGTCATCAAAGCAAAAAGTTGATGAAATTAATCTGACACTGGCGGGGCGCGGTGGCTCACGCCTGTAATCCCAGCACTTTGGGAGGCCAAGCCGCGTGGATCGCCTGAGCTCAGGAGTTTGAGACCAGTCTAGGCAACATGGCAAAACCCCACCTCTACTAAAATACAAAAAGTTAGCTGGGCGTGGTGGTGTGCACCTGTAGTCCCAGCTACTCAGGAAGCTGAGGCATGAGAATTGCTTGAACCCAGGAGGTGGAGGTTGCAGTGAGCCGAGATTGCGCCACTACACTCTAGCCTGGGCAACAGAGGGAGACTCAGTCTCCAAGAAAAAAAAAAAAAGAAATTAATCTGGTACTATGTCTGGCCAGTTTAGATGTAAATGCACAGTGATGAGGATGCTAGCTCGCTCACGTGGGAGGGAGCAGGTAGGAACCGAGGTCAGGGGGCTGATGGGGGTGGAGGACGGGATTTGCTGAAGGATCTGCTCAGGGGGGTAAAGGCAGAGTTGATGATGAGATGAAGTTTTCAGATCTGGCTGCTGCAGGCAGGGTCAGGGAAAGGATGGCAGCACAGTAGCTTTGGACACGCTGGATTTGAAGCGATATCACGTGGTCCCCAAACAGCGCTCCGGGCAGCAGCCCAGCAGTAGAAAGCAGAGGGGCCTTGGTGCTGGCCTGACCTGGATGTGCAAATCAGCACTCCTTTTCACTAGCACTGTGACCACAAACTATGTGCTTAACCTTTCTGAGCCTCAGTTTCCTCTCTAGTGAAATGGAGAGCTATGATACTTACTTTATAGGATGTTGGTGATATTAAGGAGAAAACATATAAAGGGACAAAGAAGGCTGGTGTAATGTGCATCTCTGAGCTGCAGCAGAGATGGTCCTGGAGTTGGAATAGATGGAAATGCGTGTCTTTTTATTAATCTGATTTTATTTTTTAATACAGAGTCTTGCTCTGTCACCCAGCCAGGCTGGAGTGCAGTGGCACGATGTCGGCTCACTGCAATCTCTGCCTCCAGGGTTCAAGCAATCCTCCTGCCTCAGCCTCCCGAGTAGCTGGGACTACAGGCGCACCACCTCGCCGGGCTAATTTTTGTACTTTTAGTAGAGACAGCATTTTGCCATGTTGGCCAGGCTGGTCTTGAACTCCTGACCCCAAGTGATCTGCCCACCTCAGCCTCCCAAAGTGCTGGGATTACAGGCATGAGCCACGATGCCTGGCCTCATCTGATGATTTTTTTAATTCCTACTGTGTGCTGGGCCCTGGGGATACAGTGTGGAGAGGCTGATGGGGAAACTCAGTCATCACGCAAAGCTGAGCTCACCCTTGATCGTGAGCTAAATGGAACAGGAGCAGATTATCCTGCTCAGCACAACATCCCAGCACACAGTAGGCATTGCAGTAAATGGTGGTGAATGCTTGAAATGCAGCACAGACCCCACTCTGTTAGAGTCATGGAGGCAGAGGCAGCAAGCCTCCCCTGAGTGTCAAAGCCGGTGCAGAGGAGAGAGGTAAAGTCTGTCTTTGTAACCACTTTCTATACTGGAAACTCCCAACTGGGGTGAGGCATTCAAGAAAAGCCGGGGAACTGGGGAGCAGGGTTTTGGTTCTCAGCCTGGTAATCCCATCTTCTTTTCTCCCAAGCTCCCATTTGTCTTACCTTTTCCAAATCTTTGAAAAATGCTGGATAAACCTACAGGAGTTGATCATGTGCTCTCAGCAGGCTGGGAAACTGGGGAAAAGGAAAAACAGCCAAGAATAACCAGCATTGTGAGGCTGCCCTTCAAGGCCTCAGTGGCACATGACCCTGGGCAGCCCTTTCCCGTCCTTGGACCTCAGTTGACCCATTTGTGAAAGGAACCCCGAGTTTAAAGGTGCGGTCCCATCATACCCTGCAGCATCTTCCCTTTCAACCCCTTCTATTTCTGTCACATATTTGTTTTTATTGGAAGGCTAGTTTTATTTTTTGCCTCTGTTTTTACATTCCTTCATTAAAAGTATTTTTGTAAAAAGAGAGGATCTTGCTCAGTTGTCCAGGCTGGAGTATGGTGGTGCAATCACAGTTCACAGCAGCCTCGAACTCTTGGGCTCAAGCAATCCTCCTGCCTCGGACTCCCAAGTAGCTAAGGACTATAGGCACACACGACTGTGCCCGGCTATTATTATTTTTAGAAATGGAATCTCACTATTGCCCAGGCTGGTCTGCAACTACTGGGCTTAAGTAGTCCTCCCACCTTATTCCTCCAAAGCTCTGGGATTACAGGCATGAGCCACTGTACCTGCCAGAAATATTTTTTTAATTACAAAATAAAGCTGCCTCCTTGTAAGAATCTAAGCCATATGTACTGCTTTAACGGAAAACTAATTTTCTCATTTATTGCTGTTTCTTTTAGTAGATTAAAGTTTTGTTTACATTTTAAGGTAATATAAGAATGCATGGTTGAGGTAAAAACCTCAACAAAGTACAAGTGTAGGAGGAAAATTACGGATGTCCACCTTCATGGCTTGCCTCATCCTACCCCAGCTTCACGCCCACCTTGGCCCTGAGATGACTGTTGTTTCTAGATAAGGGGACCCTTGGAATGTCATCGTAGACCCACCCCTCAAAGCCATTGCTGAGTCATGGGGACATGCCCCCTTTTGATGACAAGAGCATGGACTCTGGGTCAGGATCAGAAGGCCAGCACTGCTATTGACTTGCTGTGTGACCCTCAGGCATCCTCACATCCTCTCTGATCCTGGATGACCTCCTTGACAGGCTGGCCCAGAGGAGAATTGGGATCTGGGCTGTGAAGTCCCTAGTGTGAATCCTGCAAACAGCCCAGGTGACTGTATTGTGTGGTGATCTTGGCAGGTTGGGGACCAGATTCTAGAAGTGAATGGGCGGAGCTTTCTCAACATCCTACACGACGAGGCTGTCAGGCTGCTTAAGTCATCTCGGCACCTCATCCTGACAGTGAAGGACGTCGGGAGGCTGCCCCATGCCCGCACCACTGTGGACGAGACCAAGTGGATCGCCAGTTCCCGGATCAGGGAGACCATGGCGAACTCGGCAGGGTCTGGCCACTCTGCTCGCTCCAATCTCCAGACCCCAGGGCCATTTCTGAAAGCCAGTGATAGCTGCCTCCCATCCCTCCACCGCCCTGGCTCTCCTCTCAGCCTGCAGTCCCCACACCAGGGCCCTCCATTGGCAGGACATGACCTGGGCACATCCCTCTCCTCTCTTGGCCTCAGTTTCCCCATGGAAAGCTGAAATACACCATCCAACTGTCTCATTCTTTATTTGTCCCCAAATTACTTAACTCATTCTATAGACCTTAGTTGCTTCATCCAAAAAGTGGGGACCATAACCCTGCCCTCATCCCAGATCTGTGCAGATGAAAGAGAGGGAGGGAGAGGGAAAGAGAGAGATGCTTTGGGGTGTATTTGGCCAGAGGCCACCAGGCTGGATCCCATGAAGAAATCTGGGTGAGAGGGTCTTAAAGTCATAAACTGAGATCCAGTTGCCAGGTGGCTGCATAGTTGCCAACAGTGTAATGTGTCACCTTTTGATCTTCATCAGAAATCTCAGGCTGGTGGCCACCTGGCCAAATACACTGCAGAGCATGTCTGTCTGTCTGTCTGTCTGTGTCTCTCTGTGTGTGTGTGTGTGTGTGTGTGTGTGTGTGTGTGTGTGTGTGTCTCCCCCTTCCCTTCCTTTCACCTGCATAGTATTAAACATTTTCAAAGTTACTTGCCAACATCTAGAAAGATACCAGGTTTTCTATAAAAAAAAAAACTGGATTTCTGGATGCTTCTTAAAAATCAGGAAGTCTGGCAGCCTGAGCCCACATCGGCTGGAGCTGAGCCGCACCTGCGAGTTGCATCTGGGATCTCCAGTTCACCGGCCCCTAAGCTCCTGAGGGTTGGCCTGACCCTGAGGTTGCCTGTCAATCACCATTTCTTCCCTCCACTCCTTGTGTTACCTGCCTGGTCCTGCGGGGTTGGCAACAACTCAGGAGCCCACCTCGGGTGGTTTTGGAGGTGCCGTGCACACTGCTGATTGGGAGGCTGGACGCTGCCAGTCTGTCCGGAGTTTCCTTTACCCCTGAGTAGCCCCCAGACTGAACTGGCAGCGAGTGGAGGCCACGATGCATGGTTCTCTTGAAGCTTTGCTCTTCCTGCCCCAAGTCACCCTGTCCCTTGCCCACGCCCATTTGATCTGCTCAAATGCACAACTGGAGATGTGTGTCTTTCCCCACAGGTTTCTTGGCGATCTCACAACAGAAGGAATAAACAAGGTAGGACATCCTCTAAGGGGTATTCTCTGCTTCCTCACAGCTCCCTGAGTGAGGAGGTCTGGCCAGCCAGAGGGTGCCGAGTGACTTACACTACCTCATTCCAACTGGGCAGCCCCTTATCTGCCCACCCCCCAGCCCACTTATCTGTGACTGACTGCTAGGTTCTGGGCACTACCTCTGGCACCAGGGTTGATGGCAATGAACAGAGCAGACCAGGTCCCTGCCCTCATGCGGGTTTTACTCAGTGAAGGAGATGTAAAGACAAAACAAATTCTAATTAAGAAAGATAGTACTATCAAGGCAAGGTGCTGGGGGTTATGAGGGAGAATAACAGATGAAACACCACACTTAGACAGGATGGAAGGGCAGAGGGGGAGTGGCATGGCCACTCAGCTCTAGAGCAGCTAAGAATTCCTGGGCTTCTATCTTTCTGTCTTGCAGCCAGGATTTTACAAGGGCCCAGCCGGCTCCCAGGTGACCCTGAGCAGCCTGGGGAACCAGACACGAGTGCTGCTGGAGGAGCAGGCTCGGCACCTGCTGAACGAGCAGGAACACGCCACCATGGCCTACTACCTGGATGAGTACCGTGGTGGCAGCGTCTCTGTGGAGGCCCTCGTCATGGCCCTGTTCAAGCTGCTCAACACCCACGCCAAGGTGACCCGTGCCCTGCCTCCCAACTGGCTTCAGCATTTCCAGGGCTCTGCATCCTGCCCTGCCCCCGCTCCTTTGCTGAGAACCTACAAGGGGTCAGGCCTGAACTGAACACTGGGCAGAGACCTGGGACTGAGGCAGCCTCCTGCCCCCAGGATGCTCACAGACTCCTGGGGGAAACAGACATTTAAAGCGCCCTGTGATTGGGTCCCTGTCGCAGTGGCTTCCAACGCTGAGTGCACAGAATCACCTGGATTGCTCTTAAAAGCAGTGCTCGGGCCCCATTCCAGGCTGGTTAACGCCTCATATCTGGGGATGGGAGCCAGCTGTCAGTCATCTTCACAAGCCCTCCAGGTGACTGTGCTGTGCCACCAGCTTTGAGAACTCTGCTCCAAACTGTTTGAGGTCCAGAAACTGTACAAAGGAAGAGGTGGTGAAATCCACTGGGAGGGGTTATGTTTCGGAAGACTTAACAGAGGAAATAGGATTTGGAGATGAGTATTGGAAAGGGTATTCTGGGTGGAAGGTTCAGACAGCCAGAGGCTTTGTGGCATGAAATGTTGCAGTGTGTCCAGGGAGTCACAGCTACATGTGCTTGCTGAGGAGATGACAGGGAAGCAGGAGTGAGATGATGCTGGGCCTGGTGTCCAGGTGACGGTGTTTGGCCTTTCTCTTGAGAGCACTGGGGAGCCAGACAGTTAAGGAGGGGAGGCAGGGTCAAGTTTGCATGCCAGTCCTTTGGGGGTAGCAGGGCCCCTGTTCCACCTTCTAGTAGCGCTCCCTGCTGAGTGCCCCTTTTGTCCCCGCCTCCAGTTCTCACTCCTCTCTGAGGTGAGAGGCACCATTTCCCCGCAAGACCTAGAACGCTTCGACCACCTGGTGCTGAGGCGTGAGATTGAGTCCATGAAGGCGCGGCAGCCCCCAGGCCCCGGGGCTGGGGACACCTACTCCATGGTCTCCTACAGTGACACGGGTTCATCCACAGGCAGCCACGGCACCTCCACCACCGTCAGCTCGGCCAGGGTGAGCTTCTTCTGCCTTGTCCCTGGCTTAGTAGCCAGGGCAGAGTTAAGATGCTGGCTTTGGAGTGAGACCAGCCTGAGTTCGAATCCCAGCACCACCACTTACCAGCTGTGTGCCTTGCCTCTCTGAGCCTCAGTTTCTTCCTCTGTAAAAACCTAATAGTTGTTGAATGTCTACTGCATGCTAGGCATGGGCTCTTGGGGACAACAGGTGAACAGGAGAGATGTGGCCCTGCCTCCTGGGGCTTGCAGTCTGGGAAGCTGGGGGAGAAAGGTTAAAAAAAAAAAGTAGGTAAATTAGGCAAATAGAAAAAGATCATTAGAATCCTTGGGAATGCCTCTGGCATGGTGCCCACTCCCGCTGGGCACTCAGTAGATGGTAGTGGGCATGGTAACTTGGACTGTGATTTTTATTTTCCCCAAGAGGCCACCCTTTTGTCTCTGGAGCCCAAGCCCAGTTTGACTTTCTTTTTGTTTTTCGAGATGGCTTCTTGCTCTGTCACCCAAGCTGGAGTGCAGGGGTGCAATCTTGGCTCACTGCAACCTCCACCTCCCCAGTTCAAGCAGTTCTCCTGCTTCAGCCTCTTGAGTAGCTGGGATTACAGGTGCCTACCACCATAACCAGCTAATTTTTGTATTTTTGGGTAGAGACGGGGTTTTGCCATGTTAGCCAGGCTGGTCTCGAACTCCTGACATCAGGAGATCCACCCACCTCAGCCTCCCAAAGTGCTGGGATTACAGGTGTGAATCACCATGCGTGGCCCCAGCGTGACTCTCTTGCAGACTCACCAGCCCCCCAGCAAAGCATCTGGCCATCTCAAGATATGGTTCTGCCCCCTGGATGCTTGGAGGCAAATGAATCCCAGGAGACGTTTGCAAGGAAGGAGCAGGAGCATATGCATTGTTACCTGTCTTGGGAAACAACTGGTTATTAAGGTCCATGCAGTGGAAAAGTCAGGGCTGGAGGTCAGGAGAGCTGGCTTGGCCCCATGCTCTCCTCTATGCCCTTGTTTCTCACCGTTAGGTCATTCATCACCACTCTTCTATGGAAAGGCAGTGGGGAGAGTAATGTTTCTTAAGCAGGCGGTTGCTCCCAGATGCTGAACTGAGAGCTCTTTCTGGAGGAATCTCAGACTGGAGGTAGATACGGTATTAGCTGTCTTGTTAAGTGGGAGAGCAGGAGCTCAGAGGTGTGCAGTGATGGCCATGGTTATAAACACAGATGGTTAATGAGTGAGGATGAGCTTGCAGCCACCAGAAAATGGCCCAGGAGCATGCACCCTTCTCTTTTGCAAGCTCCAACTCCTAGTGTGGCTTTTCTTTAGCCCTGGGATTCTGGGTTTCTGGGGGTGATTCCTTTATACTCTTTTACCCCTATCCCTCCCATCCTGAGTTGCCATCATTTCCAAGGGTGCTCATCCCCTTCCTGGGATGTCCCCACAAGTCGCCCTGCATTCCTCTAGGGCTGGACATGGCTGCAGCAGAGGCAGTTCCATGTTCTGGGACAAGCAGATCACTTCTGGGGCAGGGAAGAGGCTGTCCTTCACCCCAGGCTCTGAGCACATACTTTGATATGGCATTTAGGTGAGGATCTGGTTTAAGGGTGCAGGTCCTTGGCCTGATGACTGTTTCTCTCTAAGATAGGCTCCACTGAGATTGGCCTTGATAATGTTCAGGCCTCAGCAGCCATGAGCCACTGCTCTAAAACCTGGGAAACTGCAGACTGTGCTTCTACAGTGGTCCCTTTAGAATCAGAGATGAAATATCCAGTGAATGGGGTGGGATGTGTTTTGGTCTGGGAGGCAGGAGGTCTAGGTTTGAGCCCCAGCCTTTCTGGTCTTCAGTTTCTGGATAAAATGGCCTGGGGTCCTTGCTGGCTCTGACTTCAGCAGCCCGAAGCCCTGAGGGCAAATCAGGCTGGAGTGCCAGGAGTCAGGTGACTATCTTGCCTGGCAAGGGCTCTGGGGCAGGGGTCAGGAGCCCCCAGCTCGGCACTGGCCCACAGCAACCTTGTCCCAGCTCAGGGGGCTCTCCCCTACCTGAGAAGCACCATCTGGGGCCAGTCCAGATCCCAGCTGTGGAAGTTGGCCCTGCTCTGCCAGAGGGGCTCTCACTGCAAATTGGGGCACCCTGGGGAAGGCAAGCCTCAGAAAGGCCATAGGGTGGTTTTATACAGGGAGTTTTTTGGGACAGATGAAAAGAGTGGTCCTAAAGGTTTTCCCCAAGTTTCTGAGGTGGGAAGGACTCAGAATTTGTGACTGTGAAAGTCCATGGCCCACCAGGTGGCACATGCATGTCAGGATTAGGACTCTCCTAGACCAGGGTGAGCCCCTGGAAGTGATTCTAAGAGAAAATTGTGCAAGCAGGAAAGGCAGCGTGGAAGGGGCACTTGAGCTCGCGGTGCCTTGATTTCCTCTTTTGCAGAGGGACAGTGATACTACTTCCTCCAGCTTGTTGGGAGGATTAAATGAGAGGATGCCTGTGGGCCCAGGGTGAGTAACCTGCTAGTACCAGCATCCCAGAAATGCTGGCCACACCCTGAGGGCAGGTGAAGCCTCGGTTCTTTTGGACCCAGCCCACCTGGCTGGGGAAAACTACCTGGAGATTGTACCCAGGGCCTTGGGGACTCGTGGAGGGTCTGGAAAGTGCTAGGCTGAAGGACTGCCACCGCCCCCCTGACCTTCATCCCACCCAGGTACCCTCCACATGCACAGTCCAGAGCTCCCTTCCACAGATTCAGCTTCTCTGACATCACAGGGCTTGGGCCTCCCTGAAGTCCAGGCCTTCTCCAACCGAGGCTTCCAAACAGGGCCCTCCTTGAAGCTCTGCATTTCATTAGCAGGTGTGACCTCAGACAATTCACTTCCCTTCTCTGAGCTTGTTTCTCTCTCTGGGAATACGGATCCCAGCCTCGCCCCAAAGTAAATGACTGTCTCCTGAAGGCCCTTTAGCAGGGACAAATGTCTTTTCTTTAGAGCAGTGGGGACTCGCCTGTTTCCTTCAAGGAGGCAGGCAGAATGAAGGGATGCTGGTCATGGCAGTGGGGTCTTTCCCTCCCCTCTCTCCATTATTCCTGCCCAAAGCATTCAAGGTAAATAGAAAAGGGGTTTGGAGAACGTGTGGATTTTGCATGTGTGTGTGCGCGTGTGCATTTGGGGAAGGGGTTGTTGCTGCACCCACCCATTCCCTAAATATTTATTTGATGTATCTTTTCTTTTTGCCTTTTGCTCATCCTTCCTCCCCAGGAGCGGCTGCTGTGGCTTATAGACCTGATGGAGGTACCGTCCTTCCTGCCGGTGGGGACTGTGGGAGTCCCTTAACCAGGGGCCGGGGTAGGGGGCTGTGGCCTTTTCTGCCACCCCCGTATGTCTGCACCCAGTCCTGGTGGGGACCAGGGGTTCTTATTGGTGCTGACTGTCTTTCCAGGTCATCAGGTTTCCTGAGCTCTGCAGTGAGAATCCCGTCCATTCAAATCCCAGCTCTGCCACTTTCTTGCTGTGAGACCTCAGGAAGTGGTTTCACCTCTCTGAGCTCAGTTTTAGGATCTGTAAAATGAGGATGGTAATTTCTGTCCCGTGATGTTGAGAGACCCCTTGGCCTTTGCATATGCCATGTGCTTTCTGTCTGGAATGTTCTTCTCCCCACTTCATATGACCTGACTTTCTCCTATGTGTGCTTCAGCCCTCAGCTCAGAAGCTGCCTCTTCCAAGAAGACTTCCCTGATCCTCCCAAGGGGAGTGACTTTCAGGCCACGGCTCCTCTTGCCCCCGGGCTTCCTTTGGTCACAGCTCTTGCCTCATTATGTCCTATTATAAAAGCCTGTACAGGTTTCCCAGTTACCCAATGTGACTGCTGACTGCTTGAGGGCAGCGATCGCACGTGCGGTTACCATTGAGTCCCTATCCCTAGTGCTCAGCACAGACCCTAGCCCATAATTTGGGCCTTTATTAATAACAATAGTGGCTGAGATTTGTTGAATGTTCTCTATGACACTGTGGTAGTGCTTTCCATTCGTATCTTCTTTGACCATCCCAGGAGCTAGGAGTTGTGAGTACTGCTGTGATCCCCATTTTACAAAGAAGAAAACCAAAGCTCAGAGAGGAGAAGCAACTTGCCCAAGGTTGCATGGCTAGTGAGTGATGGAGCCAGGATTCAAACCCAGGCTTGCTTGACTCTGAGCTCTGTTGTTACCCCTGCCATCTGGCTGTGATTCTTCCCTGAAGGATCTCACCAGCTCCCTGTTAAGCATCATTTCGTCATCTATCTGCCTCTCTCCTCCCTTCCTTCTTCTTGTCCTTCCTTTCTGTTAACAAATATTGAGCATTTACTGTGTGCTATGTACATTTTGAGGTTCTGGGGATACAGTGGTGAACACCAAAGAAATCCTTTCCACGATGGAGTTGAACAGACAGCAGGAATGCCAGGCAATAACACAGGATATAGATAACTGAAATACACAGTAAGCTAAATGATGACAAGTGCTAGGGAGAAAAATAAAGCAGGCAAGGGAGACTGGAGAGGGGTGGGGTGGTTAGGGAGTGACCCTTGAGTCAAGACCTGCAGGTGGTGAGGGAGAGAGCCATGCCAACATCTGGGAGAAGAGCATTTCCAACAGAAGCAGCTGCATGTGCAAAGGCCCTGAGGTAAGAGAATGTCAGAGAATTCCAGGCGGCCAATAAGGCCAGAGCAGAGGGAGTACGGGGGCAGACATGCTGAGGACTTTGACTCTGAGTGAGATGGGAGTCCTTGGCAGGTAAGAGCAGGGAACTGATGTGGTCTGACTTCGATTTAACAGGGTCCCCCTGATTATTGAGAATAGGTAAGAGTGGGTTTGTACCAAGGTGAACTGGTTAATTCCTAGGAACCAGCCACACCCAGAGGTCTGTGGGCCACGAAGGGCCTGGGAAGGTCATGCAGCCTGAGTTGCTAAAGATGTGATGATGGGTTCTGCAGGCACCAGCTCCTCCTGTGGCTGGGTCAGCCCCTGCCCTGTTGTCTCCTGGGAACCCCTCTTCTCCCCACCCCCACACACAGCAGGTCTCAGATTGGAGGCCCTTTTGCTCACCCTTCCTCAGGAGCGACTGCCTTTTGCTCACCCTTCCTCAGGAGCGACTGCTGTGGTTTATAGACCTGATGGAGGTACCACCCTTCCTGCCGGTGGGGACTGTGGGAGTCCCTTAGCCATGCACACCCATGTTGGCTGCATGTGTGGCCACAGGACAAACCTCCTCCACGTGGAAGCCCTCCTGCAGAGTACGCAGGGCACTGGGACCCATCCTAGGAGTCTGGACCCCCACACCGGTACTCCACTCTGTCTCTCCCAGGCAGTGTGCTCTCAAGAAAGCCCCTCACTCACTCTTGGCCTCAGTCTCCCCATCTGTACAACCACGGAAGACCCCCATGGCTCCTCCAGTTCTGAGAGTCTTCTCTGCATCAGGAGGTGCTGGAAAATATTTGGGGGAGGCACAGCAAGGAATGACAACTCTATATTCCCACCTCTTCTGTGTATATTTGAACAAGGACTGCAGCATTCCTCCAGAGAGAGAAAGAGCTTGAAATAATCACCTTTATTCACCACTAAGTGCCGCTGTGTGGTCTACAACACCACATATTAGTAAGCTTTTGCTGCAGTAATGCTGAGTAATAACCCTAAAATGTGGACAACAACCCAAAACATAACATGGCCAAAATCCCTTCCTGCATGGAGCTCACACACTCCTCATACCTCTGCTAAATCACTTGTCACATTGCTTTAACCTCTTCGTGGGTTTCCCTTCCCCAATAAACAGCGAGAGCTGGTGCAAAATGGAGGCCCAGAAAGTGTGGAACAGAAACTGGAAGGAAAGCACACACTCCCCGGCCACTTGCAGGATTATCTTCTACTATGCGGCCTTCTAAACATTCGCCTCCCACATGGTAGGAAAATGTTCTTTGTTCTAGTGTTCAGTTGGGCAAGATGACATCAGGTGGCTGGCTATCGATGACCGAGATGCCCCAGACACTGGCCCCAAATGGAGCCAGTTTCCATTTAGCCTGAATTCCTCGGATCATGCTGTGTGGTTATTGATCCCAGGTTAAATGTGGCTCATTCTGCAGCCATTTCCCCTCAAAGCAGACACAGTCAATCAAAGGAAATCAGATCCAGCTTTCCCCCATTCACAAACTGTGTTGATTTTCCATTTGTCTAACAGAGAGCCAGCCCTGAGCATTTTATGCTGCCTTCACACAATATCATTTCCCCCATAAAGATGTTGGCCGAGAGAGCAGAGTGAAAGAAGAAAGGCCTGCCTGTTATTTCTTGAATTCTTCATCTAGTGCCAGCATGCCTGTGGCAGAGGGGCTTAATTGCACAGATTCTGGGATCCTACCAGCTGGGTTCTGCTTTCCAGAGTAGTAGCTTTGTCACCTTGGGCAGATGACTTGTGTCTTCTGGGCCTCCATTTCTGCATCTGTACGGTGGGCTGATAAGACCAGCTGTCTGGGTTGTTCTGAAGATTCAGTGAGATCAGGAGTGGATATGCAGGTGTGGAGTGTGGAGGAGCCCATTCTGTTTCTACTCCAAAGGTTGGAAAAGGGCCCTGTATTAATCCGTTCTCACACTACTGTAAGAAACTGCCTGAGACTGGGAAATTTATGAAGAAAAGAGGTTTAATTGACCCACAGTTCTGTAGGCCGTACAGGAAGCATGGCTGGGGAGGCCTCGGGAAACTTAAAATTATGGTGGAAGTTTGAAGGGGAAGCAGGCACATCTTACATGGCTGGAGGAGGAGGAAGAGAAGGGGGAAGTCCTGTACACTTTTAAGCAACCAGATCACATGAGAACTTACTCACTATCACGAGAACAGCAAAAGGGAAATCTGCTCGCATGATCCGATCACCTCCCACCAGATTCCTCCCCCAACACTGGGGATTACAATTCAACATGAGATTTGGGTGAGGATACATAGCCAAAGCATTTCAGGCACTGCAGAGCATTGTAGAGAAAAGGGGATTGGAGAGGTCAAGGCCAGCCTTGTACTCAAGGAGCAAATGCCCTTGAGGTCAGGTGGCAGCAGCTGGGATTTGCCCTGGACTTGACCTCAGGCTTTTTCCACCTGGATTTGAGAGAGTTTGTGCTCCAGCCCTGTCATATGCCTGGAAGGAGGCTCCCAGCCCCTGCCCAAGGATGCTGGGGACAGGATCCCTGCCCCTGAAGGCCTTACTGTCCTTCTTCCCTCCTCTTGTCCCCCAAAAAGAAGGTGAATAGGGGGCAGTAGATGTGGCTGTCAGTGCTTCTCTGCATTGGCCTCCTTCTGTGGCCTCTGTGCCTCCCTCCTTGTCTGCAGCACAGTGAACTGGGAGAAGCTCAGGCTTGTCTCAGGCCCCTCCAGCTGCAGGGACCCCTCACTGTCAAACCAGCTTTTTTTTTTCAGAAACAAGTAGAAAACTGTCAAAGGGCCTTATTTTTCCTCCTGCATCCTGACTTTGGTCCAACCTGGATGGTTTAGAGAATCGTTCTCCATCCATGAGCGGGGTAAGAGAGGAACTCCATGTATTCCTTCAGTCATGCGTTCAGCCACTCCTTCTTCTATGCAGCAGCCTTTGTGGAGCATCTCCTGCCTGCCAGGGGCTGAGCCTGTGCTCTTGAAGCTGATCAAGTCCAGTGGAGGAGGCTACCTCAACTCAAATCATCTCCATAACTCACACTCTGATAAAGCGGGCTGAAGGGTGGTGTGAGAACATACATGGGCCCCGACCAGTCTGGGGTACTTGGGGAGAGAGGTTGAAGCTAAGATCTGAAGTTGTTGGCTACAGCCAGGCAATAGATGAGGTGAGACAGCTGAGGAGCTGGTGGGGCATGTCTGAGGGCCCTGAGCAGGTTGGCACATGGCCACTCAGAAGAATGGAAGGAGACCAGTAGGGCTGGAGTGTCAGGAGTGAGGGGTAGAGGGGCGAGGGTCAGGAGCGGGAGGCGTTTGTGTTTAACCCTAAAACCATGGGATACTCTGGAGAATCTTGAGTAAGGATGTGATGTGATCCTGTTTGTGTTTTTTTTTTTTTTAAGAGATAGGGTCTCTGTTGGGGTAGCTCACTACAGCCTTGAACTCCTGGGCTTAAGTGGTCCTCCCACCTCAGCCTCCTGAGTAACTGGGGCCACAGGCGCACATGCTCCCATGCACAGCTAATTTTTACATTTTTTTGTAGTGATGGGGGTCTCACTATGTTGCCCAAGCTGGTCTCAAACTTCTGGCCTCAAGGGATCCTCCCG
The DNA here is from genome assembly GCF_000001405.40 of Homo sapiens. Classification (NCBI taxonomy): domain Eukaryota; kingdom Metazoa; phylum Chordata; class Mammalia; order Primates; family Hominidae; genus Homo; species Homo sapiens. Next base: position 114,415,066 of record NC_000009.12, on the reverse strand, counting down.
CCTTGGCCTCTCAAAGTGCTAGGATTACAGGTGTGAGCCACAGCACCCAGCCCTCTGTTTACATTTTTTAAGCTGCCTCTTCTGTGTGGAGAGAGCCCAGAGGTGCAAGGTGGATGCGGGTGACCAGGAGAGGCTGTTGTTCCTGTCCAGATGACCTCCTGTCCCCCACCCCAGGAAGCTGCTGAGTGCCCAGAGAGGGCATATCGAGGATGATAGGTGTCTTCTCCTTGAGTAGAAGAGCCCACTCCATCCCAGGGAGGCCTCAGCATGTGCCCCCTGCACCTTCCAGAATCATCAGTTTGCCCAGAGGCATTAAAGCCTCTCAGGCCGGCCACAGCTTTACCTGGAGCCTGAATAGGACCATTCCTCTCAGCCAGTGCTTTGCTGTCTCTGTAGCGGTTTATGGAACACCTGCCTTCCCCTGTGACAACTTGGGATTGCTGGAAGCTCTTTCCACCAAACAGAGCCAAGCCCATGGAGGTCAGAGCCTGTTTGAACATGGGCTGGCCCCAGCTGCCCTCTGAGTGAGGACTTCCCAAGCTATCAAAGGGGAACTTGGACAAAGCACTGACTTAGGACTGGGGGTCTTCCTCATTTCTGTGCCATAGACCCCTCTGGCAGGCTGGTGAAGTGCTGGGACCCCTTCTTAGAATAAAGCTTTAAATGTTTAAAATAAAACACAATACATAGGATGACAAATTACATCAGGAAATACCTGATATAATTTTCAGAATATGAAAACACAACGTAAAACATGCTACTTTAGGACAGCAATAACAGGGTTGAGCAGTGAGTCAGTAACTGCTGTAACTGTGAAGCCAAGAAGTGCATAAATGGGATTTTGTGACATCTGTAGCAGCTGGAATGTGACGTGAAAGATCAGTGCTCTCTGTGGGTGACCATGACCAGTTCCTCTGAGGCTTTGTTGCTTCTGTTAGCAATGAAAGGAAACGTGGCCTTTCAGTTAGAGGTTAATGGAAATGAAGATGTAACAGTTCCCCCAGCCAAGTTCTCGGGTGCCTGCATTCCCTCCCAGGAGCACTGGTTTCCAGCCTTATCCTGAGGGCTCTGCTTGCCTTAACCTTCTAGAGATTCTGGGTCACTCTCTCTTTCCACTGACGTCCTTTTCTTAAGACCACAGGGAGGGAGGCGTGGAGCAGGTTTCAGCTTAGCAGGAGGAAGCCTGGTCTGTTCAGCAGGGCACAGGCCTGGTTACAAGGAGGCAGTGACTTCTGCCCCATCTCAGGAAGGCTTCATGCAGAAGCTTCCCAGAGAGCTCCCTAATGTTGTGATTTGGTGGTCAAATATGATAGCCAGAATAGACAGGCTGGTAGAAAAGCACAGTGCTGGCCCAGTGTTGAGGTTGTTCTTGTGATCTCAGCCACACCAGCCAGTGCGGGGCCCAGTTAGCTGCTTTCAGGATTATTTCTCTCCCATTCTGCACCTCTGACCTTTCCCTTTGGCCCACAGACTTACACCCCTACCCTGTGCTTGGAGAGATTGCAGGTCCAATGATTCCCCGTCGCCACCTGCATGACTGACACTTCCAGGGTCTTGTCCCACAAATCTCTGGCTCCCTGGCCCCTGACCCTTCACTCTGGGGAGCCCCACTGCCCCCCAGGAATGCCAGGACTTCCTGGCTCTCCCTGGCTCACATCCCTGTCCCTCCATCTCCCTACCCCCGTAGCCTTTCCTGGGATCACAAGCTCCTCTTCCCAGCCCAGCTCTGGCCGTGCCACCGGACTTGCCCTGCTCTTTTCTTTGCTTCTTCAGTTTCTCTACATTGCTCTCCGCCTGTGCCTTTTCTGCTGAATCTTCTGTTTTCTCTCTTTTCTGTTATTCTCCCTCTAATCTCTTTCTCCCTCTGCCTTTATCTCCCTTCCTGTCAGCAGCCCCTTCAGGCAAAATCTAGGCCCCCACTGGCGAATATCCAGAGGCCTTTGTGACTCAGTGCCTCAGTTTCCCCACATACAGAATGAAGAAAGAACCACTCAGCCTTAGGCCTCTGGTGCATTTTGGGATGGGAGTTGGGGGACCCTGTTGGCTTGACAGAAGTACAGAAGCCCAACGAACAAAGAGCTGGAAATAGCACCTTTATGTAACAGCCCTCCCATTGTAATGAGGGGAAGGAGGCCTAGAAACCCGGAATTGGGCTGAGGGGAGGAGAAGGGCTAGGAGGGAGAAGCTGCATTTTGCTGAGGTGGCCCCGCAGTGCCCAGGCAGCCTCAGGCTTTGACATCATGCAGGGGAGCCTTACCTGCCCCTGAGTCCACCCCGCAAAGGTTGCCCCTCTTCATTTCATCCCCTTACAGTTCCCCAAGACCACACTTCTGTGATACCTGGGCCCTGATTGGGCCAACTCAGGAAATAAGGGGTTCTTTTCTCTGAAAAAAAGGGAATTTGCTGAACTGCCACAGGTTTGAGGAAGGAGGTGGAAGAACAATGACAGCAGGTCATCTTGGCTCTTATGGGAAGCAGGTTTTTGTCGGGGATATGGAGTCGGGCCTTGAATAGAGTTCAGCTTTCTGCCCTGTCCTTGCTGTGTGACCTTGGACAGATGACCTTCCCGCTCTGATCTTCAGTCACCTCAGCTGTAGAGTGGGTGAAGGGTCCCATCTGGCAGGATTAATGGAGCCGCCAGGTCTATGCCCTCACTGAGGCTCTGGCCTCAGTGGGTACAGGGGGAGGGGGCCCAGGTGGCTGTGATTGTGTGTGGGTGGTGGTGAAAGTGAACAGGCCCAGCTCCTGCATGAGCTCTGACCTTGAGCCTCCTCTGGAAGCCTGTTCCGCAGGCATTTCTGCTGATGCATCCCCCGGGTTCTTAGCCGGCTGTCTGCAGCTATTTCAGATGCATAAGGAACATGGCTCGGGGACTTGGGACTCCTGAGCGTCTGGATTCAGCAGATGGAGTCTGGCAGGGCTGGGCTCAGAGGGCTGGGCTCCGACCCGTCTGCCATTTGCTCCACTTCAGGCCTCCCTGACAGGGCTGGATATTCATCCCTCGTCTACCCCTCACCCTCCCAACCCTCCACCTCCACCTGCCATGTCCCCAGGATGCAGTTAGTAGCAGGGAATGAGGCTGAGGACAGGGCCAGCTATGGCTGCCTTCTCTCTCATTTCCAAGAGGGTTGCTCATGGGGGCCTCAGGTTCCTATGACATCAAGGCCCTGTTCATTTCTGGGGTTGGGACAGTGTAGTATGGGCGTTGGGGTGACCCAGACCTGGGTTAGAAACCTTACCTTCTGTAGAACGGTCAGATGACCTTGGACAAGTCTCTTCCCTCTCTGAACTTCAGGTGTAATCGATGTGACAAGGGACAGTCCTAGTGCCTGCCTCACAGGGTCATTGGGAGGATCAAATGAGATAATATAAGTAAAACACCCAGCACGGGGCCTGGCGCACAGTAGGTCCTTTGTAGTTCTCTAATACCCTTTCTGGGAAAAAGTCACACCCTCCCTGAGCTTCCCTGGAAAGTCATGGCTGCCTGATAAGAGCTTCCTGCACAGCTGAATGTGCAAAGCCCCTGATGCGCCAGAGCAGGGCAGGATCCCACGGCATTGGTCCTACCATGTACTGTCATCTGAGTCCAACCCCAGCTTCCCCCAGGATCAGCTGCAGGTTGAATTCCTGGGGCAGGGGGCAGTGGCTCCACCTGAATGTGGCAGAGGCTCCCCTTGTCTTTGCTGTAGATACCTCTGAGGCTCTGACCCCTCTCTGTGCCTCCTGCTGACACCAGGACTATGAATGTTGAGCCTGAGGAAGTGAATGCATGTCAATCACTGCCTCACTGTTCACCTTAACGCGCCTGGCTGGACTACTTCCAGGGAGCATTGGACTCATTATGGTCTTGGAGGAGGGAGGTGGTGTGAGAGGGCTGCCATTCCTTTCCATCCTAGTTGTCATATGGGCCAGGACACGTCTCGCGGTTCATTCTCTTGCTGGGGCAGATTGCAAGGCCTCCCAGTCTCCCAATGCACGTAACAGTCACCTTCCTCGTACATTGTGCCAGGCCCTATTCTGAGTGCTTTGTAAGTGTTAACATGTCCACTGCCTAAGGCAGGTATTGCTGTTAACCTATTTTACAGAGGAAGGATTTACCTACCATCACTCAGCTGCAAGCGGCAGAACTGGGTGTGAGCTCAAAGAAGCCTCAGAGTTGGCAGAGCCAGAACCAGTGTCACTAATCAGTGAGTGAGAGAGCAGCCCAATCACCCTCGCCCTTTTGAAAGAATCCCCCCAACCACCACATACCGCGCTTGCATCACAGGGGCTGTCAGCAGCAGATTCCTGTGAGGCAGTGTGCAGTTAACAGGTCAGGACCAAGGTTTGCATGTAAACCTCAACTTTGTGGGGAAATGGGGGCAGTTGCCCCTGCCTGACTATGCCCCTGAAGCATCATGGGACCAGATGAGGAGCTCTGGGTTTGCAGGGCTCTGACCCGGAAGGCCCGAGCCAGCATCTTGTGGGTCGAGATGGGGATATGTGTGGCATGACTGGCCTCTCTCTGTCTTAGGGGTATGGCGTCAGGAGTGCCTTCTGTCCCCACCTGCTGCCTTCACACTCAGACATTCATTACTGCTCACTGCAGTGACCTGCAGCACCACCCCCCTCAACTCCCTGCCTGCTCTGGCCTCCTCCAATGATGGCTAGAGTGATTGATTCATTCATTCATCCATCCTGCCATTCATTCATGGATTCATCAGTTTGCTTCATAAACATTTATCCAGCAGCCACTGTTCTGAAAAGTGAGGAGAGAGTGAGGACCGAGTAGTTGCATGTCCTGCCTTCTCAGAGTTTATATCCTATTGAGAGAGACAGACAGTATGCAAAGAGTATAAAGTCAGATGGTGATAGGTGTTACACAGAAAACCAAAGCAGGAACGGGATAGACAGGGATGGGGGTGGGGCAGTACTGTTTTAGACAGGGCTTCTCTGGGAGGGCCTCGCTGAGGTCTGAACTAAACAAAGTGAAGGAATGAACCACAGTGTGGTGCAGAGTGAGAGCGGCAGGTGCAAAGGCCCTGGGGCAGTAATGAGCTCGTGATGTTGGAGTAGCAGGAAAGGGCCCGGTCATGTAGGCACAATGAGTAGGGTTTGGAACTTCCTCCAACTGAGATGAAGAGGCCCTTGGGGGTCCTGAGCTGCAGAGAGACCTGACATGTGTTTCTGGCATGACTCCCTAGCTGCTGGGTGGAGATGGTGATCAATGAGAAGGAGAAAAATAAAGCAAGGTGGAGTGGGGTGAGGGGAAGGTTACGATTTTAGCTGAGGTGGTGAGGGTACACCTTGTCGAGCAGGTGACAGGTGGGTTAGGTTTTGGAGGTGAGCGACAGCATGCCTTGTGGATGGATAGCCAAGCAGAAGAGTCGCAGACAGAGACAACAGCCAGTGTGAAGGCTGACACATCCGTGGTGTTCCAGCCTGGCTGGAGAGGATGTGAGCAAAGGGGATCTTCGTAGAAGGCAAACTTGACCACATCTCCATGGCAACCCACTGCCCTCAGGCTTAAGTGCAAGAGCTCCATGCTTGACTTCTGTGGAGCTGCTCGGGGGTTCTCAAACATCCTATCTCCATTCCTGCTTTACACCCTTTCCTCTGTCTGAAACACCTATCGTTCCCTTCTTTGCTCTGCTCACTCATAAGACCTAGCTTTGAGTTGTGCCCCGTCCTCCAGGAAGCCTTCCGTGGTAACCCCTCCCCCGATTGCATTATATGCCTGTGTTTGCCCATTGGATGCTCTCTCTGCAGTCTCCCTGTTGCTTGTTTGCTTGTCGACTGACCCCATTGTCTCTGAGCTACCAATGGCAGGGTTGGTGTCCCACCTCTGTGTCCCCAGCCCCTTATCAGCCTGGAGCTTCAGAGACTGCTCAGTACTGATGAGCACTGCAGTTGAGACCTCAGCCAAGTGTTGATGTAGCCAGCAGGGTTCTCCAGAGAAAGAGAAGCAATCAGTTATACTATATTGTGTGGGATTGGCCCACGCAATGATGGAGGTTGAGAAGTCCCCTGATCTGCCATCTGCAAGTCGGAGGCCCAGGGAAGCTGGTGGTTTTGTTTTAGTCCAAGTCCAAAGGCCCAATAACCATGAGCTCCGGTGTCTGAGGGAGGAGGAGATGGATGTCTCAGCTCTAGAAGAGCGCGCAAATTTGCCCTTCCTCTGCCTTTCTGTTCTGTTCAGGCCCTTAGTGGATTGGATGAGGCCCACCCACATTGGGGAGGGTGAGTTTTGCCCAGTCCACCCATTCATATGCTGATCTCTCCTGGAAACACCCTCACAGACACACCCAGAAATAATGTTTTACCAGCTATCTCAGCATCCCTTAGCCCAGTCAAGTTGACACGCGAAGCTAATCATCACAGTGGTGGAAGCTCTTTTCCATTCTGGGCTCTAGGGCCGAGAGAACTGGCTCCCTTAGCCCTCAAGAGAGCCCAGCTCAGAGAGGAGCTCCGATGGGCCCCCCATAGACGGCCCACAAATGGCCTTTTGGCAGCCCAGTGTCACTTAAGGAGGCATTGGGTTTCTTCTTGTGAATTGGGAAGGGAAGAAAGAAATAGACGTTTTTTGCAAAATAAGGTCCATTTAAACCTTAAACCACCACCTTGGGATTAAAACCATTAGAATTTTAAAAAGGGAGAGACTTTCCCCATCCACTTCTCTCTTGCCATTTTCACACCTTCCTGGGATTCATCAGCAAGTGGTGGAGAGAGGCCTTGGCTTTTGGAGGCATGACTGTGGAGCACAGCGCTCGTGGCCAAACCCAGGAATTCCCAGCCCAGGCTAGAGATGCCCCAGCATCTCTGGCAGTTCAGGGGATGCCTGAAAATGATCAGAAAGTCCCAAAGAAAACTTAACTTCAAAGTGACCAGCAGGCAAATTGACCTTCATTTTAATGGGTAAAGTGAATTTCGATGAAGTGAGGTATGTCAGGGCTCACATGAACCACATGGAGGTGTCCTAAGACTTCCTCAATTTTGGTGTGCTGGAGAACAAACCAGTGTTCCCTTCTCAGCTTCTGTTTGCTCACTTTGCTTTCTCGTCCATTTCTAGAACACTCTGGACCTGGAGGAAACTGGCGAGGCTGTCCAGGGCAATATCAACGCCCTCCCAGATGTGTCCGTGGTAAGGCCCTGGCTGGCCCTTTGGTTCTGCTCTCCCTGGTGTGCTCAGGTCCTGGTGGCTCTCTCCTCTCCATGACAGCCACGGAGAAAGGGCACAGGGTGGCAAAGGAGACAGAGGCCTCTGCCATGAGCTCTCACACCCAGCTACAGGTCTGTGCACAAGCTCACCATTCTAGTATCTCTAGCAGGCACCAGGATCACTTGCCTCTGGTGACTTCAGGCGGGGCCTTCAGGCTGGCTGGCCACAGTATGACCAAGTTTCTTAGCCTCTCTGTGCCTCAGTTTCCCCGTCGGTAAAGTGGGGATGATGATCATAGCATACCTACCCCATAAGTTCGTGGCATGGAGTAAATTAATTAAGTAAAGCCTTTAGGATGGTGACTGGAAGGTTGTTGGAGCTGTGCAGGTGTCCGGTGTTGACCTAGGCAGAGGGGAGTGGTAGTCACAGTGTCCATAGCTGCCCCTCACTGTGCACCTGCTGTGGCGCAGGCACTGTGCTAACAGTATTCACGTGGCTTTTGACATCACCACACCACCTCTGCTGGGTAGATGTGCTTTTCCCCATTGCCCAGAGGTGCACTCAGAGAGGTGTTGTGCCTTGCCTGGGGCCACATAGCACCCCAGCCCATGTATCCATCTCCTCCTGTCCATTCTCTCTCCAGTCCTTTCATACCTCTTGCCTCTAGTACTCAAGATCACCCCCTAAAAAGAAAAGCCAAATAAATGCATTTTTTGTATTTCCATCCTCTTCATCGTGTCTCTAATGAAGTCTTGTTCCCTGTGACAAGCTCTGGCTGATGCCAAGAACTTCAGTTCCCAAAGGTAATGATGCTGTCCCCAGAGACACCCGCCAAGATCCCAACGCTTATCAGCTGCCGAGATGCAGGGGAGAAGTTTTCCACTCAGGTGTTGCATTATTCAGAGCAGTGTGGCCAAGAGCAGTTAGAGTGGGGACAGAATTCCAGCTGGGCCTGGCACCACTCAGCTGCTCGGCCTCCCCTCTTCCAGGCGTGATGGGGTCTGACTCCTTCTCCGCCTGTTGGGTCTTTTGGCAGGATGATGTCAGATCCACCTCCCAGGGGCTGTCAAGCTTCAAGCCACTGCCTCGCCCACCACCTCTGGCCCAAGGCAACGACCTCCCACTAGGCCAGCCAAGGAAGCTGGGGAGAGAGGACCTCCAGCCACCTTCCTCCATGCCTTCCTGCTCGGGCACTGTCTTCTCGGCTCCACAGAACCGCAGCCCGCCAGCGGGCACCGCACCCACCCCAGGGACCTCCTCTGCACAGGACTTGCCCTCTTCCCCCATCTATGCCTCCGTCTCCCCTGCCAACCCCAGCTCCAAGAGGCCGCTGGACGCCCATCTGGCCCTGGTCAACCAACACCCCATCGGCCCCTTCCCACGGGTCCAGTCACCCCCGCACCTGAAAAGCCCCTCTGCAGAGGCCACAGTGGCTGGGGGCTGCCTTCTGCCCCCATCACCCTCTGGCCACCCAGACCAGACAGGCACAAACCAGCACTTTGTCATGGTGGAGGTCCACCGCCCCGACAGCGAGCCAGACGTCAATGAAGTGAGGGCGCTGCCCCAGACGCGCAGTGAGTACAGCAAGGCCAGGCTCTGTGGTCCTTGGGGGTCCCTGTCCTCTTCAGGTCAGTCTACCTGATGACACAGTGAAGGGGGGGACCAGCTACTTGTTGAGGGGGCTCAGGGCCAGAGTGGCGAAGGGAGTTGGAGACCCCAGTTTGAATCCCGGCTCTGCCACTGACTGGCTGTGTGACTGTGGACAAGCTGCCGTCTACACCTTGCTTTCCCCATCATAAAATGGAGATAACAGTGACAGTCCTGCCAGGTTGCTGCGAGCGTCGGGGTGCCTTCTCCAGCTCCCCCTACCCTGGCCACCCTGTGTTCACCAGGAGGACTGAACTCGTGGAGGGCAGGGGTGGCTTCCCTTCCTGTCCGCCATGGCCTGGCCTGGAGTAGATGCTGGAAACTGAAGTGGCAGTCTCTGGACCCCTGGCAGGTCTAGGGTCAGGGTGCAGGAAGAATCTTGGGGAGGCCAGCTGACGCTGTGCCCCGGTTTGCTAGAGGACATGGGCTGTGGGGTAGAGGGAAGGGCAGAGCCTGCCTCCCCACCCTGAAAGCTGTGGAGCTCCCGCCTGTGAGTGAGTTGGGAGCATTTTGTTGGATTCTGCTGCCATCTTGCGGCTACAGTGATACATAGGCCCCGTAGGACATTCCCTGAGCGCCTGCACAGACCAAGATGCAAAATGCAGGGCTCTGGCGCTCGCAGCCTAGTGAGGGGAGGCAGCTGAGGGAGAGCAGGCAGACGTGGTGAGAAGACCCAGGGCTGTCACAGATGGATCACTGCTGTCTCTAGAGCTGGCACTGAGCTGGACATGCAGGGATAATAAGAGCTAACAGCCGTACTAACAATAAGCACTTTGTGCCAGTGTTCAAAGGGCCTTGCCTATAGTATTAACTCATTTAATCCTCCCAGTAGCCCTATGAGGTTGGTACTATTATTATCTCCATTTTACAAATGAACAAACTGAGACATACAAAGTAGTAATTTCTGGCTAGGTGCAGTGGCTCATGCCTGTAATCCAAGCACTTTGGGAGGCGGAGACGGGCAGGTCATTTGAGGTCAGGATTTCGACCTCAGGAGCCTGGGCAACTTGCTGAAAGCCCCATTTCTACTAAAGATACGATAATTAGCCAGGTGTGGTGGGCACCTGTAGTCCCAGCTACTCAGAAGGCTGAGGTGGGAGGACCACTTGAACCCAGGAGGCAGAGGTTGCAGTGAGCCAAGATTGCACCACTGCACTCCAGCCTAGATGACAGAGTGAGAATCTGTCTCAAAAAAAAAAAAAAAAAAAAAAGAGAGAGAGAGAGAAAGTAGTAATTTCTAGCTTACCAAGAGAAAAAGAGAAATTCCACCACACCTGGTCTGAACCTCTGCATGGCCCCTGCCTGAGCTGAGTGGTGGGCACATGCCCTCCAGCCCACCAGTCAACCCACGCTGCTTCACTATGTGTATAACAGCCGGGCCCCTGAGTTTGAAACCCTAGGTTAAGAACCCACACCCTGGAGCCAGGCAGTCTAGCACAAGTCTATTCCCTGGACTGCTCCATTCTATACATCAGATCTGTGAGTTTTTACAATCACCCCAGTGGTTAGGCACCATCATTTCTGTATTAGAAGGAGAACATAGGAGGCTTAGAGAGGCTCTGTTACTTGCCCAGGCTTGCACAGCTGGTCAGTGGGAATTCAAACCTGACCTGCCAGACTCCAGAGTGTGTGTTCTTAAGTTAGGGTCTCAAACTCAGGGGCCAGGCTGTTACACACATAGTGAAGTTGACTGGTGGCTGGAGGGCATGTGCCCACCACTCGGCTCAGGCAGGGGCCATGCAGGGGTTCAGGCTAGGTGTGGTGGAATTTCTCTTTTATTCTTGGGAAACTAGAAATTACTTATATGAAATCTTCTAATTTGAATGTGTTGGTTCATCATTAAAAATTGGTAGCATTATGTGAGTTTTAAAACAAAGAAAACACCCACATCTGTGGGCTAGGTTTGCCTCCTGACCTCTGTTTTATCATTATGCCAGTGGCTGGGAACTGGGAGATCCAGGCAGATGTCCTGGAAGTCACAGCCTTCAAGACCAGGTCTGGTTGAAAGGACAGGTCTTGAGTAGGTGGAGAGGGTGGCAGGGAGTGGACCTGCCCTCTGGCCCCACGATCTCTTCATTCCTTCCCCCATCTTTGCCTGGGGAATTCCCCCAGCCTTCCAGCCTCCATCTCCGTCACTGCCTCCAGGCAGCCCTCCCTGACCCCAGCTATATAAGCTGCTTCTCTCTTCCTTTTCCCCTCTCCAGCAGCCTCTACGCTCTCCCAGCTCTCGGACAGCGGGCAGACTCTAAGCGAGGACAGTGGTGTGGATGCTGGCGAGGCAGAGGCCAGCGCCCCAGGCCGAGGAAGGCAGTCGGTGTCCACCAAGAGCAGGAGTAGCAAGGAGCTGCCTCGGAACGAGAGGCCCACAGATGGGGCCAACAAACCGGTGAGCCAGGAGGAGGAGGATGCAGAGGGCTGAGAGGAACACGGGCCCCAGGCACAGAATGGGAGGTCCCGGGACCAGGGCTCAGCTTGGCAAGTGACCACAAAGGGAGGTAGTGAGCTCCCTATAACTGGAGGGATTTGGACGTCCTGGAGGAGCACTGGATTAGGAATCTGGAGGCCCAGTTTCAGCTCTGCCTTTGCACTGACACTAGGGGCTGAGGCTGAGATTGGTCTTGGGAATCTTTAAGCTCCTCTCAGTTTTGACATGGCCAGGTGGCTGAGACAGTCTTCGGAGTCAGGCTTCGATTCAAGTCCTGATGCCACCACCAGACAGCCTTAGGCAAGCTCCTTAACCTCCTGAGCCTCGGGGATTTTGGTGAGGATTAAAGAGCCAAGAACACAAGTGCTTGGCTTAGTGCGTTGCACACCTGAGGCTCCCGACACAGGGCTGGAGCCTGAGCTCTGCTGACCCAGGGTGGTGTCACGGCCCGGCCCAGCCCCCTGGCCAGGCCTGCCAACTGCGAAGGCCTCAGTGGTGTCCTTCCTAATACCCACAGCCTGGACTTCTGGAGCCCACGTCCACTCTGGTCCGTGTGAAGAAAAGTGCGGCCACCCTGGGCATCGCCATCGAGGGTGGCGCCAACACCCGCCAGCCCCTGCCTAGGATTGTCACTATTCAGGTATGTCCCCAGGGGCCCCACTTGCCATCTCTCCCTACCCCTGAAAGGCCCTTTCTCAGCATCTCCAGGGTTTTGCGACTCCCATGGGTAACACGGCACTCAAGGGCAGACCTAGGCTTATGTCACCTTTGCTCTTCCGGGCCTCAGCTTTCCTAATCCGAGAAGTGGACACTCAGATTGTAGCTGCCTGCTTGGCAGTGTTGGGACTGACCCAGTTGGTGGTCAAAGCCAGGCCTGTCTAACCCTTGGGCACCCCATGCCCTGTGTCTCCTCCCTGCAGAGAGGCGGCTCAGCTCACAACTGTGGGCAGCTCAAGGTGGGCCACGTGATTCTGGAAGTGAATGGGCTGACGCTTCGGGGCAAGGAGCACCGGGAGGCCGCCCGCATTATCGCCGAGGCCTTCAAGACTAAGGACCGTGACTACATTGACTTTCTGGTCACTGAGTTCAATGTGATGCTCTAGAGGCCAAGGCCTGAGGGCCTCCCACCACTGCCCAGCCCCTGGTCCCAGTCCCTTTCCACCGTTGGCTTCATCAAGCTCCTTGCGGGGTTGGGGCTGCATGGCCAGGGTGGCAGGAAGACATCCCCCCTCCATCCCAGCCCACTGGACCAGAACTGGGAGAGGAAGAGAGCAGGACAAGGCAGACAGAAGGTCAGGTCAGGAACTGGTGCTGTACTGGGTACACAGTAGGCGCCCAGGACAAGTGGGTTGCAAGACAGGAAGAAAGGAAAAGGAAGGGCAGAGTGCTGGTTTCTCCAGGTTGGGTTGGGGGCACTGCTGTCCCCCCTCCAGCTAGGACCCAGCCCATCCCCAGATGCCTGAGCCTTTGTCCAAAGTGAGGTCACTCGAGAATTCATGGACACGGCCCCCAGTCAGGGGGCATCTTGCAAGACCTTTAGTGCCACAAATAAGCATCGAGCACCTCCCCATTCACACCCCCATTCCTCCTGGCTCCTTATCCCCCATGGTGTTTATTATTTATTTCCCTCCCCATGCCCCTGGGGACCCCAAGGCCCCAGCTTCCCTCTGCACCCCCAGCCTATCCCAGAGGCCTTGCAGGTGACCAGCAGTGTCATTGTATTTATATACAGAGCTTATGACTTTAATTTTTCAATAAAGAAATCTGAACAAGGTTAGACGTCAGCGTGCTGTGTGGTTTACCTGGGTGGCTGGGGTTTCCATGTGGGGAGGGGTGGGCAGGACAGGTGGGGGCAGTCAGAGCACCACAGACCACCACCCCGACTGCCCGCATGGCTCCAATTGGGATACACGGTGGGGCGTGCAGGGGTGCTTGAGCCACACTCACATCTTGGAGCCTCTTAATTGAAGGCTTGAAGGCAAAACTTGACTATTTACAGATAATATTTTTAGATTAAAACCCACAAGTATATTATGAGGCAGAATGCACAATGTGCATGAATGTTTTAAATCTCAGATGCAGCCCATTCCTTTCCAGAAGCTGCCTTGGAGATAAGGATTTGTACCCAATCAATCGTCAAGAAGTGCCCTCAGGGCAGACCAGCAAGGAAGTGGGGAAGCAGGACAGGGAAGGGGAGGAAGCCAAGCGAAGGTGAGATTTCAGGCAAAGTCTGCAGAAGGCAGCTTCAGCCTGATCCCAGGAGGATCCCAGGGCGTACACTAGGCCTAGAGTTGTCTCCACTCAAGGCCAGAGGGCTGGACTTTGATGCCTGTCAGTCTTTAGACAAAGCCTACAGAGAGAGGCCATAAATTCCCAATCACTTCCTGCTCTCTACCTATGTGGGTCAAGCTGTTCCAGTAGCCTAGGACAGCGGGTGTCAGAGCAAAACATATGGGATGGGCTCGGAGGAAAAGGTTGCAAACATGGTCTACTGTACGGCCTCAGTCCCGGCCCCAGTGCTTATTCCTTCTGTCCTCAATATTTGTCTGGAAGATGGAAGAGTTTGAGAAATCCTGCTTTGTCCAGTTCTGTGTCCAGAGTTCTGCCAGAGGTGGGTTAGGGACAGTTGGTTCCATGCTCTTGTCCCAGATCCTGTTCTTGGCTGTCCTTGTTCTCTTTCCAGCCTGGGCAGACCACCTGAGACCTGAGCCATGGATTCCCCTGAGGCAGCTGGTGTTTCAGAAGGCACCCCTGCCATCCCCTGACAGGGTGCTGTTGACCCTCTGCAGGGAATGACCCTCCCACCTAGCAGCAGGAGGGCTTCGTTAGGCCTCAGATCTCCTGGCATTCAACTCCAAAGCTTGTGTGGTCATGGGCAAGTAATTTTACCTCTCTGAGCCTCTAGTTCCCCATCTATAAAATGGGTTTGGTAGGCTAAATAATGGCTCCCAAAGATACCCAGATTCAAATCCCTGGAACTTTGGAATGTTACTTTATATGGCAAATGGGATTTTGCGGACATGATTAAAGTCTTGACATGGGGTGGACCCAGTATAATCACCAGGCTCTTATAAATGGGAAGCAGAGAAAGATGTTAACAGAAGAAGACAAGGTGTGTGATGATGGAAACAGGTTGCTGCAGTGATGTGCTGTGACGATGAAGGAAGGGACCACGAGCTGAGGAATGTAGACAGCCACTAGAAGCAGAGAAAGGCAAGGCAGTGGGTTCTCCCCTCAAGAGCCTCCAGAAGAAAGCTGCCCTACTGTCACCTGGACCTGAAGCCCAGAGACTCATTTCAGACTTCTGCCCTCTGTAAGAGAAGGTATTTGTGCCGTTTTAATTTGTTACAGTAGCCATAGGAAACTAACAATGGAGCTGCCACCCCCAGCAGCTGTTAGTCACAGCCCCATGTCTGTACTTGGAAGGAGTAGGACAGGAATGAGTTTCTGGACTTGTTGCTTCTGGAATTCCTGGGCCTGACTCTGAGGCTGTAGCCCATTGAGTGTATGGGTTCCCCTCCCAGTAGAACTTTTAACCTAAAAACATTCCTTTGCAAGTGGTCTTAGAAAGGTCCAGTTAGTTGTCCAAAGTCACACAGCTAAGGAGGACAAGTTTGGACCCACAGCTGCCTTAAGCCTGGGTCTGCTCTTTCCTGCACCTGTCCTGGTGTCTTTTGAAGGGCCCAGTGTGGTAGGCTAAGGCAGCTTCAAGTACTGGGAGAGTGGGGGGAGGGTTGTCAGAGGTCCATCCTGGCCACATGTACCTGTGACCCTGACATTTTTACTCATGATGCCAATGTGGGGGTTGGGGGGAATGGAGTCTCAGGGTCTGCTTCTCCCTTGCTGGAGAATGCTGGGCAGGTTACACAATGCACCAAGCCTCGGTTTCCCCATTCTGTTCAAGAGTCAGGACCGCCATGCTGCTCAAACCCAGAAAAACACTTCACTTCCATGACCTGTGTGGAAAAACACCTTGGGCCCTTCCTACACTGACATTCCAGGGCCAGAGCCCAGAAGGATTAGCTAAAATGTTTGCCCCTTTCACAGAGCAGGCCCTTAGTGGGTAGAAGCTGCTGCTAAACTTACTACTAAATATGTGTCTAGGGAGTAGCAGGCAACCTGGGGAACTGGCAAGTGCTTTCTACCTGGAGGAAAAATTCCAAAGCATTCAACTTTGGATGCAGCTGGATGAGGGACCTTGGGCAAGTCTCTTCTTGCATCAGGACTTATTAACCCTCTTGTGTTAATAGGGTCGGTCAAGGTGCTCTTTAAATTAGTACCACTGATTTATTTCTGACGGGCCTGCCATTATGTTTATTTATTTACTCTCAACAACCGCATAAGATGTGGGTATGAATCCCATTTGCCTGAGGCTCACTGGCAGCAAGTGGCAGAGCTGGGGCAAAGAGCCCAGGTGAGTTGGACACCGTGCATCCTTCAAGGTGTGTGTGTGGTGGACAAGGTATGATGTCTGTGCTGCACTCACAGCGGGACCTTGGAAAAGTTCTTGTCCGTCTTCGGGCTGGGTTTCCATGCTTGCCTGATGGGGAGTTGGACAAGAATATACTTGGGGGCGGTGGTGATAATACCTACCTACCTCATAGGAGACGACTGAACAGCAGAAGAGCTTCCAACAGGTCTGACCCATAATTTGTGATCAAGAAAAGTTTATTATTACTGTTACTAAGCAGGCCGTTTCAGCCATGGAAGTTTGTGATTTCCTCCTCACTGTGGCTCTGTGCGATCTTTTTTTTTTCTTTTTTCTTTTTTCTTTCTTTTTTTTTTTTTGATGGAGCCTTGCTCTGTCGCCCAGGCTGGAGTGCAGTGACGCAATCTTGGCTCACCGCAACCTCCGCCTCCCAAGTTCAAGCGATTCTCGTGCCTCAGCCTCCCAAGTAGCTGGGATTACAGATATGCGCCACCACGCCCAGCTAATTTTTGTAGTTTTAGTAGAGACTGGTGGGGGTGGGGGGACGGTCACCATGTTGGCCAGGCTAGTCTCGAACTCCTGACCTCAGGTGATCTGCCCGGCCTCCCAAAGTGCTGGGATTACAGGCGTGAGCCACTCTGTGCGATCTTGCGTAAATGCCTTACCCTCCGCAGACCGGGCCTCGATCTCCGGGTCTGCGGTGGGGCTGATTGCAGTAGGCACACACAGCCTCCCAGGTCTGAGATTTTCATCCTGCAGCAGGGTTTGCGCTCCCTATGTCCGAGTTCCTGGGGGCGGGCCGTGGCGGCGGCCTTTCGGTGATTGGTGCGCTCCCAGAGGCCCCGCCCCCCCCGGGCCGCCCCCTGCTGTCGCGGGCGGGCCTCAGGGATTATGCAAAGGAGCCACCGCCCCGCCCCGCGCCCGGATTGGAGGCCTTTGTTTGCCGCTCAACTCCAGGAAACCACCCGCGCTCGGCGGCCGCCAGCAGGTGAGACTCGGGGAGGGGCTCGCGGGGCGTCCGGGGTGGTCCCTGTCCCTCGTTGGGACTCAGTTTCTCCGTCGGGAGAATGGGGAGGGAGAGTGGACAGCGCCAGTGGGCTCCGTTCCACTGGGACGGCGCTGCTTTCGGTCTTTTCCACGTGGAAACCCCACGCGCACGGGGAAGGAGACGCATCACCGCTCCGGGAATGGGAGGGAGCCCTGGACGGGCGGTATGGGCCCCAGTCCAAACCGTGCCGGCCGCGGGGTTCCTCAGTCTCCACCCTCCGGCCTCAGTCTCCACCTCTGCACAATGGGGGCGTTGGCTTTTTCTCTTTCCAGCTGGGGCTGGTGGCAGGGAGGGGAGGGGTCCCGGGGGAGCTCGGGGGTGGGCCTTGGCGGGGCCTCGGGCTGTGTTTGGGCTGGAGGCGTGGCCCGGGTTGCTGTGGTTACTGGGGAGGTGAGGCTTTCTGTCTGGGATTTGTGTGAGATTCGTTCACCCAGCAACAATCCGCGCAGCCTGGCGGCCCTCGGAGCCGCGCGCGCTTCCCGGACGCCTAACGCAAGTTTCTTTTCCTCTTTTTGTCGCGGGGGGGAAGGTAGAACAAGGGCCAGTGTCGGGTAGGCAGCCCTGACAATGGTAGGAACTGAACGGGCTGCAAAAATAAGTCCAGTTCCCTCTTGGTACACCTGCGGAGGAGAATGAGGTCCAGAGAGGGGGCGCGACTGGCCCAAGGGTGCACAGCAGGGAGGCGCAGAGCTGGGCTCTCCCCAGTGTGATGGGGCTGGCACAGGCAGAACCAGAGTCTGCTTGCTGCGTGACCTTAGACGACACTTCCAAAGCTCCTTTCCCGGGCTTTTGTTGAAAGAAATGACGGATTGGAGTCCATCATTACCTATGTTTAAAGACCTGCTTCTGAGATAGTCGGAAGGGAAAATTGCTGATAACAAACCTGGGCTATGTTGGAGCAGAGAGAAGCTGAGACAGGCTGCAGTGAAAAGAGACATTGTTCCTGTCCTCTAGAACAGAAGGAGAAGAAATGGGCTGGAACTGAAGCATGAAAGACTAAAGTTAGATACATACAGGGACTTCCCAAACGACTTTTCCAGGCGCCTTCTCTGGAATTGGTGGGTTTTATTTGGGGGCTGTTTTGTTAATAAAACAATGGCTGCCCATCTGTTAGAGAGGGCCTAAGTCTGGTTTACTTACTAACAAACAGGGGAGCGGAACCTATGGTGTTTTGGGACTCTGGGTTTATTCCTGGGGCAGTCGTCTCACAGTTCTTCTGCAGGAGGGAGGCGATGTCCACGTGGGGCCTTTGCCTCCTAAAGTCCAGCCGGTTTGCATTTAAAACATGTGATTGGGGCTGTTTGTTGCAAGGGGATTTCATCAGCTCCCACCGTCCTGCAGACTCTGCCAGAGGCGCTAGGATAGGGGTTTCCAGAGAGACTGGGAATGGTCCCAGCTACAGGGCCGTCATACTGAGAGGGTGTTTTGGAAATTGGTGCACAACATGGACACTTCAGTTTCCCCCCGTGGGGGCGTGGAGAAGGAAAAGTATTTTTAAAGCATTCACATCCCCAGTCGAATTCCTGGTCCTTTTTATGTTTCCTCAGTCCTGGAAGGTGGGAATGATCTGGAGACCAGGAGTAAGAAGACCTGAGTTTAGATCCCCAGCCTGGATTCAGTTCTGAGTGCCTCAGTTTTCCCTTCCACAAAATGAGGTTGGTAATGCCCACTTTACCACCATTTTTTTTTTCTTTTTTTTTTTGAGATGGAGTCTAGCTCTGTCTCCAGGCTGGAGTGCAGTGGCGCGATCTCGGCTCACGGGAACATCTGCCGCCCAGGTTCAAGCGATTCTCCTGCCTCAGCCTCCTGAGTAGCTGGGATCACAGGCGTGTGCCACTACACCTGGCTAATTTTTGTATTTTTAGTAGAGATGGGGTTTCACCATGTTGGCCGGGATGGTCTCGATTTCCTGACCTCATGATCCTCCCACCTCGGCCTCCTGAAGTGCTGGGATTACAGGCGTGAGCCACCGCGCCCATCTACTTTACCACCATTTTAAGGCTTGAGTGAGGTGGCATCATAAGAAACTTTTGCTCAGTCCACATTCTAAATAAATGAGGAAACTGAGGCTCAAAGAAAGGAAGGAATAATGACAACAATAATACCATTGGTATTATTAGCTAATATCATAGGTAATATTTATTGAGTGCGACATTCTAGCCGCTGTGCCAGGGCTTTTACTGCAAGAAGTGAGGTTTGGGAGGGCAGGAGCTCTTATCTGTTTTGTCACCATTGTTATTCCCTAGTGTCTACCTAGTACAGAGCCCTACACAGAGTAGGTGCTCAAAACATTGTTGTTGATCATCTAGATTATATCAGTTACGTGATGTTGTCGAAGTGGGTGTTATTGTTGTCCCTCTTGTACAGATAGAAAGCCTGAGGTTCAGAGAGGTAAAGCCACTTGACGAGAGTCACACAGCTTCTCACTGGTGTTAGCGCATCCTTACTTTGGGGTGTGCAGGGTGTGCTGGTGTCAGCTCGGGAGAGTGGATTGTGCCCATCTCTTCCCAGTGCAGCATTCAGTGATATCAATAGCTTGAAATTGGCATGGCCAATTTCAGTAAGGGTATTTAACACCATCAAAATTAGTAACCACCACAAATCAGGGCTTTTTCTTACTTTTTTTTTTTTTTTTTTTTTTTTAAAGACAGCTGCAGGTGAAGGGTGTTGGGGGATGGAAGACCAGCCTTGCTTCTGCTTGGCAGCCTGGAGTTGGGGGCTTTTTGGCAGAGCCAAGTGGAGCCAGGCCAGAAGGCCTGCGCCCCACTGCAGCTCCCCTAAAGTATGCGATTTGGGAAGAAACCCTTTATGAGATGGCTTTTGTAGTGTACGGTGTGAGTTATGCAGTGCAGCAGCCCCTGACTTGGGAACAGGTTGGTATGAGCCTGAATTCCAGGCCAAAATGTCTGGCCTTTAACCTGAAAGTGACAGGAGCCACGGATGGTCGTTAAGCAGGGGAAAAACCTGACAGGATGGTGCCCTAAGATTTGTCATTGTGCCAAGGGATTGGGGGGTAAGTCAGGGTGGGTGATAGGGAAGAGGTGCGGCAGTTGGCCAGGGGAGCCAGGAGGCTAACAGAAGCTCCTCATTTTCTGAGTGTGTCCTGCGTACAAACACATTATCTTGTTACTTTACACATGCATGCCTGAGGGAAGGAGAAGCCTCTGTCTGTAGATGAGGATATCAGAGAAGTTCTGAAACAAAACAGCAAAGGGCTGATCTACCCAGGCTTCCTGCCCCCAAAGTCTCACATTCTCACTCCTCCCTCCCTCCTGCACCCCAGCTTGCTGTTCCATCTTGGCTCTGGGCTTCCTTGCCAAATGTCAGGCGAACTCCAGCTCCATTGCCGAGTGAGACCTTCTGCGCCCAGTGCCGCTCCCACACCAGCCCCTAGGTCCTTGCCAGCATTCTCCCCCCAGCCCCCCCACTGCCAGCTCAGCTTTTTCTGGGGAAGGAGCCTGGGATCAGGGCCAGAGTGGGATGTCCAGCTGTCAGTCTCCTCGGGGTCTTGGGACCACAGCCAAGGACCAGGACTGAGGAGGGGAGGTCTCAGGGTCTAAGAGGCACACTCAGTCCCCCACTAAGGATTCATCTGGAGGATAATGCTTTATTTGTGGGTACAGACCCAACTGTGCCTTAACATGCTGTGTGACTTTGGGCAAGTTGTGTAACCTCTCTGAACCTTTCTTCATCTGTTAAATGCCTAATTATTTATGAGGATCCAATCCAGCAACACATGCCATGCCTCCAAATGCAAAAAGTGGCTGAGGCTGGGCGCTGATTGCTTCCTTTCCTTTTAGTGATTTTCATGTGTTCCCACATGTTGCATAATGGCTGTATTGCAGAAAACAACATATTGTATTAGAGTTTAAACAGAGGAGGAGAAGGTGTGGGGGTTACAGAATGTTATAGGATGTCAGAGCTGTAAAGGGCCTCAAAGAACCCAACGATACATTTCGCCTTTCACAGGAGGGGCAACTGAAGACGGAGGTGCCCAAGGTCAGAAGGAAGCACCACACAGAGGTGAGGTGGTATTCGTTTGTTTTGTTTTTAAGAATAGTACATGTTCATTTCATTCTTATTTTTAAAGCAACTGTTATATTTGAAAAATACCCAAAAGGAAAAATGGTAAACTTCCCTATCAAAAAAACTTGCCTATAATTCTACTACCTAGTGATAATGATTGTAAACTTTTTTTTTTTTTAATTGAGACAGTTTCACTGTCATCGCCTAGGCTGGAGTGGGGTGGCACGATCTTGGCTCACTGCAACCTCTGCCTCCCAGGTTGAGGCAGTTCTCCTGCCTCAGTCTCCCGAGTAGCTGGGATTACAGGTGCACGTCACCACACCCAGCTAATTTTTGTATTTTTAGTAGAGACGGGGTTTCGCCATGTTGACCAGGCTGGTCTCGAACTCCTGACCTCAGGTGATCCTCCCGCCTCAGCCTCCCAAAATGCTGGGATTACAGGTGTGAGCCACGGCGCATGGCCTGTTGTAAACATTTTAAAGCATGTCTTTCTCTTTCTTTTGCTTTCTCTCTCTTTCTTTTTCCTATCCTGTCTCCTTCCTTTCTTCCTCCTCCTCTTCCTCCATATTTTACTGTTTTTTTTTTTAAGTGGACTCAAACTAGATATATATTATTTTATAACTGGCTTGTCCACTTAACATAACAAAATTTTTACATTATTTGATATTCTTCAATAGCATGACTGTTAACGGCAGCTAATATTATTCCTTTGAGTGGAACTATCACAATTTCTTTCAATGATCACCTGTTACGGGACACTGCTATTGTTTCCAACCATTTTACCTATTGCAAGTTTCAGTTGCAAAGTGATTAAGATCACACTGTCCAGGGCCGGGCACGGTGGCTCACGCCTGTAATCCCAGCACTTTGGGAGGCCGAGGCGGGTGGATCACGAGGTCAGGAGATCGAGACCATCCTGGCTAACACAGTGAAACCCTGTCTCTACTAAAAATACAAAAAAAAAAAAAAAATTAGCTGGGCGTGGTGGCAGGTGCCTGTAATTGCAGCTACTCAGGAGGCTGAGGCAGGAGAATGGCATGAACCCGGGAGGCGGAGCTTGCAGTGAGCTGAGATCGCGCCACTGCCCTCCAGCCTGGGCAACAGAGCGAGACTCCATCTCCAAAAAAAAAAAAAAAAAAAGATTATACTGTCCAGATTCAAACAGCTTGGTTCAAACCAGCTTCCTCACCTATAAAATAAAATGGGCATCATAATTTTTCCCTCCTTGGATTAGTATGAGGATTAAATAATGAGATCTGAGTCCATGGAAAGGCTTTTATAAGGTATTTGACACATAATAGGTGTTCAGTATAGTTTTGCTGTTAGCAGTCCCTTCCTGGCACGTGCACGGTTTGTTTGACTCTTTGAAAAGAGCATGAATTTGAATTTATGTATGTGTTTTCCTCAATATGGCCACACCCTCCTCATAACCCTTATCTCAGTTGGCTGAGAAGGGGCTGTTTGTTCTGCTCCTTAACTACTCAGAGTGAGGACAGAGTTTCTAGCTGGGTCAGTGAGCCCTGGAACTGGTTTAAGGGTCGCAGGGAAGAGGGTCACAGGGAAATGTCAGCACCTCCCTCCACTTGGGAAAACTGCTTCTCCCTTTTTGTGTCCAGGACTCATCGCTAGACCTGGGGTTGATATTGTGGAAGCTGTGGATGAGGAAAATTAAACTCAGTCCTGCAGGGAGCAGGTTGTAGGGCGTTTCACGGAAAAGGCAAGGCCATTTATTTGTGAACAGTCATTCTGTGCCAGCTGGGCACTGGGGCCAAGAACTTTTGGCACATAGTCTCATCCGTCATCCCAAGAACCCAGTAAAATAATTATTGGTCCATGTTACAGATGTGGAATCTGGGATTCAGAGAGGTTAAGCAGCTTGCCCAAGGCCACACAGCTTCCAAGGGAGAACATGGAGTTCTCTGTTTGCCCACAAAGCCCATGTGCCTTAACACCTGTGCTCTGCAGCCTCCTGTCTGCATGGCATTTCTGCCTGGGTGGGCAAATGGAATAAAGAATCCAGGAGGTTTAGCATTAGAAGATAATCTCTGATAACCTCAGAGACAATCTCATTAAGCCGCAGGTTCCAAAGCTCAGAGAAAGGAAGGTGCTTATTCCTGGTCACTCAGGCTGGAACTTGGTTCTCTACTTCCCTAGCCAGGCTTCATCATTTCTTCTTGGTTCACTCTGGAAATCCTCACCTGCCTCCTCTTTCCCTCAGACTCCCTGTGGATTTTTTTTTTTTTTTTTTTGACAAGCGTCTTACTCTGTTGCCCAGGCTGGAGCGCAGTGACATGATCTCGGTTCACTGCAACCTCCGCCTCCCAGGTTCAAGTGATTCTTGTGCCTCAGGCTCGTGGGAAGGGCTGGCAGGGTTCTGCAGACACAGCCATGCACATGACTGTTGCTGGTAAAAGGGTGAAAGTCATCAAGCCCTGGCAGTAGGAGTAAGAGGTTTTTTTTGTTGTTTTTGTTTTTGGTGTTTTTTTTTTTTTTTTTTTTTGAGACAGAGTCTTGCTCTGTTGCCCAGGCTGGAGTGCAATGGTGCAATCTCGACTCACTGCAACCTCCGCCTCCCAGGTTCAAGTGATTGTCCTGCCTCAGCCTCCCAAGTATTACAGGGAGGATTACAGGCACCTGCCACCACACCTGGCTAATTTTTGTATTTTTAGTAGAGGTGGGGTTTCATCATGTTGCCCAGGCTGGTGTCGAACTCCTGACCTCAGGTGATCCGCCCACCTCAGCCTCCCAAAGTGCTGGGATTACAGGCGTGAGCCACTGCACCTGGCCAGGAGTCAGAGGTTTTTGTTGTTGTTTCTTTTCTGGGTGACCAGGAACGAATCTCTTCTCTTCTCTTCTCTGGGCCTCAGTGTCCTCACCTATACAATGGAATAATACTCGTGTTCTCCCCACTTAAACGTTCTGTTCTTGAGCATCTAGTGCTATAAAGGAGAAGAAAGCATTTTGGGAAACCAAAAGGCTCTGTGTGGAACCAGGGCCTCACTATAAAATTGGAACATTGGCTTTGTGAATTGCAATTAGTTGGTAAGAAGCTCCACTCTCGATTTTATTGTGCACAGGTATTAATTATCTCTGCGGGCTGCAATGTTGTGAGCACCAAGCTTGGTTATTAGAAGCCAGGTCTTTGTGTGTTTGAAACTCTACTGCAGCTCATCACCTTTGTGACCTTGGGCAAGCTGCTTGGGCTCTAGGGGCCTCTGTTTACCCAACTGTGAAATGGGGTTGTCACATCAGCCTCATTGGGTTGTTATGAGGGCTATGAGTCAGGCTTGGGCAAGTAGCTAGGTTGAGTGGATCATCCAGGATATATTTATTGTATTTCTATTGTATATCAGGGCCTGTGTGCTGGGTCCTGGGGATATGATGATGAGAGCCTCACAGAGCTCCCAACTGAGTGAAGAGACAGATGTTAATCAAATAATCACATATGAAATATAGTTCCAAATGGGGAGTCCCCAAGGAGGGCACGCTGGAGCTGACATCTGGAGGTTGCCTAGAAGTTAACAGGGAAAAGAAGTGGGACTGGGTGAGGGGAGGAGCAGGACACATCTGTCCCAGGAAAAGCAAGGAGGCCTGTATGGCAGGAGCATGCTGAGCAAGGGCAGAGAGGGTGGTGGGAGAAGAGGCTGCAGCAGCGGCCAGCTTGTGGAGTTTCATCTTCTTTCTCAGAGCCATAGTAGCTAGCTGTGCGTCTGAAGCATGGAAGGGTCTTGTTTGGAACTTTTATCTTGGAAGACCACATCGGTGCAGTGTGGGGAACAGATTAGTGGACCCTAGAGCTTTCCAGGCAAGGCCGATCCAGGGACCCACGTGGGGATGCAGAAACGGGGACAGATTCTGGTGAAATTTAGGAAATGAAATCACTGGGAGTTGACGATGGATTGGTTATGGGATGTAAGGGAAAAGGAAGTGTCCAGGGTCACAGTTGATTCTCAGTGTGTACCTGGGTGAAAGATGGGCCAAACTAAGGAGGGGTGGGTTTGGAGGGTGGCAATACTAGGAGCTCAGTCTTAGACATGCTGCTTCGGTTTGGTAGAATTTGGCCTGTGGGTGGGGACAGTGATCCAAGAGGGGGCAGTGCATGAGCAAAGGCAGGGAGGAGGGTTGGTCATGCTTGGGGGTGCAAGGAAATGGAACAGACTGCACTGCAGGCGGTTCTCCTTGGTGTTAGGTGGCTGCCCCTGAGATGGGTTTGGGGTTATCCAGGGGCCACAGGCTATGCCCAGCAATGGCAGCCACCTGGGTTAATGCTGCCTGGGTTAATGACCAGGGAGGGAGGGTGAGTGAGTGACAGGGTGTCAGGGGAGCCCGCCCCTTGCACAATGGCACACATGGCCTCCAGAGCTGATAGGGAGGGGCCTCATTAGGGTTTGGCTCTGCTCCATGTGGGGCTGGGGGCTACAGGGAGAGCCCTGCCACCCAGATGTGGGTAAAAGGCAGGAAAGGGGATAGAGGGGTGGGCGATTACCAGGATGAGGGCTCCTGGTTCTAGCCCTGGCTACGCCAGATATTCACAAGCTGACCTTGGGAACGTCCACTCATTCATTCATTCATTCATTCACAGAACACATTCATCAGCCATAAACAGTGTGCCAGGCTTCAGGAAAGATATTAAGATCTAGCCTTTAGAGGAGACCAGAGACTTATACCTAAGTAGCAGCAATAGTTGTAGTAGCAATAATAAAATAGCTCAATACATGACTGTGTTCTGGCTCCCCCGCTCTACCCTTGGTAGGCATCATGTCATTGAATCTTTATAGCAGCCCCTGTGGGGTGGCTACTCTTCTTATCCCTGTTTTACAGATGAAGAAACTGAGGCTTAGAGACGTGAAGCCTCAAAGGTCAGGGCCAGCAGGAGATGGGGCTGGGATTTGAACCCAGGTCCACAGTGACTCTGAGATTTTTTTCTCTCCTACATGGGTGGTTCCCAAATCTGGCTGCTTATCAGAATTACCTGGAGGGCTTTTTGGACAATACAGAGGCCTGTTTTTTTTCCTCTTTCTTTTTGTTTCCTGACTCAGAGTCTCTGGGTCCTGGGTGGGGCCAGTGTTGGGAGCCTCTTGTGCTCCTGTGCCCGCTTTTCTGTGAAGCTCCTGCTTCTCCCGCTTGACTCGCTCTGCCCCGGGTACACAGGCCTTGCTGTTCTCAGGGAAAGCCCGCTGGCTCCCCCACCTTGGCCTTTCCACTTGCCCTCCCAGAACACTCTGCCCCAAACCTTCTTGTGGCTTGCTTTTGACCCCTCTTCCTTCCAGTGCCTTATTTGAATGTCACCTCCTCATAGAGACCTTCCTGACCGTCCTATAACCCTTCTCCTCCAACCCATTACTCTTGGCCCCATGTGTTCTCTACCAGGGCCAGTCACCTGGGACACTTAAAATGTCTGATGCCCAGAGACTGACTCTGTTGGCCTGGGGTGAGCCCCAGGCTTCAGTGCCACCTGGCCTGGGACACGGATCGTCACCCAGTCTCATTGTTCACAGCTCTCTCCTTGAAATTATACATGTGCTTGCTTATTGTCCATGTCTCTGCTAGAGTGGAGAGCAGGGGACTGGCCTGTCTTCGGCCCTGCCATATTCCCAGGTGATTTAAAAGCACCCGCCACACAGTAGGAGCTCAGTGAGTACCTACGAATGAAGGAATGGGATGGTGGGGCTTGAGGAAAGATAGCTCGACTGACCATCAGGATCGATCTGTTCCCAACATCTGGTGAACCCTTGGAGGGTTCTTACAACAAGGGAAAGTTTACCTGATCCGCCAGGTTCACACCTCCATGCTGCCCCGAACATCCCACTCTGGCTGCAGGACCACCTCGGGGTGAGGACGGTGGGTTGAGATGGCAGGAATCACCACGGTCTCCCTGAGATTCAGGTTGCACATTGGCAGAGTCAGAGCTGGAAGGGCAGGAGTGGTGTTGAGTCTGAGCTCTCACCGTGCACATGGGCCCTGAGGCCTAGTGAGGGAAGGAGCCTCGGCTAAGGTCAGGCCGTGGTTGAAGAGGGCCTAGAGGGTAGGAGCTACAGCATGCTGTGTGACCTTGGCCAAGCCTCTGACCTTCTCTGTGCTTTAGTCTCCCCATCTGTACCTGCAGGGCCTGGGCTGAGATGATCCCAAGCCCAGGACGTCAGGAGTTTGTTCCCTGAGTCCTTTCCTGGGCAGCGCTGACTGCGGAGGGCTTGCAAGGGGTTAAGCTCCTCCAGCTCTTGCTCTGCACGCAGACAAACCCCCTCCTTCTGACAAACACTTGTAGGAAATCAGGCTGGGCGCTTCCTGCCGAGGCGAGGCGGCCTCAACCACGGCAGGGGCGGGGAGAGGTGGGGAGCGATGCTGGTCTGTGAGCAGCAGCTTGGGCTGGCAGAACGGCCTGGAGGTGGGCCAGGGCGCAATGGAGACAGGGGGCTCCCTGGGTTTGGAACAAAGAATTCACAGGCAGGTCCCCTGAAACTGGGTCGGCAGGACGGTGGTGGAGCCCGAGAGAGGTAAGGGATTGGAACGGAGGAGGGCCCGGGAGGCCGCTTTCCTTCTGGACGGGCCAGTCACAGACTCTCCGGGACAGTCCAGGCAGCCGGACCAGCCCAGCCAGGAAGTTGCAGCTGCTGGAGCTGCACCGCTTTTCTCTTGGCTTAGGGGATCCCGGCCTCCAGGGCAAGGGTGGATTTAAGGAGGATTTCGTCAAGCCTCAGGATGCTAGATTCCAGTCCTAGCTCTGATTCTGATCTCTTGTGAACTTGGGTAGGCGGGTCCATCTCTGTGCCTGGGGTGTCGTCGTCTGCACCTGGAGAGTTAGTGTCCTTGGTTGCTAAGGGGTCTCAGAGACGATGCAGGCATGGGCAGCAGGCCAGGAGGCAGCGACGGCGCCGGGGGGTGGTCCCTATTGAAGGAGTGGCCCCTTATGCCAGCTGCGTAAGAGCAAGGAGAGGAGCCAAGGACAGTCCGAGGACCAGCAGACCCAGCTCAGCTCTTGAGGATGGCAAGACCAGAGCTGGCAACAGCCAGGGCACCGTTTCTCTTTCTCCTCGGCCTCTGCTGCTGGAGCGGGCTGGGGGCAGGGAGGACACAGAGAGGGAGTGGCTGGTGCTTCCTTGTGGGACTAGAGTCCACACAGCTGGTGGGAACCCCTTGAGAACAGCAAGTCTGTGCCCTGCCAGCAGGTGGGTGGGGGTATGGTTGAGCCTTTTTGGAAGGTCTGGTTACTGATTTGGGGGGTGGTCTTCCTTCCCCATCTCCCTGACACATCTGACAGCCTTGGTTTCAGAGTTGCGGTACCCCAGCTTTGAATCCTCTGTCTGCGCTTCCTGGCTGTGAGGTCTTGTGAGAGCAGGCCATGTCTCTGTGCCTCAGTGTCTTCATCTGGGAGGTGTCAGGGTGTGGGTGGGGGTAGAAGCAGGGTGGCACCCTGGACAGCTCTGGCTGGATGGGAAGGGGCTGCAGAGGGCACGGGGAGGCTGTGCGGGCTGCGTAGCTGTGCTGGCAAAGGAGAGCCTGGGCGTCTGGGCAGTTCTGAGGGATTGAGCCATAAAGGGAAGGGTCCCTGGCTGTGGAATGACTGAGCGGGCGGAGAAGCCCTGTGTGGGTGGTGGGGAAGAAGAGTCCATCCCACCCAGGAACTGAAGATAGACACCTCAGGGGTCTGTTAGACCCTTGAGAGAGCAGGGGCAGTGGCGGCTTGGGTGTAAGAAGGAGATGTGCAGAAGGAGGGTGCAGTGGCTGCTACTTCCTTGTGGGGCCAGTTTCTCCAGGGATGGCGGGGACCCTGAACTCCATAGCCCTCCCCAGCTCACACTGCTGGAGTCTTCACCAAACCCCACTCACTGCCTTTTAGGAGCAGCCCTGCTGCCCTAACGAGGGCTGGCTGGAACAACTCTGCCTTTATCTGGCATGCAGGGACACCTGCCCATAGCTCTCCTTCAAGGTCAGGCCATACTTTCAGACCTACGTGCCTTTGCCTCCGTGCTGTTCCCGCTGCCTGGAATGCCCTCCCCAGTCTTCTCCCCCAAATCCTCATTGTTTCTCAAGCCCACCTTAAAGCTTCCTTTGGTAACACTTCTGTATTGTACTACCCCCCACCGTTTAAAATCTTGGAACACTTTTACTCTTTTCTATATTCTTTGCATCTTACGTAGCGCCTGGTATATAGTAGGAAGTCATAGGGCTTTTTTAAAAAGTTAATTTGCGCCCACTGGGTGCTCAGTATGTATCTTTGTACTTTGAAATGTGACCTCAGGGAGGAGGAGAGAGGTTAACAGTTCTGAGGCTGTTGCCCTTAGAAGCTGAGTCAATCAGGGACTTCAAAGCTCTTTGAGTCCCATACCCTGCCTCCCAACCCACCCTAGCAGGGTGATATCCCCTTGCGATATCAAGAGCAGGTGGTACTTTCTCTATTTTACAGTGAGGAAAATGCAAGCCCAGCTATACACAGTGAGTAACAGCAGCCAGGACTAGCACCTGTCTCCTGATGCCCAGCCTGCTTCTCTATCACAGCATCGTCCCAGCCTGAGGTTGGCAGGTAGTTGGCACTAACGTGTGTTTGTTGACTGACTAGCTGACTGGCCAGTTCTGGGGCTTTGTGGTGAGGAGGGCCATGGCTCGCATGGAAGGCAGAGGCCTGGCTCAGGAAAGGCTCACTGGTTTAGGCGCCTGGGGGCAAGTGCGAAACTCTAGTCAGTCACTGCAGCTGCCTCTGACGTGCACCTTCCCCTGGTTACAGTGAGATTTCTGCCACGACTGAGTCATCCCAGAAGACAGGATGTTCCTCTTTGTGCACCCAGAGGGCTCTGTGATTGGGCAGGCTGCTCTGTGGCAGAGCTAGAAAAAAAGCCCTTTAAAAAGTCAAAAAACCGCACACCTCCCCCGGCCCCTTCCTCAGCAGAGGCTTCAGAATCAGAAAAGCAACAGCTAAATTGTAGCCTCTTCTCCACCTGCCATAACAGCAGGAGCCAGGAGGCCTAGTGAACTTCAAAGGGCAGGCCCTGCCTGAGGCCCTGGTTTAAAATGCAGATTCCTGGGCCCTATCCCAGGGCCACTGAGTCAGGCTCTCTGCAGGTTGTTTCAGGAAACTGCACGCTTAGAGGATTCTTAAGCACACTGAAGCTTAAGATCCCTGGCAGGGATTTCCAAGAAGGGTACAGGCCCTGCAGAAGGTATGAGAAGCAAGGATTAGAGCTTCTATTTAAAATATAGTTGACCAGCTGGGTGGGTGGCTCATGCTTGTAATCCCAGCACATAGGGAGGCCGAGGCAGGAGGATCATTTGAAACAAGGAGTTCAAAACCAGCCTGGGCAACGTGGCAAAACCCCATCTCGACAAAAAAAAATTTTTAAAATTAGCCAGGCATGGTGGCGCATACCTGTGGTCTTAGCTACTCAGGAGGCCGAGGTGGGAGGATCGCTTGAGCCCAGGTGGTCAAGGCTACAGTGAGCTCTGATTGCCATTGTACTCCAGCCTGGGTAACAGTGAGACCCTGTCTCAATAAAATAAAATACAGTTGATCCTTGAATAATACAGGGGTTAGGAGTGCCTCATGCAGTCAAAAATCTGCTTATAACTTTTAACTCCCCCAAAACTTTATCAATAGCCTGCTATTGACTGGAAGCTTTGCTGATAACATAAACAGTTGGTTAATGCATATTTTCTGTCTTATATGTATTATGTACTGTTTTCTTACAATAAAGTAAGCCAGAGAAAAGAAAATGTTATTAAGGAAATCATAAGGAAGAGAAAATCTACTTACTTTCATTAAGTGGAAGTGGATCATCATAAAGGCCTACATCCTTGTCATCTTCACATTGAGGAGGAGGAGTTAAGGGGGAGATTGATCTACTGTCTTAGGGGTGGCAGAGGCAGAAGAAAATTCACATATAGGTAGACCTGTGTGGTTCAAACTGTCATTAAGGGTCACCTGTATATATTTTCTTTTTCCTTTTTATTTTTAGTAGAGACAGGCTTTTGCCACGTTGCCCAAGCTGGTCTCAAACTCCTGAGCTCAAGTGATCTGCCCACCTCGGCCTCCCAAAGTGCTGGGATTGCAGGTGTGAGCCGCTGTACCTGGCCCATTTTCGATTGCATCTTTTTAGAAGATCACTTTTGAAAATACTCTTTCCAATACATGTAATATATTAGCGTGATGTGTTCGAGCAAATATATTTTTACTGATGGATTGTGTGATTAAAAAAATATTGGGGTACCACTAGGCCAGAATTGACAGTTGCAAATCTTGCTGTGGCAGGAAGTAGCTGGGTGATCTTAGCCAAATTCTACCCTCATGTTTGTAGGAGGGCAGATTGAGAATTTAAAAGTAAAGCTTCAACCCAGGCTGGCGCCGAGTGGGCTCTTCACATGTGGTAGGGACTGTGGGGCTGGAGGACAATACACAGGGTGATCTGGAGGAAATTGTAGGGCTCTGCATTTGGGGGTAGAGAGGAAGACTGGGCGGGGACAGAGGATAGAAGCCCCGAACACCCATCCACAGAGCAGGAGTCGCAGCCAAGGAGGGAAGAATGGTATTCCCTGCACCTCCCTCCTCCAGCCCTTGAGAAGTCAGCCTTTCCCGGGCTGCACTGTTCCCTGGGGAACTTTGTGTCCAAAAATAGTTGCCTGCTGACTTTTCTCAGCCACACAAATCAAGCAGGATCCAAGTGTTCATGAGGATAAAGGGACAAACACAGACCTTCTGTCCTGGGAGGCCTGGAGTCATACTGCCTTCAACACAGCATGCAGGGGAGAAAGCCCAGACTGTGGGCCAGGAGGCTGACTTTCACCCCTGCCTTGTCCTGACCCCTGTGTGGCTTTAGGCAAGGCCTCTCCCCTCTCTGGATCCCAGTTTCCCCATCTGTGGAAGAAGGCCTTTGTGTGAGCTGCTCTGGGGGCCGCTGCACTGATGGGCTGCAGTTCTCTGAACCCTCCATGGCAGGGAGCTCCCTGGGGGACCGTGCCCACTCTGGGTCAGCTTTGCACTTCCTGGGCCTGGCTCAGTGCTGGCATAGAGGAAGCGCTTAGGGAAATAGCAGGAGCGTCAGAAGGAAGAGGCAAAAGGAGATGAGAGGGAGAAGGAAAGAGGGAAAGAAGGAGAGGGTTGAGGGAAGGCAGCGGAGGAGCCCTTCTCTGGCTACCCTGTTCCTGCAGCAGCCGCCTGACGGGTCCCCCGTGTGGCCAGCCTCCCTGGTTCATTCTCCCAGAGCAGCCCAAGGGGAACTTTTAAACCACACCTCTGATGGGCTTTCCCTGTGTTCAATACCCCAGCCATCGGCGGCGAAACCACTCCCAGGTCCAGGAAAGCCCCTGGTAGGCTTGCTCCCCGCCCCCAGCTCGCCTCACTCCTCACTCGGAAGGCGTTTTCTTTAAATTGAGGTGAAATTCACATAACATAAAACTAACCATTTTTAGGTAAACAGTTCAGTGACATTTAGTATATTCACAGTGTTGTGTAACTGCCACCTCCATCTAGTTGCAAAACATTTTCATCACTTCAGAAGGAAATCCCATACCCAGCAAGCATTTAGTGCCCGCTCTCCTCTCCCCCAGCCCCTGGCAAATACCAGCCTGCTTTCACTCTCCAAGGAGTTACCTTGCCTGGATATTTCCTATCCATAGAATCACACTATATGTGACCTTTGTCGCATCTTTCACTTAGCATAATGTTTTTGAGGTTCATCTATACTGTAGCATGTGTTGGGACTTCATGCCTTTTCATTTGAGCACCTGTTTTTCAATTATGTTGGGTACAGGAATGCTACCTTTTTTTTTTTTTTTTTCCTTTTGAGACAGGGTCTCACTTTGTTGCCCAGGCTGGAGTGCAGTGGCGCTGTCATGGCTCACTGCAGCTTCGACCTCCCGGGCTTAAGTGATCCTCCCACCTCGACCTCTGGAGTAGCTGGGACTGCAGGTGTGCACAATTACACCTGGCTAATTTTTCGTAGAGACAAGGTTTTACCATGTTGCCCAGGCTGGTCTCGAACTCCTAGACTCAAGTGATCCACTCGCCTCAGCCTCCCAAAGTGCTGGGATTATAGGCGTGAGCTCTCCTACCTGGCCTGGAATGCTTTTTTCATCATCCTCCCCCACCTCTCAATCTGAATTCTTACCCCAGTGAGGTCAGAGAGGATTCTTGGAGGAACCGGCTTCTAAACTGGGATCACCAGACTTCCCTGGCCTGTGTCAGGGCAGCCCCCGTGCCTCCTCCAGCACATCTCACCTGGATTTGTAGTTGCCTGGTGATCGTCTGCTTCCTCCTGGGCCATCAGTTCTCCCATGAGCAGGGCCTGTGCCCCATGCCCACACGAAGAGCCAGTACGCAGTAACACTAGCTAGCATGCATTCAACACCTGTTCGTTGGTGCACTGGCCACTGGGCTCCTCATCCTGTGTCTCATCTAGTTTATAAAACCCTGGAGGGGGCCGGGCATGGTGGCTCACACCTGTAATCCCAGCACTTTGGGAGGCCAAGGCGGGTGGATCACAAGGTCAGGAGTTCGAGACCAGCCTCGCCAATACAGTGAAACTAAAAAATACAAAAATTAGCCGGGTGTGGTGGCGTGCACCTGTAGTCCCAGCTACTCAGGAGGCTGAGGCAGGAGAATTGCTTGAACCTGGGAGACGGAGGTTGCAGTGAGCCGAGATTGTGCCACTGCACTCCAGCCTGGGCAACAGAGTGAGACTGTGTCTCAAAAAAAAAAAAAAAAAAAAAAACCCTGGAGAGAGAGAGGAATTATTATCCCAGCTTTATTGATGAAGAAAATGAAGGCAGAGTGACTTGCCCAAGGTGACACAGCTTCGGGAGGACACAACCAGGAGTTGAACTGGGGCTAATTCCAGAGTTCCTGCTGGTAACTTCTTGTTCCGAATAAAAGAGGGGATCAGGATTGATTAATGTTCTCTCTTGAATGTGTCCCTGACAGGGCACAGGCAGGATGGCCGATGCTGACAGGAACCAGCGGTGACTCTGGGGCCCCTGGCAGCAGCTCTGTCTCCTGAAGATGAAGTGGCCCAGGTGAAGCCCAGGCCAGCCCCAATGGCCAGCTCGGAGACTGAGATCCGCTGGGCTGAGCCTGGCCTGGGGAAGGGCCCCCAGCGGCGGCGCTGGGCCTGGGCCGAGGACAAGAGGGATGTGGATAGAAGTAGTTCACAAAGCTGGGAAGAAGAGAGACTCTTTCCCAATGCCACCAGCCCCGAGCTCCTAGAGGACTTCCGCCTGGCCCAGCAGCACCTGCCGCCCCTGGAGTGGGACCCACACCCGCAGCCCGATGGGCATCAGGATTCCGAGTCAGGAGAGACTTCGGGAGAAGGTGAGACTGACACCCCTCCCCCTACAGTGGTGTCCTGTCCCCAAAACATCACACGTTCTTTTTTTTTTTTTTTTTTTTGAGACAGAGTCTTGCTTCATTGCCAGGCTGGAGTGCAGTGGCACGATCTCGGCTCACTACAGCCTCTGCCTCCTGGGTTCAAGCGATTCTCTTGCCTCAGCGTCCCGAGTAGCTGGGATTACAGGCATGCGCCACCATGCCCGGTTGTATTTTTTTTTTTTTCTTTTTTTAGTAGAGACGGGGTTTCACCATGTTGGCCAGGATGGTCTCAATCTCTTGACCTCGTGATCCGCCCGCCTCGGCCTCCCAAAGTGCTGGGATTACAGGCATAAGCCCGGCCATCACACATTCTTCCAGGGAGGAAGGGAGTGGACGCTGCTTCAGCATTTTCAATTAAATTCTACAAAGTCTGTAATTAAAAATTTTTAAAGATTTAAATTGTATACATAATACCATTCATTGCAGAACAACCGGAAAGTATAAGCACAAAATTAGGTAAAATTTAAAATTACTCATTGTCCCACTCCATCCCCTGATAACCACTGTTTTCCATATGTGTAGATATGCAAATGTAATGTGAATAAGGAACAGTATTCTACATGCTTCCTTGTAACCTGCTTTTTGGTTAACTTAATAGATGTGAACATTTTCGTAGTTCATCAAATCCTCTCCCACAAGTGATTCCTAGACTTCCATGGATATTCCATGGTTAATTGGCCAGTCTCCTACTGCTGGGCGTTTTAGTAGTTTCTAGATTTTGCTGTTATAAATAATGCAGTGATGAATGTCATTAATATATCTTTGCACACTTGATTTGATCATATCTTTGGTAATTTGAATTACTTAGTCCCGGGGTTATGTCCATTTTTGACTTTATTTTTTTTTTTTAGTGAGGCAGAGTCTTGCTCTGTTGCCCAGGCTGGAGTGCAGTGGCATGATCATGGCTCACTGCAGCCTCGACCTTTCTGGCTCAATCAATCCTCAGAACTCAGCCTCCCGAGGAGCTGGGACTACAGGTGCATGCCACCACACCCAGCTAATTTTTGTATTTTTTGTAGAGACAGGGTCTCACAGTGTTGCCCAGGCTGGTCTCAAACTCCTGGCCTGAAGTGAGCCTCTCACCTTGGCCTCCCAAAATGCTGGGATTACAGATGCGAGCCGTCATGCCTGGACATTTTTAAGGTTTTTTAAAATCCCAATTAGCAATGGGAACGTTGGCATTTCTTGTTTTCTACAATAGCTGTGTTCTGGTTGCATCCAGACCAACTTAGACTGAATTCCTAGCTTTGCTTAGCAAGTTCCTTCTGCCTGAATCTTGCTTTTTCCATCTATAAAATGAGAGGAATCATATCGTGGAGAATAGTAAGAGCTGAATATATGGTAACTATTGCACTTAGATTATGAGCAAGATGCCCCTGTTTTAGGGTCCTGTGACTCCCGCAGGCTGGTGTGGTTGGTAGAGAAGCCTCCTCTGGTAGTGGATTGTGCCATTACTCAAAGTTTCACACACCTGATCTGCTCAAAGTGGGCACTGCCCACTGAGGAGCCATTTCTGAGCTCTCTCTCCAGCAGGGGATGGTGACTGAGATGCACTGGGTCGACAGGGCAGAGGCATCTCTTCCTGGGGTCACATGGTAACCCCCTGCTATGATGTAACAGCTGCTACCTTGTCCTGTGCCTTTACTATGTGCCAGGCACAGGGCTGGGCAGGGTCTGGCCCTCTCTTGTTCCCTCCTCACCACCCTCTGTCAGGTAGGAGGAACTATCCTCAAGTTTGACTATGGATTGCCAGAGAGGTCAGCAGCTTGCCCGTGGCCCCAGTGAGGGGTGATAGGAGCCAGGATTGAACCCAGGGCTCCCTAGCTCCAAAGCCCAGGCCCCTTCACCCCTAGTACGTGACCCCTAGTGGTGGAAGCAAACTCACCTGCATGGCTGGGGCCTGGGTCCTAGGTCCAGGGAACCACTGGGTGATCTTTGGCAACTTACGTAACCTCCCTGGGCTTCAAGTATGCTGCTGTAAGCAAGAGTAACTTGCTGAAGGACATGTTAAGT
Organism: Homo sapiens; assembly: GCF_000001405.40. Taxonomy (NCBI): domain Eukaryota; kingdom Metazoa; phylum Chordata; class Mammalia; order Primates; family Hominidae; genus Homo; species Homo sapiens. Next base: position 114,378,989 of record NC_000009.12, on the reverse strand, counting down.
GGTTAAGAGACGTAGAGGCATCAAGGGTAGGGGAAAGAGCATGGAGGAACAGAGAGTGCGACAAAGGTGCATCTGCCTGAACAGAGAGTCTATGCCTGGTGGTACCCAAACTATGTCTCATGAAACTTTGGACTTATCCCTGAGGTCAACACGGGGTCTAGAGCAGAGTGGGTGCTCCATAAACAATGACTGCATGGATGGTGGTTAGATGCATGGATGAATGGACAGGTGGGTGATGAATGGGTGCATGGGTGGGTAGATGGATGGATGTTGGGAGGAAGGATGGCGGGATAGATGGGTGGGTAGATGGATAAATATTTCTTGAGTACCCACTATGTAATAATTACAATAACTATCTATTTCCTGGGGGCTTTATATACCTTATCTTCCTCTCTCCCTCCTTCCTTCCCTCTCTTCCTCACTCACCTCCCTTTTCTCCTTCCTTCTGTTTAGTCAACAAATAGTGTCAGGTACCGGCACTGCAAATATAATCATGAACAAAACAGAGAGCATCCTTGGCTTCATAGAACTTGCAGTGTAGTGGGCGAGACAAATGTCAATGAAACAACTGCACAAATAAATGGAAAACTGCTGCTATGATAAGTGTTACAAAGTAGAGGGAGCCAGTCCTATGAGGGCCTGTAAAAGGGAGAACTTGACCTAGTCAGGGAGAGCTAAGTCTTCCTTGAGGAGGCAGAGGTTGAGCGAACGCCTGAAGGACAGATAGGAGTTAACTAGGCCAAGGAGGGGAGAGAATCCCTCGGCAGAGGGATGCGCACATGCGTAGCCCCCATGGTGGGAGGAGCGTTGTGTGCACATAGCAGGAGCAGGGGGAGCTTGAGGGGCCATGGAGAGAGATGGATCAGGAGAGCTAATGGGGCCGGGGTGGCAGCGACCTTAGGACCATAGTGAAGGTTCTGCTTTTCTTCCACAGGAAGACATGGATGAGTTTTCAGATGTGGGATGTGGGTGAGGATAGAGGAGATGGTTAGGTGGCTACTGACTGCAGTTAGCCAGATGAGAGGATGGGACGCGAGCTAAGGTAGTGGTGGTAGACTTCAGAGCAGTAGATGAGTTTGCGATCTTTATAGGAGGTCCCATTGGACAGGACCAAGTGACAGAATGGATTCAGGGGGTTAGAGGGAGAGAGATGGCAAAGATGCCTCCCAGCCTTCTGGCCTGTATGCATAGAGGGGATGGTGTTGCCGTCTGCTGAGATGGGAGACACTGGAGGGACCATCCACCGGGTTTGGGTTTGAGTTTGAGTTTGAAGGACCTCTGAGATAATCAGATCAGGTATCAGACAAGCACTTGGCTAAGTCTACCACCACCTTGGGATTCTTTCCATCCCCACGTGATGAGGAAATGGAAGCCAGAGAGTTGAAGTGACTTAGGGTAAGTTACAAGGTGGGTGCAGAGCTGGTATATGCTAAGAAGTGAATGGCCTGTCTTTCCAGAGGCTGAAGCAGAGGATGTGGACAGCCCAGCAAGTTCCCATGAGCCTCTTGCCTGGCTCCCCCAGCAGGGCCGTCAGCTGGACATGACTGAAGAGGAGCCAGATGGGACCCTCGGAAGTCTGGAGGTTGAGGAGGCTGGAGAGAGCTCCTCAAGGTTGGGGTATGAGGCTGGTCTCAGCTTGGAAGGCCATGGAAACACCAGCCCCATGGCTCTTGGGCATGGTCAGGCCAGGGGCTGGGTGGCTTCTGGCGAACAAGCCAGTGGGGACAAACTTTCTGAACATTCCGAGGTCAACCCATCCGTTGAACTCAGCCCGGCAAGGTCCTGGAGCAGTGGGACAGTGAGCCTCGACCACCCTAGTGACAGCCTTGATTCTACCTGGGAAGGAGAGACCGATGGCCCCCAGCCCACTGCCCTGGCAGAAACCTTGCCAGAGGGCCCCAGCCACCACCTCCTAAGCCCAGATGGCAGAACTGGAGGCAGTGTTGCTCGGGCAACCCCCATGGAATTCCAGGACTCCTCAGCTCCCCCAGCCCAGAGTCCGCAGCATGCCACAGATAGATGGAGGAGAGAAACGACCAGATTCTTCTGCCCTCAGCCCAAGGAACACATCTGGAAGCAGACAAAGACGTCACCTAAGCCACTCCCTTCCCGATTCATTGGCTCCATCAGCCCCCTGAATCCCCAGCCCAGGCCAACGCGGCAGGGCAGGCCGCTGCCCAGACAGGGAGCCACTCTGGCTGGCCGCTCCTCTTCTAATGCCCCCAAGTATGGCCGGGGGCAGTTGAACTACCCACTCCCTGATTTCTCCAAGGTAGGGCCCCGGGTGAGATTCCCCAAAGATGAGAGCTACCGTCCCCCCAAGTCCAGAAGCCACAACAGGAAGCCTCAGGCCCCTGCCAGGCCCCTCATCTTCAAGTCTCCAGCTGAGATTGTGCAGGAGGTGCTGTTGAGCAGTGGAGAAGCAGCCCTGGCAAAGGACACGCCTCCTGCCCACCCTATCACCAGGGTACCCCAAGAATTTCAGACGCCTGAGCAAGCCACTGAGCTGGTCCATCAGCTCCAGGTTAGTGGGACTCATGGCTGTGGATGTGTCACCAAGGCCCCTGTTGGCTTGGGGTGGAGGCTAATTGGGGTGGGGAGGCCTGGAGTAGAGGCTGGCTGGGGTGGAGAGGCCTGGGATAGAGCCTGGCTGGGGTGGGAAGCCCTAGGACGGAGGCTGGTGGGGTGGGGAGGCCTGGGGTGGAGGCTGGCTAGGGTGGGAAGCCCTGGGATGGAGGCCAGTGGGGTGGGGAGGCCTGGGGTGGGGAGCCCTGGGGTAGAGCCTGGTGGGGTGGGGAGGCCTGGGGTGGAGGCTGGCTGGGGTAGGAAGCCCTGGGATAGAGGCTGGTGGGGTGGGGAGGCCTGGGGTGGAGGCTGGCTGGGGTAGGAAGCCCTGGGATAGAGGCTGGTGGGGTGGGGAGGCCTGGGGTGGAGGCTGGCTGAGGTGGAGAGCCCTGGGATAGAGGCTGGTGGGGTGGGGAGGCCTGGGGTGGAGGCTGGCTTGGGCAGGAAGCCCTGGGGTAGAGGCTGGCTGCGGTAGGGAGGCCTGGGGTTTGGGCCAGGAACTCCCTGCTGGTGGAGGGAGGGTGTACCTGGAGCCCTGAGATACACCCAAGCCCTTTGCTCAAAAAGACCAGTGATTGTACTCGTGTTTCAAGGATGATCTGTTTGCTTCTTTTCAACTTCTGCTATAAAAAAATTAAAACATATACAAGAGAGAAGATCGTAGAATACACTCCCATGTACCTACCCCCCGCATCCACAATTAGCAGCCCCGAAAACCTTTCTCGCCTGTGGCCTTACCTCTCCCCTATTCACCCCCACTAGATTATTTTGAAGCAAAATTTCAGGCATCCAATCCTTTTATCTAAAAATGTGTTAGTGTGTGTATGTCTAAAGATAAAGACCTTATATTAAACATAACCACATACCATGGTCACCTAAATGTTAACACCAGGTCCTTAAATATGAACAAATATCACACCCGCATTCAGATCTCTCTGTGTCTCATAAATGGCTTATTCGTTCCCGTCCATGGGCCTCAGGATCCAAACATGGCTTGTATATTGCATTTGGTGCCTTTCAAGTCTGTCCTCTCCCTTTGTCTTTTTCTTTCTTTCTTTCTTGCATTTACTTTTTCAGATCTCTTTTACTCTCTTAGTCCGTCCTCCTTCTTACTTCTGCCGTGCAATTCATTTGTTGCGGAAATCAGTCTGTCCTGCAGAGTCGTCCGCAGTCTGGGCTTTGCTGATGTGCTGTGGTCTCTTTTCATGCGTCCCATTGTCCTCTTTTTCTTGAATATTGTTAGGTTTTGAGCTAGAGGCTTTGGTGGTCTGGAGGAGAAACATGACCATTTCCCTTCCAGACCATGAGCTCCACGGGCGTGGGGAGTTTTGGCAAGAGCACGTGAGTGCCTCCTTCAGTAAGCACAGGATGCCTGCTGCTCTCTTGTTGGTGATTTTGACAGCCTCTGATGGTCATTGTCTTGGGCTAGTCTTTCATTTGAGGTGACAAAGTGGTAGTATGCTAATGCTCTCATTCCTGCATTAATTGCTGGAAATATGCTAAAAAGTAAAAGTGTCCCTCATCAACTACTTGGTTACCAAGTTCTTGTTCCTATGGGAAGGGCCAGCGAGATGTTCCGTTCTGTCCTTTTACTGTTACCGTTACTGACCCATAATGGTACTTACTTAGTTACCGACCCGTTTTCAGAAGGAGTCAGTTCCTCACATCCTTCAAAGGTGACATGCTTTTCCTTTTTTCCTGCAATGACTTGTTTTTATAAAGTTCTTTGGACTTGTTTAAGATAAGTGACTCTGAGTAGGTGGAACAGTGATTTTAAGTCTTCTATTTCTCTGCCATGGGACTCTTGGGTGATTCATTCAATTAGCCATTGAAAATCAGGTACTTCTTAAGCACATGCTTCTTAAACACCGACAGTGCAGCAGGGGGAAAGAAAGATATGGGCCTCACCCCACAGAGCCAACCGGTGGGCAGGGCATTTGGAGAAATAAAACAGTGGCAGCCATCTGCGACATGGGTTATGTATCAAGGTAAACCAGCCAGAGGCCCTCAGTCTAGACCCGTTGTCATGGGGGTAGAAGAGTTGTCCCACTGCCCTCTCATGCTCCAGAACTTGAACGTGGTGGGTCTGTGTTGCACACAAGCCTGAAGATTGCTCAGCTCGGATCCCACCATTGAATGCTTTCCTCTCAGGAACCCAGAAGCCCTTATGGAAGGGGGTTTGCTATCAGGGTCTCCCAGCAAGGAGGGGTTCATTGTGTGCCTGCGCATGTGACCGTGTTGCTCCCGCTTTCTGCAGGAAGACTACCACAGGCTCCTCACCAAGTACGCTGAGGCCGAGAACACCATTGACCAGCTACGCCTCGGGGCCAAGGTACCAGGCCGGGATGGGGTGGAGGCATGGGCCCAAGTCCCCGAGGAGGTGACACTTTTCCATAGTCCTAGAGAAAGGCCACTGCCTCCTCCATCTACTGAGGCCCTGGAGATAGTGGAACGCCAGTTTTCTTCTACCCCAAGGTCCCTCTGTGACCTTGGGCAGTGACCTTGCCTTCCCTGGGCTTTTTTTTTTTTTTTTTTTTTTGAGTCAGGGTCTTGCTCTGTCACCTAGGCTGGAGTGCAGTGGCATGGTCGTAACTTACTGCAATCTCAACCTCCTGGGCTCAAGGGATCCTCTTGCTTCAGCCTCCCTGGTAGCTGGGAATGCAGGCAGTCATCACTATTCCCTGCTAATTTTTTTTTTTTCAATGTTTTGTAGAGACGGGGTCTTACTTTGTTGCCCAAGCTGGTCTTGAACTCCTGGGCTCAAGTGATCCTCCTGCCTCAGCCTCCCAAAGTGCTGCTGGGATTACAGGCCTGAGCTACCATGAGCCCAGGAATTTCATGAGAATCTCTCTCCTTCTAGATGGGTTCTGGAGTAAGACCACCTGGGTTCGACTCCTGGCTCCATTGCTAACCAGCTGTGTGACCTTAAGGACGTTACTTGGGCTCTGTGAGCCTCAAAAGAGTAACACAGAATTTCTGCTCAGCCCCTGGTGCTTGTTTTTTGGGCCTGAATCTTCCTGGATCACACCTTTGCCTTTCTCCCTCCCCACCACCTCACCACAGCCTCTCCCCTCCCCTGAACAGCAGTATGGGGCAGGAGGAGAGCAGAGGGGGAACCCACCACCCCAGCCCCCACCCCGTCTTCGGAGGAGGCTGTGAATTCTGCACCTTCCTCTTTTCTGAGTGAGGCAGGAAGTGGGACCTGTGCGGCCCCTCGTGGCTTCCTGCTTTTGCTGTGCCCTCCTCTTGCCTCATCAGGCAGCAGTAGAGGAGGATGTGGGAGCTGAGGTGCAGAGATGCAGATGCCCCAGTGCCTCCCCCTGTCATGCTCCAGGACCCTGCCCCTGCCACAGCTGCTGCTCTCAATGTCGAGAGGCACTTCCGGGGCAGGTGGGCGGAGGCCACTGTGGTGAGGAAATGGAAGGGGGCCTGTTCTAGGACCAGGACCCCCCCCCCCCCCGCTGCGTCCCCACACCTGCTGCCTGGCACAGGCAGGACCCTTCCCTCTTGGCCTCATCGGGCACATCTGTAAAAGAGGGGCTAATCAGACTTCCTCCTGGGAGCCAAGCAGGCTCCTTCCAGCTTTCTGAACCACTGAGCCAGATCCAGGGTTGGAAGAGACGGGGGAGTTGGGAAAGGGAGGGAAGGGGCTTTGTTAGGTCATCCTCTCTGGGGAAACCACATTCCCATGGCTGCAGACTCCAAGTAGGTCCAAGGAGAAAGGAACTGGTCATCAGACCCAAACACTTGGGCTTCCCCATTTGGCAGATTGGGAAACTGGGGCTCCCGTTGGGATAGGGGCCTCTGAAGGTCATGGAGTGGCGGGGGCTGGAGGCGTGGAGCGTCTGCACCCTCCCTCCTCCCTTCCTTCCTCCTGCACTCGTTTAAGGGCATGAGTCAGTATACAGAAAGCATTTACCTGGCACTAGGCAGGCACTTTGTAAGAGTTAGGGAATATTATAAAGGTGTTTACTGCCAGGCCTCTTGTGTGCCAGCCACAGTGACAGGCGGGGGTGGACACGGGGGAGCACAGCTGGGGTATCTCCTCTCGTGGGTGCTCCCTTGACCCAGTAGGACTCAGGGTCCCCCCCATGTGTAGTCACCCTGCCCTGGCCAGCACCCAGACCCCTGGCTCATGTGTGTGAGGGTGTCACAGGAGAGGCCAGAAATGGTTCTGTGCCAGCTCACTCACTCCCGCTTTCTGGAAAAATGATTGCTTGGCCCGAGGGCTCTGCTCCCTCCCCCAACCCCTCTCTCAGCCTCAAGAAGTGTGAGCACCATTCAGGGCTCTACCGGAAGGAAGCAGGATGATACTATCATCTCCTGCCCAACCCCATCTCACAGCTGCCCTGAAGGAACAGTACATGGCAGGCTTGCAGCTCCTATGTGCAGAAGAGAACACAGAGCCCCGGAACAGGGAGGGGATTCACTCTGGGTCCATGGGGCTTGAGGGGAGCTGAGATTCCAGCTGGCCAGTGCCTCACTCCATCTGGACCTCTGTGCACTCTACCCCGAAGGCTGGAGAGACCCCAGGATGGTCTTCTGCTCAGAACCCACGAGTTCAGAGGCAGTCCTCAGAACCCACCGAGCCATTTCACTCTGCTCAGAGCCCACGGGGGAGGGCTGGACCCACCTGGGAGGGAGCCGCGCTGGGGATGTTGCGCTGGACACCCAGGCTAGGCATGGTGGGTAGGTGGACAGCAATGGATGGGGACCCATAGGAAGGAGATTGACATTCACTGAGCAGCAACAGGTATCCCACCCCAGCTTCAGGGTCATATTTGAGCCCCTCCACACACACACCAAGGCACAGCCAGGTGGAATGGTTTGCTCAACATCCCACAGCTGGTGCAACAGGCAAAGCTGGGACTGAAACCTACATCTCCCTGATTCCAGAACAGGTGTTTCTTTCCTCATGCCTGGGTAAGCCCTGGCACTCAGGCCCTGGCACTGGGTGTGGAGACAGGCATAGGGATGAGGTGGATTGATGACTGTTATAGTAATAAGAATGGTCATAGGTGATGTTTATGGACCACTCTCTTAAATAATTTGCAGTTGGGGAAGCTGAGGCACAGAGAGGTTAAATAACTTGACCAAGATCATTCAACAAGTAGGTGCCAGAGCAGGAGTTGGAACTCGGCAGCCTAGCTCTGAAGCCCACGAGTGACACCACACTCTAGCAGAACTAGACTTGGTAGTTGCGGGATCTGCAGCTGGGGAGGCCTGGCCCAGGAACACCGATGGGTCTGGAGCCTTGGGGTTGGGGCAGGACCAGGGAGCCCAGCTGTGGGGCAGGGAGCCAGGACTGGTCAGGAGTCACTGGTGGGCTCTGTTCTCTACACTGGCCTCTGGCCAGGGTTTATAGTGATCTCACTGCATTTGCTGCCATGTTGCCACCTCCCCCCCAGCCCCTGTTCCTCCATCTCAGCTGAAGAGGGATCTGGAAGAGCTGAGGTGACCAGAAATTACCCAAGAAGGAATTACGGAGATGATGTAAAACCACCTCTTTTCAGTGTGTTCTGATGGCTGCAAGTTGGTCTAGAAGCCCCTGGGTGGGGATGGGGGGAGGGGGAGGCTTCTGTATGCAGATGAGTTGGGGAAACATCTTCCTCTCTCTCTTCCTCCTCCCCTCCCTCCCCATTCATAAAGCCCATTAGCATTTTAAAGGCTGAGAGAAATCCATCTGTGCAGAGAATATTCATTTGTTTAACCCAATGTTTCCCAAATTCACTAGTCCTCCCTTCACAGAATCCTGATTCACCTTTCACAGAATCCCCCAAGGGAGTGAATCCAGCCTTGGGGAGCACCCGGGACACCCTGGCTGTGTCCAGAGAGACCAGCCCTGGGAGGGCCTGGCCGGAGCAGCTGCAGCTGCCACCCCCACCCCCACCGCCACTCCCCACCTCATCGCTCTGCCTGGGCATCTGCTCAGGTTTTGGGCTTCTCTGCTTCAAACTCCTTATCGGTCCCTGAAACAAAAGGGCTTCCTGGCTTCCCTGGCCCATCCCCATTCCCTGTCACTCCCTAGGTGGGGCCTGAGGCTGAGAGAGGGGTCTGGGGAGGGAAACATGTCAGAGGGCTGGGCCTCCCCTGGGATTTGGGTCACCTCAGGAGAGGGGTGCTGATAGGAAAGGCCCCCACAGGGGAGTCTGAGCAGATGGCTGAGGGGATTATTAAAATCCAGCTTTGTTCTCATCTGGGGAGGCTGGGCCTGAAAGAGGGGGAGGCGGCGGGGACCATGCCACACTTGGAGTTGATTTTTCGGCTACAGCCGGGACCTATACAGCTTAAGCAAGAGAGCCTGCTTGCCTGGGGGCCAGGGAGCCCCTTCCACCAGGCCCACCCTAAACTGCTCATTCCTGACCTTGGTGCAGTGGGGGCAGTTAAGATAACCCCCCAACATCATGATGAGCAAATCCCACTAAGGGGTGTTGCTTTTCCACGGGCCTGTCTCCATGGTGGCTGTGCAGATAATGATGGTGATGACGATAACGGTGATGGTGATAATGGTGATGGTTACGATGATGACGGTGATGGTTATGATGATGACGGTAATGGTAAAAATGGTGATGATGGTGGTGGTAATAGTGATGGTGTTGGTGATAATGGTGATAGTGATGGTGATGGTAATGATGGTGAATGATGGTGATGGTAATAGTGATTGTTATGGTGCTGACGGTGATGATGGTGGTGGTAATGACAGTGGTGGTGATGATGCTGATGGTGATGATGCTGATGGTGATGCTGATGGTGATGCTAATGATGGTAGTGGTGATGACGGTGGTGGTGAAGATAATGGTGATGAATGTCAGGGTGGTGGCCACTATTTATTGAGCACTTATTTTGTGCGCAGAGAGGTTATTAAACCAACTAGGACTCAGAGGTGTGCTGTGGTAGAGCCTAGACAGGAACCTGGGCTCTAGCTGCAGAGCCCACATGCTAAGCCAGAGTTGGCAAACTTTCTCTGTAAAGGGCCAGATTGTGACAATGTTTGGCTTTGTGGAGCATATAGTCTCTGTCACAACTACTCAACTCTGCCACCAGAGTGTGAAAGCAGCCATAGACAACACATAAACAAACAGGCATGGCTGTGTTCAATAAAACCTTCTTTACAAAAACAGAACATAGTTCTCTCAACTCTGCTTTAAGCTGTTGAACAGCCTGTGGTTTCCCTCTGCTTTCCAGCTTCAAGAGGCCTTCCTTGGTCACCTGCCTGACTCCAGACTGCTCCCTCACCAACTGGGCTGGCTGCCATGTTAAATCCATCCTCAAATGATAGAGATCCGCTACCAATGGCAGATTAGTTTGTTTACTTGCTGGTTCACTCATTCATTCGAATAGCTATTAGTTGCTATTATTATCAGTATAATAATTATTAGAAATGCTTATATTTGTTAAGAAATAATTATATGTTATATGGTATATTAATTATGATATAATTATAACACACATTATTAATAAAAAATTACTGTTAATAGGAGAACCATAGGTGTTGGGGTCAGATAGAGCAGTGTTGTGATCCTCATCCAAGGACTTATCAGCTGGGGATTTTGAGTAACTGACTTAATAACCTCTCTGTGTCTCAGTTTTTTCTTCTATATAATGGGCTGTTGGGGTCCCCACCCTGTCTTCCTTTCAGGACTGCCATTAAGAGTAAATGAAAAGGCATGCAGTTCTTCACCTGTGTTTGGCCTAGCCAAGGGCTGCACTGAAAGATGGTATTTATTACTACAGGGCATGTGTGTTGAGCTCCTGAATGAAGATGAGGCGTTTCAGGTGGGTTTGCCCCTACCCTGACTTGGCTGTGCTGTGCCTCCCTGCTTCCACAGGTGAACCTGTTCTCTGACCCACCCCAGCCCAACCACAGCATCCACACGGGAATGGTGCCCCAGGGGACCAAGGTCTTGTCCTTCACCATCCCACAGCCCCGCTCTGCAGAGTGGTGGCCGGGCCCGGCCGAGGACCCCCAGGCCTCTGCGGCCTCAGGTGAGTCCGGGAGAAGAGCTGCAGCTGGAGGCTCCTTCTGCCTGGGATTCTGCTCTGTGGGACTGACTTGGTTCACCCTGGGGATGGCGCTGGCCTCAGGCCAGGGGAAGGAGGGAGGCAAGGCCCCACCCTGGGCACTTTGACTCAAAAGGGTCAGAGATGTGGAAAGTGTCCTGCTTTGATCCACAGCAGCCTGGGGGCAGCCCTGGCCCTGCCACTTGGCATCTTGGTGACCCTGGGTGAGTTGAAAACATAGAGCATTGTCCCTGGGGAGCCCATATCTCAGCCAGGCCCTGTGCTAAGCCTTGACACATGTGACCTCACTTAATCCCCACAATAACCCGCTGAGGTGTGCACTGTTGTCACACCCATGACAGCCAAGGGGACCAATTGGAGAGGTGAGGACACGCTGAAGTTCATACAGCTATGGAGGGGAAGTGTCTGGATTGGAACTCACGTCTCCCTGTGTGAGAGCCCACGCTGTTGACTGGGAACCCAGAGGCCTAGCGTAGCTCTGCTCCAGCCAACCATGTGGCCTGGGGCAGATCTGGACCTTGTTCTCCCTTGTAAATGGGGGACAATGTTCTACCCAGCCCACTTCCTGGGGCTGATGTGAAGATCGCACATGGTGACTGAGCTATAACTTGATGATGGAGGTGGTGGCTTTGACGTTCAGCCTCAGTCCTTCAGCTCCTGGAAGGACTGTTCTTGGCCCCAGCTTTCAGCAGTTGTGTATTCCAGGGTGGCCATCAGCTCGAGGAGACTTGAGCCCCTCCTCGCTTACCAGCATGCCCACCCTGGGGTGGCTTCCGGAGAACCGGGACATCTCTGAGGACCAGTCCTCAGCAGAGCAGACCCAGGCACTGGCTTCTCAGGCCAGCCAGTTCCTGGCCAAGGTGAGTGGACTCCCAGCTTTGCCCCCGAGAGACTTAACTCACCTGGAGAACACAGAACCTCTGCCTGCTTGGGTGAGAGGCACTCTGGGAGTCTCACTTGTCATTCCCCTGCCTCTGCACCGAGTTAACTCAGCCATCCCCAAAACATGAGCCCCTCCCTGGTTTTAGAGGCCACACAGCTCCAGCCTCCTCCTTGTCACCAGTGCTAGGTCTCACCCCCCTTTTTGGCAATGCATCTCATCCAAATCCCTCCACTTGTGCTTGGAAGTGTCTCTAGGCTGGCTCCCGGGAAACTCTGAGCTCTTTCAGGATTCTGGAAGGGTAACAGAATCTCCACTCTACCTTTTCCTCTTCAGGATAAGTTGCCTCACTTTCTTAGTTCATTTTATTAAATAAATCAATTCCTAGTTACTTCTCAAGGGTCTTCGTATCTTCATGAAACAGTCCAAGTAACCGTGAATTGTTTGCAGGTCTGTTTATAACTGTACATTGGCTTTATTCCAGAAGTGGTTTAAAGCACCTTATGAAAATACATACGTTTTAGCCACATTCTGAAAACAGAAGTGAGAAAACTGGGGCAGAGAGGAAGTAAGGGTAGAAAAAAATAAAATACGTGGAGTGAGTAAATAAAATGTTCTGTTGGACCCTAAGCACATTAGAGTCACACATTTAGCTTTGAGCTTCCTAGTTGCCAATGCCAAAAGAGAAATGCAATAGTTACATGCACTACCATGCCCATAAAACAAATTCTTTCAGAAGCACCACCATTTTATTCTTCCCTTCCCTTCCCTCCTCTCCTCTCCTCTCCCTTCCCCTCTCCTCTTCTCTTCTCTCCTCCCCTCCCCTCCTCTCCTCTTCCCTCCCCTCCCATCTCTCCTTCTTTCCCTTGCTTTACTGAAATATAATTCACATACCATGCGGTTGACTCATTTAAAGTGTTTGCTTGCTTCAGCGGTTTTTAGTATATTTGCAGTTCTGCCACTATCACCACAGTCAGTTTTAGAACATTTTCATCACGCACTAAGAAACCTCATCTGTATTAGGCAGTCACTCCCCATCCCCTCTTTCCCCAGCCTCCGTCGGCTGCTCTTCTGCTTCCTGTCTTTATAGGCTTGCCTATTGTGGATGTCTCATAGCAATAGATTCACGCAATATTTGTCCTGTGTCTGACATCTGTCACTTACCATGATGTTTTCAAAGTTAATCCTTGTTGGAGTAGCACATACAAGTACTTCATTTCTTTTCTTCTTTTTTTTTTTTTTTGAGACAGAGTCTCACTCTGTTGCCCAGGCTGGAGTGCAGTGGTGCAGTCTTGGCTCACTGCAACCTCCGCTTCCCGGGTTCAAGCAATTCTCCTGCCTCAAGCCTCCCTAGAAGCTGAGATTACAGGCACGCGCCACCATGCCTGGCTAATTTTTGTATTTTTAGTAGAGATGGGGTTTCACCATGTTGGCCAGGCTGGTCTTGAGCTCCTGACCTCAGGTGATATGCCTGCCTCGGCCTCCCAAAGTGCTGGGATTACAGGCTTCGTTTCCTTTTGCCACCACCATTCTTGGTTCCGTAGCCGGAGACACATTTCTTCTTCGTCCTATATGTTGTCCACAAAATAAAGCAATGTCAAATCATCACACTGAGCAGGAGCTGGGGCCTTAGCTGACCCCTCATGTCTAGTGCTGCACGGTCCAATTCAGAAGCTGCTGGCCACATGTGACTGTTGAGTACTTGACATGGGCTGCTCTGAATTGAGACGTGCTGTGGGTATGAAACACATGCCAGATTTCAGAGACTTAGAAATATAAAGTGTCTCCCTATTTTTTTAGTATTGATTACATGTTGAAATGATATTTGGGGCTAAATAAAATATAAAAATTAATTTTACCTGTTTCTTTTTACATTCTCAATGTGGCTATGAGAAAATTATAGATGGTGTAGCTCACATTATAGTTCTATTTTATATATTATAAAATTATGTAATATGATTATATAATATACATTTCTATATTTCACACTGATCTAGAGCTTTCTTAAAACCGAACCTTACATCATCCCTTGCCTTTTTTTGTAATTAAACTTTTTTGAGCAGGTAATAGATGCCCATGATAAGGACCTTTGCACAGTACAGAGGGCATATTGAGCAAAAACTAAATCTTTCCTCCAACCCATGCAAAAATGTTCAATGCACACACTTGCATTTATAGAAATGGCTGCATAAGCTACTGTACCTTGACTTTTTGAAGTCTTAAATTTGAATATTTATTTTTGGGTAGGCAACGAATTCACATTGTTCAGATTTCAAAGGATGCAAAGGACATGTAGTAGAAAAATCTACTTCTCATTCCTGTCTTCCAGCCACCCAGTTCTCCTTCCCAGAAGCAATTCATATTTTAGTTTCTTGAATTCCTCTAGAGATAGTATATCGTATATAAGCAATGTATTTATCGTTTTCCTTTTTACTCTCCACATATTCTATACAGATGGTAGCATACCGTAAACATTGCCCTGTACCTTGATTTGACACTGAAAAATAGGTCTTGGAGGCATTAATAGCTCAGAACATACACGTGTGCCTTCCTCTTGTTGATGGCTGAATACTATTCCACCGACAGGCATTTAGGCAATTTCTTGTCCCCTCCCTACTGTTCATGCTGCAGTAAATATCCTGACTCATTAGTCTTGATGCACATGAGTGACTTGCTTTGTTGTCAGTAAATTCCTGCAGGTTTCACTTCAATTTTTCTCAAGGCTACCATGCCTGGGGCTGGTGGTAGAAGCTGTTCCCAGCACCCACGTCTCCATGCTTGGCAGAAACCCCACATCCTGAGGACGGACCCAGCTCCTCTTACCAAGGCATAGATGTGGCTGGGTGTGGGAGTCTACAGGACTGGATTAATGGAGCATATTTCCTTCCCCTCCCAATGTCCAGGTGGAGTCCTTTGAAAGACTGATACAGGCAGGACGTCTCATGCCCCAGGACCAAGTCAAGGTACTGCCCAATTCAGGAGCCACCCATGGAACTGCCAGACAACCACTGTCTCCCATGACTCTGTCTCTGAAGCCTTCTTTGCTGCAAGACAGAAAAGAGAATCCCAGACACAGGGTCTCTTTTAGAGCAAACAGTTCCTGAGTAGCTTCCCATGATAACGATCATTATTTCACAATAGTTACCCATTATTAAGCAAGGATGGTTGTGTACAGGGACTGTGGTAAACCCTAGAGTATGTTATTTTATTTGGTCATCATCAAAACCCAGTGAAGCAGTTACATTTATCACCCTCATTTAACCAGGATGGAACTGAAGCTCAGAGGGGTGACTCAAAGGCCCCACAGCTAGTAGGCAGGAGAACCTGGAGCCAGGTCTGTCTCTCTTTCAAATCCAGGGTCATAATCACTGCCCTGCACTACTTTCCACAAATTATCCTGCCTCTCAGCAAGCAGAAAAAGGCCTTTTCTTTTTTATCGCCTTTAAACAAAATTACAAAATAGTTGCCAAAAGTTTGGAAACCCTGTTAAAAAAAGTGGGGGCTGGAGGGGAGACCCTTTATAGAGTCCTATTGGTGTATATCCTTTGGAATTTGGAGTTTTAGATAACGGTGGTCATAAATACAATTTAGATTCCTGCTGCATCAGCCAGGGTCCCATTAAGGGACAGGTGGGGCTCTCAAGTCTGGGAGTGTAGGCGTCAAAGGAGAGAACTGTCAGCAAAGGTGTGGGCAGCATCAGGGGACCCAACAAAGACTGAGGAATCCCCGGGTAGTAGCATTAGCCGGGAGCTGTGCCCACTCTCAAGTCTCTCTCTTCCCACCCTGTGATCTCTCATAGGTCCCTCCCACTAGACAGACCCAACCAGAAGCCAGCAGGTAGACAGCCCTGATGCTCAAAGCACAGAGCAGGGTGGGAGAGGAGCTGAGAGAAGGTCTGGAGAGGCAAATTCAAAACACCTAGTTTCTAAAAAAATGTTATGGCAGGATATTTCCTGTGTGGTTACATAGATGTCATGTACATTTTCCAATCACAAAATGTGTCATATGTATCATGTAATATCATCCAGTGGATGACCAAGGACCTTATAAACTAAAACCATTCATTTTTTTGCTCTCTGTTCTAATCCCCCCATATACAGGGAAGTTGAGAGCTGTCAGAAGATTAGATGTGACCAGGGAATGGGTTTTAGGTTGTGCTTGGCTTCTGTCTCTCCTCAGAGTTGAGTGGGATGTGGATGGTAGTAAGACAGTGATACCAACCCCAATTCCTGCAGCTTTAGCCATGTATTACCTGTGATCCTCCTATGGGAGCCTAGCAGAATTGCTAGGACCATGAGCTCTGGGGCCAGAGGGCCTGGGCCCACATCCTGTCTCTACAACTCACTCACTCCATGACCTTCATCAACTTAAGTGACCTCCCTGTGCCTCAGTTTCATCCTTTTTAAATGAAGATGATAAATCACCCCTCTCATTATGATTATATTGAAGATTAAATAAATGCAAAGTGCTTTAGCCCAGAGCCTCAATGCTCAGTAAACATTCTCAATAATGTGATGGTGATGATAACATTATCGGTGTCGATAGTCTATAAGGATTTGGGGAAAGAGTGGCTAATTTTCTGAAGCCCACAGTTTTGCAAATCAAGAATGAGGATCCAGAGTCTCTCATGTAAAGGGTCCTTATGGAGATAATAGTGAGAGTGTATTTGACACTGTGACAGCTATGACAGTTTGTGGTACATTGGGGTCCTTGTAAGTCTATGCAGGAAGGGCTGGTGCCCTCTGGAGCTGGTGCCAAGTCTCTGAGTTGTGTCTCTGTTGTGCCAGCCTGATGGCAGAGAGCTTGACCACGGCAGCTCTCCAGGGCAGGCAGCCTCCAGAGATCTCAACCTCAGCCTGTATCTTGCATGAACCCAGGGGCCCAGGTGCATCCCATGGCCTCCCGCAAGCTGTCTCATCCACTGTGTCTTCAGGGACAGGCCCCGCGGGGACTGAGCACTCAAGTCTTCCTGGCCTGGTCTGGTTTCAGGGCTTCCAGCGGCTGAAGGCTGCCCACGCGGCCCTAGAGGAGGAGTACCTGAAGGCTTGTCGGGAGCAACACCCTGCCCAGCCGCTTGCCGGCTCCAAGGGGACGCCTGGAAGATTTGATCCTCGCAGGTACCTGCTGGGGTGGAAGGCCTGGAAGGACAGATGGGATGGGCCCCTGGGGTCCCTCAGTCTCCAGGAGGGAGGCACTTTGTCCTTATAATTTGTACACGGGGAATAGAGAGAAATCTTATCCTAATTAGTATACATATCCAAATGGTGGCACGATCAAAAGCTGTGATTTGAGTCCCTTTGGACCCACGTGCTGAGAAGATGCCTTGAAACCCTTATTGGATGATGGGGAAACTGAGGCTAGATGGGGGTGGGATTTCTCTAATGTCCCACAGCCTGTGGATGGCAGAGGGGACTTGGGCTGAGACCTCCTGATTCCCAATGGAACCTTCTTTCATCTTGCTTATTTTGAGTTCTCACCATCATCTAAAGGCTGATATTAAATGGACCCTAAGGGGGCATCCCCTGGAGTCTCTGCTCTGATACTCTGTTCCTGGACCTGCCTGATGTAGCTGCCATCTTGGGCTCCTGGTGGTAATGTTTCTGCATTCCAGGGAGCTGGAGGCAGAGATATACCGTCTGGGAAGCTGCCTGGAAGAGCTGAAGGAACACATAGACCAGACCCAGCAAGAGCCTGAGCCGCCCGGGTCAGACTCAGCTCTGGACAGCACCCCAGCCCTGCCCTGCCTCCATCAGCCAACGCACCTGCCTGCTCCTTCTGGACAAGCCCCCATGCCAGCCATCAAGACCTCCTGCCCTGAGGTACCTCTTGGCTCAACCATATTGGGCTGTTCCCTCGTGCATTCATTTCTTCGTTAATTCATTTCTTCAATACGTATTACATATTTATGAAGTGTGTGCCATATGCCAGTGTGTGCCAAATATGTAAATATTACATATTTATGAAGTGTGTGCCATGTACCATGACACATGGTAGGGATTCAGTGGGATGGGAGGTGGCAGGGAAGGTGGCGTCTACCTTCACAGAGTTTTCTGTAGAGTTGAACTGGTTACAGTGATTTAGTTATAATTTTGGTCAGTGCACTGAAGGAGAATTATGGGGTTCTGTGAGAGTAGCAGGAGTAACATGACTGAGTTTGAGGAGGAGGTCAGAGAAGCTTTCCCTGAAGAAGTCATGTTTAAATGAGACCTGAGACTAAGTAGGAATTACTAGAGACAGAAAGAGAAAACCCATCCAGCAGGGAAAACAGCTTGTGCAAAGGCCCTGTGGCTAGAGTATGGGAAGAGAAAGGAAAAATAGTCTGAGATGTGGCTGGAGAGGCAGGCAGGGGCCCCATGATGTAGGGGCTTGTGGGTCACGTAGAGAGCATGGCCTTAAACTCTGCTGGATTTTCTGGCAGGGGATGACATAAGATGACTTGTGGGTAGGCCAGTCTGAGGCTGGGGAGGTGGCAGGGCAAATGGAGAAGCATGTGTGGACTTAAGAGAGGTTGGGAAGGTATGTTTGAGTGGACTTGGAGTGGCCGTGAGAGGGAGGAAGGGAGACACGGATGGCTCCAGGTTTCTAGCTTGTAGTACTGCATGGATAATGGGGTGAAACCTAGACAAGAGCCCTACACAAAAGGGGCTTTGTAGAAGGCTGTCTGGCCCACACCACAACCCCTTGAGAGACAATCACTATCTCCGTTTTGCAGGCGAGCAAATTGAGTGTAGTGCGTTCACACAGATGACAGTAGTGGGGTCTCTATGCCTCCCAACTCCTGTTGCCTGTGCTGCAAAGACTTGTCTGTTGAGGATGGGAGCAGGAAAGAGAGCCTGGCATGCTGGGTAGGGTGGGACACTGGTAGGACATCCCTGACAGCTGAGGTCATGCTGGCCCTATGGTTTGGGGAAAATCTTGTGCTGTGCTCTGGCCTAGAGGGTAGGAAAACTCTACCAGGTGCCACTACACACTTGAATGGGGAGAAAACCTGAGTACAATATCTTAAGGGACCCTCATGCTCCTGCAGTTGAAGGTATTGCAGGGGGCTGGGGTGGCCATGCTGGAATGGATGGGGGTCAGGAGAGTTAACTCTGGCAGGAAATCTAGGTTTAAATCTCAACTCTGCTCCTTGTTTCTGTTGACTTTGGGCAAATCATTTGAGCGTGAGTTACCTGTCTATAAAATGGTTTGTAATAATCGTAGGTACTGGTGGGATTGTTGTGACATGGTATCTGTATGGTGCCTGGCACACAGCAGGTGCTCAATTCATGGCAGCCAGTATCGAAGACCACACAGCCCAGTCTCCATAGTTTACACATACATAAAAGGGTGGTGGGCTTAGTGAGTCTAATGTGCTTCTTACCCCGCAGCCCACAGCTCGAGCCTGGCAGGAGGTAAGTGCTTAAAAGTGGTGTTTAACTATCTGCTGAATCTCTGTCTGTCCATCTTTCTGACCCCAGCCTGCTACCACCACTGCCGCCGCCAGCACTGGCCCCTGCCCATTGCACGTAAATGTGGAGGTGAGCTCTGGCAACAGTGAGGTGGAGGACAGGCCACAGGACCCCCTGGCCCGACTCAGGCACAAGGAGCTGCAGATGGAGCAAGTTTACCATGGCCTCATGGAGCGGTGAGTGCCACCTGGACCTGACCAGGGTGTCTGGCCAGCAGCTGGATCTTGGCTGTCCCCCACTGGGCAGAGGTCATGCCCCTCTGTGTGTTCTTCTGCAGGTACCTCAGTGTGAAGTCTCTCCCAGAAGCCATGAGAATGGAGGAGGAGGAAGAAGGAGAGGAGGAGGAGGAGGAAGAGGGGGGAGGTGACTCCCTGGAAGTTGATGGGGTGGCTGCAACTCCAGGGAAAGCAGAGGCCACCAGGGTCCTCCCAAGGCAGTGCCCGGTGCAGGCTGAGAAAAGTCATGGGGCTCCCCTGGAGTAAGTCACTGAGCCTTTCCTGCAGAATGTTTGTTTCCACCCTAAAACCACAGGGATGATCACTGTCAGAGTGAATAAGACAGCGCTTCACAGTTTAGACATGGCTTACCTGTCCTGCCTCTTCAAGTGTGGAATGTATACCACTGATAGCCCTTGAAATGATTTTGGGTAGTGTGGGACATGATTTTCAGTAGGACACATGCAGTATTAAAGAACATTATTCTCAGCTGGGCACAGTGGCTCATGCCTGTAATCCCAGCATTGAGGGAGGCCAAGGCAGGTGGATCACTTGAGTCCAGGAGTTCAAGACTAGCCTGAGCAAAACGGCAAAGCCCCATCTCAACAAGAAATACAAAAATTAGCCAGGCATGGTGGTACACGCCTATAGCCCTAGCTATTTGGGAGGCTGAAGCAGGTGAATCTCTTGAGCCCAGGAGGCGGAGGTTGCAGTGAGCTGAGATCGGGCCACTGCACTCCAGCCTGGGTGATAGTGTGAGACCCTGTCTCAAAAAAAAAAAAAGAAAAAAGAATATCATTCTCTTTTTCTGTCTCTGACCTTCTAATGATGCCAAGGAGAAAGTCTCAGTTAGTGCTGTGGTGTCTTTTTTATTTTTCTTTTTTTGTACTTTAAGTTTTAGGGTACACGTGCACAACGTGCAGGTTTGTTACATATGTATACATGTGCCATGTTGGTGTGCTGCACCCATTAACTCGTCATTTAACATTAGGTATATCTCCTAATGCTATCCCTCCCCCCACCCCACAACAGCCCCCGGTGTGTGATGTTCCCCTTCCTGTGTCCATTTGTTTTCATTGTTCAATTGCCACCTATGAGTAAGAACATGCGGTGTTTGGTTTTTTGTCCTTGTGATAGTTTACTGAGAGCTGTGGTGTCTTTAATGCCTCTCTTGAACTTCTGTGGAAAAAGAGAGAGAGAGACAGTATGAGAGCACACAAGGCCTAGAGCATTTAGCAGGCAAGTGGATCTATCTAGTATATGATAATATTCAGGTTTCTTATATTTATCCTCAAAGTTAGTTTCTGTTTGTCACATGACACACTGATCTTCTGTTTTGAATAGTGATCTAAAATCTTTGGAGTAGATGGAAGTTTATGGAAATGACTGAAATAGGGAAGGTGGTATGCAAACTCCTTAAGTCTGGGAAATGCTGCTTTAACATTTCCTCTTTGGTGTTGGGTGGGTTTTGTTGGCATCCATATTTTATAGTTGAGAAAAGTGAGGTTGAGAGAGGGGAAGTGCCTTGCCCTAGGTCACACAGCTAGAAGGTGGCAGAACCAGGCTGGGCAGCCAGGGATGTCTGACTCCAGAGCTTGTGCCCTGGGCTGCTTGGCTCCCAGGACAGGCCAACCCCTGCGTCAGGGCTGCCTGGCAGAACTCAAGGATGGTCTTCTCTTCCCATGCCAGGGAGGCCACGGAGAAGATGGTATCTATGAAGCCACCAGGTTTCCAGGCATCCCTGGCTAGAGACGGGCACATGTCAGGCCTGGGCAAGGCTGAGGCAGCCCCTCCAGGCCCTGGCGTGCCACCCCACCCTCCAGGCACCAAGTCCGCAGCATCCCACCAAAGTAGTATGACCAGCCTGGAGGGAAGCGGCATCTCTGAGCGCCTTCCACAGAAGCCTTTGCACCGAGGCGGTGGGCCCCACCTGGAGGTAAGTCTCCACATGGGGGAATGGGCCCAGAACCTCAGGGTCATTCCTGGGTCTTCTCAACTTTCTGCTTCTGGGTCTTTCCTTGTGCTATTCCTTCTTGGAATACTTGCTGCTCCTGTCCCTGCCAGCCACAATCCCACCTGACATGCAGGACTTATGCTCAGTGTCACCCCCCAAACCTGTCCCTCTTCCGGAGCTCTTGTTCCTCCTCTGAGAGCTTGCAACCCATTGCTTATACTTCTCTGAGCCTGCCCATCACAGCTGGAGAGACTAGTTCTATGCTCTTTAGAGTAGACATCACTGCTGCAAAGTCACAGGCCACTATGGAAATGTGACTGTCATAGAATAATGCATATATATGCATGCATGTGCACTTATGCACAAACACACACACACACACACACACTTCTGTAGTCCTAACGAGCCCATGGTCAGGATTCTCTGCACTAGACATGAACTCAGCGAGGGCAGGCACCTGTGTTGCTCTGTTTGTGTTCTCTGTGCCGTGTGTTAAACCCAGCGGGTAGGACCTGTACATATTTGATGGTCTCGTTTTTCCAATGCCTTGGGCCTGAGCATTTCCACTGTCAGATAAGACCATAGTATTCCAGGCCTAAGCCAGGAGACACTGGAAATAAGGCTTTCTCCCTCTCCCCTTGCTAGTCCTTGTCCATGGCCTTGTCTCTCCCAAGGGCTCTGGCTGCCACCCCTCAGGGAGGCAGCACTTGCTGAGGGTCCTCCTGGGGTGCAGAGTCCCTGCTGGTAGCCAGATTCTTGTGCTGAGGCCTGAGAGCCTGAGAGCCCTCACTCCTGGGCCTGGCTGTTGGGAGCTGGGCCAGCAACCCTGGGGTGTGAGCCTCTGGGAGGTGAGGCCAGGCCACGATTTGGGAAGGGCTTCCCAGTGTGCCTTGGACACATTCCTCAGACATAAAGGGATACTGCCTCTTTCAGGAGACCTGGATGGCGTCCCCAGAGACAGACAGTGGCTTTGTGGGCTCAGAAACAAGCAGAGTTTCACCCCTCACCCAGACTCCAGAGCACCGGCTCTCCCACATCAGGTATCCCGGGATCCCGCCATTGTCCCGTCAGTGCCACATTCCTGGGACAGCCTGGGAATCACAGTGCCTGTGATGGCCCAGAATAAGAGAGGATGGTCTGTCCATTCGTAGGCCCTCATTTCATCCCCTAACCGTGATTTCTTGTTCCTGTGTTATGGACAGAGGAAACAGAGCTTCAGAGAGGGGAGTAACTAGTCCAGCCTCACATAGCTAATTAGCGACAGACTGGGAAATTCATTTTTGTTGAGCAAATGAATGGATGAATGAATAAAAACTACAGGGAGGGCACTGTGAGGTGAACAGAAGACAAGGGCAAAGGGCACTCAGGGTGGCTACATGGAACCCAAAGGGAAGGGAGAAGGCGGAGGGGACAGGGGTGAAGAGTGGAGGGATGGAGCCTCCAAAGCTGGGTGCAGGCCCTTCAGGAGGCCCACATGGCAACCCAAGGGTGCATGCAAAGGAAGGATTAGAAATCCTATTTCTCTTTTATGTATTCTACACATAAACTGAGCTTTATTATTTTGCATATTGGGTTGGCCAGTGAACAGTTTACAAAGAATTGGGCATCTAATGTGTGTGTGTCCTTGGAAATATTGTACCACCCGAGATGCAAAGTTACAAAGGGTGGGAGCTTATTGGGTTAGCATGTGGAGGGGCTCAGATGCTGCCGCCTGAGTGTCTCACTCTGTGTGACCCCTGTGTGTCCCTTCCTCCACGGTCCCCCAGCACAGCAGGAACATTAGCCCAGCCCTTTGCTGCATCTGTGCCCAGGGATGGAGCTTCCTACCCCAAGGCCAGGGGTTCTCTGATTCCCAGAAGAGCCACAGAGCCCAGCACACCCCGGAGCCAAGCACAGAGGTACCTCTCCAGCCCAAGTGGGCCTCTCCGGCAGAGGGCACCCAACTTCAGCCTGGAGCGGACACTGGCAGCCGAGATGGGTGAGTGCAGGAGTCTGACTTGGACAGAACTGCATGGGTTGAAAAATCAAATAGAAAAACTTGCAGAACCCTTTAGGATATGACATATTAGCCAGGTTCATTGTACTGAAATTTGAAATTACAGATAACGTGGACAAAAGGGAACAAAAGAAAAAAAAATACTCTGGAAACCATCAGTGCTGACGTTTTGGTGTAGAACCTGTGAGCTGTTCTCTGTGCCGATATAAATGTGTGTTTGTTTACACATACTGTCATGCACTGCATAGCAACGTTTTGTTCAACGACAGACAGCGTGCACGGCGGTGGTCCCATAAGATTTTCATGGAGCTGAAAATTCCTTTGGTTGCGATGTTGCAGTCATTGCAGAGCAACACTTCACTCACATGTTTGTGGTGATGCTGGTGGAAACAAACCTACTGCGCTGCCGGTCACATGAAAGTACAGTCCCAGCCGGGTGCAGCGGCTCGTGCCTGTAATCCCAGCACTTTGGGAGGCCGAGGCGGGTGGATCACCTGAGGTCAGGAGTTCGAGACGAGCCTGGCCAACGTGGTGAAACCCCGTCTCTACTAAAAATACAAAAAATTAGCCAGGCATGGTGGCAGGTGCCTGTAATCCTAGCTACTTGGGAGGCTGAGGCAGGAGAATTGCTTGAACCCGGGAGGTGGAAGTTGCAGTGAGCTGCAATCGTGCCATTGCACTCCAGCCTGGGTGACAGAGCAAGACTCTGTATCAAAAAAAAAAAAAAAAGTACAGTACAGGCCGGGCATGGTGGCTCATGCCTGTAATCTCAGCACTTTGGGAGGCCAAGGTGGGAGGATCACTTAAGGCCAGGATCACCTGTGGCCAACATGACAAAACCCCATCTCTATTAAAAATACAAAAATTAGCCAGGTGTGGTGGCTTACGACTGTAATCCCAGCTACTCAGGAGGCTGAGGCATGAGAATTGCTTGAACCCAGGAGGCGGAGGCAGAGGTTTCAGTGAGCCAAGATCGCACCACTGCACACCAGCCTGGGTGACAGAGCAAGACTCTGTCTCAAAAAAAAAAAAAAAAAGTACCGTATAGCACCTACGATTATGTACAGTACCTAATACTTGATAACTAATGACTCTGTTACTGGTTTATGTATTTACTATACTTTTTATCATTATTTTAGAGTGTATTTCTTCTACTTATTTTAAAAATGTTAACTATTTTTTTTTTTTTTTTTTGAGACAGAGTCTCGCTCTTTCACCCAGGCCAGACTGCAGTGGCACAATCTCGGCTCACTGCAAGCTCTGCCTCCCAGGTTCACGCCATTCTCCTGCCTCAGCCTCCCAAGTAGCTGGGACTACAGGCGCCCACCACCATGCCTGGCTAATTTTTTGTATTTTTAGTAGAGACGGGGTTTCACCGTGTTAGCCAAGATGGTCTCGATCTCCTGACCTCGTGATCCGCCCTCCTCAGCCTCCCAAAGTGCTGGGATTACAGGCGTGAGCCACCGCGCCCAGCCTAAAAATGTTAACTATTAAATAGCCTCAGGTAGTCCTTCGAGAGGTATTCCAGAAGAAGGTGTTGTTATCACAGATGACAGTGCTATTATTGCCCCAGAAGAACAAGATGTGGAGGTAGAAGACAGGGATATTGATGACCCTGACCCTATACAGGCCTAGGCTAATGTGTGTGTGTGTCTGTGATGTGTGTGTGTTTGTCTTAGTTTCTAACAGAAAAGTTTTTAAAGTTTTTTAAAAAAAAGTTAAAAATAGAAAAAAGCTTATAAGGATATCAAGAAAGAAAATATTTTTTACTTTACAATGTATTTTTAAGTTAAATGTTATTACAAAAGAGTCAAAAGGTTAAAAACCATTTAAAAAGCTTATAAAGTAAAAATGTTACTGTAAGTTAAACTTGATTAATTATTGAAGAAAAAACTTTTGTATAAATGTTGTAAATTTAGCCTAAGTGTATGGTGTTTATAAAGTCTACAGCAGTGTACAGTAATGTCCTAGGCCTTCACATTCACTCACCACTCACTCACTGACTCACCCAGAGCAACTTCCAGTCCTGCGAGCTCCATTCATGGTAAGGACCCTTTACAGGTGTACCATTTTTAAAATCTTTTATACCATATTTTTATGGTCTGTTTTCTATGTTTAGATACACAAATACTTACCATTGTGTTACAGATACCTACAGTATTCAGCAGGCAATGTTGTAGAGGTTTGTAGCCTACAATAATGGGCTATTCCATCTACCTCACATATGTAATAGGTGTGGGTAATCTATGATGTTTGTGACATGGTGAAACAGAATAACAATGTGTTTCTGGGAGCTTATACCCAATATTAAGTGATGCGTGACTATACTTAAAACAGAAATGAGGCTGGGCACGGTGGCTCACGCCTGTAATCCTAACACTTTGGGAGGCTGAGGCGGGTGGATCACCTGAGGTCAGAAGCTCAAGACCAGCCTGGCCAACATGGCAAAACCCCATCTCCACTAAAAATACAAAAATTAGCCAGACGTGGTGGCTGGCACCTAAAATCCCAGCTACTCAGGAGGCTGAGGCAGGAGAATGGCTTAAACCCGGGGGCGGAGGTTGCAGTGAGCTGAGATTGCGCCACTTCACTTCAGCCTGGGCGAAAGAGCAAAACTCCATCTCAAAAAACATAAAAAAAAAAAACAAAAAATAAGATCATTTTATATGTGAATATTTGGCGACCTCCTTTTTTCACTAAATTGTACTATAAACACTTTCCATGTCTATGAAATCTATATGTGATTCAGTTTTTGACCTTTAGAAATACACATGAATTATTTATTGAAATTAAAAACCACCAAAAAGAACTTAAATTGATGAGTTTTTACAAGGTGAACAGACACCAAGAAACTCAGTATGATCTGAACCCCAGAACCTCACTGAAGTCCCATTTAGTCACTACCTGCTTCCCAAACATAACCACTGTTCTGACTTCTGACACCTCAGATTAGCTTTGCCTAAAAGGTTCATCTTTTTTTTTTTTTGAGATGGAGTCTCGCTCTGTTGTCCAGGCTGGAGTGCAATGGTGCACTCTCTGCTCACTGCAACATCCACCTCCCGGGTTCAAGAGATTCTCCTGCCTCAGCCTCCTGAGAAGCTGGGATTATAGGCACGCGCCACCACGCCTGGCTAATTTTTGTATTTTTAGTGGATATGGGGTTTCACCATGTTGGTCAGGCTGGTCTCGAACTCCTGACCTTGTGACCCGCCCGCCTCGGCCTCCCAAAGTGCTGGGATTACCGGCATGAGCCACCACGCCCAGCTGGTTCATTATTTTAAAAACGTTTTTAATTAAACTTTTTTTTTTTGAGATGGAGTCTCACTCTGTCCCCCAGGCTGGTATGTAGTGGTACGATCTCAGCTCACTGCAACCTCCACCACTCAGGTTCAAGTGATTCTCCAGCCTCAGCCTCGCGAGTAGCTGGGACTACAGGTATGCACCACTGCGTCCAGCTAATTTTTGTATTTTTAGTAGAAATGGGTTTCACCATGTTGGCCAGGCTAGTCTCAAACTCCTGACCTCAAGTGATCCGCCCGCCTCAGCCTCCCAAAGTGCTGGGATTATAGGTGTGAGCCGCCACGCCCGGCCTTTAATTAAACTTTTTATTTGGAGATAATTGTAGATTCACATGCAGTTATAAGAAATAATACACAGAGATCCCATGTGCCTTTACTCAGTTTTCCCCAGTGAGACTATCTTGCAAAACTGTAGTACAATGTCACAGCCAGATGTTGACATTGATGCAGTCAAGATACAGAACGTTCCATCACCACAAGGAGCCTCATGCTACCCTTTCATAGGCACACCCACTTCCCTCCTGCCCCCAGCCTGTCCTTAACCCCTGGTAAGCACTAATCTGTTCTCCATTTCTATAATTTTATCATTTCAAGAATGTTCTATAAATAGAATCATATACTATGTAACCTTTTGGGATTGGCTTTTCACTCAGCATAATTCTCTGGAGATTTATCTAGATTATTCTGTGTATTAATAGTTAGCTCCTTTATATATTGCTGAGTAGTATTCCAAGGGTTTCATTGCTTTTATTTTTTATTTATTTCTTTATTGTTTTTGAGACAGGGTCTTGCTCTGTCACCCAGGCTGCAGTGCAGTGTCGCCATTATGGCTCACTGCAGCCTTGTCCTCCCTGGCCCAAGCGATCCTCCTGCTTCAGCCTCCCAAGTAGCTGGGACCAAAGGGGCATACTTCCACATCCAGCTAATTTTTTTATATATATAATTTTTTTTTTTTTTTGCAAAGATGGGGTCTTTCTATATTACCTAGGCTAGACTCAAACTTCTGGGCGCAAGCAATCCTCCCGTCTCAGCCTCCCAGAGTGCTGGGATTACAGGCGTGAGCCACCATGTCTGGCCAGTTCATTGCTTTTAATGCAGGGGACGGATTAGTGGTTTTTAACCTTTGGTCACCCATCCCTTTGGGAGATTCGTTAAAAGTTATTAATGCTCTCCCCAGAAACATGCATACGTGGAAAGAGGTGACTATAATTTCAGAGGAGGCTCTGAAGCCAGCCCCACAAAAACATGGTGAGAAGGTGATCAAGTCTTGAGGAACCCAAGTGAAGAAGTGATTAATTCTTTGCAGGGGAAGTTCCTGAAGACTCGGATGGTGTCATGGTGGGTGGGAGGAGGGGTTCTGGTTAGAAACAGCGGGGCAGGCCCAGCTCAGCACCCCACACTCCCAGCAAAATCTAGATCTTCTGGTTTGGAGGTCAGTGTGGGTCATTGGCCTCATCAGGAACTTCCTTTGTGACCTTGAACTAGGCACCGTCTCTTCACTTCCCCCATCATTCCACCTGCACAAGTGTGAGCTTGGAAGTTCTCTCTGCTTAAACTCACTTTGGGTTCTCTCTCTGCCTCCCTAGCGGTTCCTGGCTCAGAGTTTGAGGGGCACAAACGGATTTCTGAACAGCCCCTTCCCAACAAGACAATCAGCCCACCCCCAGCCCCCGCCCCTGCCGCTGCGCCTCTACCCTGTGGACCAACAGAGACCATCCCCAGCTTCCTGCTCACCAGGGCAGGGCGAGAGTAAGTTAGACACTTGGATCCTGGGGATTCAAGCTCATCATACAGACGGGAGCGTGATGCGACGTGTTAGCAGGTGGAGGTGGAGACCTGCCCAGCTCACACAGATGGTGGTGGTAGGAGCAGACGGACCCAGGTGTCCTGCCTCCCAGTTCCCAGCGTTTCTGTGGGACCTCATTGATCTAGACATCGAGGACACACTTCTCCAGCCAGTGGAATATGACCTAAAGATTCACCTTTCTGGTGCTGACACTTATGCCCTCTCTCTCCATCATCTCTTTTCCGAGAAAAGCCTGTCCTTTCTAGGGCTATCTTTTCTGCAATTTGACCATTGATTGTATGGACCAAGAAGCTACTGCCTTCTGAGTTTTTCTTTTCTTTTTTTGGTTCGTGTGCATTTTTTCTACTAAGAAAGTTCCACTTCCTTGGTTGAACAGAAATGGTAAAATCGCTTGGTCAGTTCTCTCACACCTCCTCTTAGTTGCTTTTGGCCAGTGATCACTTACACACCCTTGCTGGAGTGGGTGTCTGTCCCGGGATGCGCTGGGGAGACTGCTCGGTGGTGGCCCAGCCAAGGTTTCTTTGGCTCGAACAGGCATGAGGCTGTCATGTTGCCTACGTGCAAAGTTGTGTCCAGCTGCTGGTGTTTGGCTTCCTTGTCTGAGTTTAGTAAGTCTACCCCTGCAGCCTCCCCTGACATCAGTGGAGGAATTAGAGGCTTGTTTGTCTAGGGTATGCCAGGCCTTGGGAATACAATAGTGGACAAGACTCTATCCTAGGCCTCTTAAAGCTTACCATCTTGTAGGATGAACAGACAAAGAAACAGGCAGTAGTGCCCTCCATTGTGATAAATACCATGATGGCAGAGGACTAAAGGACTGTGGGAGCACAGCGAAGGAGCATCTGGTCCGGTTAGAGGCTTCAGGGAGGGCTTCCTGGAGGAAGTGGTATCTCAGCAGACATCAGAAGGAAGAGAGATAGAAGAGTATCTTCAGTGGAGGGAATGGCATGTGCAAAGTCCTAAAGGTGAGAGAGTGCCCATCACCTTGGAGGAGCTAAACGGTCAGCCAGATCCTCTAGTGTGAGGGGGTGGAGTGTTGAGCAGTAAAGGAAGAGAGGGGTAGAGAGGAGAGACCTATGGGAGATCCTACAGGGCCTGAAGGCCATGGGTAAGGGGAGACATTCACTGCATATTCCATGAGTGCACAAAGGCTGAGAGGACAGGGAAGGGGATTTTAAGCAGGGACGTAGCGTAGGCAGGTTTATGTTTTAGAGTTCTCTGGCCACCGGCAGGGTGAGAACGGAGACCAAGAGACTGCTGAGAAGGCTGCCACATCCAGGAGAGAGATGATGGGGACTGGGTTCTCGGGGAGGGCCCCTACAGAGGGGAAGAAGGGATTCATTTGGGAAGAGGTATTTTGGAAGTTGGGCCCATGAGACTTGGTAACTAATTAACTTCAGGGATGTTCAGGGAAGGAGGGGATCTAGAGTGACTCAGAGTTCTGTCTGGCTAGTCAGGTAGATGCTGCTGCCATGTGCAGAGACAGGGAAGTAAGTTTGCAGAGAAAGATGAATGTTAAGTGCCTGCTGGCACTCAGTAAGAAACTAAAGAGTTACATCAGAGAGACTGAGATACCCAAGTGGCTGACTCACGCCCCCGGCCTGGTAAGTCTTTTTTTTTAGTGCCTTCTGACTAGGAGGCGGAGCTCTCCATTTCAGGAGTTAACTGGGGGTGGGGAGATGTCACTCTCCAGTAGCCACCGCCCACACTTGCCCTCGTGGCTTTGCCTCAGAAACACCAGCAAGCGTCTCCCTGGGGATTACCAAGGGAACCCACTGCCCTCAGACACACACACTCAGCGCTGGGGCACAGCCAGGAAGAGGCCTCCACTCCTTCTGACACAGTCATCTGAGCGCTCATGTCTGCTGGAGGCGGCACCAGGGGATACTCACCCAGGAGTCCAGGGGCCACCAGGCAAGAACGGCCCCAGTGGGAATTCCCACCCCAGAAGCCAGACCAAGTAGATGTGGAGCCTGCATCCGCCTGGAGGGTGGCTTTGCTGAGCCTGGCTCTAACGCTGCTCCGTGGTTGAGGGGGTCTTGTGGGGAGGGGTATCTGGGTAGGATTGTCTGCTGCGGTGTCAGCAATGCCCACAAAACAAGACCCTGAAGATGCAGGGACTGATTGGAGAGAAACACAGACAGGATTTACTCCCTCAGTGCTGGTGGCTGGAGGTTGGACCATGTTGGGGGTTTCACCAGGATTTACTATAGTCTTGCAGACAGCTTCCAGCCTGCTCTTAGTCAGCCCTCCCGGTTCAGGTGGTGCTAGGAAGCATCGAGGTGTCTCCCTGTCCGCTCTCCACTCACAGCGCTTTATTCTGCTCCGTCTCAGAGCCCAGATCCACTGCAGTACTGTTTCCTGAGCATCCACAAGGTGCAGGGCCTCAGGGGTTATAAGACAGGAAGCCCGCTTCTTTCTTGTCTGCTGGCGGCTCACTGTCTGTGTGGGGAGATGGTGGACAAGCATCTTCTGCCAGGTCTGGAGAGATGGGCTTGCACAGTGGTAGGGAGAGGAGCTGGGCCTGGACAGAGAGTGAAGGTTGGTATTTTATGGCAGAACTGTAGCTAGGGCCCTCTCTATGCTGCATCCTTGTCTCCATCTCGAGAATTTGTCACTGGTGTTCCTGAACAGCCACTCAGACCCCATGTGTTAGGAAGAGAAAACTTCAAAGAAAAGTTCTGTTTTGTTCACTGCACAGGGACATGAACTCAGAAAGGTGTCAAGTTGTGTAGCAAGAAAAGTGTCGCACAGGAAAGTTCTAGAATCGTTTGACAGCAGAGATAGACCCTGTGCCTGCTGTGAAGGGACAAAGGCTGCCGCATCCTGGCATACTCGGGTGGCTGCAGCTCTGTTCCTCATGCCTCTGTTCTTTGTTTCTGTCTCCACTCCAACCCCAGCCAGGCCATCTGTGAGCTGCAAGAAGAGGTGTCCCGGCTTCGTCTGCGGCTGGAAGACAGCCTGCACCAGCCACTCCAGGGCAGCCCGACACGCCCAGCATCTGCCTTTGACCGCCCCGCCCGGACCCGCGGCCGGCCAGCAGACTCCCCAGCCACCTGGGGCTCCCATTATGGCAGGTGGGTGACCTCAAAACTCCCACCTCTGTCCTGGTGGCAGCTACAGAAGATAGTCTTGGCTGGCCTCTGGCTCTCCCCAGACATATGGACTCAGGCACTGCCACATCCCTCTCTCACTCATTCATTCATTCACTGTTGAGCTTGTTCACTGTGCAGTATTTGATGCACAAAAGAATATATAAACCTCTATGTTAATAATAAAGAATAGGCCGGGCGCAGTGGCTCATGCCTGTAATCCAGCACTTTGGGAGGCCGAGGCGGGAAGATGACGAGTTCAGGAGTTCGAAACCAGCCTGACCAACATGGTGAAACCCTGTCTCTACTAAAAACACAAAAATTAGCTGGGCGTGGTGGTGTGCGCCTGTAATCCCAGCTACTCAGGAGGCTGAGGCAGGAGAATTGCTTGAACCCAGGAGGCGGAGGTTGCAGTGAGCTGAGATTGTGCCACTGCACTCCAGCCTGGGCAACAGAGAGAGGCTCTGTCTCAAAATAATAATAATAATAATAAAGAATAATACAATGAATATCCCTAGACCCACCACCCAACCAAAGAGTTAGAACATTGCCAGCATGCCTTCACTCTCACCCATTAATTCGGTGTTTGTTCATTTATGACAATGACATAAAATCAGCTGGCTTCTTTTGAGTCTATGGGAGGGCACTTGATGAAGGGTTTTATGAACATTTTCTCATTAATCTTTTTATAACCCTCTGAGGTAATTGCTGTTATTATCCCCACTTGACAGATGAGGAAACTGAGGATCAGAGAGGCGCAGAGCCATTTTCTGTGAAACTGACTTCAGAGTCTGGCTTTGACTTCTATACTCTCTTCCTTCCATCGTGTTAGAAGCATTTCTCCAGGTTGAACTTCTCACAAATAACCTTTAAAGGCCACACAAAACCTCATCCAATGACATCATCTCTCTTTCCTTTTGCTAGTAAATCCACAGAGAGATTGCCTGGTGAGCCTAGAGGTGAAGAGCAGATTGTCCCTCCAGGAAGGCAGCGAGCCAGGTCTTCCTCAGTGCCTCGGGAGGTGCTCCGACTGTCCCTGAGTAAGTGACCACCTGCAAAGGCTGATTTCCAGAGGCCACAGTCTGAGCATGTTGGCTCAGTGGTCAGGGACCACAGCAACAGTATTCAAGGAAACTTGGAGAAGGGTTTTTGTGCATCTGTTTTAGGATATTATAGTGCTGTGAAGCACAGAGCACTTCTAAAGTCCTGCACACCTACTGCGTGTAGGGTGTCTGTAAGGGCTTTGTAGCTGCTGTCTTGCTTAACCTCCACTGCAAGATGGTCATATTATCCACATTTCACAGATAAGGGCGCTGAAGCCCAATGAGCGCAGGGGATGTGCTAAAGGATCAGGGCTCTGGAGTCAGTAGCCGGGATCAGCGAGCTCCCCTCCACTTGTCCTTGGCCGAGTTGTTTACCTGCTCTGAGCAGTTAAAGGGACAGCTCACCATGTAGTTATAACAGTGTCCACATCGTGGGATTGCTGTGAAGGTGCCCAACACGGCACACACAGAGCGTCTAGACTAGCGCTTGGCACGGGGGCAGGGTTCTGGAAATGCCAGCTGTTACTCCTAAGGGGGAGACTGGGGATTAAAACCCAGGCATCCACCCCAGAGCCTAAACTCATGGCATACCCACTCCTTGAGAAATGTGACCCCCACCCCTTGCCCCCTCTGATGCCCCACTTTTTCTACCCCAGGTTCAGAATCTGAGCTGCCCTCCCTACCACTGTTCTCTGAGAAGAGCAAGACCACCAAGGACAGTCCACAGGCAGCTCGGGATGGAAAGAGAGGGGTGGGCAGTGCTGGATGGCCAGACAGGGTCACCTTCCGGGGCCAATACACAGGTAGGTCAGGAGGGAGGGCCGGGATGGGTGCAGCTCCTGGTGTCAGCGGGGGCTCCTCTGTTATGAGAAGCCCTTTCCATATACCCAGTGGGCCATTCAAATATCATTTTCTATCAGTTCTGTGATATGAAAACCAGCAGGGAGCATTGCCTCCATGAATCTCGGTGCACTTGTTCATTCATTCATTCATTCATTCATTCAGCAAACACTTTCTGATGCTTCCCCTTTGCCAGGGCCCATGCTTGGTTCTGGGAAGTCTGTTCAGCTGGTCAATCCTAAAGAAGTTCTGATCACCTGTGCTTTTCCGGCTCGGAGCATACAGGGTGGACACTGAATTGGATGTCCCATTTGCACCTGGCTTCCTTCAGGTTCTCATTTCCAGAGGGCCCCTGTGTCTCAGGAAACAGGACCTGGCACAGAGTAAAGACTTGAGATGACACATGGTAGCATTTCAAGTGCTTATAACATTAACACAAAAATATGGGTTGGGTGTGGTGGCTCACACCTCTAATCCCAGCACTTTGGGAGGCCGAGGTGGGAGAATCACCTGAGATCAGTAGTTCAAGACCAGCCTGGCCAATGTGACAAAACCCCGTTTCTACTAAACATGCAAAAAAAATTAGCTGGGTGTGGTGGCGGGTGCCTGTAATCCCAGCTATTTGGGAGGCTGAGGCACAAGAATCTCTTGAACCCAGGAGGCAGAGGTTGCAGTGAGCCAAGATCATGCCATTGCACTCCAGCCTGGGTGACAGTGAGACTCCGTCTCAAAAATACATAAATATATATATATATATATATATATGGATATGGTTCTCACCTTCATGAATCTGACTGTAGCAGAGAAGATGATAACCAATAGGTAATTATAGTAAAGGCATCATCTCTCACAGACACCTTGCAGAAGAGGGAGGGCTGCTGACCTCAGATTCTGGGGACAAGGCAAGAGGCCAGAGGCACATTCTGCTCCATGGACCATAACGAGGGAGTGGACAGAGGCCAAGGAGTTAGAAACGACAGTAGCAGGAACACCTCCAAGCTCACCGGACAATCTCTCTGTGGACTTACTAGCAAAAGGAAAGAGATGATATCATTGGATGAGGTTTTCTGTAGCCTTTAAAGGTGATCTTAACCCTTAATAGTGAGCTTAACCTGGAGAAATGCTTCCAACACAATGAGAGGAAGAGAGTATAGAAGTCAAAACCAAAGACTCTGAAGTCAGTCTCACAGAAAATGGCTCTGAGCCTCTCTGACCCTCAGATTCCTCATCTGTCGCGTCGGGAAAATAAGAGCAATTACGTTCAGCTCCACATACACAAAGCCAGAACAGCACAGGAGGGAAATGAGATGATGAGACCGCTCCACAGTGGCTTCAGGTGTCACCCAGAAGGCCTTATTTGAAACTCAGGGGTGGGTAAGGCAGGAGGTGGTGGGGCTGGGTGAGGAGGCCACAGTCCGCCCAGCTTTCTCATAACATCAACTGCTTTCCATCTGCCAGGCACTGGGCGGAGCACGACACGGATACGGCCCCGTTCAGTTCTCCCAACAAGCCTGTGAAATGGGCGCTATGTTTATCCCCATGTTACAGCCGCTCAGAGCATGGGGAGAAAACACCACTGACCCTGTGCCCGAGCCATTCAGAACCAAACCAGCAAGTCGGGGTGTGGGGAATAGCATCACTTGTTCATTTCTTATTGTTGCTTTGCTTATCATTTCTTCCTGGCCTGCTTTCAAATCCTGACTTAGCCTGGGTGTGTTGGTTGCTACTGGATGTCAGCTGGTTCTAGGATCTGAGATGAAACAGAATAGGAGTCTGGAGAAAGCTTACAATAAACAGACACAAAGATGTTCGGTGACGTATATGTGTGTATGTGTGTCATACTTAAATATGTACATATTTTACACATGATGTGTGTATGCACACTCACCGTGTGCACACGTGAGAGAGAGACAGAGACTATTAAAACCATTTGGAGGAAGAGGAGATCATTATTCCAGAATCTTCCTCTATTTTGCATCCATCCACAGGGCTGATACTGACAGTTCTGGTTTCTTTCCCCAGGCCACGAATACCATGTTCTGTCCCCTAAGGCGGTCCCAAAAGGCAATGGCACAGTCTCCTGTCCCCACTGCCGGCCCATTAGGACCCAGGATGCGGGTAAGGAATGGCACCTGGAAAACTGGCCCAGGCAGCTGTGGCTGCAGCTTCTTGCCCTCAGGGGAGTGTGTACTTGACAAGATCTGGCCTGCCCTGAACTTAGCAGTGGGTTATAGGGACAGACCAGGGAAGAGGATTTTTCTGGGTGTCCTGCCGTCACATCTGTTGCTTCAGGTGCTGCTGCCTGAAGCCACCCTCCTTGATTTAAGAAGTTCCTGAAGGGTCCTGATAGGTGGCCTCCAGGCAGCAGGGGACCTGGCATCAGTGATTATGTCTTATTCTCCCCTCCATCCTCCCTTCACCCCTCATACTTTCCCCCAAGTCCACAGGAGTGGCAGAGAGAGCAGTGGCCCGATAATCCAGGCAATGGGTTCTAGTCCCAGTTCTGCCACTGACTTGCTGTGTGACCTTAGGCCAGTTCCTTGACTTCTCTGTACCTCAGTCACCACATCTATAATGAAAGGATTGGAAGAGATGGTCTCTAGGACTTTTCAAGCAATAGTGATGATAATGACTGATGATAATGAGCTGCCATTTATTAAGTCCCTCTCTGTAGAGGGTGTCATGTTAAGGGTTTTGCATAAATTAATCCTCACAGTTCTATGAACTAAGTACTGCAGTACTATTACGTCCATTTTATAGACAAGGACACCAAGGCTCAGAGAGATTAAGTAACTTGCCCAAGGGCACACAGCTTACAAGTGGTAGAAGCAGGATTTGAACCCAGGTCTTTGTGACTCCAGAGTCCCACCTTTTCACCACTATGCTCTTCCTGTGCTAGTGTTAGAGTCCTGACAGGCCTCTCCGTTCATGCCTGCATGCATTCATTCATTCATTCATTCATTCATCACTTACCCCTATGGGGCCCTGGGCCCCGTCCCCAAGGAACACACAACAAAGCAGAGTGGCCAAAGCTGGGGTAGGGGAGCACGAGTGGGGCTGGGGGGTGCCTGACTCTGCCGGGGTGGGTGGGAGGGCTTCCCAGAGGGAGTGGTGGTTGAGCCAAGGCCTGAAAGAGAAACAGACCAGCCCTGGAACTCACCCAGGTGTGGCATTGGGGATGTATGTGGGAAGAGAACAATGGCACCCACTCTCCTCCTGTTCCCTTTTGCCTCTACTGACCCCCCTGGTTCCCCAGGGGACTGTTCTGGGCCACTCCCACATGGAGAATGGCTCTGTCTCACTGTGGTTGGGGCGGGGGGTTGGGCTGCATTTGGGAGAGCCCGGGCTTAGGATCCAAGGACCACTGCTTCCCAGCTCTGAGACCCTTGGCAAATTACTTGACGTCTTGGACCCTTAATTTCCCCATCTGTAAAGTGGGGGAGTGAGGACAGTGGCTAGCCCAGTGGCTTGTTGGATTTGATAAAATAATGCAGGAAGGCCCTTAGCAGAGGGCCTGGCTCACTAAATGCTTGCTCTCACTGTCATGGTTGTTGTCAATGTCATCACCCAGATGGAGGCAGCTTGTCCCCTCCGCAGTGGGTCCCGAGGAGAGCTCAGTGCTGCAGAAGGCCTGCATGGGGGCTCCTGATCTGATGATTTAGATGTAATCCTCCCCTGACATCTCTTCCTCCTCTTCTAGGTGGTGCTGTCACAGGGGACCCACTGGGACCGCCTCCCGCTGATACCCTTCAGTGTCCCCTGTGTGGTCAAGTTGGGTCTCCCCCAGAGGCAGATGGTCCAGGCTCAGCCACCTCTGGTAGGGACAAATACTGTTTCTTCTCTTAGCCAGACCCTCAGCTCTCCTTGACCAGGGTTATTAGACCTGGGTGAGTTTAACTGGAGCAGCTGTTGTTCCAGTCTGGGACAGAGCAACTGGGGCAGAGGATTTGTTCCCCAAAGAGAGACCTCCCCGACATGGAGTCTCACAGGGTAGGGCCTGTCCAGCTCTCATAGGGGAAGGGCTGGGTGGACCCTCCATCTTTGGCTGGATCTGCCAAGTGGTCAGACTCTGTCTCTCTGTGCTGTTCCCTCCCTGATAGGGGCAGAGAAGGCCACCACGAGGAGAAAAGCATCTTCAACTCCCAGCCCCAAGCAGAGGAGCAAGCAGGCGGGGTCGTCGCCACGCCCACCCCCCGGACTGTGGTATCTGGCAACAGCGCCCCCAGCACCAGCCCCTCCAGCCTTTGCCTACATCTCCTCGGTTCCCATCATGCCTTATCCACCTGCCGCTGTGTAAGAGCCTTCATTCTGACCTTCCCAGCCTCTTTCTATAGATCACTGAATATGTTAGCATTCAGACCTGGGTGGGGCAGCTGAGATGCAGTATACTCCTCCTGTGTTTTATCCCTGCGTGGATAACATGCAGTAGGAGCCCAACACTCATATAGTCACTCAACAAAGCCAACACTCATATAGGCACTCAACAAACCCATGTACCAAGGAGAGTGCTCGGCCCTGGGACCCAGCAGTGAAGGGGACTAGCAAGAGGGCCCTGCCCTCTGGGAGCTTATAACTTTGTGGAGACTGAGAATCCTAACCATCTTCCATTTTCCTTATGGGTTTTCTCCGCAAGTAAG
Source organism: Homo sapiens (assembly GCF_000001405.40). Classification (NCBI taxonomy): domain Eukaryota; kingdom Metazoa; phylum Chordata; class Mammalia; order Primates; family Hominidae; genus Homo; species Homo sapiens. The sequence continues at coordinate 114,341,188 of NC_000009.12, read as the reverse complement.
TGATGAGCACTGGGTTTTTTTTAATAGACTTTATTTTTTAGGACAGTTTTAGATTTATAGGGAAATTGAGCAGATAGTCCAGAGAGATTCCCACAATCCTCCTCACTCCTGCACAAACAGTTTCCCCTATTATTAATATCTTACAATAATGTGGCACATTGGCCACGTTAGTGAAGCAATATCCATACATTATTGGTAACTGAAGTTCGTAGTTCCTTCAGGCCGTTTTCCTCCAAAGTCCTGTCTCTGTTCCAGGATCCCATCCACGATCCCATGTGGTATGCGATTGCCATGCCTCCTTACGCCCCCTCGGCTGTGACAGATCCTCAGACCTTCCTTGTTTTTGATGACCTGGACATCTCTGGGGAGTCCTGGTCGGGAATATTGTAGGACTTTTTGCACAGATTCTGGACGTAACATCAGTCAAGCCAGGAGAGGCAGGGCAGCCGAGACAGAAGTGGCTTGGGTTTGGAGTTGGCCAGAGCTACCGTGGAGTCCCATCTGCCCCCTAGTAGCACTGTGGCCTTGGCAAACTAACTTCCTCTCAGAGCCTCCACTTCCCCATCTGTTAAATGGAGGAAGAGTCTCAACCACGTACTTAATCCTGTGCGTGAGGATTAAGTGTGGCACGTGGCAGGAACCAAATGAGAAGTGTGTGGAGTTTGTGGTGCCATTTGGTCACGTGCTCATTGCTGAGCAAACAGTAGCTTCGCCATCACAGAGAATGTTGCTATTGCTCAGTGTTGTCACTAGTAGGAAGAAGAAGGAGTAAAAGTGGGTTCAACATGATAGGATTGTGCAGGGACAAAAGCCCAGTCCCCAGAAGTAGGAAACCTGTCTTCTTGTCTCAGCTGTCAGCAGCTACTTCTCTGCCTGCTTCCCCTGCTGTGAAATGAGTCGATTGGGACTGGATGTCTTCAGTGGCTGTGTTGCCAGAAGCCTGGGTGTGTAGGCAGTGAGGGCCTGCGTCACTGTGAGGGCTGGTGCTTGGTGGAGCAGGGACCCAAGGCGCCATCCAGCCCTGGTCCTCTATTCGGGGACCAGGCCTATAAATGTGCTTTTAAAAATTTTTTATGTATATGTGTTTTCTGAGACAGGGTCTGGCTTTGTCGCCCAGGCTGGAGTGCAGTGGCGCCATCTTGGCTCACTGCAACCCCCATCTCCAAGATTCAAGCTATTCTCATGCCTCCTCCTCTCAAGTAGCTGGGAATACAATAGTGTGCCACCACACCCGGCTAATTTTTTTGGTATTTTTGGTAGAGATGGGTTTCGCCATGTTGGCCAGGCTGGTCTTGACCTCCTGGCCTCAGGTGATCTGCCCGCATTGGCCTCCCAAAGCACTGGCATTACAAGGTGTAGCCACCGCGCCCGGTATGTAAATTTGCTTTCTTGCTGCCCTCTCAGCTGAGTCTAAGCAAGTCGCTAAGGAATCTTCCACTCCAGCAGAGATGAGAACCAATGCTGCATGCTCAGACCTCCAGCAGACACGGGGGAAAGCGCCTGCCAGTGTTCCAACTCATTGATCGGGAAAGGTTTTGCCCAGAATTTGGTGACCCCACGGTAGCCATGGAGTCTTTACTTCTCCTGAGGCCCCATTTCACATTCTTCCAGGCTCAGGCCTGTGGGCAGAACTCACCAGGTTGCTGTTTCCAACTCAGGATGGGCGGGTTATACCTATGCCTCAGTTTCCTTCTCTGCGAAATGGGTTGTGCTGAGGATTGAATGAATTAATGCATGGAAAGCCCATAGTACATAGAAGTTGCCAATAATGATGGTGCTTCTAATGCTGCTAGAATTTGCGCTGGTGACACCCTGAAATTTCTCCAGCTGCTGGTCAGCAGGACTGAACGGGCCCAGTGGTTGAGACCAGTGTAGTTTGGAAAGCGGAGTGGGCCTGTGCTGCCCCCTGCTGGGCAGCCGTCCCATAGCCCCTGCAGCCGAGACTTTCCAGCCCAGAGGGACTTTTTCAGTGTTGGCCCTAGGGAGAGTTTTGGGTAACTTTCAGGCCAAGTTGGTCATCAAATTAACAGAAGGTGGGGGTGTATGAAAACCCAGCCCAGACAGTCCCTACTTTTACAATGGTTCGATTTATGATTTTTCGACTTTACAGCGGGTTTATAGGGGCATAACCCCATCGTAATTTGAGGAGCCTCTGTAGTTACTTACACCAGACGGTCCCTAGAGGAGGGAGTGCAGGCTGCTGTTTTGGGGATGCAAGAAGCCCGTTCATACAGTTCAGATTATTTTATCAGCATCTGCTGCTTGCCAATTAGCACACATTAGATATGTGGGGAGAGTCGGGCCCAGGTGTGAACCCATGGCTGCCCCTTCCAGCTGTCTGACTCTGGGTCTTAGGAGCTCACGTTTATGGAGCACTTACCGGAGCCAGGCAGTGCCAGCTTTTTACCTGAATTTTCCATCAGCTCTAAGCTGAGAGGTTGCTAACTGTGGTCGTTTTAGGTGGGAAAACAGAGGCCTTGCAAAGTGACTTAGCTTGTCCAGAGTCCCATGAGTAGCCCAGCAGAATGACTGGGATTTGGGGCAGGGCTCCAGGGCCTGAGCTGCTAAGGCTGGTGCATTCTACTGCCTCCTGAATCACTTAGCTTCTCTGAGCTCCGCTTTGCTCATCTGTAAAATAAAGATAAAGGCACCAACTGGTACATGGGTACCAAAGATGAGGATGCCAGCCCTGGGCTAGGCACTGGGTTTAACTGTTGGAGGAACTGTCAGACTGTTTTCCACAGTGGCTCCACCATTTACATTCCCACCAGCAGTGCTGAGGATTCCAGTTTCTCCACATTCTTGTCAACACTTGTTGCTATCTGTCCTTTTTGATGTTAGAGGGTGTGCAGTGGTTTCACTTTGCATTTCCTGATGGCTAAGGATATGCATCTTTTCATGTACGTATTGTCCATTTGAATAGCTCCTTTGGAGAAATGTCTGTTTGGATCATCTGTTTCTACACACTGTATAACAATGCAAGTTAGACAGCAGGGGCTCAGGAATAAAGCCAGAGTTTACAGTGTGCCAAGCAAGATGCCAATGAATGACTCTGCTGCGTCCTCCTAAACTTATTCCTGATTTAGGTCCATGCTTCTTTATCTCCCTCCTCCACCACACACACCCTTTATTTAACAGTGCTGAGGCCACACCCCCTCTTGCCCACTGCTGGTTTCCTTGAACCCTAAACTTAGTGGCCCTGATGGATGCCATTGTCACCTCTTAGGGAAATCCGTGCTTCATCTCAATGGGCTTGTCAGCCCATTCCCACAGCACTTTAAAACAACACCTCACATTCCTATAGGACTGGGCTAGGAAGGATGCTCTTCTACCCACTTCCCAGGACATGGGGCCAGACCCTCCCACTCCTGCAGAATCCCTATTATTATTATTATTACTATTATTAATTATTAATTATTGCCTTTCTCCAGCACCCCTTGCTTGGCAAATGGAACCCCCAGATATTCTTCCATGAGGGGGTTTTGCTATCAAGCCTAGGGTGATCCTGGCCTCCCCAAGATCCGGCTCCAAGAAGATTGCAGGAGTCCATGTTTTCTTGTCCCACTGTAACCCCAGAGCCTGGCACGCTGGCTGGCATGTACTAGATGGGCAGTAAATCAGATGAACAGGTAGATTGAACTTCCTGTCCTTGAACACCTGTTCTGGGTCAGGCACTCATGTTGTTATCTTCCTTCATCTTTCTAAGAAATCCCTGGATGTGTGCCCATTATTCCCATTTTAGAGGTAAAGAAACTGAGACCCAGAGAGTAGGAGCCACTGGCCCAGCTGGGATTTAGAAGGGGGTTGACCCCACACACGGTGCTCCTCGGCTTGTCCCCAGCCCTCCCCATGTGTAACGAGCCCACTCACTTCTCTCCTCAGGTACTATGCGCCTGCAGGACCTACCTCAGCCCAACCAGCTGCCAAGTGGCCGCCCACAGCCTCTCCCCCACCAGCCCGGAGACACCGGCACTCCATCCAGCTCGACCTGGGCGACCTAGAGGAGCTCAACAAGGCCCTGAGCCGGGCCGTGCAGGCTGCCGAGAGCGTCCGCTCTACCACCAGGCAGATGAGAAGCTCGCTGTCAGCCGACCTGCGCCAGGCTCACAGCCTGCGGGGCTCCTGCCTCTTCTGACTTCACTGGGGGCCCAGAGGCAGATGGGTGGGTGGGTGGGCAGGTGGCCTGCCAGGCCAGGAGTGGGCTGGAGCTGCTGAGGCCCAGAAGGCCCGCATAGTTCCTCACCAGGAGGGTCTCCCTCCAGCACAGGTCCCGCCTGCTCAGTCCCTGTGCTTTCCAAGTGGAGGGGGTGTCAGCTCGGTCACCAAGAGAAGTGACTTCCCAGGAGCACCAGTCCCCTCACAGAGGTGCTGTGAGCGAGGCCTCCTTCGGTCCAGGCAGAACCTCAGGCAGTCTCTCCTGGTCCTGCATGTGTGCAACTCCAGCTAATAATAGGTATTTTATATACAGATGGACAGATATTTTTTTAAACTGGGGAGTTTTCCTGATCTTGGGTCCTCTTTAGGGGGCCAGACAAGAAAGGCCTACGGTTTCTGGAGCAAACCTGTCCCCCACCTGTGACCAGTCACTCTGGGGCAAGCATCACTGGGAAGGGCATAGCCGGAGACCTTTCTCCTAGTGACTGGTAGTCAGTGGGGCATTTTAGGATGTCAGGGCCCCAGGGTGACATGTGTCCAGCTTTTCTATGGCAGCAGAGGCCTTTCCCTCAGACAAGCTACAAAGTGCCCAGGATGCCATCCACCATGGTCCCCTTCAGTACCTCACGCATGGTCCCCAGCTTCTCCTAGGATCCCAGTGGCGTTTATCAGTGGCCAGCTACCTGCCAGGCCCGGGCTGGGGCACGGTCTGCGGCCATGAGGCCAGGCCGCCTCCCGCACCCCTACCCCGTGGCAGCAGCATACCTCTGCATTTCTGGAATGTGTGTGCATCAATGATGTTTGTATATTTGAGGCATTTAAAAATCTATTTTCGTTACGAGGGCAAATGAAGAATGAATATTGATCTTAAAAAAAGAAAAGAAGACAAAAAAAATACCCAAAGCCATCCGTGTCTCTGCTGTATGTCATTAACTTTTGCCTTCAATGTCAAGTTTATGGGGTGGTAGGTTTGATGCCCAGCCAAGCCCTTTCCCAGGGGACCTGTTGGGTGCTCTGCCTGCCTCCCTCTGGTGGCTTCTGTTTCTCCAGTTTTCCCCCTTTGCCTATCTCAGAACCATAAATCTTTCAACTGCGGAGGGCCTTGAGGTGGGGCTGCCTAGCCAAGTCCCTTTTGACTGAGGCCAGAGATGTAAATGAGGCACACAGCAAGTTGCTGTCTACAAGAGTATGCACCTGGACTCTCCAGTGCTCCTTTCTTTCTTTTTTTTTTCTTTTTTCTTTTTCTTTTTTTTTTTTTTTTTGAGACTGAGTTTTGCTCTGGTTGCCCAGGCTGGGGTACAGTGGTGGAATCTCGGCTCACTGCAACCTCCGCCTCCCGGGTTCAAGTGATTCTCTTGCCTCAGCCTCCCGAGTAGCTGGGATTACAGGCATGCACCACCACGTCTGGCTAATTTTGTATTTTTAGTAGAGACAGGGTTTCTCCATGTTGGTCGGGCTGATCTTGCACTCCCAGCCTCAGGTGATCCACCCACCTCAGCCTCCCAAATTGCTGGGATTACAGGCGTGAGCCATGGCGCCCAGCCTTCCAGTACTTTCAGTAGCAAACAGCACCTGCCATTTAGGGAGCACCTGCTAGACCCTGATTCCGGTGCTAAGCACTGGGCATTGTCTGCTTCACACAGTCCATGTGCTAACCCTCAGGACCCTCACTCTGCCCCCCTTTTACTGATGAGGAGAGTGGGGTTCCAATGGGCCATCTGCCCAAACTGGTTTGGGAGAGAACCTGGATTTAAACTCACATTGGTCTGACCCAAAGTCCACATTCTTTGTTATGTGTGTTTTTTGCTTCCTCTACCTCCATGATTCTTTTTCTCTTGACCTCTGGTTTCTTCCTCACGTGGCTTTTTCTTCCATGTTCCCCACTTCTCGTCTCCCTTGCTTCTCCCTGCTCTGCCCATCATGACTCATTTCTGTTTCATTTTTCAGCGGATCCTCCTGAGTATGGTTGAAAATGGTGTCTCACTGAAAGTAACACTGAAATGGACAAACTTCCTGTAGGTTCTGAGCCTTCAGTTCCAGGACATTGTGGGACCCCAGAGGCTGTCCTGTCCACTTGCCTTCTGAGGACATCAGCTCGGTGTCCCCAGCCTCCGTGCTGTGGGCACAGCTGTGGTTTGGGTGCTGAGCAAAGGATGCTGTAGTCTTGGCCCTGTGGAGCTTGGCTGTTGGGACAGGAGGTACAAAGGGGAGTGGTGCCTGTGGACACAGGACTAGACCCCAGGACATCAGGGCCTCGGGCTCATGGTCCTATCACCCTGGATGGTATACGCAGCTGCACACGTGGAATTGCTCAAACAATTCAGGCCCAACTTTTCTGCCACGGAAGGGGTGCTGCTTCCCTCACGTAACAAGAGGCTGTCAATCACGAGCACCCAGGTTGGGGTGAGGCCGGCCCTTTGTGGCTTGTGCCACTGAGTGGGCTGTGCCTCGGGCTTGGCTCCACCTCAGGGCTCCACATTTGCAGGATGTCAGCTGATTTCCAGGGACCAGCCTCACCCTTACGTGTTATCTCCTTCTTCTGGGTCTCCCAGGTGAGCACCCTAAGAACACATCCATGGAGACACCCAGCCCCTCTGGCCTGGGCCCCAAGCCCTCTGCATCACCCCAGCCCTTCCCTGCCCTGCCCTGTCCTGGCCCAGGCAACCGCCTCTTGCCTAGTTGCCCACAGCAGCCTTCACTCAGGCCTTCCTGCCTCCAGCCTGGTCCCCACAACGTGCCTCCCCCGATGGCCATGGTAATACTGGAATAAGGTCCTTGTGATAGGCACCACATGCCTGAACTCTCCCCACCCCATCCACCTTGTATTTGTCTGTTCTCACATTGCTATAAAGAACTACCTGAGACTGGGTAGTTTATGAAAAAAAGAGGTTTAATTGACTCACAGTTCCGCAGGCTTCAGAGGAAGCATGGCTGGGAGGCCTCAGGAAACTTACAATCATGGTGGAAGGCAAAGAGGAAGCAAGTCCCTTCTTCACAAGACAGCAGGAGAGACAGAGCGAAGGGGGAGGTGCTACACACTTTTAAACAATGAGACCTTGTGAGAAACAGCACCTGGGAGGTGGGGCTAAACCATTAGAAACCAGCCCCGTGATACAATCACCTCCCAGCAGGACCCGCCTCCAACACATGGGGCTGAAAATTCCATGTGAGATTCGGGTGGGGACACAGAGCCAAACAATATCACACCTCCACTCCTGTTTAGGGTCTTCTGCCTCAAGGTTACTCAAATGCATCCTCTCATTTCCTTGCTTGCAGCAGAAACAGAAAAGGATTTTTTTTTATGACTAGTTGAAGTTTTATTACAATCTTGCTATTAGGAGAAAGGCCTTACAGTAGTCTCAGTTTAGAAATTCACATTTGTTTGCTTGTATTGTTTTAAATGGACACATAATGTACATATTTATGGGGAACTGTGTGATAATGTTCCCAACACAAAGAAATGGTAAATGTTTGAGGTGGTGGAAATGACCCCGATTTGATCATCACACATTGTACACAGAACAGCAGGTTGTATTATGCTCCTCATCTTTCTAGATTGGTTCAGATGCCCCTTCTAGGAAGCCTTCCCAGATTTTCGCCCTGCAGAAGAAAATGTCTTCCCACAGTGCTGGGCTCCCACAGCACTCGGTGCCTGTCATCCTCCATCCTGGCACGTGTGGGGCTCTTCCCACCAGGGACAGCGTCTTATCCAGTGCCCAGCCAGGGTTAAACTCAGGGCAGGCTTCAGAATGAATGAATGAACAAATGACTAACAGCTTAGCTGTTCCAAACACAGAAGCTTTATTGATGCAAGTGAGGGAAAAAGCTGAGGTACACATGTCGGGTTGGAGGGGCAGGATGGCCCCCAAGTCTCTGTCCTGATCCAAGGCTGTGTCCTGCTAGGATTCCCCCTCCTCCTGTTTCCTCTCCTTCTCGTGCTGCTTCTCCAGTGGCTCACACTTATCCTAGAAGGCAGCGGGGAATTGGGGTGAGGGAGAAGCAGAGGCATGGGGACAGGGTGGGAGGTCTTCCGGGGAGAGGGCAGAATGAGCTCTGGCCTGTGGAACCAGCTCAACCAGGGCTCCAACCCTGGCACTGTCACTTCCCAGCTGGGTGATCTTGGGCAAGTCATTTTCTGTCTCTGAACCTCAGCTTACTTGCCTCTACAATGGGAGCTCAGACCCTTAAGAACCACTGGCATTTACTGAGCACATAGTACCTGCAGGGCCCTTATGCTGCAGCTCCTGAATTCCTCACAACCACCACTACTATGCAGATGATGTAACTGAGGAGCAGGGTGGCCTTGGGACCCATTCGAGGCTCCCTAGCCAGACAGTGGAGGTGCCAGGCTGTGGATCAAGTGAGCTGACTACAGTGGTTGCGTTCATAAGCCCTGTCCCAGGATCCTGGGGCTGGGGATGGGGCAGGAGGTAGTTCACATCCCTGGTGGTCATCTCAGGTGGCAAATGGAAGGAATTGTTTTTCTTTGAATAGTCATGGAAGTACTGCATGTATATATTTTAAAAATTGGAACCAGCTCATCGGTGCTGTGATTTCACAGGTATTAGGGCACAGGGCCACACCAACACAAGTCTTCCAAACACAGGTTTAAAGAAAAGTGTTAAGGAGCTCATTATACAGTAATTTTCATTTGTAGCAAAAATCGGGATGGTGACTGTGGCCGTGCTGCAGTGTGGGTGACATTGAAAACCACAGTATCAATTCCCCACTGCACGGGTATTAAAAATGAGCGGGGAGTGGAGGTGGGGTGAAAGCCTGGGGTTTGGGACGCGTCTGTAGGTGGTAACTCCCCGCATTACGTCCCCTCCAATTGCCAATCCCCCAACCCCGTGGCTCACGCTGTTCCCTCCTGTTAGCTTTCAGGTCCTCCCTGGTTTCACAGGGACTTCTCCCTCCTGGGCTCTCATCCACCACCCCTGGGCCTCTGTAGAGCTCAGCTGTCCCTACAGTGAGGCAGGTGCCTAAAAGCAGAAGATCTGCCTAGCTGTGCAGCCTTGCCTGGCAGCTTTCCTGCTCTGGGCCTCTGGGGCTGCCCAAGTTGGGCCATGGACAAGGTGGGCACTGTCCAATCCCTTGCGTTTACCTTTTTCCAGTCGGTGTACATGACATCTGACCTGGGAATGCACAAGCAGTCGAGAGCTTCGTAGAACTCTCCCAGTTGCTCCTTGGTCGTCTCTGGCTTGTCAGCTGCAGGGGGAGCAAGGAGACTGACTGGGGACATGGTGGGGCCCGGCGGGAGGCCAGGGAGGGCTGGGGTTCTAGGGGCCAGCCCAGGGGTGGGTGAATGGGGGGTGAGGCCTGAGAGGGGCATGAGTTTGGGGCTGCTAAGCATGCCTACCATAGAAAGACAGCCCCCAGTTCTTCTCATCGTCCAGGTAGGAACCAAACATCAAGGTCTTGGTGTCCCTAAGGAACAGCAGGTGAGCAACATGTTCTCGGCCTCCCTCTGGAAGAGAAAAAGAGCCTCTGGGTGAGAACATGGGATGGCACAATGGTGCCTGTCTTACAGGTGAGGAGTCCTAGGTGTGTCCGGGGCCACAAAGCCCATCAGTGAAGGCCCGGGTCTCCTTTGGGCCACCGTGTGCCCAGCCCCTGCTGCGTGCCCAGCTCCACGCCAAGCACTTTCTGTACATGAGATCTCAGGAGCCTCACACAGACTGTGGCTGTCAGGGCCTTTCTCCCCGTTTTACAGAGGAGGAAAATGAGGCCCAGAGAGGAGGCTCGGGATGCTAAATGATGTCAGTTCAGCTCCATCAGATCCCTGCCATGTGCCACCTCTGCGGTGATGGGGGACATAGTTGAAGGTACCACCTCTCCAACATACAGGCTTCTACCATTGGTTTGCAAAGGATCTTAAAGAGGGCGTGAGAGAGAGGCAGATCTGAAGCCAGCCTGGAGTTCCAATTCTAGTTCTAATTATAAGCTGTGTGACCTTGGGGAAACTATTTGAGGTCTCTGTTCTTATGTTTCCTCATCTAATTCTCTCAGTGTCTTCTTAGGGATTTTTTCTGAGCACGTGGTAAGAGCTCAAAAATGTTAGTGGTTATTTCTCTGTGCCCAAAGCCTCCAGGGCTCTACATCCAGCCCCCACCTTATGCTGGCCTGCCCTGTTCCCACGGTGAACCCTCCTGCCTGAGGGCTGGCCCTCACCGTATCTGGAGACGGTCCCATTCTCCCGCTGGACATTCAGGTAACTGGAGTTATAGAAGCACTGGTTCTGGCTAAAGTCAACCAGAAGGCGGAAGAAAAACAGTAATGTTATCGAGGAGAAGTGGCCAATCGCCCATCACAGTCCCGGGGCAAGAGTCTGGTGGAGATTAAAGCCAACCCTCCCGGTTCCACCCATGGGAAGGCCAAGGCCAGGAAGAAGGAGGGACTTGCTCAGGTCTTCTGGCCAGAAGCTGAGATGGGGGTGCATTGGAATGGGGGCTCTCACCGGGTCTGGTACTCTCTGAGAAAGATCGTGTCCTCTGTCTTGTTGGGGGTAAAGTAAAAGAAGGTTGCTTGGATCTCCTGAACCGACTTATTGTACTCCTCGTTTCGAAAGGCCGATGCGATATAAAACCACTTGCCAGTGATCTGGGGAGAAGGGGGGAGCTGGTGATGGGGGCTTGATGCTGAATCTTTGACTGTCAGCTGGGAGGAGACTCAGGCAGATCTCTCCCTGATTTTGCAGATGGGGAGATGAGGCCCCTGGTGGGCAGTGCGCATGCAGGAGCTCACCCTGAGGATCAGTCATTGCCCCCCAGGCAGCCCCTCCAGGCCCAGCACAGAACCGTCCTCCGTGAAGGACTCTGCAGTGAGGCTTCTGTGTTTGGAGGCAGGGGGTGCCTCCAGAGTCCCCTGGGCTGGTGAGAATTTCACCCTGGGGACCCAGAAGAGAAAAAGGCAGAGCTGGGAGTGGGGGTGCGACCACAGCCAGCAGGTAAAGGGAAGCCCAGAGAAGGGAGGCAGCTGCCCATGTGCTCAGGACAGGGCTAGCCCAGGCACTCACCCGGTCCAGGGTGGCGTTGGTGATGGGCACCGGTACTAGGTTGGCACACAATGGGATCTGGGCTTCCAGCAGAGGTAGGAGGCTCAGGACTGTAAGAACCCAGGACAGCGCCATACTGAGACCAGGAGGCACGTGGAGCCAGGCAGTGCTGGTGGCTGCAGGGTGCAGTCACCTTTATAATAAACTATGGGCGGTCACTTGGAGCCCAGCAAAAGTTTACTCTGTGTCTGTGACACAATCCTGCCAGCACTTGGGAAATGCCTCGCACAAAACCTCCCCCAAAGGCCAGCTCGGAGCACCGCCTCCAAACCCAGGTCTAATTTGAGTTCCTCACATGGAGAGGTTACAAAAGCCCTAGAGTATGGCTGCCCAAGGCCAAGGTGGGTGCGGGGCTGCAGCAACATTAGTAAACGTGTGAGTCCACAGATTTCCTAGAGAGGCCTCCCGCAGAGGAATCTCATGTCTTCATTCAATTCCTATCCCTCTGAGTGCCAAGACTTACTTCAGTAGGACCCAGCCACAAACCTAATGATGAAGCACCTTTGAGGGTCCCCAGGCTGGCATGGGATGTATGTTGTGGCGGGGAGAGTTGGGGTGAAGGATGCCGGGTGAAGGCAAACATGGATTCAGTTCCACTGAGTGTGGCAACAGCTATGTCAGAGCCAAAGTTCATTGGGGCCCCAACCCAGCCCTGGACGCAGGCACATTTCCAAAAAGGGACATCCAAGTTGAATGTCTATTTCCAGTAAATATACTACTCGAAGCATCTCCCAACATCTCAAACAGGAAACTGTCTCCCTGTTTTTCCCCATTCCCTGCCATCTGAGCAGGCAGCTTGCTTCTCTTTCACCAATATGCCCCCAATCCTGGAGCAGTGCCCAGCACTTCAAGGGCACTCGGTGTATACTGTGGAATGAGTGATTCCGTGGCCCATTTGCGTTCCTACCTTATGGGTCAAGTCTTTATTTGTATGAATAAATACTTTCAGAAAGTATTCTTTTTTTTTTTTTTCTCGGAGATGGAGTTTCGCCATTTTGCTCTTGTTGCCCAGGCTGGAGTGCAATGGCTCGATCTTGGCTCACCACAACCTCCCCTGCTGGTTTCAAGCAATTCTCTTGCCTCAGCCTCCCGAGTCGCTGGGATTACAGGTATGTGCTACCACGCCTGGCTAATTTTGTATTTTTAGGAGAGATGGGGTTTCTCCACGTTGGTCAGGCTGGTCTCGAACTCCCTACCTCAGGTGATCCGCCCACCTCGGCCTCCCACAGTGCTGGGATTACAAGCATGAGCCACCGCGCCTGGCCTTCCAGAGCGCCTTTCAACAGTGAACAGCAGCTGCTGTTTAGGGAGCACCAGCTGGACCCTGATTCTTACGCTAAACACTGGGCATTGTCTACTTCACACAGTCCCTGTACTAGCTCTCAGGACCCTCACTCTGCCCCCTTTTTACTGATGAGGAGAGTGAGGTTCCACTGGGCCATCTGCCCAAACTGGTTTGGGAGAGAGCCTGGGTTTGGACTCACATTAGTTTGACTCCAAAGTCCACATTCTTTGTTATGTGTGTTTTTTGCTTCCTCTACCTCCATGATTCTTTTTCTCTTGACCTCTGGTTTCTTCCTCACGTGGCTTTTCCTTCCATGTTCCCCACTTCTCGTCTCCCTTGCTTCTCCCTGCCCTGCCCATCACGACTCATTTCTGTTTCATTTTTCAGCGGATCCTCCTCAGTATGGTTGAAAATGGTGTCTTACTGAAAGTAACATTGAAATGGGGAAACTTCTTTTAGGTTCTGAGCCTTCAGTTCCAGGCCACTGTGGGACCCCAGAGGCTGTCCTGTCCACTTGCCTTCTGAGGACATCAGCTCGGTGTCCCCAGCCTCCGTGCTGTGGGCACAGCAGTGGTTTGGGTGCTGAGCAAAGGATGCTGTAGTCTTGGCCCTGTGGAGCTTGGCTGTTGGGACAGGAGGTACAAAGGGGAGTGGTGCCTGAGGACACAGGACTGGACCCTGGGGTGTCAGAGCCTCAGGCTCATGGTCTTATCACCCTGTATGGTGTACGCAGCTGCACATACGGAATAGATGGAACAACTCAGGCCCAACTTTTCTGCCACGGGAGGAGTGCTGCTTCCCTCACGTAACAAGAGGCTGTCAATCATGAGCCCCCAGGTCTGGGTGAGGCCGGCCCTTCGTGGCTTGTGCCACTGAGTGGGCTGTGCCTCGGGCTTGGCTCCACCTCAGGGCTCCACATTTGCAAGATGTCAACTGATTTCCAGGGACCAGCCTCACCCTTACGTGTTGTCTCCTTCTTCTGGGTCTCCCAGGTGAGCACCCTGAGGACACGTCCATGGAGACACCCAGCCCCTCTGGCCTGGGCCCCAAGCCCTCTGCATCACCCCAGCCCTTCCCTGCCCTGCCCTGTCCTGGCCCAGGCAACCGCCTCTTGCCTAGTTGCCCACAGCAGCCTTCACTCAGGCCTTCCTGCCTCCAGCCTGGTCCCCACAACGTGCCTCCCCCGATGGCCATGGTAATACTGGAATAAGGTCCTTGTGATAGGCACCACATGCCTGAACTCTCCCCACCCCATCCACCTTGTATTTGTCTGTTCTCACATTGCTATAAAGAACTACCTGAGACTGGGTAGTTTATGAAAAAAAGAGGTTTAATTGACTCACAGTTCCGCAGGCTTCAGAGGAAGCATGGCTGGGAGGCCTCAGGAAACTTACAATCATGGTGGAAGGCAAAGAGGAAGCAAGTCCCTTCTTCACAAGACAGCAGGAGAGACAGAGCGAAGGGGGAGGTGCTACACACTTTTAAACAATGAGACCTTGTGAGAAACAGCACCTGGGAGGTGGGGCTAAACCATTAGAAACCAGCCCCGTGATACAATCACCTCCCAGCAGGACCCGCCTCCAACACATGGGGCTGAAAATTCCATGTGAGATTCGGGTGGGGACAGAGCCAAACAATATCACACCTCCACTCCTGTTTAGGGTCTTCTGCCTCAAGGTTACTCAAATGCATCCTCTCATTTCCTTGCTTGCAGCAGAAACAGAAAAGGATTTTTTTTTATGACTAGTTGAAGTTTTATTACAATCTTGCTATTAGGAGAAAGGCCTTACAGTAGTCTCAGTTTAGAAATTCACATTTGTTTGCTTGTATTGTTTTAAATGGACACATAATGTACATATTTATGGGGAACTGTGTGATAATGTTCCCAACACAAAGAAATGGTAAATGTTTGAGGTGGTGGAAATGACCCCGATTTGATCATCACACATTGTACACAGAACAGCAGGTTGTATTATGCTCCTCATCTTTCTAGATTGGTTCAGATGCCCCTTCTAGGAAGCCTTCCCAGATTTTCGCCCTGCAGAAGAAAATGTCTTCCCACAGTGCTGGGCTCCCACAGCACTCGGTGCCTGTCATCCTCCATCCTGGCACGTGTGGGGCTCTTCCCACCAGGGACAGCGTCTTATCCAGTGCCCAGCCAGGGTTGAACTCAGGGCAGGCTTCAGAATGAATGAATGAACAAATGACTAACAGCTTAGCTGTTCCAAACACAGAAGCTTTATTGATGCAAGTGAGGGAAAAAGCTGAGGTACACATGTCGGGTTGGAGGGGCAGGATGGCCCCCAAGTCTCTGTCCTGATCCAAGGCTGTGTCCTGCTAGGATTCCCCCTCCTCCTGTTTCCTCTCCTTCTCGTGCTGCTTCTCCAGTGGCTCACACTTATCCTAGAAGGCAGCGGGGAATTGGGGTGAGGGAGAAGCAGAGGCATGGGGACAGGGTGGGAGGTCTTCCAGGGAGAGGGCAGAATGAGCTCTGGCCTGTGGAACCAGCTCAACCAGGGCTCCAACCCTGGCACTGTCACTTCCCAGCTGGGTGATCTTGGGCAAGTCATTTTCTGTCTCTGAACCTCAGCTTACTTGCCTCTACAATGGGAGCTCAGACTCTTAAGAATCACTGGCATTTACTGTGCACTTAGGACCTGCCGAGCCCTTATGCTGCAGCTCCTGAATTCCTCACAACCACCACTACTATGCAGATGATGTAACTGAGGAGCAGGGTGGCCTTGGGACCCATTCGAGGCTCCCTAGCCAGACAGTGGGGGTGCCAGGCTGTGGATCAGGTGAGCTGACTACAGTGGTTGTGTTCATAAGCCCTGTCCCAGGATCCTGGGACTGCAGATGGGGGCAGGAGGTAGTTCACACCACTGGTGGTCATCTCAGATGGCAAATGGAAGGAATTGTTTTTCTTTGAATAGTCATGGAAGTACTGCATGTATATATTTTAAAAATTGGAACCAGCTCATCGGTGCTGTGATTTCACAGGTATTGGGCACAGGGCCACACCAACGCAAGTCTTCCAAACACAGGTTTAAAGAAAAGTGTTAAGGAGCTCATTATAAAGTAATTTTCATTTGTAGCAAAAATCGGGATGGTGACTGTGGCCGTGCTGCAGTGTGGGTGACATTGAAAACCACAGTATCAATTCCCCACTGCACGGGTATTAAAAATGAGTGGGGAGTGGAGGTGGGGTGAAAGCCTGGGGTTTGGGACGCGTCTGTAGGTGGTAACTCCCCGCATTACGTCCCCTCCAATTGCCAATCCCCCAACCCCGTGGCTCACGCTGTTCCCTCCTGTTAGCTTTCAGGTCCTCCCTGGTTTCACAGGGACTTCTCCCTCCTGGGCTCTCATCCACCACCCCTGGGCCTCTGTAGAGCTCAGCTGTCCCTACAGTGAGGCAGGTGCCTAAAAGCAGAAGATCTGCCTAGCTGTGCAGCCTTGCCTGGCAGCTCTCCTGCTCTGGGCCTCTGGGGCTGCCCAAGTTGGGCCATGGACAAGGTGGGCACTGTCCAATCCCTTGCGTTTACCTTTTTCCAATCGGTGTACACGACATCTGACTTGGGAATGCGCAAGCAGTCGAGAGCTTCGTAGAACTCTCCCAGTTGCTCCTTGGTCGTCTCTGGCTTGTCAGCTGCAGGGGGAGCAAGGAGACTGACTGGGGACATGGTGGGGCCCGGCGGGAGGCCAGGGAGGGCTGGGGTTCTAGGGGCCAGCCCAGGGGTGGGTGAATGGGGGGTGAGGCCTGAGAGGGGCATGAGTTTGGGGCTGCTAAGCATGCCTACCATAGACAGACAGCCCCCAGTTCTTCTCATCGTTCACGTCAAAAGCAAGCATGTAGGTCTTGGTGTCCCTGAGGATCAGCAAGTGAGCGAAATGCTCTTGGCCTCCCACTGGAAGAGAAAAGGAGCCTCTGGGTGAGAACATGGGATGGCACAATGGTGTCTGTCTTACAGGTGAGGAGGCCTAGGTGTGTCAGTGGCCACACAGCCCATCAGTGAAGGCCCAGGGCTCCTTTGGGCCACCGTGTGCCCAGCCCCTGCTGCATGCCCAGCTCCACGCCAAGCACTTTCTGTACATGAGATCTCAGGAGCCTCACACAGACCGTGGCTGTCAGGGCCTTTCTCCGTTTTACAGATGAGGAAAATGAGGCCCAGAGAGGAGGCTCGGGATGCTAAATGGTGTCAGTTCAGCTCCATCAGCTCCCTGCCATGTGCCACCTCTGCGGTGATGGGGGACATAGTTGAAGGTACCACCTCTCCAACATACAGGCTTCTACCATTGGTTTGCAAAGGATCTTAAAGAGGGCATGAGAGAGAGGCAGATCTGAAGCCAGCCTGGAGTTCCAATTCTAGTTCTAATTATAAGCTGTGTGACCTTGGGGAAACTATTTGAGGTCTCTGTTCTTCTTTTTCCTCCTCTAATTCTCTCAGTGTCCTCTTAGAGTTGTTTCTGAGCACATCGTTAGAGCTCAAAAATGTTAGTGGTTATTTCTCTGTGCCCAAAGCCTCCAGGGCTCTACATCCAGCCCCCACCTTATGCTGGCCTGCCCTGTTCCCACAGTGAACCCTCCTGCCTGAGGGCTGGCCCTCACCGTATCTGGAGATGGTCCCATTTTCCCGCTGGACATTCAGGTAGGTGGTGTTATAGATGCACTGGTCCTGTCTAAAGCCAAACAGAAGGCGGAAGGAAAACAGGAAGATTATTGAGAAGTGGCCAATCGCCCATCACAGTCCTGGGGCAAGAGTCTGGTGGAGATTAAAGCCAGCCCTCCCGGTTCCACCCATGGGAAGGCCAAGGCCAGGAAGAAGGAGGGACTTGCTCAGGTCTTCTGGCCAGAAGCTGAGATGGGGGTGCATTGGAATGGGGGCTCTCACCGGGTCTGGTACTCTCTGAGAAAGATCGTGTCCTCTGTCTTGTTGGGGGTGAAGTAAAAGAAGGTTGCTTGGATCTCCTGAACCGACTTATTGTACTCCTCGTTTCGAAAGGCCGATGCGATATAAAACCACTTGCCAGTGATCTGGGGAGAAGGTGGGAGCTGGTGATGGGGGCTTGATGCTGAATCTTTGACTGTCAGCTGGGAGGAGACTCAGGCAGATCTCTCCCTGATTTTGCAGATGGGGAGATGAGGCCCCTGGTGGGCAGTGCGCATGCAGGAGCTCACCCTGAGGATCAGTCATTGCCCCCCAGGCAGCCCCTCCAGGCCCAGCACAGAACCGTCCTCCGTGAAGGACTCTGCAGTGAGGCTTCTGTGTTTGGAGGCAGGGGGTGCCTCCAGAGTCCCCTGGGCTGGTGAGAATTTCACCCTGGGGACCCAGAAGAGAAAAAGGCAGAGCCGGGAGTGGGGGTCCGACCACAGCCAGCAGGGAAAGGGAAGCCCAGAGAAGGGAGGCAGCTGCCCATGTGCTCAGGACAGGGCTAGCCCAGGCACTCACCCGGTCCAGGGTGGCGTTGGTGATGGGCACCGGTACTAGGTTGGCACACAATGGGATCTGGGCTTCCAGCAGAGGTAGGAGGCTCAGGACTGTAAGAACCCAGGACAGCGCCATACTGAGACCAGGAGGCACGTGGAGCCAGGCAGTGCTGGTGGCTGCAGGGTGCAGTCACCTTTATAATAAACTATGGGCGGTCACTTGGAGCCCAGCAAAAGTTTACTCTGTGTCTGTGACACAATCCTGCCAGCA
Organism: Homo sapiens; assembly: GCF_000001405.40. NCBI lineage: Eukaryota > Metazoa > Chordata > Mammalia > Primates > Hominidae > Homo > Homo sapiens. The sequence continues at coordinate 114,322,998 of NC_000009.12, read as the reverse complement.
CTTGGGAAATGCCTCGCACAAAACCTCCCCCAAAGGCCAGCTCGGAGCACCGCCTCCAAACCCAGGTCTAATTTGAGTTCCTCACATGGAGAGGTTACAAAAGCCCTAGAGTATGGCTGCCCAAGGCCAAGGTGGGTGCGGGGCTGCAGCAACATTAGTAAACGTGTGAGTCCACAGATTTCCTAGAGAGGCCTCCCGCAGAGGAATCTCATGTCTTCATTCAATTCCTATCCCTCTGAGTGCCAAGACTTACTTCAGTGGGACCCAGCCACAAACCTAATGATGAAGCCACCTTTGAGGGTCCCCAGGCTGGCATGGGATGTATGTTGTGGCGGGGAGAGTTGGGGTGAAGGATGCCGGGGAAGACAAACATAGATTCAGTTCCACTGAGTGTGGCAACAGCTGTGTCAGAGCCAAAGTTCATTGGGGCCCCAACCCAGCCCTGGACGCAGGCACATTTCCAAAAAGGGACATCCAAGTTGAATGTCTATTTCCAGTAAATATACTACTCGAAGCATCTCCCAACATCTCAAACAGGAAACTGTCTCCCTGTTTTCCCCCATTCCCTGCCATCTGAGCAGGCAGCTTGCTTCTCTTTCACCAATACGCCCCCAATCCTGGAGCAGTGCCCAGCACTTCAAGGGCACTCGGTATATTCTGTGGAATGAGTGATTCCGTGGCCCATTTGTGTTCCTACCTCACGGGTCAAGTCTTTATTTGTATGAATAAATACTTTCAGAAAGTATTCATTTTTTTTTTTTTTTGATACGGAGTTTCACTCCCGTCCCCCAGGCTGGAGTGCAATGGCTCAATCTCGGCTCACTGCAACCTGTGCCTCCTGGGTTCAAGCGATTCTCCTGCCTCAGCCTCCTGAGTCGCTGGGATTACTGGTGCCCTCCACAACGCCCAGCTAATTTTTTTTGTTGTTGTTATTTTCAGTAGAGATGGGGTTTCTCCATGTTGGCCAGGCTGGTCTGGAACTCCCGACCTCAGGTGACTCACCCGTCTCGGCCTCCCAAAGTGCTGGGATTACTCAGAAAGTATTCTTACGGTATGATTATAATTTTGCATTCTTATTCATTTCATTCTGAATAACTTTCATATTTCAGTGTAGTTTGTAGTTAAAAGCTTAATGGACCCAAGATGGGAGAGTCACCTGAGTCCTGGAGTTCAAGACTAGCCTGGGCAACATAGTGAGACCCTATCTTTACACAAAAATATTTAAAAATTAGCCAGGTCGGCCAGGCGCGGTGGCTCACGCCTGTAATCCCAGCACTTTGGGAGGCTGAGGCGGGCGGATCATGAGGTCAAGAGATGGAGACCATCCTGGCTAACATGGTGAAACCCCATCTCTACTAAAAATACAAAAACAAAATTAGCTGGGCGTGGTGGCAGGCGCCTGTAGTCCCAGCTACTTGGGAGGCTGAGATGGGAGAATGGCGTGAACCTGGGAGGCAGAGCTTGCAGTGAGCTGAGATGGCGCCACTGCACTCCAGCCTGGGTGACAGAGTGAGACTCCGTCTCAAGGAAAACAAACAAACAAACAAAAAAATTAGCCAGGTCTGGTGCCATGTACCTGAAAGCCTAGCTACTCTGGACTCTGAGGCTGGAAGATTGCTTGAGCCCAGGAGTTCAAAGCTGCAGTAAGCTGTGATTTTGCCACTACACTCCAGCCTGTATGATGGAGCAAGAGACCCTGTCTCAAAAATAAATAAATAAATAAATAAATAAAAGTGTAATGGATGCACAACTTTTCATTCACTTACTCTATTCTTTTTTTGTTTTTGTTTTTGTTCTGAAATGGCATCTCACTCTGTCGCCCAGGCTGGAGTGTAGTGGTGGGATCTTGGCTCACTGCAACCTCTGCCACCCAGGCTCAAGAGATCCTCCCAGCTCAGCCTCCCGAGTAGCTAGGACCACAGGTGCGTGCCACCACACCTGGCTAACTTTTTGTACTTTTGTAGAGATGGGGGTCTCATCATGTTGCCCAGGTTGGTCTCGAACTCCTGAGCTTAAGCAATCTGCCCACCTCGGCCTCCCAGAGTACTGGGATTACAGGCATGAGCCACGGCGCCTGGCCCGCTTACTATATTCTAACCTACTTAGTCATGTCCTTTATGTCTACAGCACTTTTTTTTTTTTTTCAGGCTCTTCAAGTTGGAGTGCAGTGGTATGAATCATAGCTCAACTGCAGCCTCAAACTCCTGGGCTCAAGCAATCCTCCCACCTCAGCCTCTGGAGTAGCTAGGACTACAGGCATGCACCACCACACTTGGCTAATTAAATTTAAAAAACAAAAAATTGTAGAGACAGAGTCTCACTATGTTGCCCAGACTGGTCTTGAACTTCTGGCCTCAAGTGATCCTCCTGCCTCAGCCTCCCAAAGTGCTGGATTATAGGCGTGAGCCACCACTCCCAGCCTATCTAACAGCATTTCATATTGTGATTTTTCCTCTGATGATAAGTGTCAGAGAGCAGCCAATTTCCCTTTTAAAATTACCTTAGTATCCAAGGGAAAGGAAACCACGTGCTATGCACAAAGTCTTACATATTAATGTTCATAACAGCATTGCTCAAAATAGCCAAAATTAGAAATAATCCAAGGGTGGGGCACCACGGCTCACGCCTGTAATCCCAGCACTTTGGGAGGCCGAGGTGGGCGGATCACAAGGTCAAGAGATCGAGACAAGCCTGGCCAACATGGAGAAACTCCGTCTCTACTAAAAATACAAAAATTAGCTGAGTGTGGTGGCATGCGCCTGTAGTACCAGCTACTCAGGAGGCTGAGGCAGGAGAATCGCTCAAACCTGGGAGGTGGAGCTTGCAGTTAGCCGAGATCGTGCCACTGCACTCCAGCCTGGTGACAGAGCAAGACTGTCTAAAAAACAAAAACAAAAGCAAAAACAAAAACCAAAAAAAAAGAAAGAAACAATCCAAATGCCCATCAACAGGAAAATGGTAAATAAAAATGTGGCATTTTCTTACAAAGGAATATTACTTAACAATAAAAATAGTTAAACTATTGATACATATAACACCATGGATGAATCTCAAAAACACTATGCTGAACAAAAGAAGCCAGATACAAAGGAGCTTATATACTGTACGGTTCTGTTCTAGAACAGCTCAAACAAATCTATAATTTTAGAAATCAGATCAGTGGTTGCCAAGGGCAAAAGAGGGCAATTTGACTGCAAAAGCATATGAGAGAACACTGAAGTGGATGACAACGATCCAGGTTGTCATCGTGGTGGCCATTATACACACACACGTATAGTTGTAAAAACTAATTGAACAGTAAACCTAAAATGTGTGCATTTTCTTTTATTTATTCAACCTCAAGAAAGCCGATGATTTAAAAACCCTCCTCCCAAACATGACAAATCCAAAAGCACTAAGGATTTTGAATGTCAGTTTGGCAGTGTACAAGTGAGTCTCCTTATCCCCATCCTTGTCAGAACAGAAATGACCCTTTTTTTTTCCTTTCTTTTTTGTGTTTTTGCCAGCTTGGTTTGTTTCTTGAATTTGCATTGCTCTAATTTGAGGCTTGAAACAATGATTGGAGTTATCAAGAGGGAAGAGCGCAGGTGAGAGAGTGGGTGTATCAGGGAGCTGGAAAGTCTGTGCAGCTGGAGCACATGATAAGTGGGAGTGGCCAGACTTTATGTTGAAGAGGTTGGCAGGAGATGGAGCCTGCAGGGCATGGAAGCCAGGCTGAGGGGTTCGCTAGACTTAGGAGGTGTAGGAGAGAAATGGAAAGATTTCAAAGGGGTTGGAAAGGCATAACCAGATTGGTTCTTCAGAAAGATCGCTCTGTCTGAATGGGAAGAATGGGGAGGGCTAGGGAAGGAGATTAAACCTGAGAAACCAGCTGGAGCTGATGCAGTGGTCCAGGGGTGAGATGATGGGGACAGACTCCAGATACCATTCATCTATCTAACATCTATCTATCTATCATCTATCTACCTATCTATCTATCTATCTATCTATCTATCATCTATCTACCTACCTATCATCTATCATCTATCTCTATCTATCTATCTATCTATCTATCTATCTAATCTATCTATCATCTATCTATCATCTATCTATCTATCTATCTATCTATCTATCTATCTATCATCTATCTATCTATCTATCTGAGACAAGGTTTCACTCTGTCGCCCAGGCTGGAGTGCAGTGGCACGATCTCAGTTCACTGCAGCCTCCGCCTCCCGAGTTCCAGCAATTCTCCTATCCAGCCTCCCTAGTAGCTGGGATTACAGGTGTCACTACCACACCTGGCTAATTTCTTTTGTATTTTTGGTACGGACAGGGTTTCGCCATGTTGGCCAGGCTGATCTTGAACTCCTGACCTCAAGTGATCCACCCGCCTCGGCCTTCCAAAGTGCTGGGATTTCAGGTGTAAGCCACCGTGCCCAGCCCAGATACCATGTATTTTGAGGAGAAGCTGAGCATTGTTGGGGACAGCACCACCATTAGACCTGGACTATTGGGGCCCAGGGATTTAGAGAGCCCCACATATCACACCCACCCACACACCCACCCACACACAACAGTTTATTAAATAACAGATAAGCACCTCTGTCCTTTGGGATCTGGTGCCTGGTACTGGCACAGTGGGACCCACATCACTGATTATTCTCTTTCACAACCAACACTGTTTAGGCCCCAGGAAACAATCTCTACATGTGGCACTCGACTCTGAAAACAACAGGTCAAATGTCCTGATACTTCGTGGATGATGCCACCGCAGACATAGGAGACAGACACTGCTTCAAGAGAGGATTTGAGTGAACTTGGAGGTAAGAAAAAAGACAAATTAACATTTTAACTCTTCCCTTTCAGCATAAATGCCAACAAAAAAACTCTTTGTTTTGCCAGAAACACTGAAAGTCTATTTTCTTGCAATGTGTGGTTAGAGAGATCCTCCTGAGTTAGAAATAAACAGTACATGCAACAGTTGCACATGGTTGCTGAGAAACATTTGGCAATATTGCATCATTATTACTCCTAAATGTGTGTGTCTGATGTCTGTAGATGGTGCCCACATACAGCCTGAATCTAGTTCTTTTTCTCTTTATTTTCTTGAGACAGAGTCTGGCTCTGTCACCCAGGTTGGAGTGCAGTGGCACAATCTTGGCTTACTGCAACCTCCATCTCCCAGGTTCAAGAAATTCTCCGGCCTCAGCCTCCTGAATAACTGGGATTACAGGCGCCTGCCACCACACCTGGCTAATTTTTGTATTTTTAGTACAGACGGGGTTTCATCATGTTGGCCAGGCTCGTCTCAAACTCCTGACCTCAAATGATCTGCCTGCCTCGACCTCCCAAAGTGCTGGGATTACAGTTGTGAGTCACTGCATCAGGACAATTGAATCTGGTTCTTGACATGGGCATGTAGAGGCTGCATGCTAGCCTCGTGAATAATTTTCAGTTGTACAAATCTTTTGGACATGATTTAATTAATTAATTAAATTTCTTTTTTTTTTTTTTTCGAGACAGAGTCTCGCTCTGTTGCCCAGGCTGGAGTGCAGTGGCACAATCTCAGCTCACTGCAAGCTCCACCTCCTGGGTTCACGCCATTCTCCTGCCTCAGCCTCCTGAGTAGCTGGGAATACAGGCGCCCGCCACCATGCCCGGCTAATATTTTTTTGTATTTTTTTAGTAGAGACAGGGTTTCACCGGGTTAGCCAGGATGGTCTCGATCTCCTGACCTTGTGATCCACCCGCCTCAGCCTCCCAAAGTGCTGGGATAATTAATTAAATTTCTAAAACTTAAATGTAAACATGTCAGCTTCATTTAAAATACTTTTGATTTATAACGTTCAGGCACTTAGGCCAATGGGGTCTGGGGTCTCCGTCTGCTCGAGTGTAGAGATCCCAGGCGCAGCCTGTGTAGGGGAAGGGTGAATAAGGAGAGCTACCACCATTCAAAGCGGAGCTGTGCACTGTGAATGCAGTACAGAGGCGCTTCCGAGTGCCTCTCCTTGGCAGGAGTAAGTGGTCTTCAGTGTCCTCACTGTCCCTCAGGCTGCCGCTTGGGGGTCTCACTCTCCACCTTAGACTATCCAAGTAATTCCTCCAAGCTCATCTGGCACCTACCCTACCACAGTACAATTTTCTCTGTCTCCTAACATTTCAGGTATGCATGAATGCCTCTAAAGACTGAGGCTTTAAGTAGTCCTTCTAGCTCGTCTGGCCCTATCCTCCATCTGGCCCTGGCAGGATGTCAAAAGAAGTTAGGCAGGAACAAAAGAGAGAGAAAAGGCCTCAGGGCAGGCAGTACAGGCTGGTGGTGAAGCGCAAGTTGGTGAACTTCTCTGTGCCTCAGTATCTCTACCTGTAAAATGAGAATAATAGTGGTACCTACTTCATTGGGTTGTTATGAAGATTAAATTGGTACATAGTTGTAATGCTTGGTTTTTTAAAGTTCTTAAAATTTTTTGGTAGGGATGGGAGGTCTCACTATGTTGCCCAGGCTGGTCTCGAACTCCCGGGCTCAAGTGATCCTCCCACTTCAGCCTCCCAAAGTGCTGGGTTTACAGGCATGAGCTACCACACCCATAAAATGCTTGTTAAATAAAATAAATTTGCTCCTAAGGGTCTTCTGATTATAATAACTATCGCTGTCAGTTTAACCATCCCCCAGACAAGCTGGGGTGAGGAGGGAAGAAAAATTTCTGCATTGCATATGTACTTCAGTGATTGCAAGCTACATCTCTCTTTTAAAGATATCAAAACATGAAAACGTGTCTATCCTAGGCTCAAGAAAATAAGACATTCCCCCCATTATATAGATGAGGAAAAAAGTGGCCCAGAGAGGCGAGGCAGTGTGGGAAACGTCACACAGCAGGTGAGCTGGAAGTCATCAGGGAAATGCACCTGTTTGAAACACTTCATTTCCTGAAAAAGTCACATTCCACCCTTCTTCATCAAGGCCAGAGCCAAGGTCTGTGTAAGACCAACCTGTGACCTGCTTCCACATGAGAATACATAGGCTGAGCAAATTGTCCTCATGGGGAACTCTGTGACTGGGCTGAGGAAAGACCCAAAAAGATTTTCTCAAGTTCAAATCCTGTTTTGTGATCTTGGGCAACTTAAGAAACCTCTTTGAACTTCAGTTTCCTCATCTGAAAAGCCAGGGTTACAACATGTGTCCCACGAGATTGTGTATGAGATGAAAATGTGGGATCACATGCACATGCGCATGAGATCGCACCGAGCATGCCACCTGGTGTGCCGTCCATGCACAAGAAATTGTAGCCATTATTCTTCTGAATGGTGCTATTCTTGGGTTGAACCATATGAAACTGGGTTTTGCAGGTCCAAAAGCATTGGATATTATTCTATTTCATACCGTTCACTCTACTATTATTGAACAATAGTCCTTTCTGTGGCTGGCAAGAAAGGCAGAGCATATCGGCCCCATTTTGCAGAGAGAGAAACTGAGGCCTAGAGAGAAAGAATGACCTACCCAGGGCCATGTCCCAGTCAGGAACTGGAATCTGCCTGCCAGCCTCTCTTTTTCTCGCTCTTCTTTTCCTCATTTTTCCAATCCTGGGCTGCCGGCCATTATGGGTTGTGACCATAGCTAGGGTTTGATTCATTGTGAACAGGGCAAACAGGCTGGCCTGGGCTTTCCCCTGGAGTTGGCCCAGCCTGGGAAGTCCACCTGACTGTTTCCTGACACTCAGTTGTGCAACAGGAGATTGGGAACTGTGGGTACTGCCAGTTTAGGAAAAGTTTCCTTCTGTCCCCAACAACCTCCTATCTGCCCCTGCTGGGAATGAGCTGGCCCAGCTCCAGCATCCTCACTGGCCCACCTGGGATTGGAGACCAGGCCGAGAGTCGTGAGTGTCACAGTTCTAACATGGCTCTTCTTGCTTTCCCCCTCTGGCCCTTCTGGCTGGCTTTTTCAATCTCTACCCATGTCTTCCAGGCCTAGCAGAAACTGCTGATGCCTCCAGAGCTCTGAGTGCAGTGCAGACCTCTCTCCTTTCCTCGCAGCGCAGGCAGCTGCCTCCTGGATGGCTCTGCTCCAGGGCCCCATGGCAGTCAAACCCAACTTGCCAACTCAGACCTCTGCTCATCTGTGCAAACCTGTGACTTGTCATGTTCCCAGCTCCATACCGCAGGCTTCCTCACCCTTTCCTGCAGCCCCACATGGGAACACTTACCGTTCCCAAATGCAAAGTGCTACCTTTACCTCTGGGCCTTGGCAGGCACTGTTCCCTCTACCCCAAGTGCCCTTCCCCATCTGGCTCACTTCTATTCCTTCTCTTTCAACCTCAGCTTGAGGAGTGTGATGGTTAATTTTATGTATCACCTTGACTGGGCCACAGGGTGCCCAGATATTTGGCCAAACACTATTCTGGGTGTGTCTGTGAAGGTGTTTTTGGATGGGATTAACATTTGGGTAATCCCATGGGAGACTGAGTAAAGCAGATGGCCCTCCCCAATGTGGCTGGGCTTCATCCAATCAGTTGAAGGCCTGAATAGAACAAACAGGCTGAGTACGAGCGAATTCCTTCTGCCTGACTGCCTTCAAGCTGGGACAGGTTTTTTCCCTGCCTTTGGACTTGAACTGAACCGTTGGGTTTTCCTGGGTCTCAAAGCTGCCAGCAGCCAATCTTAAGATTTGTCAGCTTCCATCATTGCATGAGCCAATTTCATATAATAAATCCCTTAATATGGAGTGCAGTGGCGCCATCTCAGCTCACTGCAAGCTCCGCCTCCCAGGTTCACACCATTCTCCTGCCTCAGCCTCCTGGGTAGCTGGGACTACAGGCACCCGCCACCACACCCAGCTAATTTTTTTTCTATTTTTAGTAGAGGCGGGGTTTCACTGTGTTAGCCAGGATGGTCTCGATCTCCTGACCTCGTGATCCGCCCACCTCGGCCTCCCAAAGTGCTGGGATTACAGGCGTGAGCCACCGCGCCCGGCTGCAAGTTTTTAAAATATAAAATCCTGGGTATAAACTCAACTGTTAGTGATGTGCTCTTTCTCCTCAATGAGAATGGCAGAAAAGTTCTGATTATTCATTGTCCCAGGGAAGGAGGAATAAGCTGAGGAAGAAAGAGATCTGAAACAAGGGTCAGGAAATGTGGGCTCCAGGCCAGGATACTCAGATACGTATAAATTTCAGATAAATAACAAATAAAAAGATTTCTAGCATAAGCATTTCCTCAAAATTGCATGGAGCATACTTGTACTAAAAAATAGCTATTGTTTATCTGAAATTCAAATTGATCTGGGCATCCTATAGTTTTATTTTTTAAGTCTGGCAACGCCATCTCCCAGACTCACACCCACTCACTTCTTCCGTGGCAGGTACTATTGTGACTTCTCTCAAGAATGTGACAGGCAGGGATCACTCCTTTTGAAGCATTATTCACAATAGCCAAAGGTAGAAACAGCCCAAATGTCCACCAGTTTGGCTCAAATATCCATCAGCTTATGAGTAGGTAAACAAAATGTGGTTTATCCATGCAATGGAGTACATTCAACCATAAAAAGAATGAAGTACTGATACACGTTACGACACAGATGAATCTTGAAAACATCACGCTGAGTGAAAGAGGCCGGGGTCACAAAAGGCCACATACTGTATGATTCCACTTGTATTAGGTCGGTGCCAAAGTAATTGCGGTTTTTGCCATTTAGAAGTAATGACAAAAACCGCAATTACTTTGGCACCAATGTAATATAAAATGTCTGGAGTAGGCAGAGCCGTGGACACAGAAAGCAGGCTGGTGATTTTCCAGGGGTTGGGGGAGGGTGGGACTGCTAAAATGGGTACAGGTTTCCTTTAGGGGTGATGAAAATAATACGAAATTAGATCATGGTAACGTTGCACACCATTCTGAATGTACTATCACCAGTGGCAAATTTTATGTTATGTGTAATTAACCACAATAATAATAAAAACAAATTGCTCATGTTAACCTCAGTGTACCTCCTCCCTGTGTGTTAGGAGTTGAATCGTGTCCCCCCAAAAGATATGTCCTAACCCCCTGCACCAGTGAATGTGACCTCATTTGGAGATAAGGCCTTTGCAGATGAAAGTAAGTTAAGGTGGGGTCATGAGTGTGGGCTCTAATCCAATATGACTGGGGTCCTCATAAAGAGAAGATGGAGCAGAGAGACACATCAGAACACGTGTCACCACAGGGACACAGACCGAAGTGCTGCAGCTGCAAGCCAAGGAATGACTGGGGCTACCAGGAGCGGGAAGAGGCAAGGAAAGATCCTCCCCTTGAGGCTTTGGAGGGAGTGTGGCCCTGCCAACACTGCCTGTGTGAACTTCTGGCCTCCAGAACTGCGAGAGAGACGGTTCTGTGTTGTTTGCAGCCACCAAGTTTGTGGTATTTGTTACAGCGTAAGGAGGACATCCTCTGAGCATCTCCTCCCACTCCCTATCCCAGCCCAGCCAGAAACTGCCCCCCTGAGCTTTGAGAAGCAGCACGGGACCACAGGCGTGTCATTCCATTGCCTCAGTTTTAAATATTTATTTAAAATCCAGAGGGGAAAAGGAGAAACGGAACCCATTGGGGTTTTAATACACTGACATGTGGACAGAGACGTAAACGAAGACAGCAGGAAAACCCAAGAATGAGACAGAGGCCAGTGGATTCTGGCAGCAGGAGGGATCCGAGCGCTGAGATGAGGCCCGAGCTGCTACAAACACGCACTTCCACGCAGAGCGTCCAGGCTGGGGCGGCAGGGCGAGGATACAGAAGTGTTGGGAGGGGGGACGGGCCAAAGTGAGGTATTAAATAATAAAAATCAAATCCAATTCCCAAAGAGACACAACTTTAGGAGAGAAATACACAAATAGAGACTTTCACATACATTTTCCCCTTCTATAAAAATAATTCCATGGTTAAAATAACCTCAAAATCCAATTCAAGCGCCGACTTGTTCGCTGATGTAGCACAATTCAGAGGACGCTGAACGTCACTATGGTGTCGAACTCCGAGATTCCCATTATTATTCTGTCTCCTTGACCCAAATTTACACTTGGAGCTAATGACAATGGGTTTCTACAGAATTTAATGACAATGAAAAAGCAGGAACGATGATTGCATCTTGCAAGGACAGGCTCCTGGAAGTGAGGACCTCGGAAGAGGCGATGCGGCTTCCTGAGATGGTTCCATGTTGATGCTTCACCTCTAAGCCTAGCCCTGACCCAACGCCGCTTTTGTGATTGGTTTCTTCAAGGTCAAGTTTTCACCCAAGACCTCTCCAGGGCACGCCTTCCAAGGCCAGCCTCACCTCCCTCCAGGACCGTGAAGGGCCAAGCCAACATGCTTCGCACCCAGGCCTCCCTGCTGCCTTAAAAGGACAGACATTTCAAAGTCCATAAGTTATATGGTAAATCTCTCTACTTCTGGTTTCTGGTAGGGTTTTTGTTTTTGTTTTTGTTTTGCTTTTTTTTTTTTTTTTTCCTTTTTTCTTTTCTTTTTTCCTCCTTAGCAGATTACCTGATGAGCACAAGGGCGATGCTAGGAAAATTCAAAAATTCCCCAAACTTTGTCATTTGGAGGAGAGAGAAAGATGCGGATGATGCCCCACATCCAAAAGTTTCTTCAAAGTCTGTGGCAAAATAATGGTAGCACCTTCAGAATCTTAAATAGGGATTTTTTTTTTTCCTTAAAAAAATCACATACACTGTGAGAGACAATTGTGAGCACCAGCGATTTCACAGTGGGAGGTAGCAAACGTGGGCACCCCCAGCCCGAGGATCTCGCCGCTTCCCACGCCTGGCTGCTCCTTCCCATCCTCTCACCTCTTTCCCGGGTGAAAAAAAAATAGTAACGCACCTTCTTTTTGTTTGTTTAAATAATATATATATACACTTCTGTCTTTCCTTTTCTCCTTTTTTCATGTCTCCTTTCTAATATTGCACATCAATAGCTCCCTAGCAGGGACCAGCTGACGAGACGCCCCCTTCCCTCAAGTTGGCTTGAATGTGGGGCTCTTTGGGCAGGAAGCTGGGGAGGGAACGGGGTGGCCGCAGAGCTGAGAGGCCACGGGGCTCAGGCAGGTTGCAGGTCCAGCTTACTCTGGCTGGCTCTTTGGTTGGTCTTTGGGGCTAAGCTGGGATCCATTGTTCCCAAGGACACCCTATCCCCTCCTACCCCCACCCACTTCTACTGGGCAGACAACAGCTGGGGTCTGCCCAAGGACCCTTGGGCAGGGGAGCTGCCTCTCCTGGAGCCATCTGCCCCTCAGTACCCTCCCCTTGCCTCTTCCTCTTCCCTCCTCCGTGAGGCCTAGAGTGGCCACGAGGTCAGAGGTCAGAGGAAGCACGCAGGTCCAACTTCCAGGCGGTACTGCTTCCCTGATGAGGCAGGAGGGAGGTTGTCCACACTGATGATGGGCAGCTGTTGGGGGTCTTGGGTCCGGAAGGTGAAGAGTGTCTGATGCCAGCGGCCATCTTGGACCTGAAGGCAGAAGGAAAAGTGCACACGTACATCCATCGTGATTCTTATCATACATCATGAGCATTTTCCCTTCCATCTTTCCTCACAATTTTTAATGGCTATACTGTATTTCATTGTAGCAATGACCTATATGGCACATTTAGATTGCTTCCACTCTTTTTATTCTTGTAAGGAATGCTGTCATGAACATCACTGTAACTAAACCTTTGTGTGCATTCTTATTTCCCTAGAACAAATTCTAGAAGGATTGTTCTAGATTGCTAGACCAAAAAACAAGTACATCTCATATACATATATATATATTTTTTAATTTATTTTTTCAATAAGTTTTTGGGGAACAGGTGGGGTTTGGGTACATGAATAAGTTCTTTAGTGTACACGGTACCCAATGTGTAGTCTTTTACCTCTCACCCCTCTCCCACCCTTTTCCCTAAGTCCTCAAATTCCGTTGTACCATTCTTATGCCTTTGTGTCTTCATAGCTTAGCTCCCCTGAAAATAAGTACATTTCTAAGGTTTTGGATATATATTAGAGCTGCTATCCAGAAAGCCTCTACCAATTTATTTTCTTCCAACAGCTTCATGCGAGATTGTTGGTTTCCCCACATCCTCATGAACACTGTGTAGTATTATTAGTTTTGTTTAGTCTTATAAAACTGATTTTTGCCTTTTCTCAACTTTCTGTCTTCCCCTCCCCTGACAACCCACCCTGTTCAGGACATTTGAAAATGACCAAAAAATATAATGAGAAGAAATTAGCCTGACTAGGGTGGGAGCAGGAAGAAGAAATGTATCTTCTTTGAAAGAGCCTTGCAAGTAAGTACAACATCTACTAGCCCAAAGAATTTTTACCAGCCCAGACCTCCCCTCATAGCTTCCCAGAGAGGAAAGTGAGTAAAAACGATTTTAGAAAACTGTTATATTACACAAAGATGAAATCATATCTATCACATTAATATAGTATACTATTAAAATGTTAGATATAATCTTATAATAGAAACACATTTTTCCAAACAAGTGTTTTTCCAGTTGTCCCCACATGAAGGGCCTAGGAGGGGCTCTGAGAGTTACCTTGCAGCCATCCATGGACACCTCGGGCCGGAACTGACCCCCAGCTTCAAAAATCTGTCCATTCCAGGCCCGGAAGCGTACGGCCTGCTTGGCTGGGGTCTGCCCAGTGCCCTCCTGCCACACGGTCATGTTAAGGCAGTGGATGGTGATGTGCTGGGTCACCTCGGAGCTTAGCAGGTGCAGGAAATTCATCTGGACCCGGCTGATGGCAAACTCGACCTATAGAGAAGCAACGGCAGTGAGCGGCTCAGGCTGCCCCCCACACCCCCCACACCGAGGGTTCCCTGCCTCTCTATGGAGGGAACAGGGATAGGCCCCTTCCTGGCAAGCATTTCCTGATATGCTCCCAGACATGTGCCCACTTGATAGACGGGGAAACTGAGGTCTGCGTGAGCTGGTCTTACAGGTTCTTGGCTGCGTAAGTGGGAAGGGCCTGCCTGACTCCAGAGCCAGAGCTTCAAAGATCTTGGTGCCATCTGATCCACTCCCTTACTGTATGGGGGGTCTTTGGGCTGAGCTAGGATCCAGGAGCTCAGCGAGGGAGAGGGTTTTGCCCAAGACTAAGAGGCTCATGGAATGCAGAGGAAATGAGAGGTGTTTTCGAGACCCTTCCTAAGTCCCAAGATCCCTGTGAGGTGCGATGGGGTGCTGCCGGAAATGGCAGACCTGAGAGCAAACAACACGGCAGGATTTGTGGCTTCAGCACTTTCCCACACAGAGCCAGGGCCTCTCCCTGCCATTGTTTCTGATGGAGAAGGTGACCCAGTTGGGCATTCATGCCACCAACCCAGGCGCCAACTCCAGCCTCACCCCTCTGCTAGGCAGGTTTGCTGCGTGATCCCAAAACCTTCGAGTCACCAGGGAAGAGAGCCTGTGGAGGTCACCAAGTCCCTGCTGGACTGTGAGCTCTGGCCGCAGGGGAGTTTCGAGTCTGACCTCCCCGTCCTGGCTCAGGGCCTGGCACATGATAGGGACCCAACAAAGACCTGGCTACTGGCTGGCTGCCTCTCCTAGAGATTCTCAAACTGCCAGTCTGACCCAGTCAGCACAAGGCATCTCCTAGGGGATGTGGCTGATGAAATGGGAGGGTTCCTTTCCCCCGCAGTCGGAGCAGCTTCTCACTGTGGCATAAATTGCCCCCAAATTCGGAAGGCTTAGTGGAACTACAGACCCACAATCCACTGAGGATCCCTGGGCGAGGGAGCTGTCAGGTCTCATGCTGCCACCTGCCTTGGTTTGTTGTTGAGTGGCCCTGTACCACCTAAAATGCTCAACCCAGAAACAGGCACGTGGTACGCAGGCATTGAACATGAGTTAAGTATTCGCATACATAATTCACACAACATGCTTCAGATGAGCATCATGCTAGTTTTCTCTTTTATTTCATGCTGATGATTCATAGTTCCACAAGCCAGGCCAGCTTGGCCAACTGCTCTGCTTTAGATATTAGGCAGAAGATTCTATTTGAAGAAAGAATCATCAGCATCATATGACTCGAAAGGGTTTGTGGTTACAAATTAGTCCTACTCACTCCCAATTTATAGATAAGGAAACTGAGTCTCGGAAGGAGGCGATAACTTTCCCAAGGGCATGCAGTAAGACAGGCACAGCTCAGAACAGAACCTGGGTTGGTTGTGGCCCAGGGCAGGCTGGGGATAGAGGCAGACAGCCTGGTGGGCAGTGTGGGAGCTGATGGGTACCTTGGAGGCCGTGATGGGCTTGAGACACGTCTGTCCACCATGAGTGAAGTTGCAGGAGACCTCGATGGTGTCAGAGGAGCAGCCAAGGTTTGGATCCACCCAGTAGGTACCTGCAGGCAGCGTGGGATGGAGGTGATGTATGTATCTGGGGGATGAGCCCATTCCTTGGTTCTGTAGATGGACCCTGCATCTTGTGACCTGCCGAGCCCCAGGTGAGCATGAAGTCAGGGTGGGTGAGCAGAAAAGGGATTCCTCCAACCGAGATGGAAGGAAACCTTCTGGGCAGAGCTCACAACTGGCAGAGCCCCCAGAGGAGGGGTCACATGGCTAAGTACTTGCCTATGTTGCTACTGGGATGTATCCATTTTACAGAGAAGACAACTGACATTGAGAGAGGCTGGGTCACTTGCACAAGGGTTTGGGGGATCACCTAGTTGAATGGATTCTTCGAGGCCTAGGGCTCCTCCTAGGGCCTGCCGGGGGAGGGTAGGAGTCAGGTCTCCCACCCCATCAGCCAGCGCTGCTGCTTACATCTAGCTTCCCCACTGGGCTTCTCAGGAAGCCAAAACCTTTGCAGCTCAAGAGTGGAACAACCAGCCATCTAGTCCCAGCCGCTTGTGCAGAGGAGGCAAGGGCAGCTCGGGATGGGGCCGTGGCTTGCCCCAGCTCACAGACCAAGTCTGAGGCAGAACTGACATTGGAACTCAGGTCTGTCTGGCTCCGCAGCTTGTCCTTCACAGCACCACATCAGCTCACAGATGAGAGAGCAGAGTCCTCATGCTCAGAAAGGGGGAAAATCCTGGCTCACCCGGGAGCCTGTGACAGGATGGGCCCCAGGGGTGGGGACTCTTACAGCCTCAGGAGCTTTTTCTGCCAGAGCTCTTGTCTCTTTGCACTGAAATGGTCATCCCCAGCATGCGGATCTTGGTATATTGTGAGGCTCTGTGACTGCTGAGTGAATAAATGACTGCCAGTGTATCTGTCTTGCTGAGGACAAAAACTCAGCCAAAATGCGGCGGAAATCAAATACTCCACCTGCCCCAGCTCCCCACCGCCAGGCGCACCCACCCCCGGCAGGAAGCCTTCTCACCATCCACCATCTTCTGCTCACAGTCCATGAGGTCCCTGCAGACCCGGGCGGGGTTCTCTTTGGTGCCCAGGGGCGTCTTAATGCTCTGGATGAGGTTGCTGAGGTAGTGTAAGGTTTTAAAGATCTCTCCTCCCTGGTCCAGCACCAGCCGGTCTGGATAGCTGTAACTCTGTCACGAGGAGAGGGTGGTCATTGGGACCTTAGGGTCCTGGTCCAGCCTGGGGTTCAAGCCTCCACAGCCCCCAGTTCTCACAACCTGGGAGGTATCTCGGTTCCACGGTCATGGCTAGAGCACGGGTTGGGTTTCTCTTTATTTTGCAGACAAGAAAACGGGCCAGGGACAAAGTGCAGGAGGAGAGGCTATCACAATGGCTCAGAGGCTTGAAAAGAGCTCAGGGTCAGACCATGTTCTCTGATATGGGACAGGCAGAGCCCCGTGAATGAGGTAGGCGAGGGTGCGTGGGACACTCGGCAGCGGCCCAATCTCTATCTGCAAAGAGCCTGTGGAGGAAGGGGAGGTGCTGGGGGGAGCTGACTTGGGGGTCACACAGCCCCCACTGGGCTCCCCTAGGGTGGGAGCCAGGGTCTCTGTGAGGCACCAGGAGACGGGACTGGGGCCAGCAGGCACAAGTGCTGGGAGGAGGACTTCAGCTCAGAGAAGGAGCAGATCTCCACTAGGGGGCAGGAGGGGACCACAGATGCTAAACAGCCGGCCATTCAGGGTTACCCTGGCCAGAATTCTCCCTTAAGCCTCAGCTTCCAGAGCTACAAATCAGAGCTAAATAAACCCTCCTTCCACTGGGGGTGGCGGAGGTCACGTGTGTGTGTGCACGCATGTGTGAACGTGTGTCAGAGACCAGCAGCCGCTCACCCAATCCATTTCTTCTGCCTGGACAGACTACATCTTCAGCCTTATTTGTGCTCTAGCCAACGGGATGGAAGTGGAGCGATGCTAGCCCCATAGAGGCCTGGCCCAGAGACCCTCCTGCACAATTCTCTACACTCTCTTTCCCCGGTGGTGCCTCCCCCTGGTGTGGAGTGACCTTGGGAGCCACGTGTGGGAGAGGAAGAGGGCAGAGCCCCTGGCAGGTAGCCAAGGTCTCTCATCAACAAGCCAATTAACTTTTACGTGCACGAGAAATAAGCCTCTATTCTACCGCCAATGCAGAGTGGGTAGGAGGTGCTTGATAAACGGAGCCACTTTCCTTCATCATGTTAAGGATGTTGCAGGTCAGCGCTCTCCTGTGCGGCATCACTGGCTTCTAGGGATGGAAGGAAACGCTTCCCTTCTCCAGCCGCACTGGATCCTGAGTGTTCCCCTCTCTTTCCACTGACCTCCCCGGACAGATGGTAAGGGGCTCATCCATGCTGTCCTCCACCCTAGACTGTGAGCCCTCTGAAAGTCAAGGCTGTGACTGGCCATCCATCTGTCTCAGCATCCAGCACAGGGAACAAACCGAAATGTTCATAGGAGGTTTGAGCTGGGGGCAGTAAGTTCCCTGTCATGTGAAGGAGGCAAGGCTGCAAAGGGGGCTCCTGACCGAGGCTGGACTAGAGGACATGGGACTCCCTTCTCAGCCTGGAGTCTTACAGCTGAGTTAACCACAGGGCAGGTTCTTAGCAGAGCCCCACGAGCTAACCATGAGCTTCTTACTCCTGAAGAAACGTGGGGATGAGCACTGGGAAGCTGCTGCGGGCTCTGGGCCCAGGCAAGCTTCTCCCCCTGACTCCAGCCAGCAAGAGCTTGGAGACTCTGAGAGGCCTCCGGAGAAAGCTCAAGGGTTCAGGGCCTGTTTCTGGCCTTGCTCTGCCTGCACTGGCCATGGGACCTTGGACTCACTGCCCATTCTGAGTTTCAGTACAAACCCCCATTTGTGGATGCGAGATGCCACCAAGACCAGGACTCTGAAATGCTCCATGCAGGCCACATGGAAGGCACTGACCACATGTGGGCCATTATCTATTTGCGTTTCTCCCAGGAAGGGATCCCACATGGGGAGAGCCCCTGGAGATACCTCTGGCCTGAGTGCTCCACTGGTGTCCATCCACGTCTGGAAAGCTGCCCCAAGATCATCTTGTTGCTGGGCAAGGAAAAGACAGGGTATGTATCGTGGCCCCCCAGGGTTCTCCACACCCATCAAGTGGGAGCCCCAGGGCCACATTCCCTGGCAGGATCTTGGCCAAGTCATATGCCCTCTGCAGAACTCTCGGTCCTTCCTCTCTTTGCAGACAGTCAAAGCTGACCCTGCCATTCCCTTTCCCCAGGTACTAATAGCTCCCCATGGCCCTCAGGATTAAGTTCAGACTCCTCAACATGGTTATAAGACCCAGTTTGAACACTGTGGTCTTGAGCCATGTCTCCTTCCTCTCCCTCATATGTGCTCTGGCACCAGCCGCACTATAGTACTTCTAAGTTCCTAAACGCCATGATCCATCTGGCCATGGGGCCTTTGCACATGCTGTTCTCATTGCCTGGAGGACCTCTCCCTCCCTTCAATGCACCATCTGGCTATCTCCTATACCAGTGGTTCTCAAGGAGAGGCGACAATGCCCCCCAGGGGATATTTGGCAATATCTGGAGACAGTTTAGTTGTTCAAGCCGGGGGAGGGGGTACTACTTGTATCTGGTGGTTAGAGGCCAGGAATTCTGCTAAACATCCTCCAGGACAGTCACTCACAGCAAAGAATTATGCAAATGTCAGTTGCACTGTGTCTCAGAAAACCTGCCCTAGACTCATCCTATAGATGTCAGTTGTGATGGGAAGCCTCTCCCGAAGCTTCTGACTCCAGGCTAAGATGAGGGAGGCCCCCTTTCTCTATGCCCCCAGTCCCCGTGTTTCTCCTTTGGCTCGCACTTTAATAGTCTAATATAACTTTGCACTCCCAACCCTACCACTGGGCTTGGCAGAGACATAGCCGTGGTCTTGCCATGAAAACAGCAAAAGCTGAGGCCTGGGGTCCAGAACGGGGGACTCTGGGGCTACTCCTCAGGGTCAAATTCCAGACCTGCCACTTACTAACTGCATAATCTGGGGAAAGCTGCTTAACTCTTTCTCAGTTCTTTCATCTTGAAAATGGACCTGATAATAAAACTTCCTCACAAGAACTGCTGAAAGGAACACATGAGTGAATACATGAAAAGCACCTGTAGCCCGGCCACGGTGGCTCACCCCTGTAATCCCAGCACTTTGGGAGGCCGAGGCGGGTGTATGGCTTGAGGTCAGGAGTTCAAAACCAGCCTGGCCAACATGGTGAAAACCCATCTCTACTAAAAATACAAAAATTAGCTGTGCGTGGTGGTTCGCGCCTATAATCCCAGCTATTCAGGAGGCTGAGGCAGGAGAATTGCTTGAACCTGGGAGGAGGAGGTTGCAGTGAGATGAGATCGTGCCACTGCACTCCAGCCTGGGAGACAGAGCAAGACTGTGTCTCAAAAAAAAAAAAAAGAAAAGAAAAAAAAAGAAAAGCAAAGCACCTGTAATGGTGTCTGGCATTGAGCAAGCACTCAATTAGCATTAGTAGTGATTATTCAAAAAAATGCAAAATCCTCTAATTTTCTGTTTTTCCTGGATCTTTTCACTTTCCTTTCCCTGCCTTTCTTACTGATGAGAAGGACAAGGGAAGGCTGCAGAGGAGAGGCCAGGGCTGTCACTCTGTCTTTGAGGATGGTGCAGAGGGAGTGGCAGTGAGAGCAGGCATGAGGAGAGCAGAGGTTCTGAATGACGCATGGCTCAAGGGCTCCTGGCCCATTCAGTCTTTCCTCGAGGCTGTGCCCTGGGATGCTGTTGGGGCCTGATGGTAATAGTCGTGTAGCCACCGTGCAATAGTACAATGTGGATGGACTCGTCATAGGGCTTGGGAGGAGTCATGCTCTCAGATAGGGCCACAGTGGCCAATAGGGAAGAATGCAGGGGCCCCAATCTGCCCCCCTGGCCCGACTCTCTTTGTTTTTTTTTTTTTTTGTTTTTTTTGTTTCTTTTTGAGACAGAGTCTTGGTCTGTTTCCCAGGCTGGAGTGCAGTGGCTCGATCTTGGCTCACTGCAGCCTCCTCCTCCCGGGTTCAACCTCTCCTGTAGCTGGGATTACAGGTGCCACCCACCACACCCAACTACTTAAGTATTTTTAGTAGAGACAGGGTTTCACCATGTTGGTCAGGTTGGTCTCGAACTCCTGACCTCAGGTGATCTGCTCGCCTCGAACTCCCAAAGTGCTGGGATTACAGGCATGAGCCACTGCGCCCGGCCCCAACTCTCTTTGGATTCAGAATCTGAGATGTACAGACCCTTGCAATCAGCCCACGTGTATGGAGTACACAGATAGGGCCATGAACCCGGTGGCTGGAGCATCTTCCCGGATTCAGTCAGAGGCAACTCAAAAACTTAGGTTTCCTGCCTCCTGGCCCAGGGCTCGTTCTGTTGCTTCCGGGTCCAAGTCTCCAGTATGAAGTGACAAAAGGACATGGGCGTCCCTAGACCCAGCTTAGGGCTCTAGCCACCAGGGCCAGAGAGGGCCAGCAGCCTCTTCCCCCAAACCCCTCAGGCCTTACCCCAAGTAGGCAAAAGAGAAGGTTTCCAACTTACCAATTGGATAGGACCCCCTGGAGGACCCTGCAAAAGAAGACTGCGGGTCAGTCAAATGACAGGGACAGTGTGCTGGAATCTGAGAGGGTGTCAGGAGACCAGGGAGACCATCAAAGCATGCAGGACCTGCCAAGCTGGCCTCTGCTTTCCCGGAGGCTTGGTGGGCCCCAGTGGGCTGGTCTATGCTTTTCTGGAGGCCTGGCCCCTAGGTGTTACCCCACGTAGGCAAAAGTGAATGTTCGGGGGATGCCCTATACTCTCCTAGGAGTCTGTGGGCTACAAGAACCCCTGTGGGGTTCAGGGTCAAGGCTTAGTCTGCCGGTGAAGCCTTGAATCTCCTTCAAAGGAACCCCCCAGGAGTCCAAGATGCACCCAGCACTCAGTTACCTACCGGGGGGCCGGGCCGCCCTCTGGGGCCGGGAGGACCCTGGGGGAACAAGAGAAGAAGAGTGAGCCCTGGTCCACAGGGTCTTCATCTCTCCCCAACCCAGTCCCTCCTCAAGCAGACCTGGGACCCAGGGACAATGGTTCCTCTGGCACAGACGGGATGACGGAGGTCCGGAGGGAGAGAATGTACCACCGGGAGGAGAATGCAGGGTGCCCGCCCCACGCCCCGCCCCACAGCCCTCATGCCCAGCCCACTCACCCTCGGACCTTGCAATCCCTGGAGGGAGACAGAAGCAGGGGAGAGAGTTAGGGAACCTGGCTGAGCCATGGCCCAACTCTGGGAGCCCACCCCTCCCCCGCCCCTGCAGTGCTGCATCCCTCAGCCCCAGCCCATCCA
Source organism: Homo sapiens (assembly GCF_000001405.40). Classification (NCBI taxonomy): domain Eukaryota; kingdom Metazoa; phylum Chordata; class Mammalia; order Primates; family Hominidae; genus Homo; species Homo sapiens. The sequence continues at coordinate 114,301,324 of NC_000009.12, read as the reverse complement.
CTTACCCAGTCCCCACGGCTGCCTTTGTCACCCTTCGGACCCTGCAACAAACCACGGCCCAGTGAGACAGGGCCCAGAGGTGAAGCCCCATTTCCAGATGAGGAAACTGAGGCTCAGACTGGCACTGAGTCACAGAGACAATCTGGAGCCAGGAAGGCAAGGGGACCCCGGAGTCTTCCTGTCCAATCCCCACACATACCGGGAGTCCCGAAGGTCCCAGGATTCCGAGGGGCCCGACGATGCCTTCCTTTCCCTAAAGGAGACAGAAAGGCTCATGTGTCCTTGTTCCAGGGCCTGGGGAACAGACACGGGGAGCGGGGTGGAGGGCAGCCCGAGCGTCGCAAGGGAGTAGAAGGGAGACCATCTGAAGCGGGCCCAGGCCATGCATCTCCTGAGCCCCTCATTTGTGCCTAGGGGTGGACTTCAAGAGTGGGGCGATGGGGGCAAGAGTGAAAGCGGGGAAGGATGGGGGCTGAGCTGGTGGGAACGGCAGGAGTGAAGGTGGGAACCAGGCCTGTGGGCAGAAAGGGCTCATGAGTCAAGGAGCAAGAGGAGGATGAAGACAGGCCAGCTGATGGCTGGCCAACCTTGGGCCTAGGACAATCATCTCTGCTCCGACAGCAGGGAGGGAACTCACCATCAAGCCAGGTGGCCCCCGAGGGCCCTGGATGCCTTTGAAGCCAATGTCTCCAGGCGGGCCCTGTGGGAGGCAGAGAAAGGGCTGTCTGTACTTGGCAGCCACTGGGTAAAGGGCCCCCACAGCTCCCTCACCCCTGGGGTCTGTCAACCTTTGCCCTTCTTGTCAAGAGAGGCCTTACCTGAGAGGCCCCAGAAGGAGTAAGAAACACCTACAATTATTCAGCAGGTACCAGCAGTGTGTTGGCTCAGTGCTGTGTGGCATATGCCCCTGGTCTTTATTTTTGCAACAGTCTTCTACTGTCATTGCTCCCATTTTACAGATGAGGAAACCAAGGCTTAGAGAGACTAAGTGACTTTGCAAGGCACAGAGCAGGTAATTGTGTAGCTGGGCTTGGAACCTAGATCTTCTGGAGTACTGGGGGATGAGGGTGTTCATGCCTGATTCTGGCTGTTTTCCAGCCAATGTTTTCAGTGCTCCATAAATATTTGTTGAATGAATAAATGAATGAATGGGGTGAATGGATGGGACCCCACAGGAACAGTGAGCCGTGGGAGTCCATACCTTGGGTCCGAAGAGACCTGCCATTCCTGGGAAGCCCATCTCGCCAGAGTCGCCCTGCAGGAAGAACAGGAAGTGATGGAGCGAGTGAGCTCATGGTCAGCGTGTCCCGCCAGCCACCTGGGACCTCAGGGCCTGCCTTTTCCCTCCCAGCCTTTCCAGGGATATCAGTGACTCCTCTGTGAAGCGACCAAGTGAGTGTGAACAGCTCACAAACTAGATGCCAGTCCGCCTGGGCTCTGAGGGGAGCCTGTGCTCTCCGTCAGATGAGAAAGAGGAGCCCGGCTCAGGGATTCCACAGAGGAGGCTCTGCCACACTCAGGAGCTCCTGTCCCAGGTCTTCAAGGGACAGAATAAAAGGGCCTGCAGCCTCCTCCCACAGCTCTGAAAAGCTCTGTTAAGGAAGGATTCCCCTAAAAACTAAAAATAACCCAGTTCACTGAGGGCCTGTTAGGTGCCGGATGTTTTGCCTGGACCGCCACACTTCCATGCTCCCACATCAACCCAGGGACACACCATATCCCCTGTTTACAGATGAGGAAACAGGCTCAGAGAGGGCAGGAACTTGCTAAAAGTCACGCAGACACCATGTTGTGGACTGTGCTAGATTCAAACCCAGTGTGAACGATTCCAGGAACCTTTGGCCTCCTTTCCTGACCTCTGCTCCCAATCTTGTAAAGGGTTAGGAGAGCAATTGGCAAGGGGGCATGCTGGGGTCTGAGCCAAGAAGGGAGGGCTGGGGGCCCCTGGAGGCAGAAGAGCCTGCCATTATTACACATTCTTGGGGCTTGGCCTTCAAGCTCATAAGCAGAAAGCCATGTATTAGAATCTCCTAGCCTTATATTATAAGACCAGGAGCAAGTCACCTCCCTTTACTGAGCCTCAGTTTCCTCATCTGTAAAATAGGATAATACGTCATCTCCCTCCCAAGGGGCTGGAAGGATGCAATGAGACCAGGCAGGTCAAGACCCAGTGCTGATGGAGGTAGGCTGAGGGGTCAGGCTTCGGGAGGGTCCCATTTAATCTAAATTCTACCTGTTCATTTTTAAAAGATAATAGCTTTATTGAGCTATTGGTGGTTCTCTTGGTGGTTTTCATTTGTCTTATCAATGCTTATTGGATATTTGTGTATCTCCTTTGGAAAAAATGTCTACTTGAATACTTTGTCCGTTTTAAATTTGGATTGTCTTTTTATTCTTGAGTTGTAAGGGTTCTTTATATATTAGAGATACATGTTCCTTATCAGAGATATGATTCGTAAATACTTTCTCCCCTACTGTGAGTTTTTTCACTTTCTTGATGGTGCCTTTGGAAGCACAAAAGTGTTTGATTTTGATGAAGTCCAATCTATGTACTTCGCTTTTGTTGGTGTCATATCTAAGAAACTATTACCTAACACAAGGTTATAAAAATGTGTTTTTATGTTTTCTAACAGTTGTACAGTTTTAGCCTTTACATTGGTCTATACTTCATTTTTAGCTAATTTTTGCATGTGGTGTGAAGCAGAGGTCCAAATTACTTCTCTGGTACGTGATATGTGATTGTGTGATTGTCTCAGCACTGTTTATTGAAAAAAAATTCTTTTCCCATTCAATTGCCCTAGCACTCTTGCTAAAAACAACAGACATAAATGTAAGGTTTTATTTCTGTCTTGATTACTATACTTTTGTAATAAGTTTTGAAATTGGGAAGTGTGAGTTGTCCAACTTTGATCTTCTTTAAAGATCAAAATTTTGGCTATTCTGGGCCACTTGCATTTCCATATGAATTTTAGGATCAATTTGTCAGATTTCGTTAAAAAGTCAGCTTGGATTTTGATAGGGATTATATTTAATCTGTAGCTCTGTTTGTGGTAAGTATAGCCATCTTAACCACACAAAGTCTTCTGACCTATGAATATGAGATGTCTTTCCATTTATTTAGGTTTTCTTTTATTTCATCAACATTTTGAAATTTTCACTGAACATATCTTGTACTTTTTTTTTTTTTTTTAAGATGGGGTCTTGAGATGTTGCCCAGGCTGGACTTGAACTCCTGGGCTCAAGAGATTCTCCCATTTCAGCCTCCTGAGTAGCTAGGACTATAGGCACATGCCACCATGCCCAGCTTCTTGCACTTCTTTTGTTAGATTTCTTCCTATTTTATTCTCTTTGATGCTATTATAAATGGAAATGTCTTATTAATTTCATTTTTGAATTGTTCATTGCTAGTGTATAGACATATAATTGATGTTTGTATGTTATATATAGAAATGACATTTTTTGTATATTGATCTTATATCCTGCAACTTTGGTTTATTAGTTCTACTAATTTTGTTCAGTATAATATTGAATAGAAGTGGTAACAGTGGACATCCTTGGCTTGCTCCTGATCTTGGGGGAAGTGTTCAGTCCTCTACCATTAAATATGATGATACCTGTGGGATTTTCACAGATATTCTCTATCAGGTTGAGGATGTTCCCTTCTGTTCCTAGTTTGTTGTGTTTTCATCACGAAAGGGTGTTGGATTTCGTCAAATGCTTTTTCTGCATCTATTGAGATGACTCTATAATGTTTGTCCTTTATTTTATTAATATGGTGTATTACATTGATTGATTTCCAACAGTTGAACCAGCTTTGCATTTCTAGGATAAATCTCACTTTGTCATGGTGTAGACTCCTTTAGGCATATTGCTGAATTTGGTTTTCTAATATTTTATTAAAGATTTTTGTATCTGTATTCATAAGGCATATTTGTCTGTTGATTTCTTTCTTGTGACATCTTTTTCTGGTTGGGGTATCAGGATAATACTGGCTTCACAGAACCAGTTGCGTGATGTCCTAACTGTTCATTTTTGCACTCTGATGGCTGTCTCCTATACACCCATCAGGTGCAAAGAAGGGGTAATTTTAAAAACAGTCTTACTAAAGTAAAACTGAAGATAATAACTATACTATTTAAATTGTATAATCTGATTTGTTTTGACATATCTGTCTGTATTCACCCTTGTAATTGTCACAACAACCAAGACAATAACATCCCATAGCCCCAGAAACTTTCCTCACACCCTTTTGTAATCTTTCTTTCCTGCCTACCCTCCCATCTCCAGGAGCCATTGATCTATCTTCTTTCAATGCAGATTAGTTTGCATTTTCTATAATTTTATATAAATGAAATCACACAGTCTATACTATTTTTTATCTGAGTTCTTTCACTCAGCCTAATTATTTTGAGAATCATCTTATGTTGTTGCATATATTAATAGTTCAATCCATTTACTGATGAATTGTATTTCATTGCAAAATATACCACACTTTATCTATTCACCGGCTGATACACATTTGAGGTTTTTTTCAATTTGGGGCTATTATAAATAAAGCTGCTAAGCACCTTCAAGTATAGTCTTCATGTGGCTGAATGTCCTTATTTATGTAGGGTAAATATCTATGAGTGGAATGATTTGATTATACAATAGGGATATGCTTAACTTTCAAAGAAGCTGCCCAACTGATTCCATAGTGATTGTACCACTTTAAATTCCCATTATCAGCATTTGAAAGTTTCAGTTTCCCCATGTCTTTGCCAACACTTGGTATGGTTAGTCTTTTAAAACTCTTCACTATTTTAATAGGTATGCCATAGCATCTTATTGTGGTTTGAATGAGCATTTGTCTAATGACTAATGATATTAATCTTTTTCTCATGTGCTTATTTGCTATCAGTATACTTTCTTTGAAGTGTCTATTCAAATCTTCTGCCCATTTAAAAAAATTGGGCTGCTTATTTTTATTATTGAGTTTTGCGAGTTCTTTTTAGGTTCCGGATACAAATCCTTAATCAGATACATGATTTAGAAATATTTTCTTCCAGTATGTGGCTTGTCTTTTCATTCTCTTAATAGTGTCCTTTGAAGAGCAAAAGTTTTAAATGTTGATGAAGTCTGATTTATCACATTTTCTTTTCTGGGTCATGCTTTTGGTACCATATCTAAGAAATCTTTGTCTTATCCAAGTTCTTGAAGATGTCCTTCTATGTTCTAGAAGTGTTTTAATTTTCAGTTTTACATTTAGGTGTATGATCCAGGTTGAGCTAATTTTTGTACATGTTATGAGGCATCACTTGTCTGGCACCATTTGTTAGGAAAGACTATTTTGTATTTGCTGAATCGTCTTTGCACTTTTGTTAAAAATCAGTTGTCCAGGCCGGGTGTGGTGGCTGATGCCTGTAATCCCAGCACTTTGGGAGGCCGAGGTGGTGGATCACCTGAGGTTGGGAATTCAAGACCAGCCTGACCAACATAGAGAAACCCCATCTCTACTAAAAATACAAAATTAGCCGGGCATCGTGGTGCATCCCAGCTACTGGGGAGGCTGAAGCAGGAGAATCACTTGAATCCTGGAGGCGGAGGTTGCGGTGAGCTGAGATTGCACCATTGCACTCCAGCCTGGGCAACAAGAGTGAAACTCCATCTCAAAAAAAACAAAAAAACAAAAAAAAACCAGTTGTCCGTATATGTATGGTATATGTCTGGACCTTTCATTCTGTTCCTTTGATCTGTTAGTTATTTACGGCAATACCACAGTTTCGTGATGACTGCAGATTTGTAATAAGTCTTGAAATCAAGTGCCATTAGTCTGCCAACTTTGCTCTTCTCTTTCAATGTTGTTTTAGTTATTCTAAGTCCTTTATATTTCATATGTATATTAGGACCAACTTGTCATTTTCTACATGAAAACCCGATAAGCTTTACATTGGAATTGTGTTGAATCAATACACCAATTTGAAGAAATTTGACATCTTAATATTGAGTCTTTTGAAATATGCACACAGTATATATCTCCATTTATTTAAGTCTTCCTCAATTTCTCTTACCAGTGTTCTATAGTTCTCAGTGTACATATGTTGCACACTTAATGTCAGATGTATCTCTAAGTATTTCATGTTTTTATGCTATTATAAGTAGTATTGCTTTTTAGATTTCCATTTCTAATTGTTTGTTGCTAGTGTATAGAAATGCAATTCATTTGTGCACATTGATTAGTGTATAGAAATGCAATTCATTTGTGCTCATTGATTAGTGTATAGAAATGCAATTCATTTATGCATATTGCCTAGTATATACAATCACAATTCATTTGTGCATATTGATATGGTGTCTTGTGACCTTGTTAAACTCACTTATTCTAGTAGCTTTCTTGTGGATGCCAATGGATCTTCTACATAGACATTATTTCCTCTACAAATGAAAAGTTTTAATTCTTCCTTTTTGATATGAATACCTCCTATTTGTTTTTCTTGCCTTATTGCACTGGCTAGAATTGCCAGTACAATGTTGAATAGAAGTGGTGAGAACAGATATCCTTGACTTGTTTCTGCTCTGCTCCTTGGAAAAAAGCATTCAGTCAATCACTACTAAGTATGATGTTGACTAGGTTTTTCATGGATGTCCTTTATCAAGTTGAGGAACTTCTATACCTAGTTTGTTGAGAGTTTATCAGAAGTGGAGTTAGATTTTTCTCAAATGCTTTTCCTGCAACTACTGAGATGATCAAATGGGTTTTCTTTTTTGAGTCTGTTAATATAGTGAATTATACTGATTTATTTTCAAATGTTATACCATCCTTGTGTTCCTAAGATAAACTCCACTTGGTCTTGATGTATTATCCTTATTATATATTCTTAGGTTCCTCTAACTAAAATTTTATTGAGAACTGTGGTAGCTATATTTATGAAGCATATTGGTGTATTGTTTCCTTTTCTTGTAATATCTTGGTGTGGCTTTGACATCAGGGTAGAATCAGCCTCAAGGAAAGAGTTGGGAATTATTCTTCTCCTCTTCAATGTTCTGGAAAAGTTATGTAGAATTGGTATTCCTTCTTTTTTTTTTTTTTTTTTTTTTGAGACAGAGTCTCTCCCTGTCGCCCAGGCTGGAGTGCAATGGCACGATCTTGGCTCACTGCAACCTCCGCCTCCCAGGTTCAAGCGATTCTCCTGCCTCAGCCTCCTGAGTAGCTGGGATTACAGGTGTGCGCCACCACGCCTGGCTAATTTTTTTTTTTTTTTTGTATTGTTAGTAGAGATGGGGTTTCACCATTTTGGCCAGGCTGGTCTCAAACTCTTGACCTCGTGATCCACCCACCTCGGCCTCCCAAAGTGTTGGGATTACAGGCGTAAGCCACCGCGCCCAGCCGTTATTATTTCTTTTGTAAATGTTTAGTAGCATTTACCAGTGAAGCCATCTGGGCCCAGAGTTTCCTTTGTGGGAAGCTCTAACTACAGATTCAATTTCTTTAATAGATATAAGGCTATTTAGGTTATCAGTCTCTTCTTGATGACCTTTGGTAGTTTTGTCTTTCAAGGAATTTGTCCATTTCATCTAAGTCTTTAAATTTATTGTCATAAAATCATTTATAATATTCCCTTATTAGCCTTTTAATTTCTGTCATATCTGTAGTGACATTGCTCCCCTATCCCTGATACTAGTAACTTCTGTATCCTTTTTGTTGTTTTTGTTGTTTCCTGATTAGTCTGGCAAGAGGTTTATCAGTTTTACAGATCTCAAAAAGCTAACTTTTGATTTTCCTTTTTTTTTTTTTGGTTTATTTTTGATTTTCATTATTTCCTTCCCTCTGCTCACTTTGTTTTAAATTTGCCTTCTCCAGCCCCAACCCCCAGTTTCTTAAGACGGAATCCGAGACCATTTATTTGAGACCTGTCTTCTTTTCTAACACAGAAGTTATTACTATAAAGATCTCCCTATATATCAACAGCATTTCACCAATTTTTATATGCTGTTTTTTACTTTCATTCAATTCAAAATACTAACATCTCTTTTGGTCTCTTCTTTGACCCATGGGTCATTTAGACATTTGTTACTTAGTTTCCAGATGTTTGGAGATCTTTCAGATCTCTCTGTTATTGATTTATAATTTAATTTATTGATTGATTTTAAGGCTCAAAATAGTGTCTGTCTTGGTAAATGTTCTGAATGAACTTATAACGAATGTGTATCTTGCTGATATTGGATGTGGTGTTCTATAAATGTCAATTAGGTCATGTTGGTTGATAATGCAGTTCAAGACATCCTTACTGATCTTCTGTTTGCTTCTGTTCTACCCATTAGGAGAGAAATATATTGAAATCCTTGAGTATAATTGTGAATTTGTCTATTTCTCCTTGTAGCTTTATCAGTCTTTGCCTGATTATTTTGAAGATCTATTTTTAGGTGCATAAACATTTATGATTCTTATGCTATTTTGAAAAGTTGGCTTCTTTGTCATTATGAAAATACCTTCTTTATGACTGTTAGTAGTCTTTGCTCTGAAATTCATTTCATCTGATATTAAAATAGCTACTCCAGCTGTTTGGGATGAATGTTAGCACAGTATGTCTTTTTCTATATCTATCTTTAACCTACTTATATCTTTATATTTGAAGTGGATTTCTTGTAGCAGCAGATGTAGTTGGGTCTTGCTTTTTCATCCACTCTGACAATCTCAGCTTTAATTGGGGTATTGAAACTGTTTGTTGTGTGTTTTCTATTTGCCCTGTTTATTCTCTGTTCATTCTTCCTTCTTTTTCCAGGCAAGGGTGAGTTGAATGCAGCCTCTGGGACAGGGGGATGAAGGCAGTGAGGCACAGAATGAGCACTGGACTGGGAGTCAGGAGCGCCCACCTTCTGGTTGTGATCACCCTCTCCTCATTCTGAAGGAACCACTCAGGTCTCTTTCCTCAGCCTCCCCCACCACCTGGTTGAGGGGTGGCAGAATGGTATCTGGTACCCAGATTTTATACCTTGTCACAGAGCAAGGAGGTGGCTTCTGGGTCAGTGTGTTTGTGTGTGTGTATGAGTGTGCATGTGTTTGTACATGTAGGTGTATGTGAGTGTGTGCATGTGTGAGTGCGTGGGCATGTGTATTCTTTGGCGCTCACTCACCGGCTGGCCTTTGGACCCAGGCTCCCCCTGGTTTCCAGGGAGCCCCGTTCTGCCCTCTGTTCCTCGCTTGCCAGGGGGACCCAGCTGTCCGGGTAACCCACTCTCACCCTTAAAGAAACACACAAAAAATTACCAGTCAAAGTGGGAAGGGGTTCTAAGGCAGGAGGAGGCGGAGGGGGCCTGGGAGAGCCAGAACAGTGATTCCACAGGGTACCCGAGATTGCAGAATGCTGGGGCAACAAATGGAGGCCTGGTGGGGTAGGGGTGACAAGACTTTCACCTCCCAAAGAGGAAGGTCTCTGTCTCTCCTCTCGCATTCCGGGCCCTGCCTTCCCCTCTCCTCTCCCACAATTCCTCTCCTCCTTATTGCTTTTCCCCAACAGCATGCAGTTCCCTCCTTCAAACCTCAGCTCACACTCGTAGAATGCCTCCTCCCCATTTATTTATTTATTTTTATTTTTTTAGACAGAGTCTCGCTCTGCCGCCCAGGCTGGAGTGCAGTGGTGCGATCTCAACTCACTGCAACCTCTGCCTCCCCAATTCAAGCGATTCTCCTGCCTCGGCCTCCCGAGTGGCTGGGACTACAGGTGCCTGCCACCATGCCCAGCTAATTTTTGTATTTTTAGTAGAGACGGGGTTTCCCCATGTTGGCCGGGCTGGTCTCGAACTCCTGACCTCAAGTGATTCGCCAGCCTCAGCCTCCAAAATGCTGGGATTACAGGTGTGAGCCACTGTGTGGCCACCTTTTCCCCTTCTATTCTCATTCACATCTTCCCTGGGTCAAGGCCATCGCTCCCTCCGCCTCCTGTGTCTCAGAGGGTTCCAATCTTTCCCCCAATTAAACCTCGAGCTCAGAGAGGGCAAGAACCACATCTGAGTCATTCATCTACATCTCCCCTTCAGTGTCCAGCCCTTGGCTCTGACGGATTCATGGGGGCCCCCTCCTCCCACGCGGCACTGGGAAGCTTTCTAAGGATGCCTTGGGGATCCCGGCTGCAAGCAACGTGTTGTTCCACAAATGTCCACGAGAGGGCGCCCGTGGACAACTCAAAAACCAGTTGAAGGTTTCAAGGGCCTGGTAGGGGCGATATTTACAGCTCCCCAGATGAACTATCATTCTGGTTCAAGCTTGGGGCAGGACCCCCAAGCACTGCTGACGGAGAAAGGTCAACAATGTGGACTCCATTTTCACACAGGCCCTGGGACATGGGTGCCCAAAGGGTCGGAACCACTAGAGTCTGCATCAAGGCAGAAAGGGCAGAGGGTGGGTAAGTGTATTAAGAGGTATCTGACCTTGAATCCTGGGGGTCCCTGTGCTCCAGGTAAGCCGGCCACACCTGGATTTCCTCTCTTCCCAGCAGGGCCCATGGGGCCAGGGTCCCCATCGTCTCCCTGCTCCCCCTGTTAAGAAAGCAGGCAGAGGAGGGTCTCTTGTGTTTCACGATACAGCCAAGGAAGCAGATGGCTCAACGCCTGGGCAAACCCTGGGTGAAGCTGGAGGAAGGGGTCACACTCCAGGATGGAGGTCAGACGGCCTGTGTGTGATGTGGCTGGACCAGGAGGACAGGAGGAGCTGAGGATTGTGAGTGGGGAAGGGCGGGATTCTGAGTGAGGAAGGGGCGGGAGAGGAACCCTATCCACCAGGCAGGGGAGGAAAGGAAGGTCTTTCTGGGTGCTGGCATCCAGGAGAGACAGTCAGAAGGTCCACACTCCCAGGTGCCAGGGGAGGAGATGGTTGCCCACCCCAGAGAACTTCTGGATGTGTTGGTTCTGCCCATCCAAGTTTCCAAACGGGCTCCTCTGGCCCATGGCCTGGGGAAGTTCCCCTACACCTGGTCCCAAATGGAGCCACCATCTGTTAATGCCAATTCCCGCTCACCTGCTGTCCTGCTTGCCCGTCCCTGCCAGGAAGCCCATCTGGTCCAGCGATGCCCTCGAGGCCCTGTCTCCCCACCACGCCCCGGGGCCCTGGCAGCCCCTGCAGGCCCTGGGGGGTACATAAAAAGCTGGTGAGGGCATTTGGTGCAGGGAGTGGGAGGAGGGCGGGTGTGGGGGGCGGGCAGGGAGGTTGGCTGGAAACAGCAGCTGTAGTCACTCACCTGGACCCCCCTCCGGCCTGGGGCCCCTGCCTTGCCTTGCTTTCCCTTTGGTCCCTGAAAAATCAAGGGCCACATGATGGAGGCTGCCTGGTAGAGGTGTGGGACCCTAGGGGCTCTGGAAGGAGGGACTGAGAGGATTGTGGGCCCCTGGGTGAACATCTGATGCCACAGATGTACCCAAGCACTCTGGCCTGGAAGCCTGGGGCCAGAGCTGGCCTTGGAACCTCCTGGGGCTGTCACTGAGCCTGCTCTGGGCCTTGGTGTCCCCTCACTGGCATTGACAATTTTCTGGGAGGAGCCAGAGGCCACAGTTCCACTGGATCTTTTAGAGACTAGGTATCACCGAGGCAGGCAGGTGAGGGGGGCGCACCCGGGGGAGGGAAAGAGCATTAAGAGAGCACTGGCCCAGTCTGGGGGCTGGGGGAAGGCAGGGGCCCTGGGGCAGAGGCAGGAAGTGGCTCCTGCTCAAGCACCCTGTCTCTGCCTCCTCTTCCTCCAGACCCCCTCAATTGACTTCTCCCAGTTTTCTCTCTACAGTGTGGTGAGCCCTGGGTTCAAGTCACTCTGGTTGGCCTCAGGCAGTTGGCTCCCCTCCTGGAGCCCCAGTGAAATGGGGCTGATTGTCCCTCCTCACTCAGGCTATTTGAAGGGAGATGGGGTCATGGCCAGAAGCAGCCTGCCGGGCTCCTGGTGGGCCGCCCCTCCCTACCCTGCCTCGCAGCCTCTGCAGCCTGCGTTTGGTTTGCTGTGTGACTGTGGGTCAGGCTTCCCCCTTCCTGGGACTCAGTCTCCCTGCTGAACCCCCGGCCCTCTTACCTCTGCGCCTTTCGATCCTTTGGGTCCCGGCCACCCCCGGGGTCCCGGATGCCCCTGCAAACCAAGGTGAGATGACGCAAGGCAGCCCCAGGATTCTCTCCCGGGGAGGGTGGCCAGTCTCCGCCTGGAGGGGGAGGGGTGGGGAGGGGTTTGGGGGTGCAGGTTCTGGGGGCATCCCCAGGGTCAGGGCAGGAGAAACAGAAATGGCTGCCCCAGACCCTCCTGCAGGGAGGGTCCCTTTAAGCTTTAAAGGGCCTAGTTCTTTAATTCCCACTGCTCCGCCCCACTCAGGGTGGGAGGCAGGGATGGGACACGAAGCACCACTCACGGGTTGGCCCTGCTGGCCTGGCTTTCCACGGAGGCCTTGCACACCCTCCTGTCCCTGGAAGCCAAAGAGAGACAGGTGAGGGGGGCCCATCCTGCAGAGGGCTGGGAGGCAGCACAGAAGCCTGGGAAGTTCTTGTTCTTTCTAGACATGTGTCATCCCCCCTCTCCCTGACATGCCCGATCCTGCCAGCAGGTAGGAGCTCTGATACTTACAGGGTACCCAGGGTCTCCCGGTTCCCCGCGGTCTCCTCGATCACCCACAGGGCCCTGAATGACAAAGACAACAGCAAAATTTGGGCCACCAGGTGCCAAGGATGCCAGCCCTGGGCCCTGTTGGCCGCGACCTCTGCGGAGCTCTCAGGGACCTGGCCCCTGATCGGCCCACCCCTCTCCATGCAGCGGGAGGCTCAGATTCCACCTAGGACGCCACATGGTCCAGGGGAGGGAGGGGGCTTACCCGATCTCCAGGTGGCCCAGGGGGCCCCTCAGCCTTGCCGTCCTCGCCCTGCTCCCCCTGTGGACACAGAACCAGCTTTAGGGCAAACCGCCTGCTCCTGGGGAATGTGGGGAATTCCAGACGGAAAGCGCTTCGTCAGAGATGAATTCTAGCCTGCTTAGGGTTACAGATGGGGACACAAACTAGAGAGGGAAGGGTAGGTGTGTCTGAGCCAGACTCAGGCTGGTGTGGAACCAGGACTGTGGAACACAGAACAGTGCTTTGTGCCCTCCAGACGCCCTTGAGCTGTAGGATCCTGCAGGAAGTCAGGGAGCTCAGACAGCTGGATTCACATCCCGGCTTGCAAAGGACCAGCCGTGTGGCCTGCAACACTTCCCTTCCTGTCTCGGAGCTCTCTCCTCTGCTGGGGAATAGGAGAACAGAGCGGAGTGGGGTGGGGTGAAGGGGACAGCATGTGATGCCCATCAAGGAGTGGTGAGGACTCCGTGGAATGATGCGCGACGCCCGGCAGGGAGTAACACCAACTCCAGCAGCTGGCACGCATGGGCACTGCTCTGGGCCAGTCACAGGCAGACTCATGACATCCGCAGTGCAGTGCTGTGAAGCAGATGCGATTATTATCCCAATTCACAGATGAGGCTCGGAGAGATGATGGGACCTGCTCAGAGTTTTCACCCTCAACCCGAGAGTCCCTGTCTCCGATCCTTGCTGGGAGGAACCAGCTTTAGGATGAACCTCCTACCCTCCATGGTAGCCCCAGGTGGCACTTGGCAGCCAGTCAGCATGGGGGCTGTGTCCATAAGACAGGTTCCTATGTGCAGAGCGGGACTGGAGCGCCTCCCGGTGCTGTTCAGGGGACTCGGTGAGGAAAGGCACAGGAAGCACTCAGCAGGCTGCTGCACACGTGGCAGGGGCTCAGCAGATGGCGTTAAAATTGCCGTAGCCGGTAACAATAGCAGCAGTGAGACTGTGTCATATAGACATGGCCAGAGACTGGGGTGGGGGGGGCGGAACAGAGTTTAGAGGTGAGGTCCTTATGCCATGGCCACCCCAGGCCCTGGTCCACCCACAGGACAGGTGTAGACGCCACCTTTCAACTACAAGGAAGGTGTAAGCGGAACGGCAAATGGCAGAATCTCAGGGCTCAGAAGACTCCAGCCCCAGAAACTGGTGTCACTCCCCTGGGCACAGGGCTCAAGCCAGGCACCCCTGAGCCCCTTTGTTCATAGGGATTGAAAGGGGGCCGGAAGAGGCTGGACAGAGGCAAAGCGTCCCTGGGGCTGGGACACATCCCTGGTGGGAGGCAGTTCTAAAGGCTGGTGGTGATCAGCCACCAGCCTGGGCCTCTGTGGTTCTGGTGGGTGGAGGCTGAAGGCTGGCAGGGACTTGGCCTGAGGTCTAGAGGGGTGGCCCAAGGAGCGGGGATTCCTTCTTGACCCTGCCCACTCTCTATGGTTCTTGGATCCAGTGCTCAAGTCCCACTGTGGATAGAGGCAGCTGGACTTGACGGCTTTGGGGAAGGGGCCTGCCTGTGTCTACCTAGCGTGTTCCATGTGCCAGGCACTCTGTGAGGTTTGTTTCATCCGATCTGCACAGTAACTATGCCGCTGGGACTACTGTCCACACTTAAAGATGGGAAACTGAGAGGAAGGAAGGTCTTAGCCAAGGCCACTCAGGAATCAGGGGGCAATCTCGGCCCAAAGCCAGCTATACTGATCCCCCGCAATGTGACTGTAGTCTGGGGATGCATTTTTTTTTAATTCTATTATTATTATACTTTAAGTTTTAGGGTACATGTGCACAACGTGCAGGTTTGTTACATATGTATACATGTGCCATGTTGCTGTGCTGCACCCATTAACTCGTCATTTAGCATTAGGTATATCATTTTTTAGCACCAGAAATCTGGTAGGATACTTCCCTGCCCTGTCCAAGTCCCAGAGTCTCATCCCCTCTCTCTGGCCACCAGCTTTGTAGTGAGCTCACCCCCACGGTGAGCAGGGATGGGCGGTTCAAGTTAAATTGCATATGGCTTCCTTATCTTGGGTCTGCTTTTGGTTAGGGAAGCAGGGTCTGGCATCGGACAGATGGGGTCTAAATCCTGGCCCTGCCACCCTCTTACTACAGATCCTGGGCTAGTCTCTGAGCCTTATGGGGACTCAGTTTCCCCGCCTGTCTTGTAGAACAATGGTACCTCTGCACTGGGGCTGTGGTGAAGATTACAGGAGGAATGGCAGGGAAAGAACTCTGCACGTGGGCGTGTGCTCAATGGGTCACCCCAGGAAGCTGCTCTCTCCTCCCTAGCACCGTCCAGCTTGCGGGGTGGCTGTTCATTCATGGGACTCGCCCTATTTTTGAGACCTCTAAGGGCATCATTTCCATCCTCTAGCTCAGGGCCTGGAACACACTAAATCCTCCATAAGTACCTGTTGGAGAGCTGGAGGAATGAACGAATCTAATAATGCCTTCTAAGTGAGAAAAGGCATCTGGCTGATGAACATGTTCTGCCCCCACCTTGACCTCTCATTCCCAAGGACCCCACCACTTGATGAGGCACTCAAGGCTCAGGGAATCCTGGGGACCCCCACAAGGCCCCTGCAGCCTTAGGGCAGATTTGGTGTTAGGGTCCCATTCTCAGCAGCCACAGAGACTGCTTCTAGAGCTGCAGATGCTCCGGCGCAGAGGCCTTGGGGCACACCAGGGCCTCCTTGTTTCAGAGTCTGTGTTAACCCCTTCTGTGCCAGCCCTGGCAGGCTGCGAGGGCCCAGGAGGGACCCGGGGTACTGAGTGGCACCTTCTGTGGCTTCCTGTGGAATCGGCTGGGGCGGGTGGCCGTCTACCATGGCTGAGCTGTCCTCCTCCAGCAGGAGGAAGGGGTCGGCTGGGCAGCACGCCGGGCCAGCGTGAGTCACCAACAGCAGGATTTAGTTAGTGGGGAGCTGACTCAGCAAAAGAAAGGCGTGCTGGGGAGGCAGGGGGCAAGCGAAGCGTTCCAGCTGAGCCAGCAGGGGAGGGGAGGAGGAGGAAAGACAGGAGGGACTCAGGCGACGAAGGTAGGACTTAGACACGTGGGTTCTGGGGCCAGTTTGGGATTGCCTTGGACGTGACACCACACCAACACCTTGGACCTTCTGGCACTCCTGGCCCTCCACATCCCCACTGGCATGGGGGGGCAGGGTCCAGGGATCAGCGAGGATCCTTCCAGCAATTCCTCTCCTCTACTGAATCTTGAGCCAAGGCGTGGGGAATGAACATGCCTTCCCCTCTGCCTTGGTGGCTCCTTCCTTGACCACTAACCACTGGGGTTCCTTGCTCTCTGTCCCAAGCCTCTCCTGCTCAGCATCCTCTCCCCACTCTTCACTGGGTGATCTTATTCATGGGCAAGACTTCAATTCCCATGTCCACACAGATGATGGAGTCGCAGTTTTAGTCATTACAAGATTGATGTCCATTTCTGCTTCTTGACTATAAGCCCCGTGAGGGCAGGGATTGCATGTTTTCGTTCCAGCGCTGGGTACAAAGATGATACCCAGCACATAGTGCTGAATGTGGATCTGACAGCTCCTGCGGGCTGGGCACAGTGGCAGTGACACCAGCCTCGGCTGCTGCAGGGGGTGAGCCCCCACAGGCTTCTCCAGCCATGGGTACCCCAGGGGCTTTCTCCTGCTGGCCCTGAAGCTGACCTCAGCCTCAGACACGAGGGTGCAGCTGCTTTCCCCAGAGCAAACACCCACCTTTTCGCCTTTTGGTCCAGGAGGTCCAAGGGGTCCCACAATGCCTTTGTGTCCCTGCAGGCAAACAAGAAGGAGGGAAGTGAGAATGAGGACTCAGGAAGGACAAAGGACATGGACTCCAAGATGGGGATACTGGGCTGCAAAACTGGGTCCCAGCTCTGCCCCAGCTGGCTGTGTGGCTCTGAGTAAGTCTGTGCCTGTCTGGGCCCTGGCCTTCCAGATGTGCCGTGCTGGTCCCAGACACACCCCAAAGGGGTGTTCCAGCTGGGATGGTTGGGGGCCCCACCCTGGAGCAGACCTGGAAGGGTGACTCGGGAGAACCAGCTTTGTTCTCCCAGCCAGAACCAGGGACAGGGGCAAAATGCTTGCCTCAACAGACCTTCCCAGGCTTTGGCTAGGCCTGCAGGTATGGACACCCACTGTGGGCTCCTCGCAACACCCCTCCAGGTCTTGTCTCGCCTCTTTTCCTCTCCTCCTCCTCCCTTCCCTGCTGCATTTCTTCCAGACACTGGATCTAGAGCCACAAGGACCAGGGCTAGGATCCCACCTCCAAACTGAAGTGGTCAGGCCTCGTGCATGCTCTTTATCCTCCTGAGCCCTGGTTTCCCCTTCTGAGTAGGCACCATATCTCTCTGAGCCCTGGTTTCTCCAGATGTGTAACATGGGTTTGGCTCAGCCATGTCTAAGAAGGTGCCAACCTGGATGCAGAAATGGTCCCTTCCCCAGACAGCAGACAAGGCATGCAGAGCGCCCACCCTGGGCAGGAAATACCCAAGAAGGCTTGGGGTGGCACATTTCGCTCTGGCAGCCCCAACCACACCTGTCCCATCCATGATCCTCCACCCCAACCACGGCTCTGGGCCCAGCGCTCCCTGGGGCAGGTGAGACCCCACATCTTCAGTATTCCAGGGGTCAGCCTTCAGCTGGGAGGTGGTGGGGCAGAGGCTGGCATGGGCCTGTGTTTCCAGGCCTGCAGGACAGAGTCGGGGGGTGGGGTGAGGTGATATCTGCTTACATCATAACCAGCCAGTCCCGGTTCTCCTTGGGCCCCCATGCGTCCCGGAGCACCCTACAAGAGGAGGAGACCCTCGTTGGTATGGAGTGTGGCTCTCACAGCGGGGACACAGCAGTCTCCCTGCAGGCTCCAGCCCCGCTCCGCCCAGCAGCCTGGCACATCCATGCCGCCCATAACCAAAGTGTGTGAACAAGGCGGAAAGCCAGTAACATTATCCCTCCTCCCTGGAGTTCCCCACCCCTGCCCCAGCCCTCCTTCTCCTGGCTCCAGGGGTTCGAGACAGCTGATTGCTAAATTTTCAGGACTTTTACAAGCCAGTGAAACAGAGCCGTTATTAACAATTCAATTTTATGGACTTACAGTTAAATTAATGTTATTAAAAACAAAGATAGAGGATACTCAAAACTCATCTCCTCCTAGCCATTTTACTACATTTTCCTCCTACCTACACTCATGAGGTTATTTTGGTCTATTGCATCTGTGCGTGTTGGTGGAAATACTGCCTAAGGGAGGGCTGCCGTGTAACTCCTCCCCACTCTGCATTCAGTGACGTCATGTCAGTGGCTTGAAACCAGACATGGAGGGAGCATTTACACCGCAGAAACTGGCAAATACCACAAACCAGCCTGGTTGCTTAACCTTACACACAACCAGATCGGAGCTGCTGTGTCACCCTCTTCAGCCTCCTTCCCTGGCTTCCCCCTGGGGTCTTCATCTCCTGGAGGTATCAAAGCCCTCTGGGCCCCTTCCTTCAGAGCAGCCCAGCAATGCTGGGACACCCTCAGAGTCATCCAGGGACCTGCAGCAGCATCACTCCATTCCTCCTGAATCTATTTCCAGTGGGAAATCTCCTTGTTTGATAAAAACAGTTCTAAGAATCTGGTCCTTTCTCCCCCGATGCTAATAACAAGGCTTATTAATTTGGGTCCATAGAGGGCTTCAGGGGACCCACACACCCCTTCAAATTGCAGGAAGTATTCTGTGTGGTGTATACTGTTCCGGAGGCGGGGCTGCAGCTTTCTGCAGGTTACCAAAGCGATTCATGATTCAGAGAGGTGGCTGGGGCAATGAGCACCAGGTGTTCAGCTAATAGCTGGGGTGGGTGATAACAGCACAGAGAAGCCTGGTGTCTCCTTTCCTGCCCTTGGTTCCCTCTATTCCACATCTGACTCCCCCACCCCAGCCAGAGAGTCCTCACCGTTGGTCCCAGGCTGCCCCGGGACCCTTTAGGGCCTGGAGTGCCAGGGGGTCCAGGGTCTCCAGGGACGCCCATCTCACCCAGCTGTCCTTGATAGCCCTTGGCACCCTGCAACAGGAGGAAAGACAAGCTGTCACCAGGCCCAACAGGACGGAGGGTCCAGGGAGGGGAGGGATGTGGGGAAGGGATGCGGGGGAGGGACGCAGGCCTATCAAGTCAGAAGGGGACACCTACCTTGGCTCCAGTGCGGCCCTTCTCGCCTTGCTTCCCTGATTTTCCTTCAGGACCCTGAAGAGAGAGGAGGGACAGAGCAAGAGAAAGATGAGAGAAGAGAGGAAACTGAGGCGGATCCGCAAGGCGGTCAGACTGTCGGCTCTGGAGGCAGATGGCCAGGTTCGAAACTGATTCTGCCACCCAGTACCCACATGACCTTGAGCCTGACCTAATTTCCCAGGCTCAGCATCCTCTGCTGTGAAGTGGGGACAGTGTCACAGAACTTAGGGATTCGACCTGGCGATGTAAGAACGTGCTGACAGTGAGGCCTGGGTGCAGGGGTGGATGGCGGGTGCGGCTTCTGCAATTGCTGGCTTTGCTGTTGTCATGGTTACTGTTAGGCATCCAGGGGTGTCCTACAGGGAGCAACTCTCTGCACTGAGCTCTCTCCAGCGCCAAGTGCTGTTCCACCCTCCCAACGACCTTGAACATTAGGCCCCAATGAGACCCGCTTCCAGTTGAGGCAGCCAAGTTCCCAAAGATACAGTGACTTTTGCCCAGGGTCCCAGCTGCGCCTTGCAGGCCCTGAATCAATCCCAGCTGTTCTGGCTCCATGCCCAGGGCTCTTACCACCCCTGGCTCATGGTCCCCACTGATGACATGAGGTGGCAGGAGAGGATTTATAGGTTCTTCCCTATCTCTGAGATGTTGTGCGTCACTTGCGAGCAATTCCTGTGGGCATGTCCCTTGAACGGGCCCCTCCTCTCTCAGGGACTGGGCTGGAGGAGCCTCCTCACAGTAGGGAATTGTGCTGGAAAGGTCAGCTGCCTTCTCCCACTTTCCTTGGAGTCCCCAGGCCATTCCCTCTGACAGGCCACTCTGCCCCTGCCCCACAGGGCTTCCCAAAGAGATCCTCCGGCCTGATCTGCCCTGCCCTGCCCTGGGAGGGCAAATCCAGCTTTGTGTCCACAGTTGTCAGAGAAACTGCACAGCAAGGGTGAGTGAGTGTGTGCAAGTGTGAATGTGACAGTAAGAGACAGACACAGAGAGAAAGAGAAGAGAGAGAATCAATCCTGGGCCATACTAGGTCAGGATGGAGGGAGTGGGGCAGGCAGCGTTTCTGGCCTGGAAAGGACTTCTTGACTGCAAGCCTCAAAGGATCTAGAAAGAATGTCTATGCTCTTGGTAAGCACTAAGGAGCTGCTTTGATGTAATCCCTCTGGTTGCATTAACAGAGGCACCAGATGTAGAATGAAGGAGGTGATGTCCCATTTGGGAATAGGTATTGTACTTTAAGAAGAGGCACTGACTAATTGTGATAGAAGAGGGACAGGAAGAGGAGGTCCTAGAGGAACAAGGAAACATCTGGACCAACCCAGAGGACTTGGTTCCTGTCTGCAGATTTCTGCAGCTGTTCTGGAGGCAGGGCCAGCCATGTTCTCTAGGGTGGCCAGCGCATGAAAATTATGGGGCGGCTGGCTTTGATTCAGCACAAGGGAGAAATGTCTGCTCTAAAGACTAATGCGGCATCAACTATGATGCCAGAAAAGATGACGCTATCCCAAAGAGATGCACCAGTCAGACCACCCTGCGGTCCTCAGAAAGGCAGGAACAGTGGCCCGGGAAGGACCTCAGCACAGACTGCCTGCAACCCAGTGCCTGAGTCTACATGTACCCCTGGACAAATCCTGCTCTTTCTCTGAACCTTAGTTTCCCCACCTCTAGTATGGGACTAGCCCCGTGGCCTCCAGCCACATACAGCTACCGAACACTTGAAATCTGGCTACTATGACTGAGGAACTGAATTCTTAATATTATTTAACTTTAATTAATTTAAAATTAAATTTAAGGCTGGACACGGTGGCTCATGCCTGTAATCCCAGCACTTTGGGAGGCTGAGGTGGGTGGATCACTTGAGGCCAGGAGCTCAAGACCAGCCTGGCCAACATGGCAAAATGCTGTCTCTACTAAAAATACAAAAATTAGCCAGGTATGGTAGTGCACGCCTGTAATCCAGCTACCTGGGAGTGCCGAGGCATGAGAATTTCTTGAACCTGGGAGGTGGAGATTGCAGTGAGCACCACCGCACTCCAGCCTGGGCGACAGAGTGAGACTGTGTCTCAAAAGAAAAAAAAAAAAAAATTAAAAGTTGACACACCCAATTAGGTTGCTACAAAACTTGTTTGGAGTAACTTGGGTATATGAACCTACATTGTCAACTGTAAATTTTATGAAATCTAAATACAGATCAAGTATTTCCAATGAAATTTTATATACAATGAAAATCTAAACACGGATCAGGTATTTCCAATGAAAATTCACATCTGAATTGAGTATGCTATGAAAATATACTATACACTGGATTTCAAAGACTTACTACAAAAAGAGTGCTAAATATCTTATTAATGATTTTTATATTGATTATATTTTGAAATGATAATATTTGGATATATTGGGCTAAATAAACTATATTATTAAAATTAATTCCTTTTTAAATTTGAGACAAGGTCTCTCTCTGTTGCCCAGGCTGGAACACAGTGGCTCAATCTCAGCTCACTGAAGCCTCAACCTCTGGGACTCAAGTGATCCTCCCACCTCAGCCTCCCGAGTAGCCAAGACTACAGGCATGCACCACCACGCCCAGCTAACTTTTTAATTTAATTTAATTTAATTGTTATAGAAACAAGTTCTCACTATGTTGCCCAGGCTGGTCTTGCACTTTTAGGCTCAAACAATCCTCCCACCTTGGCTGCCTAAAGTGCTGGGACTACCAGCATGAGTCACTGCACTGGCCCTTAAAATTGAAGTTACCTGTTTCTTTTTGCTGTTTTTAAAGGTGGCTACTAGAAAATTTAAAAGGAGTGGCTTGTATATGGCTTGTATTTCATTTCTATCGGACTGCACTAGGCAATCTCAAAGTCTCCAGCTCCTCCGGTAATAAAACACCAACAATCCCTACAACCCTCACCACGGGCCATGTGCTGTGTTCTCATTCCACATAAATGTTTGTTCAATTCTCGCCAGTGTTTGGAGGAAGGGATTATTTATCCCGTTTTGGAGCTAAAGGAACTGAGGCTCAGTGAGAGGAAGCCCTCTGTGGGCCTCCCAGCCAGGTCAGAAGTGACAAGCAGCTCCTCCACTTCTGGGGCACCTCTCCTTCCAGGCTGGTCTTGGTCAGGCAATGGGGAAGCCATGTCACAGTGATTGGTGGCATTTTCCAGTGCACTGAGGTGGCGGCAATGGCTGACTGATCCCTTGCAGAAGGCGAGATGAGTCAGTGCTGAAGCATCCGGTACAGGGGCAGGGAGACGGGAGGCTGCGTCTCCCCTGGGACAGGGTGCCACTTGCTGGGACGTGCCCTCTCCAGCCGAGAGCATACATACAGTGGGTGAGGCTGTGGGTCCGGAATGAATATTTCTGCTGGGCCCCATCCATATAGATGCATTTCTGGAAAGGCCCCGATGGCTCATAAAATTCTGTTTTTAAATACTCAACTGTTTCCAGGCCACAGAGTGGGAGGTATTTATCCTGATGCCAAAGAGACTCAAGTAAGGCCCCTCACTGCCTTATCACTTGGCACACACTTCGTCTGGCCCAAGTGACTCTCCTTCCAATCCCGGCATATGAGAAATGGGAGTGATGGCAAAATATTGACATTAACACAGCTACCACCACCACACCACTACTATCATCATCATCACCATCATCATCACCACTACCTACGCCATACCACCATATCATCATCATCACCACTCCCACCCCCACCACTGCCATGACCACCATCATCACTCCCCTGCCATCACTACTACCATCACTACCACCCATCATCACCACCACTACCACTATCATTAGTACCACCACCACCATTATCACCACCACCATCACCACCACCATCATCAGTGCCCCATCATCATCATTATCATTACCACTATCACTATCACCACCACCATCGCCACCAGCACCATCATCACCCTCACCTCCACTCCACTATCACCATCGCCACCAGCACCAGCACCACCATCACCACCTCATCACAGTCACCACTACCACCACTACCACCATCAACACCCCCATCATCTTCATCATCATCACCACCACCAACACCATCATCAGTACTACCACCATCACCATCATTATTATCGTCATTACCACCACTACCATTGCTGCTGCCCCCACCCACACCATCCACTCACCATCACCACCAGCCACCACCAGCCTCTAGTCACTTTCTCCTCTAAATTTATAAAGACAATCTTCTATATTTCTGGTGCATTTTATAAAGTGCTTTCCTACCCTAAGTTTTATTTATTCTTTATAGATAAGAAAACCAAGGCTCAGAGAGGGGCAGTGATTTGCCCAAAGTCACACAGAGAATGGGTTACTAGAGCCAGAAACTCAAGTTCAACCTCAGGACTCTGGTTCCAAGGCTATTTCTGCCATGTGTTCCTGCCCATTCCACAGCCATGATACTCAACACTCACTAAAAAAGGGTCCCTAGAACGCTGGAGCTCAAAGTAATCTTAGCACACATTCCTTCCAAACCCTCCAAGGGCAAAACCAGAGAGGGCAGGGGGCGGGTGAAAGGTCGCAGACCAAGTTCCTAATGCAGAATCCTGGCCCGGGACCCTCCTGCTAAATTCCCCTTGGCCTACTTCCCCGCCGCTGAGTCAAGCCCGCCACTGAGTCAAGCCTGGGGGAAGCCTCCTGGCTGACTCAGCGCCCTCGTATTCTTCTCTAGTTTGGTGAGTTCATTCTGTTGCAGCTGTTTAGGGGGATTGGCACTTCAGTGCTATTTTTAGGAAACAAATATTTTCCCACAACCATAGTTTGTTGCAGGCTAACTTGGATCTGTCCTAGGTTAGTCATGTAAACACTTCAGGGGGGAAAAACAGTGTCAAGAGCAGGCCTGAATCAAACTGGGCTGCTTTGCCTAGGTAACAACGTCAGTCTCTCCGCTTGAGGGATGAAGAGTGAAAATGACACCCCAGGGAGACTGGGATGGCAGCAGAGGCATGAGTTCTCACCACCTGGTTGGCTCAAGGTAGATGCCAGCAGGCCTGTGCATTTGGGCATTTTGTCTACGAGGCCACCTAATCCACGGGTCCCAAGGAGTTCAACTGAACCGACCCAGCACTCCTGGGTCACACAAACCCTGCTCAACTGTACAAGACTACCACTGCCCCCCACTACCAAGTCAAGTTCCGAGTCATCAGTCCAGTATTTGCGACACTCAAAAATCAAGCTTCCACCTGCCTCCAGCTCATCCTCACAGCCCCACAGCCAAGCCCTGGATTCCAACTCTGCCAGAGCACAGGGGCAGTATGCGTAGAGTCATGCAGGCCTAAGTTCAAATTCCAGCTTTGTCATTTCTCACTGTGTGAGCCTGGGAAGTTTCCTTTACCTCTCCGATTTTCCCAATCCTCAGGGGTTGCTATCGGTATCAAAGAGGGAACCTTCGAGAAAGCATTGGGCAACTTGTCTGTACATGTTGAAACAGGAGAATTCTGCTCCCTTCCCTACTGGCTTCTATGTCCCTCAAAGTCAGGGATGCTTTCTGATTTACCTCTTCAATCTCAGGGGACCTGGCCCAGGGAAGATGCTCGTGAGGGTCTGTGGACTGACTAAGTACATTTCTGTTAGGGTGGAAGAGCAGAGTTCCTCCGTCTTCTCAATCAACAAACAGACTTTGGTCACCTCTTATGTGTCAGGTACTGGTTTTGTTGTTGTTGTTGTTTGTTTGTTTTTTTGTGACAAAGTCTTGTTCTGTTGCCCAGGCTGGAGTGCAGTGGCGCAATCTCAGCTCATTGCAACCCCCGCCTCCCAGGTTCAAGTGATTCTCCTGCCTCAGCCTCCTGAGTAACTGAGACTATAGGCATGCGCCACCATGCCTGACTAATTTTACATTTTTAGTAGAGACGGGGTTTCACCATGTTGGCCAGGCTGGTCTCCAACTCCTGACCTCAAGTGATCCACCCGCCTTGGCTGCCCAAAGTGCTGGGATTACAGGCGTGAGCCACCGCACCTGGCCAAGGCACTGTTAAAGACGTAAATGAAGGCCAGAAAAGGTCTTGGTCTTCATGGAGCCAAGACATACACTGAAGGTTATGCATGTCCCTGAGGGCTCATGGCCCAGCCTGGGGGCAGGAATGGCTTTTTGGAGCAGGTGATGTCTATGGTGATACCTGAAGGCCAAATAGAACTTAAGCAGGTGACAGGGGAGTGAAGAAGGGAGAGTGTCCTAGACAGAGCACATGCAAAGGCCCAGGGGTAAGGGCCACAGCTTGTCCAAGAAACTGAAAAAAGTTTAGTGTGTCTGGATATGGGGGATGGATGAGATGAGGTCGGCAGGGACCAGGTTTGCACAGGGCAGGGCAGCCAGGAGGATGAGTAACCGAGGTTGTTCTCCAGAGCCATGGAGCATTGAGCAGATTGGTTCTCTGGCAAACTGCCAGGTGGAGAAAGGACCACAGCAGAAGATCCTTCAGTGGCACGACCAAAAGCCCTCCCGCCCAGCCGCCTGCACAGGCATGAGAGTTCAGGGTACCCCAGAGCTCCAGGCGCTGCAAGGGGCCTGCACACTCACCCGGACACCAGTGACGCCAGGGGGGCCGGGGGGCCCGTCCTCACCCATCAGCCCTTCCTGGCCTTTCTCGCCATGTTCTCCATCAGGCCCTGGGTCTCCCCTGTCCCCCTGGGTGGCAGGGCATGAAGAGGGGAGAGAGAGAGAGAATAAGTTAGTTGCCAAGTGCATCAGAGGCCCCAAATCTCAGGGCTCCATTCAGGCATCCACAGCCAACTGGTCCCTAGATTCTCGATAGTTCCCTCTGCAGCCAAAAAGGCAGGGTGCTGTGACTCGGCTGCCAAGCCCAGTGTAGCTCTAAGCTTGCACAAGGATGCATCCCAGACGTAGAGGCTCCCATGTGTCCCTGCCTGGGCCTGGGCTGCGAAGGGCAGAGTGACTCAGAGATAAGCCGGGGTCCTGACTGCACCCACCCCATGGAGTTCACAGGAGACAAGGGCAATTTCTCTCCAACTTAGACACATTGGGAGAACAAGAGTCTTATGAAGCAGATTTTTTTTTTTTATTTTTTAGACAGAGTCTCACTCTCTCCCAGGCTGGAGTGCAGAGGCGCAATTATAGGTCACCGCAGCCTCGACCTCCTGGGCTCAAGCAATCCTCCTGCCTCAGCCTCCCAAGTAGCTGGGACTACAGGCACATGCCACCATGCCCAGCTAATTGAAAAAAAATTTCTTTTTTTGTAGAAATGGGGTCTTGCTACAAGAGAGCTTGAGCCCAGCAGTTGGAGACCATTGACCAGGCTGGTCTCCAACTGCTGGGCTCAAGCAATTCTCCCACCTCAGCTTCCCAAAGTGCTGGGATTACAGGTATGAGCTGCTGCAACTAGCTGAAAGAAATTTTCATCAAGAAAGAAAATTCACCCAATTCTCCTTCTCAGAACCACTCTTTCCATTTTTCTGAGTTGTATTTTCAATCCTCGATGACAAAAACACAGTGAATAATAATAATAATAATAAATGGTAGGTAACAGTTTGGATGGTATGTACCAGGCTCAGGGCAGTGAAGCAACTCTCCCAAGGCAATGAATCGGACAGCAGTAAACTAAGCTCTAAAGGCACAATCCCACTGGACTGCTGGTCTCCATCTTTGTTTGTTATAGTTACTGCTTTGCTCTATGGTGAACGTGCCCTCCTATCGCTCTGGGCTCTGCATGGCGATCATTCTTATTGGCTGCAGAATACTTTCTCTGGGGAGTGGATGGAGCTAACATTTATATAGCACTAACCATGTCAGGACCATAGTCTGAGTCCTTTAACATCTATTAACTGACTTAATCCCCACAAAAGCTTTCTAAGGCTGGTCCGCTTTTAGTCCCATTTTACAGAAGAGGAAACTGAGGCAGAGCTAAATCAAGTGGTCTGGCCCAGAGGCCCACAACTGGCTAGCGGTGGAGCTGGACTTTGAAGCAGGATCCTGAGCGTATCCTCTTTACAGTGATAGGGCTGTAACCAAGGTCTTCTTGGGGCTTCGGACCTTTGGGGCACCTGAGGTTATTTCCTTGGAAAGGCAACCCTTGGCATGGGCTTTTTTTTTTTTTTTTTAGACGGATCTCATTCTGTTGCCCAGGCTGGAGTGCAGTGGCATGATCTCAACTCACTGCAACCTCCACCTCCCAGGTTCAAGTGCCCCCGCCTCCCAACTAGCTGGGACTGCAGGCACGCGCCACCATGCCTGGCTAATTTTTGTATTTTTAGTAGAGACAGGGTTTCACCATGTTGGCTAGGCTGGTCTCGAACTCCTGACCTCAGATGATCCACTCACTTTGGCCTTCCAAAGTGCTGGGATTACAGGTGTGAGCCACTGCACCAGGCTGGCATGGGCTTTTTATGGTTTTGAAGCAATCAGTGTCACTCTAAGCTTGCCTTATCTCATCACGGTAATCTTTGCGTACTCTGAGAGAGATTGGGGGCAGGTGGGGTTCCAGGATGGGGCATGCAGGATTCCAGGATGGGGCGTGGGCTGTCACCCTCATCACCGTGAGCAGAGCAGGTGTGGAGTGCAGCACGGGCATGGCTGCTGAGGGGCGGCGTCCATCAGGAAGGGATGGGCGAGAAGAGCAGGCTTGGAAAAGCATAGTGTGTCTTTACCAGTTCTGTCCCCCAGTGCCAAGGTTTACGAGGGACACTGATAAACTGGTGTGCATCCAGAGGAGAGAGAGCACAGGAAGCAGAGGGCATGAAGCTGGAGCCTGGGGCTTGGCCCTGCCTAGAAGAGAGGCTCAAGAAAGCAACTCATGATTGCTCATTGCTTCAAGCTGGGCCTGCTGAGGCCTGAGCTCTGGGGCAGGAGGTGGGTGTGAGGGAGTTGCTGGGGCAGTTTCTAGTTCAGTTGGGAAGATTTTCCAATGGAGCGGTCCAGAGATGGCACAGATAAAGGCAGAAGACTCCGAGCTGAGGCGTGGGCCAATGTAGAGCAGATCTGGGCACAAAGTTGTGCCCGGATCCCTTCCTGCTGGGAGCCTCAGCTTCTAAGCACAGCCTGGCATGAAGACAGGGGGCTGGCCTGAATAACTCTCCTGCAGACTCCTCTGGCTCTGGGATTCCATTTCTGGCTTGTCGTCCTGGCCACCTGTTCTCCTCTCAGAGGCAGACAGCCTGTTCCAGGTGGCTAGTCGGGTTTTCAACAAAGGGCCCTCACCTGGGCTCTGCCTAAGACCACACTCCAGGGGCTAACTGGACCCCTGGGGTGGGCGTCCTTGTGAATCTCATGCAGAACAGTCTCTGGGGGTTCCTAGAGATGCCCCAAATCCTCAGACATCTGCCAGTGCTCAGAGGAGCCTTGCAAGTCACCTTCCTTAACCCTCTTCAGTTACAGATGGGACAACTGAAGTGCAGACAGGTGGAGACTCCCTAATACCACCGAGTGAGTCAGTGCTGTGTGAACCTGGGGTTCTGGCTCCTTCTAATTCCAAGATTCTCTGCTCAGGGGACGATGCCTCCCTCAACCCTCGGGTTATGCTGCCTAAGTTCAAATCTTGCTACCGCTACTGAATAGTTGTGTGACCCTGGGCAAGTTTCCTCGTTTGTAAAATCAGGATCAAAGGATTACTGCAAGGATTGAAAGAGATAAACCATGTAAATAGCTTAGCAGTGTGTCTGGCATGTGAATGCTGGATAAAAGCTAACTATTATTGGTCACCACCACCATCATCACTGTCAGCTGGACATCAGCGAAGAGATAACGGGTGTAAAAGCACTCTATAAACTATGAAGTGCTGTGCATATTCGAGACGCAGTTTTCACCATGAGGGGTGATTCCTGGACAAACACCTTAAGAAAATGGGTCTCTCCTGGGATTCATGTAAAGACCAGGGAAGATGCTGTGCATTTGAGCACAAGGACTCAGGTAGAATTGGCTTTGAAGGGAGGGGAAGAGGATGAAGTCAGGGCCAAAAAGCCATGCAAGGTGGAGGCAGAAGACTGCATGAGGCACCCAGGCTGGAAGACCCCCTCCCGCCCACCTCAGTGGACTTTCCAAGAAGAAAGGTGGCCGCCCAGAGTGGAGTGAGAAGGCTGCTGCTTCGTGCCTCAGTTTCCTCATCCGTCTAGTGAGGATGGTAATGTATCAAGCTTGGGAGAGTTGCTGGGAACATTAATTATTAAATGGGTTAATTCACATAAAGCCCTTTGGGTGGGTGGCACTGGGCACATGGCAAGTGCCCAAAGCATTTTAGCCATGACCTTCATCAGCATCACCACCCAGTGTAGCAGGCACTGGCAAAGGGTGTGGAGCAGCTGTCAAATGCTCCGGGTCTTGGGACTCGGCTGTACGCTTGGATGCAGCAGGGTTGGGGGAGAGGAGTCAGGCAGATGACAGACAGGGGGTGCTCTCGCTCTTGCAAGAAAATGTGAGGAGTCAGCAGGGGCCGGTCGCCAAGGCACCCTGGGAGACTGTGGGGAGGGGGTAACGAGGGTGGGCGGAAGCCTGTGGATGGGGAAACTGAGGTTCAGAGAAGGGGTCTGCTTCTCTGAGGTCACCTGGAGAGTAGGTGGGCGAGAGGGCATGGCCCTTAGGAACCTGGGCTGGGGAGCTGACTTGCACAGGGTGACCGGCCAGCCTCGGGGAAAGCCCACCTGTGGGGTCAGAGCGGGGCCCAAGACGGAGGCCAGGGACTGGCCTGGAGATGGGTCTGGAGAGTCAGAGGGAGGTGCCCGCCTGCCCACCTGCAATTCAGGTGAGCTAAGGTGTCTCTTCAGAGTCCTGACATTTGTGGCTGACAGGAGTCTCTCAGGGAGCAGCAGGGTCAAGTTGGGCCAGCAGGCTTTGGCACCTGTGAGCCGTGGGTTTGAATTTTGGATCCTCACTCATAGCCATAGGTCCTGAATGTATCTATGCCTTCCTCTGAGCCTCAGCCTCTTCGCCTTTAGAATGGGTGCATGGTACAGCAGAGTGAGCAGAGGCTTTGGAGCCAAACGGGCCCAGATTTGGGTCCTGGATGTGCCAGTTGCTAGCGGTGTGTCCTTGGGCAAGTTGCTTCACCACTCTGAGTCTCAGTTTCCTCATCTAAAGACAGAACTTCCGTTGTCCTATGGATCCAGCTGGTAAAGGGCTTAGCGTTGTACCTGGTATGTGTGTGACTAGTCCTCCCTAAATTGTGGCTTATAAGTCATTGGTGGTAATTATTATTTTCCTGACCTTCTAGAATATTTGGAAGATAACAGAGACCAAAGACTCTGGCTCTGGGCCTGGCGTAGTGCCGGTGCTCAGGAATCACCCTTAGCCAAGAGAAGCTGATATTTTAAGAAGGGTAGCAGGAAAGACTGGAAGGTGGTGATGGCCCTGGTCCCACCTGAGCAGGTAGTGCAGAGGGCAGGGTGGGAGGTGGCTGCTGGACACTGCTGACCCTTCCCCAAGCTGCTGTCAATGGGAGCTGGAGCTGTCATCTCAGATCTCTATGGGAACACAGTGTTTCTGGGAGGAGACTTAGGTCTTGGATGGGAAAGCAATGCCCTGCCGGGGTCCCCAGGCCCTGCCCTAAAAGGGCACTTACCTTCAGCCCATCAGGTCCCATGGGGCCACTGTCACCCTCAAGGCCTGGCTCTCCCTGGAAAAGGTGATGGAGAAAGAGGAGGAGATGTTACTGGGGAGGAGGCCCCGGTGTGCTTTTCCTCTCTTCCCCCTCCCTGGGGCAGGACCCTGACCCATGGATCTCCAGGCAGTGGGACCCTGGGGGCCCTGGCACACAGTGGGTGCATGGTAGCCAGGGGCTGAGTTAGCAAATGAACAGGAAGGTTGAGGTGCCCACCCTCAGCTCTCCAGAAAAGGGGAGCAGACCCCCAAGCTACCGACAGCTCCCTCTGCAGGGTGACGTGGGGTGGGGGCTACATGAGGTCACGAATTTAGAAGGTGCTTGTCATGGATTTGTCCTGAACATCATCTCTAGGCTGGTTGGCTGGGCTGCAGAGTGGCCTAGTAGTTAAAGACAGGCTTTGACATCAGCCAGACGTCAATGCTACTTCTTGGTTTCTCATTCACTGGCTGTTTGACCGCAAGCAAACTACTTAGGTCTCATTGGCATCTGTTTTTTTATCTGAAAAATGGGGCTGACACCACCTTCTTCAAGGGTTGCTGTAAGGCATGGTGTAAGCGCCCCATACCTGGCAACCATGTGAGATACTATTACTGGAGCTGGAGTAAGCCTGCATGGAACTCCTTGGTGGAATCCTACTTCTCAGATGAGGAAAGGGAGGCCAGTCTTTCGACTTTTCTTCCCAGCAAGCTCGGGAATGACAGCAAGAACAGAGTCCCTGGCTGAACCTCAACCAGGCTTGCCCTTCCAGCTCTAGAGACGCCCCTGGACAACAGTTCTTGAAATGGCCATCAAATTAAGTTTGGGTCTCTCTCTGCTTTTAGAATTCATCGCTGTTCAGAGTCTGAGCTGGAAAGGGCCTCAGGGGCCGTCAGGTGCAGGATGGCAACGATGTGCCAGTTGGGTGGTCCATGCTCCTCTTGTACCCATGGCAGGTATCACTTATCAACCCGCTGGAATGCAAGCTCCAGAGACAGGCCTCCGTTACTCACTGCTGTGCTCCTTGTGCCTCGAGAAAAGTGCTCGACACACAGTGGGCATAGGATGCGTGCTCATCATTCTCTTTACTGCCGAGACTCGACTGAACCTCAACATCCTTCTTCTTCTTTTTTTTTTTTTTTTTTTTTTGAGATGGAGTCTTCCTCTGTCACCCGGGCTGGAGTGCAGTGGCATGATCTTGGCTCACCACAACCTCCAACTCCTGGGTCCAAGCGATTCTCCTGCCTCAGCCCCCCGAGTAGCTGGGACTACAGACCACAAAATGCCTTTCTCTACACTGTGGAAATGCTGGCCTACCAAGAGAGACTGGGCGAGGCTGTAGACATTCATAGTCTATTTCTGTAACTGAGGAAACTGAGGCTTAGGGAGATTGAGAAAAGCCGGTCTCTTCCCCTGCGGCACCCACACACCCTGGGGGCTTTCAGGAAGAATAAATTGCTTCAACTTACCCGTTGCCCAATGAGGCCCTGCTCCCCAGGAGTGCCCAGGGGTCCAAGGTCACCCTAGGAGAAGCCGAACAAAAGTCCTTGCGGGTGGGTAGGGCCAGCCCCAGCTCTCGACACCCCTTCCTGTTTCCACCAGCTCTGACTTTGGGGTGTGGGAGGAGGAGCTGGGGAAGGTCCTTCTTCCCAGGGACCACAGAGAAATCGTAAAACACCAACCAGAGCTCCTGTTCCAAGTAAGCCTTGTCCACGGACTTCTTCTCCCACGCCAGGACAGGAGGACAATTAGCACCAACACCATCATCCTATTAATAACTAACTGTACTGTTCTGTACTGTTCTAAGGACTTTTTTTGTTTGTTTTTTGAAACAGGGTCTCATTCTGTCGCCCAGACTGGAGTGCAGTGGGGTAATCACAGCTCACTGCAGCCTTGATCTCCCAGGCTCAAGTGATCCTCCCACCTTAGCCTCTCAAGTAGCTGGGACCACAGGCATGCGCCACCATGCCCGGCAGATTTTTAAATTTTTTGTAGAGATGGGGTCTCACTACGTTGCCCAGGCTGAGGACATCAGTTTTTATATTAACATATCTGACTTTCAAGACAGCCCTGCAAGGAAAGGCATTATTTTAGAGGTGAAGCATCAGAGGCATTGGGGGAGTTCGGTAAGGAGCCCAAGCTCTCGTGAGACTATTCAGTGACAGATTCATGATCCGAACCTGGGCAGTCTGGTTCCAGGAGCCTTGGATGCAGCAATGGCAATTATGTGACTTTATTCTTCCTTGAGAGACTTGAAGAGAAACCCAAACGAGGAGGAAGCCCTAAATGAGCCGGAATAAATGTCACCTGCCCCCTGCATAAAGGCCCTAAAAGGGTCTTTCTCATTGGAGAATTTTCAAGCTATGCTCCCTGCTGGTGTCTAGGGGCACAGGAGGAGGGCAGAGCTCTGAGCCCCCAGCCCTGCTCCAGTGGAAACAATCCCACTTCTATCAGTTTTCTACGTGGGGTGGTTTCTTCATTGGTGAATTTTCAAGCTATGCTCCCTGCTGGTGTCTAGGGGCACAGGAGGAGGGCAGAGCTCTGAGCCCCCAGCCCTGCTCCAGTGGAAACAATCCCACTTCTATCAGTTTTCTACGTGGGGTGGTTTTCTTCATTGGTGTTTGAGCAAGGGATTTTGGGACTAGGCCAAGTCTGGCAGCCCCCGGCCTGGTCCAACTCCCTCTTTGAATGACAGGGAGACTTAGGCATGGAAGGGGGTGACTGGACTCAAGTCTCACAGCCCCTCTGCGGGCTCCCCTGGGCCCTGCCTCAACAATGTCCACGGGCTAGCCAGCATCACTCATCAGCTCTGGGGCCTCCAAGGGGGAACAGCGTCCTCTTCCAACAGCAGAATGGGGAGGGGGCTCTCCCCAGAGTCCATGTATCAATGGGCACCTGTTTCTCAGCAGGTAATGAAGGGCACTGGCACCGAGCTGCAGATGGTATCGCATGAGGCCAGGAGGTACAGCCACCCCAGCATAGAGGCAGGGGCAGGTGCCCGAAAAAACATTACCTCGCAGAGGGCACTGGTGGGGGCTCCACATTCCACTCTGGCCCTAACCAGGCCCCACTCCCCAGCCAGGAGCACAGAGAACCCATTATCCCAGCCACAAGAAAGGCCCATTTCTCTTCCATGGAGAGGATGTGGCCACCATCTGGGAGCTGGTTTCAACAAGTCATTTTTCTCTTCTTTCATCCCACCTCACCTTCATCCCGGCTTCCCCAGGAAGGCCCGGTTCTCCCACTGCACCAGGCGGCCCCTGAAAGAAAACGCCATTGGTCCCTCCTAGAGCAAGAGCTGCCCCCTGGTTGTAAGCAAGGGGGTAACTGAGGCTCCAAGAGGGCAAGAGAACACCCAGGGTCACACAGTGCAAGAGATGCAGAGGTGGGAGCAGCTTGTAGCTTCTTGGAGCTTGGAGCTGGAACTAGGGGGCTGGGGGTGGGCCCAGGCTGGCTGAGCTTTGGGACTACCCAGAGGCTTCTAGAGCCTTCTCCCGCCCCACAAGTGTGGTTTACCACACTAGGAGCCCTTTGGCAAGCAGAGGGAAGAAAATTTCATGATTCACAAAAAGACGGGGGAGGAAGCCATTGGATGCTGTGTTTAGGGCCAAGTGATTCTAACCCTTCTCTCTACAGCTTAGCCAGCGTGAGGCGGGTGGGAAGCAGCCCTGAGTTATCACCGTGGGCATGGCTGCAGCCCTTGCATAAACCCTGGGGCTTGGTTTTTCCCTCTGGATAAGGCAGGGGTGTGCGAGGCTCCTTCCAAGTTCCTTGCTGCATGACCCTTGGGGGCTGGATGGACAGTCAAACCTCTGCTGGGGCAAAGTCCCAGCAAGGTCAAGGTTGGGAAGCATCCATGCTTCCAGTGATGCCCAAAGAGGCAATGCCAACCCCCACAAGGGTCCTGGTACCTCTGTGTCCCACCCAATGCCCCTGGACTAGGAGCCAGCTCCTCAACCTATGCCACCAGGATGGATCTACCCTCTCTGCCAGGGCGTCCACCCTTCTCTGAACTACACGGTACATGACCATCTCCCTGGGCCAGGACAGGGAATGGCAGAAAGAGGCTCCTGGGGAGGAGGGAAGGGAAGGGCTGATACATCCCCAGCAGCATCATGGGACGAATAAGGGTCTCTCACACTCACCTTGGGTCCCATCTCTCCTGGAGGCCCAATTGGCCCCTGGGGTCCCTGAGGGCCCTGGAAGACAGACAGACACACAGACAGTTGGGAGAGGTCAGCCTGGGCCCTCTTTGGGATCTGGAGGGGTGAATGAGGGAGCTGACCCCCAGAACTGGGGACTCTGAAGCACACCCCTAGTCCGCCCCAGCCACACCGAGGGTCCTGGTGTCTGCAGCCCCTCTTCATCACTGGTATCTGTCATACTCCCTCCAACACAGCTGCACACTCTCCTATCCACCCACCTAAAGCCCAGGGGGCCCTCCCTGATCAGAAACCTCCTAGCTCTTGAGTCTTGCTCATCTGTTGCCCCTGCCTGGAACGCTCTTCCACCTCGGATCCATGTCTGGAAACCCCCACCCCCAGCCAACCCACTGTTCAAAAGGGTGACTCCTTGGGCCTCAAGATGTGGGAATGCAGCAGCGGCCTTGAGGATGGGAGCCTCCTGTCCTCCCCTGCCCTGTGCAGGAGTCATCCTTCTAGCCCCCTGGAGATTCTGTCCTCTCTCTGCCATCTCTTGTAGCACCACTCTCCAGCCTCCTCATGGGGTTCCTGGACTGTCCCCCCACACCTGTCCTCCCAGGGACATCTTCTGGAAGGCAAGCTGATCGCCCTTTCTGCTTCAAGCCCTTCCATGGTTCCCTGTTGCCCTTGGGATAAAAAGCACAGTGTCCCCGTGGCCTTGGGCGACTGGAGCCTGCTGCCTCCTCCTGCCCTTTCTGAGGTCCCGCTTTCCACTTCAGCCATGCTGGACTCTGCAGTTCCCGGTCAGCTTGTTCGTTTACTCTTATCTTCACCTCCCTCCCTCCTGCCTTTCCCTGTGCCAAGCACTCCCTATACATTTTCGCATTTCATCTTCACAACAGAATGGCAAGGCAGAGACAATCACCCCCATTTTCCTGGCAAGAAAACAGGCTGGAGGCCAAGTGAGCTGAGCCTCAAACCCAGAGCTCCTGGCTTAGTGCTCGCCACCAACCCCAAGGCCTGGCCCACAGCGGGTTAGAGGCCAGGCATGGTCCCTTTCCAACCCTTCTCCTTATCTGACCACCTGGCCCACACCCCCAGGTGCCAGCGGCAAAGAAGCAGAAGAGGGAAGGAAAGGGCTCTTACCGGTTCTCCTGGGAGGCCCTTGGTGCCTGGGGGGCCTGAGGGACCCGGGATGCCCTGCAGAGACAAGGTAAAGGTGACCTTAGGCCCTCCATGGCCTTCTCTGCCCTGTCTTGATTTCAAGCAAGCCATCCTAGTGTATTTGGGTCCCCTCCTCCCACACCGGGTGACAGATGGGAAGGCTGAGACCCAGAGAAGAGAGGATGTGCTGGAGGAGCTTCAGTGCAGGGCAGGTGGGCAACCAGAACCTGCGGGGTTTCCACAGAAGGACAGGAACTTGGTAAAAGTGGTTATTATCAGCACCGCACCCGCCCCCCACCCCCATCAAAAGCCCCATGTAGAGAATTTCAAGAACTGGTGCTACTTACAGGAAAGCCTCTCGAGCCCAAGTGGCCTCGCTCACCAGCCACACCCTGGAAGCACATGTGGGGGTCATTACAGGCTCAGATCACAAAGCACGGAGCAGGGAGGGGGCCTGCAGCTGGCCTGCTTGGCCTTGGCCTGACATACCTGCTGTCCAGGCCGGCCCGGTCTGCCCTGGGGTCCTGGAGGGCCCTGTGGGAAGCAGAGCACGTGAAGGTGGGAGAGGGTGCTTGGGAGGACCGTTCCCCAAAAAGGGACCCCTCCACATGGGAGATAAAAGGAACCCGTTTGAGGCCACAGAGTCTGCCCCCTTTCCATGGTGCAGATGGGAAAACTAAGGCCTGACAAGGGGAGTGGCTCGCCACCGTCACCAGCTGCTCCAGGTGGAGAACCAAGGACCCCTTCCTAGGGATGGGGCTGCCAGAAGCAGTCTCAGCTGTCAGGGGCCTGGTGGGGTTTGGGGTCCGGGGAAAGGGTCTGAGGACGTGTATGATCTCCCTCCTCCTTTCTTGCTTTCTCTTTATTGGGCTTGCAGTGAGGGGTCAGGAGGAGTGGAAGGGCTAAGCTCTCAGAAAGAGCCCTGCAGCCTCCATGGGGCTCCCTTTGTTGTCCCTAAGGGGCATTGTTCTGAGGAGCTGTGAGCCTTGTTCACGATTCCTGACCCAGTGTCGGAGGAGTGAGGAAGGGCAGGTCCTAGGGGTCGGTACCTTCAGGCCCCTGGACCCTTGCTCCCCAGCTGGTCCGTCCGGTCCTCGGGGGCCCTGGAATAGGAAAAAGGGACTAGCACACCGGACAGCAGGGGTCTCCCTCGGGCGGAGAACCAGGAGGGCGGGGCTGCTCCAAGCCTGGGGCCTTCCCCTGCACAAGCTCCGGCCCCCTCCTCCTCCCACTTCCCACACACTCCCCACTGAGGTGGTCACCCTCGTGCAGCGCCTTCGAGACAGCTCTGCAGAGGCCGCAGCATGAGTAGACTCAGCTAGAGGCTGATGCTTCCAGAAGGGGGCTGGGGCACTAATGGCCCTGTTCAGAGAGACCTTGGGGGTCACCCAGCCAATCCATTTCACAGACGTGGAGACTGAGGGCCGCAATTGAGTTACACGTGGCCACGTCCACACGGCCAACTCTTCAGACTCTGCTGCCATGTGCCATTCCCAGAGCACACACGGGGCAGAAACAGCCCTCAGGGGAAACTGACAGAGCAGGACCTGGGAAGAACCTGCATGTCCTTCCCAGATGTGTGGAGCAGCCCCATCTCTAGCCAGACGTACAACGAATACAGCCCAGCTCACAGAGGAAGAGCCCATGAGGTGGGGGCAGGAACAGGGCAGGATTTTGCACGAGGGAGTGGGAGTCAGGCTACTGCTCCCTGGAGCCCTGGGCTCAGGCCTGACCCCTGACACAGGAGTCTTGGTCCCTGATTGCTGGGAGACCCCAGGGGCAGGTGGAGTCCACCCCCATCCCCCCTGCACAGATGGGAATACTAAGGCCCAGCCAAGGGAAGTGACTTAGCTAAGGTCCCTAACACATTAGCCGCTCTCATCCCCCATGTGGGCTCCACCCACTGCCCCACGTGTGTCCCCTCCAGGGCCGCTCCCACAGAGACGCAGATGGGCTGGGCTCTCCTGGAAAAAACCCGTGGAAAACAGAGCAGGCTGTGTTCTCTAGGGGGTCTCAAGCAGTCTGTGTTGGGAGGACAGGAGTGTCCTGTGGAGGAGGCCAGCCCATCCTGGCCCGGGAGCCCAGGGGATCAGCCCGCAATACTCCCCCAGATAAAAGGAACTGGGGAAGTGTCTAGGTGGGAGAGGATGGGGAATAAGAAAACTAAATGAAGAAAAATCATTTAAAAATCAAACAAGGAAGGCTGGGCACAGTGGCGGAAGGCTGGGCACAGTGGCTCACGCCTGTAATCCCAGCACTTTGGGAGGATGAGGTGGGCGGATCATGAGGTCAGGAGTTCAAGACCAGCCTGACCAACATGGTGAAACCCCATCTCTACTATAAATACAAAAATTAGCTAGGCATGGTGGTGTGTGCCTGTAGTCCCAGCTACTCAGGCGGCTGAAGTAGGAGAATTGCTTGAACCCAGGAGGCGGAGCTTGCAGTGAGCGGAGATCGCACCACTGCACTCCACCCTGGGCGACAGAGCGAGACTCCATCTCAAAAAAAAAAAAAAAAAATCAAACAAGGAAATTTTCAATGAATAATTGGGCCAACAAAGTGAAAATTCCACTTCTCAGCTGCCTGGAGCTCCCTATGCTTCAATCCCACACCGCAGCCTTAAAGAGCACCCCACTGATCAAATAATCCTGGAACAGGGAGCCACCGGGCAAGGCCAAGGCTCAGCTGGGAGACGCTGTCCTCAGCATCCCCAAGCCCAGGGCCTGGTGCCCATTGTGGGGTCCAGCCCTAGGCACCGGGCTGCTCAGGAAATGTGTCTGGGGACAAGTGACTGCTCCTCACTGAGACTCCATTTCTTTTTTCTGAAATGGGCACAAGAAATCTCTCCCTCAAGACAGGAGGCGATGCCCACAGGCAGCTCAGTGCCTGGCACGCAGAAAGTGCTTAAGAATGGCTAGTTCCATCCCTGCCAGGCTCTGCCAGGGGAGGGGGCAGCCTCCCCAGAGGCAGGGACACAGGAGTGGCTTGGGGAATCTGGGCTCAGTCCCTTCCTCAGGCAGTTCACACTATGCTGTGTAAAACCAGTTGAGAATTTTCAGATTCAAGCTGCAGTTTGATGAACCCCTAAACAAGCCATCTCTAGTGGGCATTACGGGGCTCAGGTGCTAGCCGTAGCCTGTTGCTGGTTTGCTGTGTGACCCCGAAAAGCCCCATCTCCTCTCTGGGCCTCAGTCTCAGGCTCACGTGGACACTGTCACACCACGTCATTAGGCTTAACACCCGTGATTCATGGGCACAGGCCTGGCGGAGCTGGAGCCACATGGGGTGGGGCCGTGTCAGGTCATGGGAGCTGGGACAGGGGCTGAGCTGATGGCAGACAACTGAACCCTCCTGAGGGATGATCTCTGGCTCTGGGCTCTGTCTCTCGCTGAGACATACACCTCCCTAGAAAGGGATAGCTCTGGGAGGGGAGTGGAGGCTCAGAGGTGTTGAGGGCTTGGCCTGAAGCCCATAGCACCTTGTTTATCCCAGGAATCAAAGGCTTTCTGGGAGAAAGCTTAAGTCATCAAATAATAATAGAGCAGTAGCAGCCACCGCAGGAGCAGTGAAAGCTGTTATCCTCCTTTCACAGGGACAGAAACAGGCTCAGGATGGTGGTGAACTTGCCTATGGTCACACAGCTAGGAAATGGAGGAGCCAGAATTTGAGACCAAGTCAGCTGGACATCCATTTTTTTCACCACTACCTGTCACTGTTTTTCAGAAATGGAGTGAGCTCCCCGTCACCGGGGGTATACAGGTCAGGACCCAGAGGATCCTGCCAGGAAGGCTGCACACTGGGGCCTGGTGTTGGAGAAGACAATATCTAAAATCCCTCTTATCTGAGAGAACTCACTATCCCAGCAGAGCACCAGAGAACCCGGGAGAAGCTGGCTTGGCTTAAGAGAGAGGAGGAGGCAGTAGTGGGGCCACCAGCCACCCTGTCTCCCCAGCCCCACAGGGCAGGGAGAGGGGCGAGAACAGCCGCACACTCTAACCCTTGCTCTGGGCCACTCAACAGTTCATCCCGCAGGTTCCCCAGTCCTGCTGCCTCCTTCCCTAAATGAACCTGGGCAGGCCCACCCCCGCCCCGCCTGCTGGAGGGAAGCTTGGGTTTCTATCAGAGCTACCTGTCTGCTCTCTTGTATCCGCTCCTCGAGGAAGATGTCTGCAGGCACGCTGGAGACTGCCCTCCAGCCAGGCCTGGGGATCAGGCTTGGTGGGGAGGAGCTCCTGCCTGGGACAGAAAATCTGGCCAACCACAGCTCTTGTGAAAAAGGGGCCGATGAACAAGCGGGAATGAGCACACACCATCACGTGCTGCCACCCTGCAGCAAGTTCAAGGTGCTCAGGCAGTGACTGAGTCCCCACAGCCAGCCCACCAGCTTTGTTCTGTTGCCAACCCGTTTTACGGAGGGGGAAGTGAAGGCTCAGGGATGGGAAATCAGTGGCCCAAGGTCTAAGATCCAAGAGGAAGAGCCTGGATTTGGGTAAGGTCTGCTAAGCTCTAACACCCACAGGCAGGGGAAGAGTTGGCCCGAGGCATTGGAATCTTGGGGTCCTTACGACCCCCTCGGAAGGAGGAATTAAAGTCTCTAACCTGAGCAGGTGGGAGAAAGGCTCTGAGAGGTTAAGAAACCGGCCTGGGGTTCCACAGCTGGGAACCGGGGGTGCTGAGACTTGCCGTAGGCCCATCTGACCCCAGAGTCCTCATTCTTTTCACTGGGGCTGGTGGGCCCAGGTTCTAGTCAGCGTCCTCACCAAGAACAGAGGATGAGAGCCTCCCTTGCCCCTGGCCATCAACTCTCAGTGCTCATTCTTCCTTGGGTGGGCGGTGGGGTGGGGAGCAGGGCCCGTCCTACACATAGGCAGGAAAGCAGGCAAGGCCTTTCAGACCTCCAGGCCCATTCCCCGTGGCACATATGGGGAAACTGAGGCACAGAGCGCCACAAGGCCTTGCTAAGGGCACAGGGCAAACCGGGAGCTGATCAGGACTTGCCCAGAATCAAGCTCTTTCACAGGCACGGTGGGTGCCTCTGTAGGTTCCCCACCTTCAGTCACCTCCTCTAGGAGGTGGCGAAGGGCAGCCTGTTTGGCAGGAGACCCAGGGGGCCGATCTCATAGGTTGTGCATTCCTGACAAACCCAGTGGGGAGAGGGGCTCATGTTCCTGATGCTCCCCTCCCAGCCCGGGAGACACTGACGAGGTTGGAAGCCTGTGTTTCCCTAAGCAGGAATACGTTCTTCAAGCCACTGCTGGGAAGGGGTGGTGGAGATGGTTGAAGGGAGCCCAGTGAGTTGAAGGGGGCCTGAGCCCCGCGCCTGAGGCAGGGCAGGGGGCCTGGGCCCATGCAGCTCACCCTCCAGGAAATCCAGCTTCCTGGGGCAGGAGGGGAGGTACAGAGGATCCGGATGGAGCCTGGCTGCCCTTGGCCCAAGGCCCATTTGAAGAGACCCCCCCCCCACCCAGAGGACATGGGCACCGGAGGGACCCTGCTGGGCCACAGGAATGCCTTTTAATCTTCCCTCTTCCAGGCCGGCTGCTCAGGCCATCTGGTTTGGGGGAAATTGTAAAACCACTTGAAATCCAGCCAAGAGGAGAATAATAATCACAGATCCCCCCGTATGGAGCTTGGATATCAGGCCTGGGCTGCCGGCACCACCTGCACCATCTCACTTTCTCTTTACAATAAGGCTGCACGGCCCCACGCCTGTATACCTATTGCTGGCAGACCATCCTGTCAACCCTCCCTGTGTGATTGAAAATAAGGCTGAATTCAGTATGCAAATGAGCCAGATTCCCTGGGTTCAAATCCCAGCTCTGCCACTTTTTAGCTGTGCAACTTGAGGTAAGTGACTCAACCTTTCTGTGCCTCTCTGGGAGTGGAGTGGAGGCTCAGAGGTGTTCAGGGCTTGGGCTGAATCACATAGCACCTAGTTTATCCCAGGAATCAAAGGCTTTCTGGGAGAAAGGTTAAGTAATCCAATAATAAAATAATAATAAAATGGGAATGAGAATAGCACCTTCATGACAGGGTAGTGTTGAGGATTAAATGAGTTAATGTGTGTGACAGGCAGTATCTGGCATAGATTAAGTGCTGGCGATTACTTCCAGTGACTGCTCAGGGAAGCCTTGTTTAAAACCCCCTGCAGCCTCCCAATGCCCTTGGAGTATAGCTGTGGCTTTTGAGGCCCTGCCTCGCTTGGTGCCTGCTAAGTCCCAGCCCCATCCCTCTCCCTCGTCCCTCTTTTGACCCTGAGGATACCTAAGCATCCACCTCCTGTATCACCTTCAGGTCTTCCCCTGCCAGTCCCCTGCCAGGAAGCTGGCATCAACTCAAGCACTGCCCTCTCCTAAAGTCCTTCCTTAGTACCCTGCCCAGGTAGGGTCCTCCTCTGGGCTTCCAGGCTGCTAATACTTCCTCAGTCCATGTGCTGATGACCCTGTATTTTATCACCTGCATCTGCCAAGTGGTTTGATTCACTTGTTGACTGGCTCACAAGGGCAGGCAGGGGTTATGTCTGTCCTGTTCACCACTATACCTGTAGAGCCTCCAACAGTGTCCGCCAGACAGTAGGTGCTAAATAAGTGCTGGTTGAATAAATGAATGAACAAAGAACTAGTACCGGAGAGCCCGACTGTGCCTGGTGGATAGCAAGGCTGAGAAATGAGTTGGAAAGAGGGGTGGGGTCCCACCCCTAGAGACAGGTCCAGGGTGAGCCTAGAACCTTGCCTTGTGCTATGAAAGTCACAGATCCCAGAGCTGGGCTAGGGGCAAAGCCCAGGCAGTCTCTGGCAGATGGCCCTGTTCCAAGTGTGCCCCCTCCCACCAGCATCAGCCCCCAGGAGCTGGGCTCGACTTACCCGACGTCCCTTTGCTCCCCTCATGCCTGGTGGGCCTCGAGATCCTGGAGGACCCTGGGAAGAGGAGAAAGAGTTTGGAGAGGCCCCTTTTTAGGAAGTGAGAGCAACACGGGGGGCTGGGAGTGTGGGGCAAAGCTTGAAGGCCTGCAGCCCTCAGACGGGCATGTTCAGAAGCTGCCGGGGCCCCAGCAGCCTCCACATGGAAGGACTGGGCACCTGGCTCACTGGGGAAAGCAGCAGGCGAGCCACAGCCTCGAACACAGCCAATGCCCTGGGCTATAGGGGGATGGGCCTCGACCTTTCCTGGGAGTCTGGGGAGTGGGGATAAGGCCCCCTGCATGACATTTTCTTCTCCTTTTCCTCAAAATCAACAATGAGAAGATACGATGCCATTCATTCATTCATTTATGTATTTATTGAGAGAGGATCTCGCTCTGTGGCCTGGGCTGGAGTGCAGTGCAGCCTTGAGCTCCGGGCTCAAGTGATCCCCCCGCCTCAGCCTCCTGAGTAGCTAGGATTGCAGGCATGCACCATCATGCCCAGCTAATTTTCTTATTTTTGTGGAGACAGGGTCTCACTATCTTGACCAGCCTGATCTCAAACTCCTAGGCTCAAGTGA
The DNA here is from genome assembly GCF_000001405.40 of Homo sapiens. Classification (NCBI taxonomy): domain Eukaryota; kingdom Metazoa; phylum Chordata; class Mammalia; order Primates; family Hominidae; genus Homo; species Homo sapiens. Next base: position 114,257,975 of record NC_000009.12, on the reverse strand, counting down.
TCCTCCTGCCTCAGCCTCCCAAATTGCTGGGATTACAGGTGTGAGCCACTGCATCCAGACTACAATGACATGTATGACAAAAGGTCTCCTCAAATCCTCATCTCCCTTTTTCTCCCCCACCAGAAAGGAGAATCTGGTGACCCAAGTTCTGTCCCTCACCTCCACCCTGACACCCAATATTTTCCTGAATATTTTCTCCCAGGGAAAAGAGGAGGAGGAAGAACTGAGAACACAGGCCTGGGGTGAGCTTGGGAGGCGGAGAGGGCAGAGTGGGAGAGGATCAAGAAAGAGAGAAGGAGAGGGGAGGCAGAGGCAGAGAAGTGGGTGGGGTGGCATGAGAAGGGAGCAAGGCCCAGCCCCGGGCAAATGGGCAGCCATCTTGGTTTTGATGAACAGACGACAAGAGGGGCAAGAGAGACAGGGTGAGAGGGCCAGTTTAGTTCTTGGAATTCTCGGCACCTGGCCTGGCACAGGTGCACGACAGACACTCAGGAATCTGCTGAATGAACAAGGAGCACATGAACTGAAGAGGGCAGAGGGTGGGAACGGAGGGAACACAGGAGAAGATGGGAAGCAGGCCACCCCTCTGCCTAATGTCTCCCCCGCCCCCACCCCGATTCCAGGCCCAGCTTGAGAGACCTCAAGCAGCAACTTCATCCACCGGCCAGCCAGGACCCTCTGCCAGCTCCAGGAGCCTCCCAGCTCCGCAGCAATTCTCAGACTGGGCGTGCTCCTTTTGCAAGGCAGAGCCAGTCTCATCCCTCCTCTGAATACCAGGGAGAGGCCCAGCCCCATCTGGTGCCTCAGAGCGAACTCTTGACTTTCCCATTTCCCTTTCCCCATGGCTTTGAGGGGTGTGAACCCAGCCGCTATCACCCAGCAGACCCTCCAACAGCTGCTGTGGAGGGGCTGATGTGAGGGGCTGGGTCCCAGGCTGACCCTTCGTCAGTAGAGCAAGCAGGGTGTGGACCCGGGCTTGGCCCCATAAAAGGCAGTTCTGACTCCCGGATGGTGGAGAACAGAAAGACTGGGTGAGAATGGGCCATTTTATAGAGTGATCTCAGAGCTCAGAAGGCATGCAATGCACCGCTGGGAAATTTCGGGAGCCAAGTCTCTACATCAAGGCATAGAGTGCTGAAAAGAGCAGGCTGTAGCACTGGAGAACCCGGGCTCACATGCCAGTTTGGCCACTTACTAATTGTGCCATCTTAGGCACGTTACTTCAACTCACTGGGCCTCAGTTTTGTCATCTATAACATGGGGATAGAAGAGTCCTTACCCCCTAGAGTTTCTAGAAGGTGAAGTGACAAAGTCCTCAGGAAAAGGTAGCTGCCTGCTCTCGCAAGGCAGGAGGAGGTCAGAATTGAATGCTAGACCCAACTCTGGTCACTGGGTGACCCTAGGCAGGTCCCAGGGCGACCCTAGGCAGGTCCCAGGGCCTCACTCCCACCCCCAATAATGGGGATAATAATCTTTTTTTGTTGAGATGGAGTCTTGCTCTGTCGCCCAGGCTGGAGTGCAGTGGCGCTATCTTGGCTCACTGCAAGCTCCGCCTCCCAGGTTCACACCATTCTCCTGCCTCAGCCTCCCGAGTAGCTGGGACTACAGGTGCCCGCCGCCATGCCCGGCTAATTTTTTTCTGTTTTTTAGTAGAGACGGGGTTTCACCGTGTTAGCCAGGCTGGTCTTGATCTCCTGACCTCGTGATCCGCCAGCCTCGGCCTCCCAAAGTGCTGGGATTACAGGCATGAGCCATTGCACCTGGCCTGGGGATAATAATCTTGATAGATCTCAATGTGCTATCGGACAACATGGAGGTGAAAGTGATTGATAAAGTGGGAAAATGCCAATCAGGTGTGAACAATATCACCAGAAATGTCACTTTTAATCGTAGTAGCCTTACTCATAATAGTGGCAATGATCATCTCTAACAAATAGTTATCACCATTCATGAAGCACACAGTTATGCAGGAGGGCTGTGAGACACCACATCATGCACTGCACCATTTCCGATGACAATCTCATACTCCAGGTGGCATCATGCTGACTTACAGATGGGGAAACTGAGGGTCGGAGAAGCTATGAATGTTGCCAACAATCCCGCAGCCGGCAAGTCGGGGAGCCAGAATTTCACCCCCATGTATCTGATTCTGAAGGTGGTTTTCTGGGCCTCCGAGCTAGCCGGCTTCCCCAGTGTCGCTGGCCAGGAGGAACCCCAAGAGATCCAAGGGACCAGCCCTGTACCGTAGCAGTGGGGGACCATGGCAACCTTGGGATCAGAAACAGCAGTAAGTGACCGTCTGATTTCACCAAGCCTGAGCCAACCCACTGAAGAGGGGGAAGCACTGAGGAGATGGGGTGGGGTGGGGAGGTGAGTGGAGCCAGGGAGGCAAGGGATTCAGAGGAGGCTTGCACCTTCTTCTCTGTATTGGCCTGAATATCCCCACTCTTTCCCCATCTCCCGCTGGCCTTCCATTGTGTCCCAGTGACTCCTTTCCTGGCTTTCCTCCTCCCACTAGACAGATGGGGAGACAGGCCCAGGACGGCTGAGGTGCAGGGGTGCCAGGGATAGAACTCGATGATGTACCCCCAGCATCCTTGTACTCAGGCTTCGGCCCTACTCTGGGCACCCCCCATGCTGAGGGCTCCAATCACTCTATCTCTGACCACTGGGAGGGAGGCCGGGCCCTTGCATTCCAAGCTGGGTGCCTCGGCCAGCCGTGCTAGCCCCCTGACCAGAATGCTGGTCCTCTGACCCCCTGCTTCTACCCCAACAGTCCTACTTCCACACTGCCAGCTCCTCCAGCCCTGGGCCAGATGTGACTTTTCCTCCTTCTCATGAAAAGGGCAAAAATATGTCACTGGGAGCCCAGAGTGCTGGCTTCTGCTTCCAACTGTGCTCCTCAAGAACGTTCCAACTTGTCCAAAGAATCATGAGGATGGACAGAGACCCCTGGTGCTGATGCCTTCTCCTCTGGGTGACGGTCACCTATATCCAGGCCTCTCACCCTTGGACTAGTCCACCCCTCTACCTCCTCGGCCCCTGGCATGGCCTGGCACAGAGTAGGTGCTCGATAAAAGTCTGTTAATGATGGAGAGAATGTTTATACTTGACAGCCCCACCAGACAGTGAGAGTCTTAAGAGCTGGAACTCTTTCTTACCATTTTTGTACCTCCAGGGAGGAGCTTATGCTAGCACACAGCAGGTGCATGAAAAAGTGTAGGAGCTGAGTTGGCCTTGCTTCCCTAATCACAGTAGAGAACAGGTTTATGCGAGCTTCCCCTGGGTTCAAACCATGAAAGGCTTCAGGGCCCTTCCTCATCAGACCCCAGGGAACTCCTCAGTCTGGACTTTGGAGACACCCAGGCAACCTGAGCTCATCGCCCCTCAGCCCTACCTCCGGATCTGTGCCTGGGCTGGTCCCTCTACCCCCACACCCTCCCCAACTTCCCCAAGCCCACCTCGGACTGGGCTCCCAGCCCTGACCCCTGGCTTTGGCTGAAGCGAGTGCCCTTTCCTAGTTTCCATCCTCCATTGGCAGAAACAGGGATCTGAAGCAAGTTCTACCTGCTCCAAATGAGAGCAAGCCCACCCCCACCCCCTGCACATCATCACCCCTGGGAAGGAGAAGGGGCTCTTGAACTTGAGTGCTCCTGGCCGCACCCTTCCCCCAGCTCTCCCAGCCTCTCCCACCACTCTGCCTTGAGAGCCTCCCACCAACCCTGCTTCCTCAGTCATCATGAGAAGCCCAGGCCCCTGAGGACCCTCAGCCCTGTTTGTCCAGCATTTCCCATCTTTGTGCCTGCTCTTCCAGAACAGACATCACTTACTGGGTTCTATCTACCCTGCCCCCCCATACCAGACTACATGCTCCAAAGGAAGGGACCACTTTCTACCTTTCTTGCTGCCACATCCCCAGCTCCTGGAACTGCCAAAACCCCATCTCTACTAAAAATACAAAAATTAGCTGGGTGTGGTGGCACACGCTTGTGATCCCAGCTACTAGGGAGGCTGAGGCACGAGAATCTCTTGAACCCAGGAGGTGGAGGTTGCAGTGAGTGGAGATTGGGCCCCTTCACCCAGCTCCTGAAACTGCCCACAAGCACTTATCGCTCAGTAACTACAGAGTGAATGAGTGAATGGACAAAAGCAATAATGCTGCTAATAACCAAAATGCTTCCAGGGAACAAACACCATTCTGTAATGAACATTAGCCCCACGCTTCCATTTAACCCACACGATCACACTATCCTGACCATGATTCTTTTTTCTGTTTTTCAAATGAGCAAAATTCAGGCTTGGAGAAGTTAAATGATCTGCCCCAGGAATACAGTCAGATCTGCCCCAGGATTATAGTCAGAAAGTGGTGTAGCTGGGATTCTACCCAGGTCTGTCTGATTCTGAGGCTTGAACTCCTAACCCTTATTCTTTTTCTCCTCTTCTCTTCTCTTCTGTTCTTCTGTTCTTCCTTCCTTCCTTCATTCCTTCCTTTCTTTTCTTTTCCTTTCTTTCCTTTCTTCCTCCCCTCCCGCCCTCCCTCCCTCCTCTTTTTTCTCCTCTTCTTTCTGTCTTTTTTCCTCTTTCTTTTTTCTTTCTTTCTTTCGTCTTTCTTTCTTCCTCCACTCCCTTCTTTCTTTCTCCCCTCCCTTCCTCTCTCTTTCTTTCTTTCTTTCTTTCTTTTTCTCTGTCTCTTTCTTTCTTTTCCTTTCTTTTTTTTGAGACAGGGTCTAGCTCTATCACCCAGGCAGAGTGCAGTGGCACGATCTTGGCTCACTGCAACCTCTGCCTTCTGGGTTCAAGCGATTCTCATGCCTCAGCCTACTGAGTATCTGGGATTACAAGTGCGTGTCACCACGCCCAGCGAATTTTTGTATTTTCCGTAGAGACAAGGTTTTGGTATGTTTGTCAGGCTGGTCTTGAACTCTGGCCTCAAGTGATCGGCCTCCCGAAGTGCTGAGATTACAGGTGTGAGCCACCACACCCAGCCACCTAACCCTTATCTGACAGTGGTTTGAGCTTAGGGATCACGAGGGCTTTGCTTACCTGGGGTCCAGGCTCTCCAGGGGTCCCCATACCACCTGGCATTCCAGGATGACCCTGCCAAGACAGAGAAGACAAAGGAGGAATCAGCTATGGAAGCTTCCTCCTTCAGTCCCACCTCGGTCGGCTCAGCCCCAGTGCAAAGCCAGGAGGACAGCAGCTAGGCCCCCTGGACAAAGAGGGAGCTGGTCATTCTGAACGTCTGGGGTAAGCGGTTCATGGAGGAGAGCAGAGCTGTCACTCAAGGCTGCAACAGGAGAGGGCAAGAGGATGCAGACTTACTCCTTACCATCGACCCCTTGGGTCCAGGCACGCCTGGGGGTCCCATCATGCCACGATCACCCTGTGATGGAGACAGCAATGCAGGCAGGTCACGGCTATGGCTGTGGGGTGGCTCTGTGGGAGGCAGGTGCAGAGGGCCATCCAGAGGCTCAAAGAGAGGTAGGGGTTTGCTCAAGGTCTCTAGAGGGTCCCTGCCTAGTTCATGGCCACATCACCCAGGTGGGGATCTGGGATTTCACTCAGAGGAAGCCAAGACCTCTGGCAAGCCCTGGAAGGCCTCAGCATCCCCTGTAGTGGGCCACGCAGTGAATTTCCCTCCAAGGATGGTCCTGATTAAGGAAGCACTAATTACACTGTCCCCTTTGATCCTGGCCCACATCATGTTGGTCCTTATTAGGCCTGGCATCCCCTGGGCTAGGCTTGCTGAGGCAGAAACAGCAAGAGAAGGCATGTCTTTCACTCTCCAAACTCCCTGTCCAAACCTAGATGAGATGCTAGAGAATCAGAGACATAACTCATTCCCTCTCGACCAATCCAGACACACTGGGCAGAGTTGGCAGTGTAGCAGACAGCTCCAGCCAGAAGGTAGGTGCTCTGGGTTCGAATCTTGGCTCTGTTTTCGTGAGGCTCTGTTTCTTGTATCCACCCAGCCAGCAAATATCTATTGAGCACCTACTATGTGTCTGACACTATCTGCGAGACTCTGAATATACAATGGTGAGCAGCCCTGCTCCCATGGAGCAAGGCACTCAGAGGGTTGTAGGAGACACAGTGCAGTGAGGGTGGGGGTCATGGTGCTAAGGTGTTATTATTGGAGGACTTGACCCACTTGGGGGCAGAGCCGGTCAGGGAAAGCTTCCCTCGGGAAGTCCCTCTTGACCCAAGAGCTGAAGGATAATGAAGAGCATCTGGGCAGAAAGGGTGGAGGCAGATGGCAATGGGAAGAAAGCATTTGGCTAAGGGAATGGCGCAGTCAATGGTTTGTAGGTGAGAAGGGACATGGGTCATTTGAGCAACAGCAGAAGCCCAGAGTTGGCTTTGATGTTGTGCTATCATTATGTAAGATGCTACCACTGGAAGAAACAGGGTGAAGGGTACTATTTTTTGCAACTTCTTGTGAATCTGTCATTATTTCAAAATAAAAAGTTAAATTTAAAATTTCAAGATAAAAAGCTGAATTTAAAAGGAGGAGGAGCAGAAGGGGAAGGAGGAGGAGGGGGAAGCGAGGGAGGAGGAGGAGGAGGAAGGCAGAGGCCCGAGGGTCTGGGCCACATAGAGTGATAGAGTGTGGCACAAGAGGATCCTGGAGAGTTAGGCGGGGCCAGACTTGCGGGGGATACTTCCTCCCTCTGGACCTCAGTTCCTCCATCTATTCAATGGGAATAATATTGGTTCTCCCAGAGGGCCTGCTCTGGGGATCGGATAAACCCATACAAAGGAAGACAAGTGCCTCCAAGGCCCTTGGTGGGAGCTGGGAGCCAACATGAGGCAGAGTGTCTTAGTGAGCAAAGTGTAGCTAACCTTTGGCAATGAACCTGGTTCAAATCTCAGCACTGCCACTTATTATCTGGGTGACCTGGAGTAAGTCACCTCCCCTATTTGAGCCTCTGTTATCTCATCTAAAACAGAGGCTTAGCAAGGCAACCTCATCTTTCCTCTTTGTAAAGATGAGTCTTTTCCTCCCTGCTCTCGCCGACCCCTGTGCAGGGCCAGTAGGCAGCTGTGAGGAGCCCAGGTCACATGCATCTGCTGGTTGTCACACAAAAGTCTAACTGTGCTTGAGGCTGATGACAGTAGGGCAGGGATAGAACCCCAAGGGATGCCAGGAAAGGGAACAATGTCTCTTGGCAGACTCAGAATGCCAGGTCAGGAGAGAGGCTAGGGGAGGGTATTCTGAAATCCCCAGGTCAAAGGGCCTCTTCACCTTTTTACAATTTCAAAACACAAGCTCTAATTGTTTATCTTTTCCCCTCAACACCACTTACCTTTTCTCCCACGATTCCTGGCTCCCCGACCAGACCAATGAATCCCATAAATCCCTATGAGACACATTCCCGAAAGCAAGAGAAACAACGTGAATCCGGGGACCCAGCCCTCCCGCTCCTTCCCCTGAAGCTCATCTCCCAGGTGTCTCCCACCCGTGCCTGGTCACCCAGCCAGCATGGGGTTGTGCCGGGGAGAGCGCTGCCTCTCTCTGGGCACCGTTCTGACTTCCCTCACTCCACCAGATGGTTCTGATTTTGAAGCCAAGCAGCGGGGCCGCTGCCAACATCCCTGGGAGCGCCACACATTCTTCCCGCGCCAGAAGCAGGCTGGGAGGCTGCCACGTTTGGAGAGCTGGGGTTGGGCGGGGGGTGGCTTAAGCTGAGCTGGGAAGAGGCCATCTGTGCCCATCTTTCGGGGCTCTGGGGCTGTTTCAAAGAGTGAAACAAACCCGCTGGCTGGGACAGAAATACCGTAACAGCCTCCGCCAAGAGAACTGATTGGAATCGGGGAGGCGGAGGCCTCTTTACTGTCTTCTGAAAGGCCTCCTTGCCTTTTTCTGAAAGGGTGCACACACAGACACACGCTGCAGCTCCTGCTGCTCTGCTGAACTCCGCTGGGTGACAACTTGCCTCTGGGTTCCAGGGGGTTCTTCTAGGTGGCCCCAGTCCTTGCCGTCTCCCTGAGCAAGCAAACACGCACACGCGCAGCGAGGGTGGACAGCCTAGAGGGGTCACCTAGGAAGGCCCATCAATTTCTTATTCAGGCCCCACCTTCTTCCCTGCTAAGGAAAATACAAACTGAGCCGGGAGGGCCTTGTGTGGTTCAGGAGTGCAGAAGTGGCTTTGGAAGAACCCAGATTTGCAGCCAAGAGGTTCTGGGTGAATTAGGAAAGATGGAGGGATGAGTGGATTTTGTCCATAAAATCCGCTCCCTGTCCCCCAAACCCTGGCCAGAGTAAAATGAGACCTTGGGCCAGGAATAGGCCAGAGTTTGTGTACTCAGTCAATAAGGCCGGCCCAGCTGTCAGTTAACTACCATGAGAGGGTTACCTCTGGGATCCACACTTTCTTATCTAAAGACAGTTTTAAAGTGGTCACTTCAGCGAGGGCCACACGTGTCTTGCTGCTGCAGCCTGGGATGTCCGCTCTGGTTGTGTGGCTCCAAAGACCACGCACCTTCCCCTCCAGCCCAAGGCCTCCAAAGCATGTGGCTGTGAACAGGGCCCGGATCTCCCGTACATCCCAGCACCACGCTGGCACTACGCATGGTGGATCCTGCACCTGCCCCTGGTTCCCTGGGTTCAGAGAACTTTCTGAAGTATAAGGTAAGAGGGATGAGGCACTAGGTATAAGGTCACAGCTAACATTTCACAGAAAATAACCAAATACTTGATTTTTGCAACAACTTATTTTTAAAAATTAATTAGAGCATTTTCTAAGTGATAGCAATATTATAACAACGGCTTCAACGTATTGAGCACTTCCTGTGTGCCAAGCCCTGTACCTGGCACTTTATCTATGTAACTGTCATTCAGTCTTCAGGTGTGTGGGTTCTGGGCAAATCAGTCTCTCTGAGCCTCATCTGCAGAATGGGAGACAATAAAGGTACCTCCCTACTTCCTGGCACTGTTCCGAATACGGGAGATGGTGCACGATGCGTAGAGGTACTTCATACATGTTCGCTCTTTCCCATCCCCTCTTAATTTATTTTACAAGGGCACAGGGGTAAGACAGAGGCCTGGGCTTCCCACAAGGGAGCAGTCAGACATTTAGAGGATGCCGAATGAAGGGAATAAAAACTGCTCTGTTAAAAGGCCCCTGCCTGACTGGCCCAGAGAAACAGAAATTTCATAGCTACTTTAAATTTATGAGATGTTGGGTCCTGGAAGGCAAGCGGGTCATAAACCTCTAACAAGAAACCAAACAAGATCCTAATGAATAAGAGCCATACAGCAAGTGCCCCATCCCCCGACCCGCACCCCTGGGACCCCCCCGGGGTACTGTCCCAGAACATCCTGGCAGGCCTGTTCTTGAGGCTGGTCCAGAGAGGCCAGGCCCAGAAGTCCAGGCAGGTCAACGGAGAAGCAGCTTGGAAAGCTGCGGGCATGGCTGGCTCCTCTAGGGCTGGCAAGGCGGGCATGGGAGGAGGCAGCATTGTTACCCACAGCGGGCACCGCACAGGCAGGATCCGAGTTCCCAGTTTTGGGGAGGAGGCTAGCCTGGTCCTCACATTGCCTACAGATAAAGGGCCATTGTCTGCTACCGGAAGTTTTCTTCCTCCTCTCATATGCTAGGCACTGGGGATGCAACTGAGAATGAGAGGGCTATGGACCCTGAGCTGGACTAGACAGCTCAGTGTGACGTGTTTATATGCGTGGCTGCCCCTGGACGGGGTGTCTTGAAGGCAAGACCCATGCCCTGTTCCCAGCACCTCGGCCAGGGCCTGGCAGCCAGTCTGTGCTCTGTTAGAGACAGGCCAGGGCTCAGGAGGTCGGAGAGTTTTCAGCCCTCGAGGCAGGCATTGGGAACCCAGCAGACCTCAGGGTCAATCTTGCCTCTGACAGTGATGTTACTGCCTGTGAGATCTCGGACAAGTTACTTAACTTCCCAGAGCCTCAGTTTCCTCATTTGCAAAATGAGGACAGTAATACCTACTGCCATAGACGATTGTGTAGATAGCATTTGGCACAGAGTCTGGAACCTAACAGGTGACTAATAAATGTCACTGTTATTGGGTTGTTGCAAAAGTAATCGCAGTTTTTGCCATTATAATGCTAAAAACTGTGATTACTTTTGCACCGACCCAGTACTATGATTACAAGGAGGTCCTGTGGTGTGAGCTTCAGAACTTTCCCAGGGATCCTCTGATCCTGCAGTGAACAGAAAATGCCTCCCCTTTCACTGTGACCACATGGGGTGGGGGCCAAGGGAACGGCTGGCATGGTACCTCCATGTGCCTTATAGCAGCCACAGGGTTCCAGCTCTGCCTCCTTCCCGCTACTGTCCAAGCTGCCTGGGCAGCAAGCCGGGTGTTCTGCTGACCAAATGAGACTGGGCTGCTCCAGGCAAGGTTCCCACCCCTCCTGGGCCTAGTTCTACCACTATCCCACTTGGTGATCTTGGTCAAACGTGCTTCTCCTCCATAAATCCCAGATTGCCAACATGGACTAGAATCTGAGGGTTCTAAACCCGGGGTCTCTGTCAGTCTCTATGAATGGAACTCAGAGGGTATATCAACTTGAATGGAAAAAAATTAAAACTCTTTCATTTTCATGAACCTCTAATTGAAATTTAGCATTTGCCTCGAATATGAGTGTAGGCAACAAACCACAGTAGTACTACCAGGACCTGGGACTGTCCCAGAAAGTGACATGGCACATTACAATCATTGCTGCAGAGATCTCAAAATACATCACTAAGGCTTGGCATTACTTCAAAATTGAGGCCGCTGTTACACCTGCTACTAGAACTCATTATTTAATGCATTGCCAAAGAAGCATATATATGAATATATTATATTTTAACATATTTTCATAATTGCATTTCTATATAATCAGTTTCCTTTGTTTTTAATTTTATGCATTTATAAACTCTATTCTGAGAAGGGGATCCCTGGGCCTTTCCAGCCTGGCAAAGAAATCCAAGGCACAAAATATGGTTAGGGCTCTTAGATACAGTGATTTCCAAGGATCTTTGTGCTCTGACTTCCAAGACCCTGCATATCTATTTCCCGAGGGCCCTACCATTAGCATAACTATGAAACTGAATTTGCTGATCAAATTGCCTTTTTTTTTTTTTTCCAATCAGGAAATATATCCAGGCCGCGGCAGCCTCTCCAAACTCCCGGGCTTCCCACAGAATGCGCTCGAATGACACTGGAAAGATTTCAAAAATCCAGGCCTCCCCCTGTTTTAATTCCTTTCTTCCCCCAACAGATGTTGCAGGCCTGGTGAGGAAGCCCATCGTGTGTGACTCTCACGCCACTGACGGGGTTTCGTGGTGCGGCCAAATTCCTCTATGGCCATCCCCAGCATCAGTCCTTCCGGATTGAGGAAGCCCCTTCCAGGAATGAGCTCCATATTTAAAGGAGTGGAGGAGATGAACACCTCTCCACCTTGGAGCCAAGAGGTTAAGCTTTCAGGAGGCCCCAGGGCTGGGCAGGAAGGATTGAAGCTGTCCCTCTGCCCATCCCTCAGAGCTGTTTCTCTGGACTTTAATTGAAGGTCGTGATCCTCAAACCTTCATTTTAATGACTAGTTGCAACCTCTTCTCTTCTTCAGACCTTGACCCAGCTTCTCAACCAGCCAGAGCCACTGGTTTGGATTTCATCTTCTATATAATTTAGGGATGCCTAGACCAAGGGACCTTGGCAAGTGGTAACACTTCTCTGGCCTTTGGCTTCCTGATCTATAAGCTGATGGGAACACGAGCAACGACTGCCAAGGGCTCCTCCAGTTTTAATGTCCTGGGGGAGCAGTCACATAACCTCTTTGGGCAAATGCACCAAAAACCTGTGTGTAGAGTCAGGCTGTGGGGAAAAGCTGTCGTGACTATGATCCACAGCTTTCTCATTTACAGACTTCCCCGTTCTGAGGGTCACCGTCCACATTCGTGAAAGGGGTAGAGGACTGAACCTACCTCTGGAGTTGTTCTGAGAATTACACGAGGTGGTGCATGGAGGGTGCTGGGCAAAGGGCTTGGCACAGAGTAAGGGCCCAATAAATGGAGCCACTCATTCAGAGACCGTTGCTAACTAACCTGCTCTCCCACAGGCCCCGGCCGACCAGGATCCCCTGGTTCCCCCTGCAAAGAGACAAAGAGGAGGATGGATTGGGATGGGAGATGAAAGTCTAGACCTCCTGGGGAAGTCCCAGGCCTGCTGGCCTTAGCTGCCATTAGTGGGGATGAACCAGGGATCTTATCTCCAGTGTGTGGCCTTGGAGACCCCCAACAAATGGGCAGAGTCAAAGGGGTACTTGGACAGAACCTCAGGCAGACATGACTCTAGTCACCCATTCCCTCTGAGGGGGCCTTGGCTTACTCAGCACCTGGATGTGTATGTCTCATCTAGGTCCTTCAGAAGCCCATTGCATTTTGTGGAGGTGGAAAATGAGGCCCAGAGAGGTGAAGTGACCTGCCTGAGGTCACACAGTGAGCCAGAGGTAGGGCTAGAACCGAAACCTTGGTCTGCCCGGTTGAAATGCACATTCTGGGCCAGGTGCGGTGGCTCACGCCTGTAATCCCAGCACTTTGGGAACCCGAGGCAGGCGAATCACCTGAGGTCAGGAGTTCGAGACCAGCCTGGCCAACATGGAGAAACCCCATCTCTACTAAAAATACAAAAAATTAGCTGGGTGTGGTGCTGCATGCCTGTAATCCCAGCTACTGGGGAGGCTGAGGCAAGAGAATTGCTTGAACCCAGGAGGTGGAGGTTGCAGTGAGCCGAGATTGCACCACTGTACTCCAGTCTGGGTGACAAGAGCGAGACTGTCAAAAAAAAAAAAAAAAAAAAAAAAAAAACAAGAATGCACATTCCCACTGCATCAGGCTGCCCTATCTCAGGAAGAGCAGGGAAATGGGACGTCAGGGCACCAGGGTCCTAGACCTCAACACACTAGAGCTCTGCCACCAGCTCACGGGTGGCTGGGGTGAGTCCCATCTCTGCTCTGGGCTCAGCCTCCCCAGCTATAAAAAAGGGAAATCAGACTCATTTGTCTTCAAGGCTCTGTCCCACTTTCACATTGGGTGGCCTATCTCGGCCTTGTCTGTCTGTTTTGTCCCATGCTGAGATGGCTCCTGCTCCTCAGGCCCACAGCAGATCTGTGGGACAAATCCACACAGACGATGTCACCACTCCCACCACAGAAACCCAACTGGTATCTGAGGGAGAGAGGCCGAAACCTCAGACGGCAGGACATGGGCTCGGGCTAGCCAGTAGTTTGGCGCATACATGGATGTGGCTTACTGCAAGCCTGGGTGGAGCCTCCTCCCCCTTCGGCTCCTCCCTGGACCTCATGAAAACTAGAGGGGCCAGGACAGATAAGTGGGCCATTTCCCCAGAAGGGAGGGAGATATGGATGACCTGCGCTCCCCCTGGCTCTGTCCTAACCTCCTGTGGGTTTGCCCATCTGTAAACTTGACCCGACAATCTTTTGCCCAGAATGGCTGGGAAAACTCCAACTTAAGGGAGTCCTTGGGAAACTATTAAGTGAGGCTGCCCATGGGCTGAGGACCATTACTCTCCTATCTTGGGCCAGGTCTTTTTTGATAACATTTTTTAAAAACCCTGTTAATATATGTACTATCTATTTATTATGCAGAATAGGGAAAATATAGAGGCCCACAGAAGAAAATGAAAATCTCCTATTGTCCCACCACCCAGAGATAATCCCTGTCCACTTTCTAGCCTCTGCTCTGTGCGTAAAGAAACAGGGTGCCATGTTGGCCAGGATAGTTTCGATCTCTTGACTTCTTGATCCGCCTGCCTTAGCTTCCCAAAGTGCTGCGATTACAGGTGTGAGCCACTGCACCCAGTCAACATGGTGAAACTCCATCTCTACTAAAAATACAAAAAAATTAGCTGGGCGTGGTGCTGCACACCTGTAGTCCCAGCTACTCGGGAGGCTGAGGCAGGAGGACCAGTTGAACCTGGGAGGCAGAGGTTGCAGTGAGCTGAGATTGCACCACTGCACTCCAGCCTGGCAACAGAGGGAGACTCCATCTCAAAAAAAAAAAAAAAAAAATGAAAGAAAAAAACAGAAACGGTGCAACCCAGCCCCTGCCACAGGCTCACACTTGAGCATTCCCTTTTATAACCTGTTTCCTCCACCACCCCCACCCCACATTCAGGCATCTTCCCATCTTGTAAAATAGCCCGAAACACCATCTAGGGTGGCTGGACTATATCCCACTACTTGAACAATCCCCCACAGTTGGACACTTAGGTTGTGTCCATTTTTTTCTCCCTTACCAATACTTTGTTCTAAACAGGAACCAATTTTTTTCTCCCTTTTCACAACTGGCCATGGGATTTGGGGCTTGACTTGGGGCCCAGATATGTAGGATCCCCTCTTTCCTCTTGTCCCCAGGGATCTCCAGGTCCCCTCACCTTCACGCCATCCAGGCCGGGCCTCCCAGGAAACCCCTTCCTGCCAGGCTGACCCTGCAACAGAGAGACAGGTAAGTGGGAGAAGCTGGACAGGGGCAACATGGCTGGGGTCCAGGGGCTCCAAGGGCCTGGCACAGGGTATCCACAGCTGTAGAGAGCCACATACCCTGGTGGACAGGGGCATATAACCCTGAGTCCACCAGGTGGCCAGCTGTCCTGGAATACAGGCAGGGTTTCCAGCTGCGTGAACTCAGGGAAGCCTCCCCCATCCCTGGGTTGGTCTTCTTGTTGTAAATGAGGAAGATGACACCTGCCTTCAGGGAGTGAGGGAAAGGAAGGAACTTGGCAGATGATCGGGGGGTGCAGGGAAGGAACAGTTTATGCAAGTGGTCCTCAAAGTGTGGCCTGAGGACTACAGGGGTCCCGGAGGCCCTTTCAGAAGGTTCAGGAGGTCAAAATGATTTTCATGATAACACTAAGATGTCATTCGCCTTTGTCACTCTCACTCTGGTGAATGTTAAGTGGCATCTTCCCGAGGCTGCATGGCGCGCAATATTGTCAGTGGATTGAATGCAGAAGCGGAGTTGAGAAGCCAGCTGACTTCTATTAAGCCAGACATTAAAGAGAGATCTGCAAAAATGGTAACACAATGCCACTCTTTCCACTCAATTATTTTGCTATGGAAAATAGCGTGAATTCTCCTAAAAATATAATTTTTATCAACAGGAAATGAGTTTATGATTAATCTTCAATGAATGAATAAATACATTTAAAGTCTCTTGGTTTTAATTACTAATCTCAGTAGGTGTAACCCACTCAAACAAAAGCCTTTGGGTCCTCCATCATTTTCAAGAGTGTAAAAAGCTCTGGATACCAGAAATTTCATGAGCTGCTGGTTTATGCAATGGCTGGGACCAAGAAGGGGTGTAGGACAAGTGACTTTGGGAAGGCAGCTTGGAAGAGTGCAGAGGGCTCGGGCTGAGGGCCCAGGCAGGGCGTCCCCACTGCCTGGCTGTGAGATGTCGAGCTAAAGCCTTCACTCTCGTTTGCCTCTTCTCTAATGAAACCAAGGAAAGCAATCATGTGTCATGGGAGAATCAAGGAGAATAAATACTGACATGAAGCACCTGGAACATAGGAGGTGGGCAGTGACAGTCAGTTTCTTGGCTCTTGTCTCTCTCCTTTGGGGTCTGTCCTAGTTCTCTCTCTGGCTGGTCCAAGGCCCTCACTGATGACTTCCCTCTGGAGCACTGGCCAGATGTTGCCCTGCCTGTGCACAGCTGGCTCAGCTCCCATGAATGCCACCTACCCCAGGCCAGTGACACTCACCTCCAAGCCAGGGGCCCCTGGCGGCCCCATGGGTCCCTCATCTCCCTAGAATTGGGAGACACGAGAGAGGAAAAAAGGAGAAAGTTAATCCAGTTGGACTTGCAGAGATCTTGTCCTGTATGGAGGGAAAGGGATGGACAGAGGAGAGCCCTCCTGGACAAAGGGAAACAGCACGCCTGGCCCACCTGCCTGGCCCCACCCAGGGCAGAGGCTCCACTGGCCATGGCCTAGAGGCCAGGCTACACAGTGACTTCCAGTGAATGGAGACTCCAGGCTTCATGGAAGCCCTGGGCATGAGAGTTAAACCCCGTTGTGTGCTGTGAGGAACAGAGCCTCAAACTGCAGCTCAAAGATGTAGGCTCTGAGTTCTGCCATTTGCTCACTGGCAGACCTCAGCCTCACTGTGTCTCAGTTTCCCAGATTGGAGAAGATCATCCTCAAATATAATAAGTGGCTTCAGCTGAGTTCCTGGAGGTCAGCAGTGATGCCTTATTCTTTCTTGCAGCCACCCCCAAACATCACTCGGGATGGTGCCGTGTCTAAGGGGTGTTTGGTGAGTGAATGAATGAATGAATGAAGATGTGAACAAGTGGCAGGCATACATAGGGCTTTCTTGAGTGGTAATGTGAGTGTAGACAGAAGCATGTGGCTGGTGCCGTTCCCTCCTCTCCCCTTCCTTCCCGCTTCCGGCCCATGAGACTCTCCAGGTGCTCCCCACCCCCACAGGCTCAGGCAGCCTCCTAATTGGCTCCTTCTGGCATGCCAGGCCTGACCAAGGGGCTCCCTCCAGAGACACCCCCCAGCTCCTTTTCCCCAGCTTCCAGGAAAGCAGCTCCACGTGGTGGCTCCCAGAGCCAGTGCTGGGACCCCGCCAGACCCAGAGCCAGCCCGAGAAGGGATCCATGTCAGCTGGATGCCCGCCTGCGGTCGCGGTGAATCTGGGCTTCCCGCACCCTCAGCCCAGGGCTGTGTGTCACGGGGGCCTGGCGCCTGAGCTAAGGTAGGTGGGGCATGGGAAGGCTAAGAATGGCCTCGTGCACAGGGCAAAATCAGGGGCCCACCCATTAAGTGCCCACCTGGTGCTCCAACAGCCCCATAGAGACCCCTCCCAACCCACTTCATCCAGCGCACATAAATAAGCAAATCGATGCTCTGCCACTAACTAATTGTGCAAGTCATTGTAATATTCTGGAGGTGCCCCTAGGCCACTCCCAGGAAGCACAGAGTTGACAGCAAGGCCACTCCCAGGAAGCACAGAGTTGACAGCATAGGACGTATGTCATGGGCTTTGGGCTCAAGCAGACCTGGGTTCCCATTGCAGCCCTGCCTGCTACTAACCATAAGACCTGACTGAGTCTCTTTTCCTCTCTGGGCCTCAGTGGCCTCATCTGTAAAATGGGGCTGACACTTCCTACTCCCTCATTAATGCCCTGATAAACTGCTACCACGAGCACGGCATTGTCAGTAGCTCTGGGAAAGAAAACCCCAGGGTGACGAGGGTGCAGAGGAGGGAGGGTGCGGGGAAGCCACCCTGCCAGGTGACAGCAGGGCAGAGAAGGTCCCTGGAAGGGGCACGGGGCAGGGCTGTATAGGATGAGCTGGTGGGTAAGTCTGGGGAAGCCCTGGGTGGTGTCCTGGCTGAGGGGGCTCCAGCCCAAGCTAAGGCCTTCAGTACCCAGGACAGGGCAGGCTGGGGGCTGCAATCAGGCCAGGATGGGCAGTGGAGGGGGCCAGACAGTCTCACCTCGGGCCCCAGCTGCCCACGGGGTCCCGGCAGGCCTCGGGCTCCAGGCTTACCCTGGGGAGAAGGGAACAAAAAGGGAGTCTCAGAGGCGGTACCTCCATCTCCATCGCAGGCTGGCAAGGCAACCCCTGCTTCCAAGCCAGGCAGCCAGCCCCTGTGGTTTCTGCAGAGCTGTCTGCTCCTCCAACTGGAGCTGCCCTGGGCAGGTACTCACCTTCATGCCTTCTGGGCCATTGTCGCCAGGGGGGCCGATGTCTCCTGGGAATCCCTGAGGGGAAGCAGAGAGCAGGGTCACCCACGGGGGCTGTGAAGGGAGTGCTACGGGGATGCGTCTTGCAGGGAGACTGACCGGGTTTCCATCTCATCCTGCTGGGATGGGACCCCAGGCAGGTCAGTTAACCACCTTGATCCCACAGTCCTCAGTTCTAAAACAGGGTGCATGGTTCCAGCCCTGACACCTCAGAGAGTTGCTGAGACAATACACCGGACGGTGCAGGAAAGCATTAAGGTTGTAACATGGAAGGTCACACTCAAGGTCGTTATTTCTCAAATCCGGTGCTGCTACTGGGTCAGAATTATGGGTGTCTGGGGACATTGCTCCCCAGAGCCAGCCACGCCTTGCCCTGAGAAGTCTTGTCTTTTGACTGCAGTAATCCTGCAAAGAGGATGATTTTCTGGGTTTGCTGTGACTTTGAAAGCATTGAAAAGCACTGATTTAATTAACCTCAGCTCCAGTCATCGTAAGCTTAAGTCCTTCCTACATCTTGGCCACATGTGTTGGACTCTGCCCCACTCCACCCATGGGGGCTCCCTGCTTCCCAGTGAGGGCCATTCCCCTGGGATGACTGTACAATAGAAGGTTCTTCCCACATGGAGCGGAATCACCTCCCTTCCCTGCAATATCCTCGTGCTCCTCCTTAGGGCCCCACAGAGCACAGGGACTCCCTCTCCCCACAGTGGTCTTTGCACAATTTGGAGACCTGTTACGCAGTTCCCAGAGCCCTGCCCTCCTCCTGTGTGACCCTGGGCAAGTTCCTTAGCCTCTCTGGGCCTCAGCTTCCTCATCTGTAAAATGGTGCTCGTAACACCTCCCTTACAGGGCTAGTCTTAAGTTTAAATGGAACCAGCAAAGTTGCAAGTGCTCAGTAAAAATCTGCATCCAAAATGATTTTGGGTCCTGTACTCTGGGAAAAGAAGTCTGCCTGGGGTGGGCCCATCTCTAAGTGAGAACTTAGCAGTCGGGATGCTGAGCAAATCCTGATGCTCACTTGCATATAACCCACTGATGAGTGAGAGATAATTCACCCGGGTGCTGGAGAGCTGGAGCTCCCTCCCATGGTCTCAGGGAAAGAAGCAGGCAGGGTGCTGACGCGCTTATCAGCTTCCGCGCTTATCAGCTTCCCCCTTCAGCTGAGCAGAGCTATCTCTCGGCTACAGAGTCAGCCAATCAAAACAGAGCACAAAGACGGGAGAGGCTGATGGCTAAATTGTCCAGGGACCCAGGAAAGGGCCAAAGCAGACCTTATTTGTTCCTACATAGCAGAGCAACCCTGAGGAAGCCACTTTCCTGCTCTGTGACTCAGTTTCTTCAACTGTAAACTGGTGGTGGTAATATCCCCCTCATGCGGCTGTCGTGGCGATTCAGCAAGTTCTCATCTCGAGGACACTGCACAGCCTCCTGGCACCAGGAGGTGCCTAATAAATGTGAGGGAGCATGCCTTCCACCCTCACGGGCCAGAATGCTGGGAAAGCTGGACTCTCAGAAAAGCCTTTTTCCAGCGACCAGAGGAGGGAATTGGGGCCATGGAGGAGAGGCCAAGTCCATTTGTCTAAAGATAGGACTGTGTCATGGCCAAAGTCAACAGAGTGGAAAGTCAGAACTTGTAGCTTTTAGGAAACATTTCCTCATCCATCCGAGTGATAGCAGAAGTGATCTTTGGCAGGGTCCGGCCTATCCACAGAGCCACACTTTTGTCTTGGATGCAGAGACCTCATGGGTGAGCAAGACCTGGAGGCTAGGGAGTTGTGGGTGGGGGGCTCCAACTGAGGTTGGCCTGGGTGCCAATGATCCTGAGAGGGACGGCAGCCCTGGCTCCTGCTCAGCCCAGCTCTCTAGACACGAGACCCCTGTTAAAGACGGGGGCGTCAAAAAGAACCCAGCCAGCTTGCTTCGCAACATTACATGTGAATTCCGAGTTGATCATTCAGGTGTAGCCTACCTATGCCAATGATCACACACATCAGAAACCCTGAGGCTCTCTCCTGACTCAACTAGAGTTATTATATTAATTGCTAAATCTATCCTTATTTCTCATTCTTCATTCAAAAGCCCGAATTTTGCATTTACCTCTTGCTCCCCATACCCGGAAGCTCTGAGCCCTGAACCGTTCCAGAGTGGCTGTGGGTGGCTAGGAAAGTTCCAGGGCTTGGAGAGGGAACTCTGAGTGGAGAATGTGGGAAGCTCCTGTGAGGGACCAGACAGTGGCGCACAGAGGGCTTTCATGAATCACAAAGCTGCGGTGGCCACAAAGTTGGCAGAGGACTCTGAGGCCACCTTTTGGCCCTGTTGACTTTTGAGAGCCCCTGAGTAAGAGCAGAAGAGCAGAAGGGGAAAATAAATGATTGCTGATCTAGGAGTTTCTCCTCTCAGCCTCATCTCTCATATCCTGTGTGACCTAAAGCAAGTCTTTCCCCATCCCTGGGCCTCAGTTTCCCAAGGACAAGACCGAGTCCCAGCAGCAGCCAGACACGGAGAAATGGGGCATCACATACCTCGGGTCCAGGGGGCCCGGGAAACCCAATGGATCCTTTGTCTCCGACTTTGCCCTGTGGAAGAGAAGAGGTTGCAGGGAGGCAGGGGTGAGGACCCCACCTTCCATGAACCCCCTGCGTTCCCCCGCTGGTTGTGGATGGTTGGAAAGTTCAGAAGCATGTGCATAAAATCTGCCTGGACAACTAGAAGGAGCTACCATTCAAACTCTGCCTCCTGCACTTGCTAACCATGGGACCCTGGGCAAGTCACTTCAACTTTCGGAATCTTAGTTTGCCCATCTGTAAAATGGGAGCAATATTAATTCCCTCACTCCTGGGGTAGTTGGCAGCCTTCAAAGAAACAGTTCAGAAAGGGTCGGATGCACAGTGACACTCAATAAATGACAGCCACTGCTGTTACTGATAACATCACTATTGTTTACAAGGCATCAGGAACCCCAGATCCTCATCAGAGCTTTGTCGGCAAATGAGGCCTGCCTCTGAAGCTGGCTGAGTTACTGAGCCTCTCACAGTATCCTCATCTGTGAAATGAGCACATCCCATTCCTGCCCTGCCCTGCTTGCCCCCAGGAGCTCTGCTGCAGGAGGAAATGAAGTCTTGGAGGTGAAGGTGTCCCCAGCCACATTACACGATCAGTTGGAGAGTGTGAGGTTTGGGGGTGCTGGAGGAGCAGGTACTTACCAGAGGCCCTGGCTTCCCCCGTGCACCGGGGAACCCTGGCAACCCCTGGCTCCCCTGGAAGAGATCCAGAGCAGGCTGGGGTTAGTGAGGAAGAGAAATGGCCAGGTGAACAGCCGCCCAGTCCTCCTGCTGGTCCCAGGCCCAGAGAACGCCCGCCTTGGAGGAAGATGAGCTCCTTCCTTCCTTTCCCTGCTGTGGGCTCTGGCTTGGATCACACCTGCCTGACACCCCTATAGGCTGGGCCCCAGGAAATGCTAACATGAAACAGCAGCCCCTGTCCTCACCAGGAAGAATCAGGGACCCTGGGGCTGCACGCAGGCTCTGTGGTGCCTCTGACTCCTGGGGAACTCTGGAGACAGGGTCCAGTAGGGAAGAGCCAGGCCTGCTGTGGTTCACAACCCGGAGATACCAAGGCTGGGTCAGGACAGGCCAGCGAGGAGGGAGGGAAGAGGAAGAGGGAGAGCTGGCCAACATCTGGGCCTCGTTGACTGGCCGGGAGAGTTCCAGATGTGGCCACATGATGCCGGACACAGGCAAAGGGGAGCCAGTCTCAGCAGGCCCACAGCTGGGCTCTGGAAGTCAAGGCCACCTCAGTTTGATCCCATAGTCAATATGTCATTTTGTAAGGCCAGTTACTCCCTCAACCTTATCCTAAATATTCATGATCAAGGACAGGACCCTGAGCCGAGCTCCATCAGGGCAGTCTGGAGCCTTGTTCTTAGGGAACTCACTGTCTGGCAGGGGACACAGTACAAGTCCCCCAAAATCAGAGGAGAAAGGTGGCACCACCAGTGAGGGGAGGACATGCCTCTCAGAGCATCTAGAGAGGGAAATGGCCACTTTCTGAGCAGGTGGGGAAAAAGGGCTCTGAGCAGGGTGGTGTGGAGAGGCTGGGTGGAGGGGGTCCCGGGCGGGTAGCAGTCTGTGTGTGTGTGTGTGTACAGAGGCCCACGGCAGGCGGTTCAGTGGGGCTGGAGTGCAGAGCTGTAAGGCGGGGAGCAGGAGAATATCAGAGAGATGCACTCACTGGGGTCCTGATGTCTGGTTAGGGAGCCAGGGTGTCATTCTGAGAGCAATAGGGAGCCATGGACGGTGTGTGAGCGGAGAGCAGAGCTTTGCCCTCAGAAGAACAACTGGGTAGCAGTAAAGAAGAAAGAGAGAAAGCAAGAGGCTGGGGCCCAGAAATAAGTTAAAAGGTCACACTGTAAAGTCCAAGGAAGAGATGACAAGAGGATCAAGGATGGAGAAGACTGGATTATTTCGAGGGCAGCCGTCTTACAGGTGGGTCCTTGCTCATGATGGACCCTAGGAAGGAAGCCAAGACCAGGGGAACAGCAGGGCAGGGGCAGGGGCAGGGGGAGGGGAAAATCTCATGCAATTACCTTGTCTCCTTGGAATCCGGGATCTCCTGACACACCTGGAACCCCTTGTTCACCCTAAGTACACACCAGCAAAGAAGGTTACAATGGAGGCCACGTGGGTTCTGGAAGCCTCCCCCACAGACCCCCTGGCGAGGTACAGCTGTGCCGAGGCTGTTTCCCAAGTCGGATCCGGCCAGCAGCAGCCTTGTGAGAGGAAAGGACGGGCCCCTGGCGAGGAAAGCAGGCGGTGGCGGGGGGTGAGCTGGCCAATGTGCAGACTTGCCTGGGGCTGCTCGGATGGCTGAAAATGCCACTAACAGAAGCTAAGCTGCCCACTGCCCAGTGTCAACTGGCCTTGCCTGGAGAACTGATGCAGAGCAAATCAAGTGTTTGATCCTTCAACCTCTTCATCATTAACGGGTGTTGTCACACAGGGGTGAAGGCAGCGTGTGCAAGGGCCCCCACACCAACGTGGTTTCGGAGCGTTTGTGTCTGCTCAATTTTTCACCATCAGACTGAGCTGTCACTTCCTCCTCATGTGGGAGTTTCTGTGCCAGCAAGCAGCTTTGGTCTATTTTTTTTTTTTTTTTTTTTGAGATGGAGTCTCACTCTAGTTGCTCAGGTTGGAGAGCAGTGGTGCAATCTTGGCTCTGTGCAGCTTTGACCTCCCGGACTCAGGTGATTCTCTCACCTCAGCCTCCCCAGTAGCTGGGACTACAGGCGCGTGCCACCACGCCCAGCTAATTTTTTTTTTTTTTTTTGTATTTTTAGTAAAGATGGGGTTTCGCCATGTTGCCCAAGCTGGTCTTGAACTCCTGAACTCAGATGATCTGCCCGCCTCGTGCTGGGATTACAGGCGTGAGCCACTGTGCCTGGCCGGTCTACTTCTAATTAACTATTTTAATCAGCTATAGCATGGGAAATCAGATTTCCTGGCTTGTTGAGACTATGTGTAAACAGCAAGTAAATTGGTCTTGACTTAAGTCTGGGTGTTTGTCTTCTAACACGATGTACTGCACAGGCTTCGTGACACTGATTCTGGCTGCTGGAGGCCTCTTCTGCTCCCTCCCTGTTTTTAGCCATATTCTGAACAGGCAGTCCAGATTGGGAGCTGCTTCCCCTTAGGGCCGAAACCACCTCACACAGCCCTGGCCTCACTCTATCCAGCCCTCCACGTTGGACATTACTGACACTCTGTCAGCCCCAGGATTCCGAAAACATTTACATCCCTGGGAGCAGGAGGAAGAATGGGGAGAAAAACCCAGGAAAAATGGAAAACCTTAGAAAACCCACACATGGCTAAGGCCATGACCTAACAAAAGAACTTCCTTAGTAGAACAAAAGTCAGAATTAAAAAAAAAATTTTTTTTCAACTTACTTTGGTTTTTCCAATTTGGAAAATCCTGTACAACATCCTGGTATTTGGGGAACCACAGGACTTTTTTTTTTTTTTTTTTTTTTAATGTCCAAGAGAGGAGTGAAGGGGTGAAAAAAAGGAGTGAAAATAGAAAAACAAGGAAAGTTTAAAAGGCACCTAGGAAATCAGGACAATGAATTTGAAGGGAGCTGGGCTCGGAGCAGGAGCTTTGCTTCCAGAATGCTTCTCCAGGCTGAGAGAGGGAGCCAAGCGGTTGTAAGTGGGACTGAGTCCAGGCTGGGTCATGGAAAATCTGGGATTTGAGGCAGGAGCAACCTTGGAACGTGAAGGGATGGCTCTGTCATCCCAGGGTAGGGCCAGGGGACACGGATGTGTGCGTGGCTGATCGGAACACAGCCTTAAGGCTCCTCCCCACCAAAGGAAAAGGGGTTTCTTTCTCCCCCTCTCTCTCTTTTTTCCCCTAAAGACATTTGATTTTCCTAAAAACTATGGGCATGAAAATAATTTCCTCCTCCTTTTTCTTTTTCCAGAGTTTTCACATCTCTAAATGTCCCAGGCAACTCCCATCAGCAAGCCAGCCGAGTTCCATGTAACACATTTATTTCCATGTTCCTGAAGCAACGCTGAGCTGAGACCAGCTCTGCAAAGGGGCCTATAAAGAGCTCACTGCCTACACTCTCATTTTCCCCAGCTTCCTTTCTCTCTCGTCCATGACTTCAACATTTCCAGAGCGCTGATGTCTCAAACCTTGGGATAAACAGGTAGGTGTGGGGAACCCCCTGCCTCCATCAGAAAGCCCCTTCAAAGAGGGAGGGCTCTGGCAGAAAGGTGTAGCAGACAGCAGGGCAAGGGGGGCAGAGGTGGGTTGTGGCTGGAGGCTTGGGCATGACAGGAGGAGATGGAAGAGGTAGAAACAGGTAGAGAAAGGACTGGGGTTGGCATGGCACCCAGCTGGCTACCCAGGGATAGGCTTGAGTAAAACAATCTGGAGATGTCCATTTTCACCCAGCAATTCTAATGTTCTAAGAGTCCAGGGGCCTGCAAATCTCTTTCTCTCCCTGGGTCTTGGTTTCTCCATCTGTGAGACGTAGGAACTGTGAAATGTGACCTCCCAGAGTCTCACCAGCTCTGACCTTCTGACTTAGTTCTGCTTCACAGTTGAGGTCTCTGGAGCCAGGTAACTTTCTACTTACCAGCTGCGTGGCCTCAGGCAAGCTTCTTTTTTGAGAGGGAGTCTTGCTCTGTTGCCCAGGCTGGAGTGCAGTGGCACGATCTTGGCTCACTGCAACTTCTGCCTCCCAGGTTCAAGCGATTCTCCTGCCTCAGCCTCCCAAGTAGCTGGGATTACAGGCACCCACGACCACGCCCAGCTAATTTTTGTATTTTTAGTAGAGACGGGGTTTCACCATATTGGCCAGACTGGTCTCGAACTCCTGACCTTATGATCCGCCCGCCTTGGCCTCCCAAAGTGCTGGGATTATAGGCATGAGCCACTGTGCCCGGCCCAAGCAAGCTTCTTATTTCATAGTGGGTAGGAGGATTAATGGGTGGATCCATGTGGTACACTCAGATGGCGCCCAGCATGGCACCTGACCTTATGACTCAGGTGTAGGAGGAAGCAGAGGCACCTAGAGACAGGTGCGGTGTCACCTGACCACATGAGGGGCTGGCTGAGCAGCAGTCAGTCCTTCGGATGTCTCATGGATACTTGGAATGTTGCTCTGAACCCCTCCTGCACCCCCTTCGGGGGTCCTGGTTTGCCAAGGTCTGAAGAGGCTAGGCAGGAAGATGGCCACAGAGCAGGGCACAAGTGCTGGGCCCTGTGTCTCTCGTATTCAGATGCTGCTTTGCTCTGGGCCCCCAGGGCCTGTCTTCCCACTTCCAACTCTGGTTTGGCACAGGGTGAGATAGGGAGAGCTCAGCAGCAGGGCTGTACAGAGGATACATGGCAAGGGCAGCCACCCCCATGGCAGCAGGAGGAGAAGCGGGTCAGGGGCTCAGAGTCGCATTTCCAGTCGGCACGCTCTCTGGGGTTTCCAATTTCATGCCAGGGTGATCTATGTAGATTTGTTTCCTCCTGTGCCCTCACTGCCACCCTCCTTGCTCTGTGGCTTTGCCTTCAAATCCCAGATGCTGGCCTCAGCTCTGCTCTCTGGATTCAGAGCCCTGTCTTGACATACCTGCCCTCCTTGCTGCAACAGCTGCTCCTGCACTATCTGCTGAGGTTTTCGGGCTCCCAGAACCATCTGCCTGAGCCCCACCCAGAGTGACCAGGAAGAAGCTAGGGAGCACAGATTTAGGGGAGGCCAGAGGAGAGGCAGGAAGAGTGCAGGGGAGTGGACCTGGCGAGAAATCAGCAGCAGCCTCCGGGCGGAGAGGGGGGTGGCATGCAGAGAAACCACAGTGCAATAAGGGAGTATTCAGATCACCTTATCACCTTTCAGTCCGGGCTCCCCCACGCTGCCCATCAGTCCCTGCAAGACAAAGCCCAAGGCCAGCTGTGATGGGACTCTAGGCCACAGAAGTCAGGAGCCCTGGCTTAAACACGACTTGCTGCAAGACCCCGTGCTAGATCCCCCAACCTCAGTGTTCACATCTGTAAAAGGGGGCAAATGACTCCAATCTCACAGGGCAAGGGTGTGGACTGAAGGAGCTGTGAGAGAGGCAGTGCACCACAGCACTGCAGGCAAATCCAGAGGAAGAAGGAACTGGTGGGGAGGGAAGGGCTTAATGAGCCGTGTCACACGCACGTTGGTTAAATTTGGTCGCCCCTGGGATGTGCTCTAGCAGTCTTGGCCTGCCTTCCTGCTGCACGCCCTTCCCACTCAGGGATGGGCTGAGTTCACTGGTTTGCCATGGTAGTTTCTATGGCCCTGGTGATGTCCCCCACTGGACTTCCGGTGCCCTGAGGCCTGGAACCCTGTCAGACTCATGCTCAGCTAGAGGAGGATGTCTGGCCTAAATGACATACAGATGATGCCTGGCTCTGAGGCCAGAGCTGACAGCTCCTGACCTGCCCAGCTTCCTCCTAGCACCCCTCTGAGCATCCTGCCATCCTCCCTTCCCCCAGCATCATCTAAGGTCACCCTTCCTTCTGGGCTGAAATGGGTCGGGGGTGCCCAGCTTGGACAAGGCCTGAATCGGGGGAACATCCCTTGCTTACCTTCATGCCCTTGGGTCCCGGGTAGCCAATCGGACCCAACACTCCTAAGTCACCCTGTGGGGAGAGAAAGAGAAGAGGGTGCTGTGAGCAGTGGCCCACAGGAGGCTGGCCTGGGTGGTGGGGACAATCCCCAAGGTCCCTGGGCCTGGGCTTCCAAAGACGCAACTCTGTAGGATTGATCTTGGAATCTGGAATGTTCTTCATCCAGAGACCTTCACTAAAGTGCTGGAATAAACTTCATAAAGATCCCTGCCCAAGCTCATTTCTAGACTGCTGCCCCTTCCCTATCCCCATTCCTTTCCATATTCAATATTTCTCTCCTATATCTGATTCTTTACCCCGTATCAGGGATAAAGGGCTTTTCATTTGACTATTTTGGACCCTCATGCTTTCTCTCTATCTGTCCCCCCGGAGCTGCTGTAAGAGTTAAATTCAGCATAAATGGAAGTTCTGACTCCTCTGGCTACATGAGGGGAGGCACCTCCTGCTTCCCAGAGGCTTGGCTCTCTCTGAGGAGGGCAGCAAGTAAGGAGTGAGGCTGTTGATCCCAGAAATCCCAGGGTTGATGGTGGACCCTGTGGGACACTATAATCAGCTGGCAGATCCTGGACCACAGGTTGGAGACCCAGCTTCAGATCAGATCAGCCGGTCCAAGGTGAGAAAAATGGAGTTCCCGACCTAGAAAGCCAAGTTCTCTTTGCGGGTGTGCAGTTTGCAGATGACAGCTCAGCCTGGCTGAGTGCTGTCCCCATGACGCCCCTCCTGTCCTTTCCAAAGCCTTCCTTCCTCTGCAAGGAAGGCTCTGGGAAGCACTCAGCCAGGCTGAGCTGCCGTCTGCAAACTCCACACCGTCCCTCTGTCTCTCTCCCCAGGGGCATTCCACTGCACAGGCCCCGTGGCCCTTCCAGCAGGAGCCAGGCAGGAATGTGATTTTTCATTCCCTGTCCACCCAGTGGACAGCAGACCACTGGATCCCACTCTCCTCTGGGACTCACTCATTGTGTGAACTGGAGGAACTTGATGTCTCCATGCCTCGGTTTCTTCATGTGACAAGTGAGGACGTACAATACTGTGTACCTGCCAGCCTTGTTTCCAGGAGAAACTGATTTCACATGTAAATACTTAGCAATGTCTGGAGGCATTTTTAGTTGTCACAACTTAAGAGGTGCTATTGGCGTCTGGTAGGCAGAGGCCAGGGATGTGGCTGAGCATGCTGCAGTGCACAGAACAGCCCCCGCCACGAATAACCATCCAGCCCAAATGTCAGTAGTGCCAAGGTCCAGGAACCCTGGTACAGAGTGAAGAAGCGGCTGACTTTTCTCTTAACCAGCCTACGCTTTCTCCCTCAAATCTCACTTCTGCCCACTCCATCACTCCCTCAGCCACAACCATAACATTAAGTCTGCACTCAGAGAAAGGGAGACCCTGAAAATACCCTCCTCTCTCCCTTGTCCATCCTCCATGACTGATCTGAGTGTCTGGCTGCTGTGTGGTTTCAATGTGCCCAACCTCTCTGGGCCTCTGTTTCCTGCTACCCGATCAGGCTCTACAGAGGCCCCTGGCAAGTGCTCTGAGGTGGGGGCACAGCTCTGAAGCATTGGAGGAACAAAGGCTGCCCCAGTAGCCAGGCTCAAGAATGGGAACTGGAGTTCTTGTCGGAGCTGCCTGGAGACGTCTCGGAGGGAGGCCAGGCAGAGAATGAAAAATCACATTCCTCCCTGGCTCCTGGAGGAAGGGCCAAGGGGACTATGTGATGGAATGCCCCCGAGGAGAGAGAGAGACAGACAGACAGACGGCATGGAGTTTGCAGATGGCAGCTCAGCCTGCCTGAGATGATGCCGATTCTCACTCTCCCAACCCCAGAACAACTGGAGTCTGGCCTTGGCCCATCCTGACCTGTGTGATCTTGGGCAAATGCTTCCCCTTTCTGGACTTTAGGATTCCCATCTGATTGGATTAAACAAAACCTCCCAGCTGAGCCTTTGCTAAGAAATTCTGCTTTCAGGCCCAGCGTGGCGCCATGGCTCATGCCTATAATCCCAGCACTTTGGGAAGCCTAAGTAGGAGGATTGCTTGAGGCCAGGAGTTCAAGACCAGCCTGGGCAACATAGGGAGACTCAATCTCTACAGAAAATATTTAAAAATTAGCTGGACATGGTGATGCATGCCTGTGGTACCAGCTACTCGGGAGGCTGAAGCAGGTGGATCCCTTGAGCCCAGGAGTTCAAGGTTACAGTGAGCTGTGATAGCGTCATTGAACTCCAGCCTGGGCGACAGAAAGAGACCCTATCTTTGAAAAAAAAAGAGAGAGAAAGAAATTCTGCTTTCAGGTCCCATCAAACAGTCTCACTGAGAAAGTGAGGGCTCAGTTTAACGGGTGATAATAATAAGCAAATGCCAGTTGCCAGCACTGTGCTAAGCACTTGACGTGCTTTAACCCAGTAATTCCTCACCACAGCCCATGAAGATCAGTCTACTACTGTCCCCATTTCATAGATGAGGAAACTGAGGCTCTGAGAGGTTAGGGCTCCAGCGATATCACGGAGTCGGGGCACCGCTGGGATTCACACTAGGCAGCCTGTCTCCAGAGCTTCTAGGCCATTCTGAGGTGGTCTCTGGAGAGGAGGGAGAGAAGCCGGATTGGAAGGGAGGCCAGCTCTCTGCAGAGAGCTGCATGTCCACAGGCCCCTCTGGCTGCTGCTTCTCTCCTTTCCTGGACGAAGGCAGCCAGGGTGGCCCGCCCAGAGTTCCCCCTGATGCACAAATAAACAGAGGCGGGCTCTGCTGGAGGAGTCTTTCTCTGCCGGGGGCCAGGCAGGGCGGCAGGCAGAGGGGCCGCCAGCAGCTCAGAAACACAGGCTCTTTCTTCCTCCCTCCAGGCCTGAAGTGGCTTGTTGTGTGGGACTGAATTCAGTGCAGGCAGGATGGTCACCTTTGTGGGGCCTCGGGGAGTCACGGCGCAGCACCCCACTCCCCAGGTCCCACTCGCTGCCTCAGCAGGGCTCTCCAAAGGGGTCTGTGTGTGGTGGGGGCAGGGACCTGCCATGGGCATCCCATGGGCATGGGCAACCCCAGGGGAGAAGGAATCTGGAAGAGAGACCCCTGCCTGCAGGCCACACCCGGAGAAGGTGCCAGCTCGCATAGGACAGGTCCCCCTGTGTTGGTGGGACCCCCACATTGGGCTACAAAAGCATTTCCGGGAGGAACAAAGAAAACTCCAGGCCAGCATCCCCCGAGGGCAGCTTGCAGAGCAGCCGTCTACTGTGTACCAGACGCCCTCGAGGCCAGCTTGGCCGGAGCCACTCAGAATGTCATGTCCCCATGAAAAAGAATAATGAGTAAGTCCCTTAATTTGGAACCTGTTTCCACTTTTCTCTAAGCTCCCAGACACCGCACCACACGCTGTGCCCTTCGTCTCACTGACTCCCACCAAGAACACAATCGGTCCTGTCTGTCACCATTTAAAGAACGCCCACTGTGTGCCAGATGCACGCTATCCACTTTGAACCCTCCTTAGCAATAGCTAAATGTCACTCTGGGCACCTTTGCCATGCCAGGGACGATGCTGGTGGCTTGGACCCTCACCAGCTGCTCACAGTAACCCCAGGAGGTAAGCACCATTGTCAGTCCCACTCCCTTTTACAGATGGGAAAACTGAGGCTTAGGGACAGGTGATGTAACCTGCCTGAGATCGAGCAATAAACAGGGGGCAGAGGCAGGACCAGAACCCAGGTCTGTCCATCCATCTGTCTGTCTGTCTGACCCCACAGTCCATGCTCACAAGGCCTGAGTTGGCTGTTGACCAAAAAAAAAAAAAAAAACACTCAAGGTTGCCTTTCCTATTGCTATGTCTCACATGAGACAGGGCATCAGGTCAGGTTGGAGACTCAGAAAAATTGAGTTGTGCTCCCCTGACTGCCAGCCAGTGGACCTCCGGAGGCTAATGTGGGGAACGGCTGGTGCCCATCCTTCATGATGGTTGCTCACACATCTCACCTTCCTGCCCTGCTCTTCCTCCTTAGCTGTGACATACTTAGCCACTGACATATCTCCCCGACCCTGGCTCAAGCTGTTTCCTATACCCGGAGTGCCATGCCCGCCACTGGCATTGTTAATGCCCATTTGTCCTTCGGCCTCCAGCACTAACATCACTTCCCTGACCCCAAGACCAGGTCATGCCCCTGCTGTCAGGCCTCAGAGCCCCATGCCTCTCGCTCAGGGCCCTTCTGACACTGACCATCCTTTCTGCGTGTGCCTATGGGGCCACCACCTGTGCTGCCCCCAGACCAAAGGCAGGTGCCTGCTCTGAGGACCTCACCTCTGTGATCCCAGTGCCTAGCACAGGGCACAGCTCTGAGGAGGTGCTTGGTAAAAGTGGCTTAATGATGGTGAAAAAGAAAGCTAAACACGCTCACTTATAATCCCTCTGAGGACTGCCTTTGAAGGCCAACAATGCCAGGCGGGTTCGGGACAGGGACCTGGAGCTGTGGTCAGTTCTGGCTGCTGTGTGGTCTTACTAAGCACCATCTGTCACACCAGAACAGCCCTGGCACTGCCCAGTCCATGCTGTCACATACACGCTATCTCTGTTCAGCACAGAAGTCTTGAGGAGCTGGGGATATAGTACAACAGTGGAGAGTGTGAGCTGTGACAGGCCAGGTCCAGCTGATTGGCTGTGTGACCTTGGGCAGGTGCTTCACCCTCTCTGAGGCTCAGTTTCCTTAAGTGTAAATTGGTGGCCCCACTTCCTACCCTCAGAGGGCTGTTGTGACAACTAAAAACTTGGCACAGCGTTGGGCACAAGAGGGTTTGGTGCATGCCAGGTGGTGGGGTATCTAACTTTGCTTTACAGACAAGGAAACAAAGGCAGGTGATCATTTAGTGGCAGAATAAGGTGGACAAATCCATTGCCCCTCACATGCTGGGTTTGTGGCCAGATCACATGTTCTTTGGGTCTCATTAAATTGTGGAGGAGCCAAAATTTCCTCTGTGTCACTCTGAATAAAAAGGACAGAAATCGTCTTTGTTGAGCAGATTCTGGAATCAGGCACAGTTTTCTTGAGGGCCTGCCAAAGGGTTTCAGTTACTCAAAGAGGGCTGTGTGGAGGCCCTCTCACCTCTGAGGCTGCAGGGAGCCACCGGTGGCTCACTGGAATTGAGGCATATGGACCCAGGTGACAAGCCCGACACTTCCACTCTCTAACTGGTGACCTCGGCTTCGCAAGGCCTCCCCAGCCCAGTGCATGTGTTGCACACATAGCAGACAGACGCTCAATAAATGTTAGTTTGTCCTCTCACGCCCTTCCTCCCGGCTGCAGGGACCCGGGGGACGGAAGGAAGGTTTGGCTTCAGTCTGCATGCAAATTGCTTCAACTGACTAGACAGAGGCATTGAATAAATTTGAATTTCCACTAAAATGATTATCAATACATGGAATTCCCATTTGCTCAGCTAAAAACCCACATCCTCTGGAAAACCGTAGGTGACTCACAATCCCTCTTCCTCTTTAACTTCTGGTTAGAAAATTCCTTTCCTTTCCAGCTCTTTGGGGAGACAGTTTTTTTCCCCAGGCACAGAAGCTGCTGTTCCCAAAAATCCAGGGTGGAAGGAGGCATTTGCTCAGGGAGCAGAGGTGATTTGATGGGCTCAGGCCCAGCCCTGTGATCCCCCAGTTACAGGAGAGAGGACACTTCATCTTGGCAGTGAAAAGAATCTAAAAACTGAGGAAGGAGGCTGAAAGTGGCCAAAAAAAGACACAGCATGAAGGAACCACAAGGCAGAACAAATCAGCTCTGGGAAAAGGGGGTACCATGAAATGCAGAAAGTCCCAGGGCTCTGCCCCCAGTGCAGGCTGCTCAGAAGCAAAAAGAGGAGTGCCCTGGACTAGGACTTGAGATTCATGGCCCCCATCCTCACCTGCCAGGTATGTGACCTTGACCAAGGGCCTCAGTTTTCCCATTTGCCGAAAGGGTTTCTCCTAAGAGACACTGCAAATAGCGTTGCCAGACTGGACAATTAAAAAGACAGGATGCCCAGTTAAATTTGAATATCAGATAAACAATGAGTGACATTTTAGTATAAATGTGTTCTAAATATTGCATCTGACATTCAAATTTAACTAGGTGTCATATTTTATCTGGCAACCTTAACAGTGGAGTGCAGCGGAGAGCACAGGTAAGAATGACCTTTTAAAGAACCAGGAGGTACCAGCACTTTGGGAGGTCGAGGTGGGCAGATCGCTTGAGCCCAGGAGTTGGAGACCAGCCTGGGCAATGTGGCGAAATCCTGTCTCTACAAAAAGAAAATACTAAAATTAGCTGGGCATCATGGTACACACCTGTTGTCCCAGCTACTTGGGAGGCTGAGGTGGGAGGATCACTTGAGCCCAAGAGGCAGAGGCTGCAGTGAGCCAAGACTGCACCACTGAACTCCAGCCTGGAAGACACAGTGAGACCCTGTCTCAAAAAAAAAAAAAAAAAAAAAAGAACCAGGAGGGCTATGATGCTATAGTCCAAAACCCCACAATCTGTGTTTATTCCACTAAGCAATATTCTTGCTCCTCTCAGGACCCAACCTAGTGAACGCTGGGATGATGACAAATAGGAACATGTGCCAAGGATGACAGACAGGATATGTAAACATCCCTTCAGAAAGGCTTTGGGATGGGAATTGTTTAGCCTGAAGAAGGAGCCCTGGGAAGCACAGACAAAGACCATTTTACACCTCAAACAGCCTCACTCAGGGACAGTGAGGACGACTCGGGCTCCATCCACAGGAAAACTCCAAACAAAGAGAGCTCTGTAGAATGGACTAGGCTCCCACAGAGGGAGGGACTTTTTGCACTGGAGGTGTTCAATTTGGAGTTTAATCACCATATGACCAAGATGCTCCAGAAGGGATTCCTGTTGGGCTTAGAGAGGGTCAGATTAGAAGACTTCTAGAGAGTTCTCGAATTCCCATGGCAGATATTTCTTTTTCCAAAGCATTTAGGTCAATGCCTTGTGCCAAAGAAGGTGCTCAGCAAAGTCCTACTGAATGGACATCAGGGATGACAAATTTATGACTCATGTGTTGACACTTCCTCAACCCCAGCCAAGGCAGACATCACTTATCAATTGCAGCACTCTCTCCCACCAAGTTCCAATGTGACTGTGAAATTTTTGTCAATTCAGTAACCCGGATAGCTGCTACCAGGTGTAAAATATCACGTGTGTGTAATATAATAACACCAACAATAGCTATTATTATCATAACTAGTACTTCTTGAGTGCTTACTACATACTAGGCACTTCACATATTAATTTATCTACATCCTCACTCACAACAATCCTCCAAGTTAGGTACCACTATTGTTCCCATTTTACAGATGAAGAAACCGAGGCATAGGGTGGTTAAAAATTTTGCTCAGGATTGTGATTACATGAGTGGTAGAGCTAGGATTTGAACCTAGGTGGTCTGGTTCCAGAAACTGTTCTCTTAGCCACTGGACTGGAATGGACTGTGTGTTTCTGTGGTTCTAATAAGAGTGGATACAATGATCCCATTTCACAGAGGGGATCCCTGAGGCTCAGGGAAGTGAGGCCAAGGTGAAGTTCAGTCAGGAGGTAGCAAAGTCAGGATTCAGACACAGAGAGCTCTCACCTCCTGCCCACCCCACCCAGGTTCTGCTCCCACTCACCTGAGCAGGCACAGATGGCCACGGGGACATCTGGGCCTTCTTCCCAGGACTGGCCTTCCCTGAGCGATGGGGTTCCCTGCCTCCCTCAGGGACCTCCTCCAGCCTCCCTCTGAGCAGAATTTCTCAGTACAGTTGCTGGAGTGGTAAAGCTGGAAGCTCATTTGTCAAGCTAGCAGATAGTTTACTTGTGTCCCTCCACGGGCCCCCAAACTCAAACCCCATGAGGAATGACCCAATGGACAGGGCGGAGGGGGCATCAGATTATGGGGACACTTGGAGTGTCATTTCCCAGGCTCTGACCTCTCACTGGCCCCTGCGGCTGGGCCCAAGGTTAACACTCATTCCACTGAAAGCGCAGCAGGGGCCCTGGCTTTGGCTAGAACCACTCCTCGAGGCCTACACCACCTGGATGGAGTCAGGTCAGATCGCCTCCCACCTCCTCGTGTATAGGCCTCTCTCAGTCCTGGGCATTTCAGGAGGTAATAACAAGAATTATTATAACAATATTTTCCACTAGCACTTACTGGGTGCCAGATCCTGTGCCAAGGACTACACATATGATGCCTCCTTTAATCCTCATGGCCACTCCAGGATGATTCTGCTATCACCTCTATTTCACAGATGAGGAAACTAGGCCCAGAGAAGGTAAGTGGCTTGGCCCAGGTCACACAGCCAGGATGTGGTGGGTCTGTGACTTGAACCTAGGTGGTCTGGCTCCAAAGTCTGCTTGGAGGAAAAGAGTGCAAAAGACCACCCTGCCAGCTACCTTCTCCCTCTGGACCTGGAACACCTCGCTTGTGAAATAAGTATGCCATCACCACTTGCCCACACCTCCTTGCAGAGCAACGGCCATGCACGCAGCAGGTGTGAAAGGGCTTTGGCAATCTTGTGTTCCAAGTGCTCATCTCATTTAACTAATAAGGAAACAGGCTCAGAGAAGGTGATCCACCTGAGGCCACACAGCAGGGCTCTCCTCCCTCAGCCGCCCGCCCTCCCCTACCCACCTTCCCCTACCCACCTTCCTCACCCAGGTTGGTCTCTCCTGGCCCCCCAGCCCCTCTGGGGGTTTGATGAGAGAAGGGTCTTTTCAACCTCCCCTGCAGGGCCTGCTCCTGGCTCCCCACACGCTGGCTCCACCCTGAGTCTCCTCAACACCCACCTGCTGCCCCAGGCATCAATGTACTTACAATGAGGCCGGGGACTCCAGGGGGGCCTGGCAGGCCCAGTTCTCCCTGCAGATAGAGAGAGACCAAGGTGGTTACTTGTCCCATCTCCCTCCAGGGCCCCTCCCTCCATGTCATCCTCCACACAGGCACCTGGTGGGGTCTTTCAGAGCTGAACACTCCTTATTCCTGACCACAGGCTCCAGCGACTTTCCTGAGCCTGGCCTGGAGTTTGGACCACAGCCATCCCCTCTCTGCCATCAGCTTTCCACATCTGTCAAATGGGGAGGTCGGACTTCCAAATCCAGTATCTTCCCATTGGAAGCATAAAGGAAGGAGCGGAATCGCGATCAAGGTCATACAGACGTGCATGGTGCTTGACATTTCACGCTCATTTTACAGACAGGAAAACTGAAGCTCCAGAGGTTAAGTGATTCACCCAAGGCCAGGTGCAAGGAAATGACAAAGCCATGAGGGCTCCAAGCTGAGAGCCTCTAAGCCAGCCTCCTTCCCTTTCTCAGCCGGGAGGTGCTGTGGCCCTTGGAGAATCCTCCCCAGCACCCCACACCCTCACATTTCCTTCTTCCAGGGGCCCCCAGAGACTGGAAAGAGTTCTAGCCTGGGAGTCAGGAGACGAGGCTGTGTGTGTGATTTATCCCCCTATACCTCAGTTTTCTCGTCTTAAACATGGATCTTCCATGGCCCACATGAGAAATGACAGGTGGAAGGGTTTGAGTCAAGTTCAAAATGGAAAAGTGAGAATAAAACTCCAGGGCTCTAGACATTGTAATTAGCAATGAGAAGTAAGCAACAGCCTTCACTTCAAATGAGAGGAAGAAATGGACATCAGGTCTTTTCTGTTCCTCTATGCCAGCAGCATAAAGACATCCCTGCCGCTCGCCAAGGAAACTCGCAGAATGATACTGCATATCGCTAATAGTTAATCTAACAAATGCTGTATTGAGGGAGAGGCTCTGGTTTCCCCTCACCCCATGCCTTTGCTGGTGCCCCTTCCTCCACCTGCAATGTCTCCCCACCTATCTCCTCATCCCAATGCAAATGTTACTTCCCTGTTCCCTTCTCCAAAGAGGCACCTGGGACCTCTCTGATCCCACCCATCCCACTGCCTGTTGTGTGACAGAGGAGGGCAATGGCCCATGAACTCCTCAAAGGCAGGACTATACCCCGGATTACCCAGTATTTTACACAGCCTCACCCACTGAACCTGTGTGATGAGGCAACACCTTGGCTGCCCTCCTGTCATTCTCACAACGGCTTCTTTTTTTTTTTTTTTTTTGAGACAGAGTCTCACTCTCTTGCCCAGGCTGGAGTGTAGTGGCGTGATCTTGGCTCACTGCAACCTCCACCTCCTGGGTTCAAGCAATTCTCCCCCATCAGCCTCCCAAGTACCTGGGATTACAGATGCCTGCCACCACGCCCAGCTAATTTTTTGTATTTTTAGTAGAGACGGGGTTTTGCCATGTTGGCCAGGGTGGTCTTGAACTCCTGGCCTCAAGTGATCTAGCCGCCTCGGCCTCCCAAAGTGCTGGGATTACAGACGTGAGCCACTGCGCCCGGCCTCAGGCTGGAATTCTGATCCCCCCAATTTGCAGACAAGGAAACTGAGATTCAGGGAGGTGAATGGATTTTTCCAAGCTCACACACCTGACAAGTGGTACAACAAAATTCAAACCCAGGTCCGCAGGGTTCTGAGGTCAAGGCTATAATCCCCAAGGGAGCCTGGCTGGGTCAGGCTCAGGGAGCATTTGTGGAACTGAATTAGCGCCTAATCGGGTGCTGGTTATGAACGCAGCAGCCACCACTGCAGAGGGCACAGCTGGCACAGCTGCTCAGGCAGGAAGCCCCAGGGGGAGATGGGGAACCATGAACACCTTCTCCCACCAGGGCCTGGAGCTGGGAAGGGAAAGACAGACTCGGCTCCCCAGGGCAGGCTGACCTGGCTCCTCGGGGAACAGAGCCTGGGCCTCTAATTATTTACAAACTCTATAAACATGCCTGTGGTGGAGATTCCTTTGGAACTCAGCTCTTCCTTTTCTCCAAACACGGCCTGCAGACCGTTTGCTTCCCCATGCCTCTGCCGGCCCATAAACATTGCTGATGCTGTGTAAGATGGCAGCAGCTGGGGCCTCTCCAGTGGGGAGTGACCCATGAACCTTCCAAAGTCCTGGAAATGGGGTGCAGCCTGGAGCTTTGGACCCAGGGGCTCAGTGGGCTGGGGACTCTTACAGGGGGGCGACGGTGCAGCCGCAGTAGACAGGAGCCTAGCGTTTAGAGACGTCATGTAATTTGTCCAAGGGTGCCCAGCTGGTACTTCACAGGGCTGGGATTTGACCCAGGTCTGTCTGACCCTAAAGCGTGGGCTCCTAAAATCTGCTGTGTGTTCACTCAGAATCTCGCTCCTGTTCCCAAAGACTTGAAATACTCACAGGATTTCCATCCAGTCCAGGAGGGCCTCTTTCCCCAAAGACTCCAGGAAACCCCTGGAGGGCATGAGAGAGAACAAACATCTGTAGGTTAGTGTTGTCACCTTCAGGGTGGGCTTTGATCCAGACCCCCAGGGGGGACACAAGGACAATGTCCAAGCAGTCTCACTCCTTGGTCATGGGCAGACAGTGCGGTCCTGAGGTCACCCCTACCATCGACAAGCACCTGAACATAAAGAATTTCTCAGGGATCCTTTTATTTTCTACTAAGTCTCTGAAAAGAAAATGATACCCAGCTCCCCAGCATGAAAATGCCAATCCCCTATTCTGAGATCTGGTCCTGATGGAATGGGAAAGACAGAGACTAGGGGCAGGAAGCTGGATCTATGCCAGTTTTAAGAGCCTCTGTTTCCCCACTGGTCAAGGAGGAGAAGGCCTCTGTTGCATTTCCCAGCTCAGACCTTCTCTGATTGTGGCACGTTCTTCAAAAGCCACCCAGTGAACTCATGATCCCCATTTGACAGATAAAGGAAACGAGGCTGTGAAAGAGTGAAGTGGCAAGGTCACACAAAGTCACACCACCAGTGAACATGAGCACAGCCTCCATAGGTGTTCAGCAGCTCAGAGAGATGCTGAGCTGCCCGGCCCAGGCAGGTCTGGCCCTCTCGCCCCATCCCTGACCCCACTCTGGAGGCCGCTCCACGCTCTGGGGAGATAGGCAGCTGGAAAAATATCAGCTGTAAGGACGCCTTCGGGGGCCGGGGACAGAACTCCATTCCTACTTCAAAAGGAAAAGAAAGTCCTCAAGCTTGGAGTTGGGGGAAACCTGTTCTCCTCCCCTCCTTGAATTCAAATCATTGTTTTTCCAGGGAAATGTAATTAAAAAAAAAAAAAAACAAAGCACATGTTTTCCTGACCAAGTGAATGCTGGGGCTATGATTCAAATGGTAAACATTCCTCATGGAGGATGATCCTGTTTTCGGTTTCTAATACTACTGGAGGAGTCCAGTGAGTACACTAAACCCAAAAGACCAAACCTACAAACAAAACCCAAACCAAAGTCTCTACTGGTTAGGCAAAGACACCTTGAAATGTGTGTATGTAACCAGGTGTTTAGCCTGGCCCTGCCCCGCAGCCCTACTCCCTTTAAATCTCTCCCCTGCCAGGAAGTCCTCTTGGATTGACATTCACCCCATAGAAGGTGTGGCTTCATTCAGACACCAAAAGGAGGAAACGAGAAGACGATAATGAAATTCAGACCAAGGTAGTCACTTTGCATGCAAGACTTCATTTTGCATTTGATATCTATCTTTGAGGGAAAAGTTATCAGTCCCATTTCACAGATGGGAAAATTGAGACTCGGTTAGGCAACATCACATGGCCAAGGTCATAAAGCAAGCAGAGCCCAGGTCCACCTCTGGAGTTTGGCATGTTCATATGAGCTATGCACGGGCAAAGCCTGGTATGTAGAAGCTGCTCAAACGCGTGTCCAACTGGTTGCAGAGGGTGGCAGAGGAGTGTGGCAGGGGAGGGTGTGTGTGTGTTTCCAGATCATGTCTTTGTGGGGGCATATCTGACCTTACCCAAGCTTCCTCCCCCACATCTTTAGGGTCTCCCCTGGTAAATTCCAGTCTCACCTAAACCAGCTCTTCTTGGTCATGCTGAAGGTAGATCGTCTCACCTCCTGGGACAAGAATCAGCCAGGTGGGCTGTGTCCAGGGGATCCTTCTTTTTTTTTCATGATACAGGGTCTCACTCTGTCATCCAGGCTGAAGTGCAGTGGTGTGATAACTGCTCACTGCAACCTCTGCCTCCTAGTGATCCTGCCGCCTCAGCCTCCCAAGTAGCTGGGATTACAGATGCACACCACTACACCTGGCTAATTTTTGTATTTTTGGTAAAGATGGGGTTTCTCCATGTTGCCCAAGCTGGTCTCGAACTCCTGGGCTCAAGCGATCTGCCTGCCTTGGCCTCCCAAAGTGTTGGGATTACAGGTGTGAGCCATGGCGTCCAGCCAGGGCACCTTCTGAAGGCATTGAGTTCCCACCTCTGGCCTCTGAACTTTGGGGTAGAAGGACCTGGTAGGAGAGGAAAGCAACTCCTTGAGACAAGGGCAATGTTGTCTGGCTGGGCACCTGGCTGACTCCACATGGCCTACAAGGGACAGAACTTGTAGTCCTGCCCTGTTCTCCAAGTCCAGCATATGGAGATGGCCTGCAGATGAGCCCTGGCTCTCCTCTAGGCTGGCTGTCTGACCTTGGGCAGGCCCCCACACTTGACCCTCTGTCCTGCTCAGGTTGGAGGTGTGTGATCTCTAAGGATCCTTTAGGACCCTGTGATGCCCAATATATTCACATACAGCAGCTGCCAGGCAGGTCTCAGACCCATGGGTCTGCATTCAGAGGCCATTCCAGGCTGGCCAGCCTGCCCCAAGACAGTCCTGACTGCACCACCCACAGGCCTCTTGGGGCCTCAGTTCTCTTTGCCATCCAAAAGGGAGTGCTGTGAGGAT
This sequence comes from Homo sapiens, assembly GCF_000001405.40. NCBI lineage: Eukaryota > Metazoa > Chordata > Mammalia > Primates > Hominidae > Homo > Homo sapiens. Next base: position 114,217,335 of record NC_000009.12, on the reverse strand, counting down.
GAGCTGAGATGCCACATGAAGGGTGCCTCAGTGAGGGTGCCTCACTGCCACATGGGAGGCCTCAGCCATGTGAGGGAATGTCTCTGAGGTATAAGCAAGGGAGAGACGGTCATCAGAATTTTGAGTCAGTTTCTGGAGGGGAGTAACCTCTGCAGACAAAATGCAGCCTGAGTCTAGCCAGAGGGCGATGATGGTGGGATGAAACAATCATAGCAACAGTAAACCCCAACAGCGTGACCACCCAACAGGTCCTATTATTGGCTGCATTTTTGAGATGAGGAAACTGTGATTCTGAAAGGCTAGGAAATGTTTCCAAAGTCACACAGCCCTGGCATAGCAGAGATGAGATTCGAACCTAGGCAGTGTGACTCCAGAAGCTGTTCTCTTAGCTACAACTGGACACTGAATGAACAGATGAACTAGAACCAGCCTACAGGCTCTCCGAGGGCTCATTAGAGCCCTGAGCTAATGTGCAAAAAGGAATGGCATGATTGATGCTGAGGACTGGTTCTGCTTGGACACGCTGAGGGCCTCCGGGAGTCAACCCCTGTCTCCATCTTCAATCTCCCTTCCAATGGAGGGGTCAAGCAGATGACCTCTAGGAATCTAGGGTTTGTAATTAAGAGCACAGTGGTTGGAAAAAAGAGCTTTAAAGGTGCTGGAACAAATCTCTGATTGGAACAATCACAGATGGTCTAAGGATGAAAGGACCCGAGACGTTCTTGATGTTCACCACCTCATTACACCAATGGGGAGACTGCAGCCCAGAACACACCCAAGACCCCCTCACCCACTACCTTGCCTCATCCCTCCGCTACTAAGTGGCAGAGCCATTTCCAGCAGTCACCCCAGAGCTCCCTGGGTCTTAGGGTGGCGGCTGCTGAGCTGGAATGTATAGCCCCCACTTCAACCCCATCTGCTTCCCTCTCTCTGGCCATGCCTGCATGTGTAAGGCGACCACATGGCATGCATGCCCAGCCTGGCCAGCAGCAGGGACCTTCCTCCACATGCCCGAGCTCCTGGCTGCAGCAGGCTGGCCCCAGGCCCAAGGAATGAGCTTGGCTCCCTGCCAGGGCCCCAGCCACGTGGTTTCTCTACTTTCCCAGGTCGGGCCCCTCTGGAGAACTGAACACTTCATACTTGGAGCAGAACAAGGCCCAAGAGGAGATAGAACAAGGCTAAGGAGTGAGACTCTGCATTCTCTCTTGGCCACAACAACTCAGAGGAATAGAGCTGAGGACAGGGACGGTCCTCGCCACCACATCCAAAGCAGGATGCCAAGGAGAACTCAGAAGGCCATCTCCTCCACTCTTCTGCCTCCAGGAAGTGTCCACCCCAACCGTGTGCTCCAGCGGGTAGGATACAGGGGCAGAGAAGCAAGAAACATCTAGAATCCAAAGTCCCCCTCATGCTCCTAAGGCTCAGGTCCCTGGCCTGCAAAACAGTCAGCACTGTCCCACTCACCTGGCAGGGCTGGGCTGAAGAAACGGTGAGATGTTTCTAATGCAGCCCCTGGTCAACTCTAATGTGCCATCACTACACTAGTTAGGGTTTATATCAAGAGTGGGAATATTTAATAACCTCTAGGAGAAGCCCGCAAAAGGATCTTGGAGAACTTCTTACCAGGTGGACATTCTCCAAGGCCTGGAAGTTCCTGCTTAAGTCTAACCTGCATCCTTCCTGCTGCACTCGAAGCAGCCATATTCTTTTCTAGGTGTGCAGGCTCCAAGCGTGCTGACATGGAAAGACCCCTGAACTTTCCCAGCCCCTTTCTCTCGTGGTCTAAACATGTTTTTACCCTGCCCTCCTGAAATCCACTAGGAAATCTACTCAAGAAAAGTCGCCTCAGGGGACAAGGAGAAAATAGGAAGGCAGAGTTCTCTCCAGGATTCCAGGGGCACCAACAGCCTGGGTCAGCTCTGGTTCACATCTGGGTCACTGGAGACCACACCCCCAGCTCACAGCATCACCTCAGCTGAGAACCTTAATCTGCTTTGGCCTCAATTTCCCTACTTGGAAATAGGAATTCTCTGTTACTTGGCTGCTTGCTGCCTGTAATCTGAGAACTGGAAAGAGCCATGAACTTGAAGCCCAAATGCACTGTGTTAGAAGCCCTGCCTCCTCCCAGAGGACTGCGCGGCCTTGGGCAGGTCCCAGTCATCCCTGAACCACACCCCAGGGAGTCGGTGCCAGGGCTGGGCCCTTCCAGCTCTAAGCTTTAGGGTCTTCCCTCCGGACTCACTGCATGAGGCCAGCCTTGGCAGTCCTGGCCAGGGGCTGTGAGTAAAGCTGTGCATGGTGGCCTGCCTTGCAGGGCCATCCCAGCAGGCTTGAAAGTACATTTGGAGAAGACAGGTAGAAGGACTCACTGCAGCATCTTCCTAGCCTGCTCGTAGAGACCCTTGGCTGGGAAACATGGCTCAGTCTCTCACTGTGAGTGATACTGAGCCATGCCCAACAAGCCAGGACAGGCCAGGAGAAAGCCATTCAGCTCCAGCCAAGTTGGTAACATTTTCCACCTGGACCCCTCGCCAGAAAACCACAACACGTTCTCTTAGCAGGAGGTATGAGGAGGGATGAGAGCTGTGGACCAAGCTTTCCTCTGGAGGTTGAAGATGGGAGCAGAGAGAAGAGGGAGCCATGTGGAGAGTACCTTGCCCTGGAAAGCAAGTGTTCTGGATTCAAGTCTTGACTTTGCCAACAACTTGCTGTGAGATCTTAGGCAAGTGTCTTGCCCTCCCTGGGCTATGTCTGCTTATCTGTCTGAAAAAGAGTTTGGGCCAGGCCATCACGAAGGTTCCTATAGCTCTGATGTGCTTTGACCTCCACTGTCTCTTCCTCAGCTCCCGTTAGTAAAAGACTCTGACACATCACCCTTCCAAACTGGATACTGAGGAGGCCGCATGCACGGGCCCAAGGTTTTGCCTGCTGGGGAAAGACTGACTACAGCAAAATCATCACCAGCCCTGCCAGAAATGACGCCAGCTGCAATCTGGCATGAAGGAATTCAGCTCATTCCCCTGTCACTTCCTTTTCTTAATAAGTGCCTAGAAACTGTCTGGCCTAAAGCTTGGATAAGGAGGAAAAACCATTCACGACAGGAGCCCCCAACCCTACCAGACAGATCAAGGGGTTGGGAGCAACAGCAACAGAGGGATGGCCCTAAAGACTGTCCAGGGTCTTTAGGCTGAGAGGCATGGCAGACTCAGAGGCCCAGCGGAGACAGAGACCAAGCTGTAGGGACTCAGCCGATGTGAAGTCCCATTACGTACACATTAAATCATATCTGATGCAGATCTCGCCGATTTGCTGGCCATGGTGGCTGGAACAGAGTTGAGGGTATTTTCATGGCTCTCAAGGGTATTGCACAGGTCTAGGGCTGAAAAGATGTTTCCCTCCACCCACATCTGACACCCCAGTGCCAGGGAACAACACGCCTGTCATGAAGATCAGAGCCTAGTCTTAGAAAGTTAAAGGCAAGAAGCAAGGAAGCAGACAGAAGTTCTCAGTCTGGCAAGGCTCAGAGTGTCTATGGACAAATGGCTTTGACAGTCTAAGCCTCAGTTTTCTCATCTGGAAAATGGGGATAATCGATCTTGCCTTAAAGGTTCACTGGGAGAATCGCATGTGGTTCAAATACTATGCACACCGAGGGCCTCAATACTCGTTGCTTCCTTTCACTTGCAGGGGACTTAGGGTGGCAACCATGCCTTCTTCTGGTTATTCATCGTGTTTATTGATTGTCTCTACCCTTAAAATTTGAGCTTCATGACAACAGAGATTTTTGTCTGTTTTGGCTACAGTGTTATCCTTAGTGCCTGGCATAGAGTAATATATTCAACAAATAATCTTTGGTTGAATGAGGAATGAATGAGTGGCCTTATCTCACACAGGCAGGATAATGGGACCTCAAACCTGGGACTGCCTTCTCAGCCAGGCCATGAACAGGGTAACTTTGTGCTCCAAGAAGAACACAGGTACATGGCAGGGAGAAGGTGGATGAAGGGGCCGCCAGGAGGGGAGATGAGGAGGATGCAGAGGATGGAGTAGAAGGGGGAAACTGAGGCATGGCCCTGCTGACATTCCTTGCTGTGTCCGGTTGGAGAAGAGGCCATAACATGTCCAGGCTTTCATGGGTCTTACCTCTTCCATGCTCAGGAGACTCCGTACCCCAAGCTCTAAACAGCTACACTCTGGCACTGGAGTTGAAAGCTCTGGTTGTGTTCTAATCCAACTGTGACACTGAGCAGCCATGTGACCTTGACCTAATCATTTACCTCTCCGAGAAGCGATCTCATCTGTAAAGGAGCAACGCCTGGCCCTTGGTAAGGCTCCCAGGATGTGTCTGAACAAATCCCCCAAAGGTGGCCCTGGAGGCTGGCCTGAGTGTTGGGGCAGGGCCCAGCTGAGATCGCCTAAGCAAGTCAAATCCTCCCACTCTGCAACTTAAACCATGGGAAACCAGACCCAGCAAAGGTGAAGTCATTGGCTTAGTGTCACACAATACAGAGATCCCCTCAGCCATCCAGGAAACCTTATTCCGGGCGGCTCTATTTATTGAGCACTTACTATGTGACAAGCACAATGGTCTTATGAGCCATACTATTGTCCCCATTTCTCGGAAGAGAAAACTGTGGTTCAGAAAATTTGAACCAAGCCTGCTCCTTCCCCAGGGCCTTTGCCTGGAAAGGCACACAGCTTCCACGCTTACCTCATTGAGATTCTTCATAAAGCGAGGGAGACTTTCTGGACTAACTTATTCAAGATCCCAACCCTCAAGTACTCCCTGTCTCCCTATCCTACTCTCTCTTAGATTCAGCACTACCTAACCTTCATTTAATTGTTCATTCTTCCATTTCCCCATTCAGTGATTGGGTATCTGTCTGTCTGCCCCAAGAGAGTGGGAACTTTGTCTTATCCACTGCTCTGCCAGAACAAAGCAAAATGCTTGGCCCATAGCAGGCATTCAACAGATATTCATGGGATGAACAGATAATCACTGGATGAACAAATCTCCTTGCCTGAGGTCATGCTGGCTTGAGGGACAACCCCATGTGCCAGCCCAGCCCTCTCAGACTCCAGGTCCTTGCCCTGAAGCTGGGAGCATCAGGTGCTGCTCCTTGCCCAGGTCTAGGTGTCAGGTGTTGGACCTTAGAGAAGACTGCCTGTTCGGGCCACAGAGGGGTCTAGGTTGGGGGTGGAGGGACCTCCTCTGTCAGCTCTTTGAGGCTTTTTTCTTTTCTTTGTTTTTCCTCTTTGGCCCCCAGAGGGCCCAGGTTAAACGCTCCAACAGCTAACATGCCCATCAGTGGCAGAAGCACGGAGAGGCCCCTCTGAGCACTCTCGAATGCTCCAGGCCTCCTCTTCATACTCCCTTCCTCACCAACCACCAGCGATGGGAGGCCCAGACTTGGTCTGACCATGGTTCCAAGTCAAGGAGTCAACCTGCAGGGCAGTGGCAGAGGGACCCTGGTATCTCATTCTGCCTCTCAGAGCCTCAGTTTCCCGCTTCTCAATAATTGGAATGAATGATCTTCCTTCCAGGCGAAGAGTCTAGGGAACCTATTTTTATAATATGACTGCCAACTAGGGACCCTGAGAGGCTGCCTCAAGCAGCCACTGAGATCAAAGACACCGGGAACAAACCAACTGAGTTCCAATCCTGGCTGCATTGTTTACTCATCGTGCAAGTGACTTAATCTCTCCGTGCCTTGGCTCTTTCTCCATGTTCTGCACATGTCCAAACAAAGGGAAAAACAATTTCCTCCCATGATGGGGAGCCATAGAGAAAGCTGGTGAATTGGGGGTCACCGCTGAGCCCCTCTTTCGGTCATGCCTGCTGTGGGCACTGCCCATAAACCCCATTGTCCTCTGGCTTTGCGTGTGCATGAGCAAACTGGACAGAGCCGGATGACACCAAGACGATGTGGAGACTGAGTGTTCCCTGAGATGGGAGCAGAGTCACCTGGTCTAGCCAAGGTCCCCCGGTCACAGCAGACCCACAGACACAAATACCTTAGACAGAAGCCCCCAGACACAGAACTGCACTGGAGAGCCACTGATGCCCACAGGGAGACAGGAGCTACCCCAGAGGGGTCCAGAGCCCATGGAAGCCCCAGCCCCAGCCAGGCCCCAGTCACGCCGTGTGCCAGCAGCAGGTCCTGTGGCCAGACAACCCCACATGCGGCCCCCACACTCAAAGCAGGGGGAGAAGCAGAAGATGCCAGGCAGCAGGTGGCCAGGGCAGCGTGGCCGTGGGAGGTGGGGTTCCCCGCTAGAGTCTGCGTAATAGACACGGAAAATCTTTACCGGCATACCCATCTTGCCCCTCTTGCCAGGAACGCCAGGCAGGCCCTGCAGGGGAGAGACAGGGGAGAGGTCAGGGCAGGATGCCAGCAGGGACAGCCAGGCTTGCCCCAAACCAGCCCAGAGCCACCCACGGCAGGAAGTCACAGAGGGCCTGGAATGTGTGCCACTTGCGTGGCGGCCCCAGTGACATGCACATCAGACGGATGGCAGGGTCGGGGTCTGTGGTGACCTAAGAGACAGAGAAATGCCAGTTCCTGTAATCAGCAGGTGCTTCATAAATGCTCAGGCTCCAGCTGTCCTAAGGTTCTCTATACCCAGCTTATGGAGGTTACAAGTGAGTTCCCATAGATACGGGCTCAGGTTGGGAGGGGGCGGGGAGGAAGATCCCGAGGCCACCACCCCAGGGGCTTCTAATGGACCTCCAGGCTGGGCCAGGGGTCTGTGAGAAGCTCCCACACCATCTTTTGGACTCCTCTGACTTAGATACTTGGTCTGGAAGGACAGGGTGTCTTAGGAAATCTTAGCACCCACTGCCCACCACCAAACCAGTCCCACCACCTTCCCCAGACAGCCGCTCCCCCTGGCTGCTGGAACTCCTGCCACCTGCTCTTGCTGTCCCCACCCCCAACCAACACATTTTACTCAAGTAAACCAACTGATCTGTCTAAAAGAGGAATCAGCAGATGGTTTCTGGAAAGGGGCAGATAGTGAATATCTTTGGCTCTGTGGGCCATACGGTCTCTGTCACACCTACTCAACTCTGCCATTGTAGTGAGAAAGCGGCATTGACAATATGTAACCAAATGAGCAAGGCTGAGTTCAATAAAACTGTTTGCAAAAACAGACAACTGGCTGGATTTGGCCCATGGGCCACCGTTTGCAGACCCCTGATCTATATTATAAAGTGGGCCCGGTGTTCATTGGTTGCAAGTCCTCAAGAGGCTCCGCATACCCTCAGAACAGAGTTCCTTTTCTAACCTTAGTCCTGGGCACCTAAGACATTGCCCCAGGGTCCTCTCCAGCCTCAACTCCCACCACTCTCACCCTCTCACGCAGCACTTTGGCAGTGTTGAGTGTTAAACTCGCCAAGTTACCGTAAATCCCTGACTTCGCACATGCTGTTCCCTATGCCTGGAATGCATCTGCCTTGACTTGTCCCCTTATCAGACTCCTACTCGACTCAAGTGCACCTCCTCCAGGAGGAATTCCTTGACTTCCCCAGGCTGGTGCCTGGCAGGTTCTGCTCTGTTTGGGCAGGGGTGGCTGTGGATGGTGAATAACCAAAGAAGCAAACTTACTCGTTCTCCATCAGACCCTGGCAGGCCGAAGAGCCCTGGGAGCCCAATGTAGCCCTAGGAAAGAGAAGAAAGGGGGTCAGAGCGGTCAAGCAGTGAGGTGTGGCTGGCCCAACCTGCCGCAGCCCACCCACCACTGCCATCCCACATCCCGGCTCCTCCTCTTCCTCCCTGGTGGCAGTGGCAGCTCCGGTGGCTCCTCGATGACATAGGCCTTGAGGCAAGTGTATATGCCCATGGACTGCATGGTGCTGGCTTCCACGATGTAGTCCAAAGGCACATACCCTCACGCCAGGGAAGGGCGCAGGCGCTCGCCGGCAGGAGGCCCGCCCCACGCCAGGGCTCCAGGACCTGCAGAAGGAAGCTCGCGGCTGGGTTAGATGCTAGCACGGCACCAAGCCCTGCCCACCCCCAGGGATGCTGGTAGGTGCCCGTGGCTCCTGCCATGGCTCCTCCTAGGCCTTCAAGGTCCTGGATGTAGGGCTTACATCCACCTCTGGCCGCCTGAGTGCTGGCATTAACTAACAGCGGCTGCGAACCCGGAGTGCCAACATTGTGCCAGGCACATGCATGCTACCACATTAGACTCTCACAAGGACCCCCCAGATTGTCACCACCCACACTGGACAGACAAAGAAACTGAGGCTCTGTAGATAAAGCAACACGACTAGTCAGTAGTGGAGCTGTGAATTCTCTTCGGGAATTCCTAATCAGTTCAAGGGTCACCCAGGGCCAGCTGACTCCACAGCTGGGGCTCGTCACCATTCTGGGGCTCTTCCCTAGGATGCATCTCATTTCCTCCCTCCCAGCCTTTCCTCACTCTGTCCCCTCCACCAGGCATGTCCTTCCCATCCCTCATGACTTCTGAGCCAAATCCTTCAAAGCCCAGCTCTCATAAGCGCTCTCCTTGGGCAAGCATCCCTGATACCCCAAGCCGGAAGCAATCTCTCCCCCCCATCCCCAGTGCCATTTTTGCACCTCGGTAGCATCCTTCTCCACTTTCTCCCTTGTATCTTCATTATTTGTGTTCATGCTTCACGTCCTCATTAGCCTGGGAACTTCTAAAGGGCAGTAACCTCGCCCGGGGCTTCTACCACTATCTGCGTGCCACTCTTGGTGGAATGATTTAATAATAACTCTAACAAAAGCTAATGTTTATTGAGCACGAATGATAGGCCAGGCCTGCTGCCAGTGCTTTGCATATATTAAAGCATTTATTCCATCCTTATCACACCCCGAGGAAGTATTATATTTTATTATTTTTTTATTTATATATATTTTTTGAGACGGAGTCTTGCTCTGTCATCCAGGCTGGAGTGCAGTGGTGCGATCGTGGCTTACTGCAACCTCTGCTTACCGGGTTCAAGCGATTCTCCTGCCTCAGTCTCCTGAATAGCTGATCACAGGTGATCACAGGTGTGCACCACCACGCCCAGCTAATTTTTGTAGTTACTTTAGTAGAGACGGGGTTTCGCTATGTTGACCAGGCTGGTCTCGAACTCCTGGCCTCAGGTGATCCACCCGCCTTGGCCTCCCAAAATGCTGGGATTACAGGCACGAGCCACCGCGCCCAGCCCTGAGGAAGTATTATTACTCAGCCCCCTGTAGAGGTAAGACCATTTAGGCCCAGAGGGGTGAAGCAACTTGCCTAGGACCAAACAGCTGAAATGTGGTAGAACTGGTATTCAAATTCAAGTCTTCTGACTCCTGGGCCTGGGCTCCTAACCACTCTGCATACTGCCTCTCCTCAAACAAGCAACCAATGGAGGCTCACAACCATCTCTCCTTCCCTGGAAGGCCAAGAAGCCACTGAGCCTCCTCGTTGGCATCCAGCATGATTAATATCCATAATCTGAAAGAGTGCCATTTACTGCCATTCCAAATAGTGCTTATCTCCCAGATTTACAGGTGAGAAAATAATTGGCTCAGAGAGGCCCAGTGACTTGCCCAAGCTCCCACAGCTAGCTAATGGCAGGGCAGGTCTCAAAGCCTGTCATCCTGATTCCAAAGCCTGCCCTCTGCCTACTTCAGAAATATGAGGCTGGTGGTGGCAGGGTTGGAAGGGCAGCTTGAGTGACTCACTGCTCATCCAGGCTTCCCACCCAGGGCTGTGTGGCCTGTAAGAGACAGGAGTGCTGGGGCCAGACCAGTCCTCTCCTGCTATGTGACTTTGAGATGCCACCAGCCTGGCAGGCAAGTCGAGCAACCCCAGATGTCATTAACATGCCTGTCCTTCTGGCAGGTCAGGAGATCAGGACTGGGGCTGGACTGAGAAGACCTTTCTCCTTGGGTTTAGGGGGTCCCTCTGGGGGAATGGCCCATGGGAGCAGCAGAATAAAGGAAGAGAGGCACAGCACCCTGGGACAAGAGCCTCCTTAGGCCCTGCCTGTCACAGTAACCTCCTGGGGAATGCACCTCCCCGCCCCCACTCCCGCCTCCCCACACTCTCCTAACAGCCACCAGTCAGCTGCAGGGATTAGGGCTGAGACTGCAACTGTTCTGTCCTCTCCCTCCTGCCAAAATATAAATAGCTTTGGCTCAGGAGCAAAGGATACGTGATCTGTCCTGACCGAGGACTGTGTGACCCCCTTCCTGAGCATTCCTTGAGAGGCAGCAAGTCCAGGCCTCGGAAGACTTGGGTCCCCATCCCAGATCCGCCTTAGGCGTGCAGTGTAAGCTGGGGCCATCCAGGCCCCGCCATGAACCCAGTTTCTTTGTGTGTAAAAGAAACGATTCCACCACATCAGCTCTAAATCTTTCCAACTCCATTTACCCCATTCGGTCCACCCAGAACCCTCTCTGTCTTCCCACAACCCACATGGGAGTCCCCACCTGGTGGCCCCCTCCTGAGCTGTCAAGTCAGCTTGACATAACCAGACTAGAGGTACAAATGGACATCATGACCATTGTAGAGGTAGGCAACTGAGGCTGATCGCTACTCGGGGTCTGCTCCATGGGGGCCTTGAAGGAAGGGGAGATCTGGAAACTCCACCAGGCTGCAGGCTTGGGCAGCATTCCCACACCAGGTGCCCTCCACAAAGAGTGGTTCCCCCCAGCCCTCATTTGGGAGCAGGAGGGAGGCCTCTGAAGATTCGACGACAGGCAATTCAAGTGGCCCATACTGGCTCCCTTGTAACTTGGGATGAGCCAGGAGACACAGCAAACAAATGCCTAGCTGTTTGCAGCTGGACTGTGGCCAAACCCCCAGCAGAGTCTTTACTTCCCAGACTTCTTGGCCATGGGGACCAAGCAGTTTACCTGGCTCAAGGGTCTCCCATCACCCATCCCTCCTGCTGCCCCTCTGTTGTCCGGGAGCACTCAAGTGGGAGGGCCTTGGCTCTCCTTATAGCTCTGACCTCCCATCAAGCCCACTGGAGGGACAGGTGATGCTCACCTAGAACCCCACCCATGTGGCACTGGCCAGGAACCACTTACCCTGCTGCCTTTGGGGCCGGGATCTCCTACCGGTCCAGGTAACCCCTGAAACACAAAACACAGAGGGGCAAGGACATATGGAGACGCTCTACCTGCTGCCAATCCTGGGGCAAGTCCTGCCTCTTTGGGGCCTCTGCTGCTCTCTTTGTAGAATGGGGGTGGGGTTAGATCAGCGATCTTTGGCCTGACCCCCACAGCCCTAGGATCCCAGGGAGGTGGCTGGTGGGTAGGAGGGAGACTGAGTAGGAGGAGCCTCTGGAGCCCCAGCCCCGCAGAACCAGACCTCCTCTTACTATGCAGCCTTATCCTGTGCCTGCAAAGACAGGCTTCCTTGGTCCAGTCCCCTGGAAAGCCCCCTCCTTAGGGTCCACCCAGCAGGTGCAGCTCCTTGGCCCCCAGCCCACCACCTCCCTCTGCCTCGGGGCACCTGTGGCCATCTTCACATCACCATGGCCACAGAGCTTCCAGAAGCCATATACTGCACCTGCCTGCCAGGGTAACCTTTGGCCCCTGGGCTGCCCTCAGGTCCTGGCTGCCCCTGCAAAGGAACAGAGAGAAACATAAGGAAAAGAAAGACCCTGCCCAGCTCTGGGTCTGGGGGACCCTGGGAGACTGGGGCTGACAATGAATAAAGAGAGGGGCAGGAATGTGAGATGGAACAGGAGGAAGGGGAGGGCCCCCAAGCCCACCCCTCTGTGAAACCGGTCAGACCAGCTCTGAGGGACAAAACCCCCTCTGCTTGCAGCCCAGGAATAAGAAATTACTGAGGAGGCCTGGCTGGTTCTCCCATGCTGGCAGGGCTGCTGTTTCACTTGGGCCAGGCTGGCCAAAATTCCTGCAAACCCCGTGGCGGTGAGTATAATATCCCCTAACATCGCCCGGAACAGGCCAGCTATTCATGGCTCCAACTGGCGTTGTGCGGCTCATGCCAACATCAGGCTGGCATGGACTCTGGCTCTTTTGGGCAAATGTGGCTGGGCGAGAGAGGTGGGGTGGACTGGAGTGGGCTGGGGGCTCCAGCAGGGTGAGAGGCAAAACAGCCTGGCTCTGGGGCTGGCTCACAGAGCAGGATCTAGGGAGGGGGCCAGAGACAGGTAGGGGCTGGGAGGAGGGAGAGCGACCAGGGCAGGGCTGAGGCTGAGGCCCTCACCTGTTCTCCGGGGTGCCCTGCCGGTCCAGGATAGCCCTTGTGTCCCTGTTGGAGGGGGAAGAAGCTGCATCAGGCAGGGAGGACACATCTGGTCCTGGAGATCGCAAGGGCCCAGCCTCCCGGCCTGCCCTGTTCAGCACCGTATGTACTGCATCCGGGATGGAGTGTGCACTCAGTAAAGGTTCCCCAGATGGATGCAGATACCATGTGAGGGTTCACATATTCCTAAGGTTTTCTCTCTGCTCCCAGTGGTTCTTAGGCCAGAGGACATCAGGAGGGTCATTCACTGCTCTGGCAGAGTAGGTGAGCTGAACTGGGACAGAGCAACTGTGACCAAGAGATGGTGTATCGCAACCATTCCTTCTGAATCAAGAGAGAAGGCGAGACCGTCTCTCAGGGCTAGGATTTGTCAATGGAGGAGTAAACTGAGTAGGACTTGAGGTCTGGACTGTGCTGAGCCACCACGTCACACGGGATGCTGGGATTCCCTCCCCTTTCAAGACCTGCCCCTTCTCATAAAGCCCCCATCACACGCCTTGACCACATTTATTAACCCAAATAGTTGTTTCCCTTCTCCCACCGGCCCCAGCTCCTATTCCAGGGAGGGATAGGCCATCCAGATACTGATGAGAAGGACTCTGGCAACGCCCCAGTACCAACCTTGACCCTCTGTCCTGATGGCCAAAAGGCATGTCCAGGCCAGGCCTCTGAGTCGAGAGAACCAAGCTGACTGTGTGCTTTCAGGTGGCACCAGGTATAATCACCTGAGCCATTTCATAAGAGTAAGGTCTCCAAAGGAAACCTCAGACTTCAAGCTTCCATCAGATGGGGGGCTTCCATTGTGCACAGGGTAGCCACACTCATCCATGTTAGACCCTCTTACGCAGGGAGCTCTGGGCTTGCTTTAGATGCTGTCCCTAACTTATTATGCAACTTTGGGTGGGTTCCTACCCTTCTCTGAACTTCAGATAAGGGAGTTAGAACTCTTGAGTCCTCTTCAGCTATGATGTTTTAGAACCCTAGAATTTGAAGACTCCTCCAGAGTCTAAAATACACACACAAGACCAGAATACACACACGCGCACATGCACGCTCAAACCTGTAGACCCTCTCTATGTGCTGCCGTTTACCCAGGACTACGTGCATAATAGATGACTTCATCTACTCCTTCCAACAGTCAGATGAGCTGGGCTCGGGGGCGACTATCATCTCCATTTTACAGAGAACACTGAGTCTCATAGAACTGAAGACGCCTACTCTGAGTCCCATTGCTAACAAGCCACAGGCACTCACTACCAGATCCTTCTGACATCTGGGAACACGCTGGAAATCTTGCAAACATCTCCAGACATGTACAGCTCCATGCACTTACACAGACACACACAGGCATACACACTCAACACCCCCCATCAGCCCCCAGGAAGTGGGGACTCTTTATTATAAACAGCAGAGTCAGTTTGATCTAAGAGGTCTGGAGAGTTTACAAGCATTCTTTCTGCACCTATTCATGTCTCAAGAGCCCTCAGTGACATGATTGTATCTCAGATTCAGGGGCCTATGGAGATTGATGCAACAAGGTTGGGTGTGATTCTTCTAGCTGGGGCGTGTACTCTTTTCCCCAGTGGGCAAACCGGGGCATACAACCTCTTGTTTCAGACCCATCTGGATTCCAGTACTACTGTACTAACTGGCTGGCTGGGTGACCCAAAGCCAATGACTTCACCTCTGAGAATCTCATTTTCCTCAATTATAACATGGGGCTACAAAGTTGGAGCAGGGATGGCAGGATAGAAAGTGTGTAAAGCGCAGTATTTGGCATTGGATTCAAGGGCGCTGAAAAGGTTAGCTGCTGTTATCATAATCTTCATTTTTCATTCATTCATTCGATAAACATTTACCGAGTTTTCATGCTCCAGCACCATTCTAGGCACAGGAAGAATGAGACAGACAACATCCTTTGCCCTAAAGGAGTTTACATTCTAATTAAGGAGGTATAAAAACAAAGCAAACAAAAATAACATCTGGGCTGCAAGGAGAGAGGAATGGGGAGTTGCTTAATGGGTACAGTTTCAGTTTTGCAAGATGAAACATTTCTGGATATTGATTGCACAACAATGTGAATGTACCTAACGCTATCGAACTGTACACTTAAAATTGGTTAAGATGGTAATTTTATGTTATATGCTTTTTAACCACAATTAAAATAAAATCTTTTCAGAAACAGAGAGAAAATGTCTAGTAGTGATCAGTGCTGTGAAGAAAAGGAAGTAAAGTTACAGACAGAGAACACGGCATTGGGGAGGGATGGTGAAGAGAGGGTGGGATCAAGCAAAGGCTGCTCTAAGGAGATGAATGGGATGAACACAGGGCTGGCTCCATGGAGAAAGGCAGTGCAGGCAGAGGGAACAGCAAGTGCAAAGGCCCTGAGGCAAGAATGCCCTCAAGTGGCTTGGAGGGAACACAGGAAGGCCTGTATGACTGGAATAGAGTGGGTGAGAGGGTGAAGGATGGCGGTGGTTGGAGAAGCAGGAGGTCAGAGCATGCTGGCGGTGATATGATGCAAAACCACAGAAGCTCTTCGAGCAGGGAGGTAGCGCGACATGATGTAACTAACAGCCGTGATCATCATTTTTCCACCTGGAGCTTGCAGATTAGGAAGAACAAGTGAAACTTTTTCCCAGTGAAGAGCTGAATGGAGCCTTGCACTCTTGGTTATGTGACTCTGTATGAGTAATTATCCTCTCTGAAGCTCACTCTGCCGTATTCTACCTGCCTGCAAAGATCCAATGGAGTAACAGGGCAAGAACCCCAAGAGAACCATAATGTGGGGTCCAGGGGGCCCTTGGCCATCACCAGCTCCTGTGGCTTCATCTGCAGCCACAAGAACTCTGCTGAAAACCAATTCTTCAGCCCCCAAACCTCCCCACAAAGGAAGCAGAGGCATTTCTCCAGTGAAATCCCAGGAGAAGATTTCAAGTAAACCCTTTTACTCAGGATGCAGCTAAATGGAAGTGAATGATCATCACGGGCATGCACAGTGGCAGGCCCTATGCCTGGCTCAGCACTGAAGCCTTCACATATCAGTTCATGGACTCCTTGCTATCACTCCTAGGAGGCAGAAATTACCATACACATTTGCCAGTTGAGGAAACTGATGTTCAGAGGGGTAAAGAGACTTTGCTGAGGCCACACAGCTTTCTAGGGGCAGCGCCTGGCCTGTGACTCCAATCCCGCATCCTTAGCCATCAAAAAGCATGGGATGAAACATGCTCATTGAGGCCTAAGACCTGCCTAGAAGAGCCACAAAGCCACTCAAGGAGAGATCCCCTTATAGATGCGCCTCCCTGGGATGAAAGCTTCACATCATTGCAGCATTATTCAGGCAGAGGTCAGTCATGAAACCCTGGAGTAACTGAGTTGAAAGAGCCCCAAACCATTAGTTTGACAATCTCCTTTCTCACTGGACGGACTGAGAAACTGAAGCTCAGAGAGGGGAAGGGACTTGTCCAAAGTTACCTAGCAAGTTATGGCCAAGCCAGTACTTTTCCCTAGGACTCCAGACCCATTGGGATATACAATTTCTAGGTATCTCTTGATCAAGGGACCCTGAAGGGCCTTGAACATTGCCGTGAACACCCCAGTTTCTCCTGGATGGCCAGGAGCAGAAGAGCGAGCATAGCCAAGGCGGGAGGTAGGCGGTGGGAGGTGCTTATGCTCCCTGGAAGCATCTTAACAATGTTTACCAGCTGGGGCCAGCAAATAGCTTCAAATGACAGGGCCCCAGACCTGCAAGAATCTAAACCATTATCTTGTGCAGCGCCCCGCCAATTATGGGGCGGGTGCTGACCGCAAGAAGTGGGCCCGTGGGCAGTGACTTTCCAGTTTGCGATCGGTGCCTGACTGGCACTAAGGGAGAGGGAATGTTTCGGGGAGCTCCAGGGAACGTGGTGTCTGCAAGGGGCCTCTGGCTGCCCAGCAGGCGGGTCTCCACAGAACCTGTGTTTATAATAGAACTCGGTCTATATTTTGGTTTGGGAGCCAGATGAATCATTGCTTACAATGCGCAAGGAGAAACCAGACATCACCTCACTGTTGCTACAAACCGTCTCCCCGTCTGGCTGGGCTGCTTTCTGGGCTTTGGGCAGGGAGGGGAGGGGTCCCGTCCTTGCCTGGGGGTCCTAGGGACCCATATGTACTCAGACATCGGCTGTCCACCGAGGCTCCACCTCCGCCTGTGCAAGGCCTCAGCTCCCCTTGTAGTTGACATGAAACTCACCAAGCTTGCTTAGCTCTCCATGAATCTCTGCTGAACTTCGCTACCTCCCGGGCAGCCCACACCCCAGACTGGGCCATCAGCAGGACAGAAAGAATCAAAGAGTGAGAAACACATGCCTAGAGTAGAGGGTCTTATTATGTGATGCTGGACAAGGTGCCTCTCCGGGCCTCAGTTTCCCCAGCTGGCCTCTCCAAGTGTCCTGTGGGCTCAGAAATTGTAGGATTCCAAAGTCTGTGGCTAGTCAAAAAGCACAGTCCATCATGGCACAGCCAGGTGTCTGACACCCAACTCTGCTCCGTGGATGCCTGAGACGGCTCCAGGCAGGAAGGTATATTTTCTGCATGGCTCATTCATTCATCCAGTTATTCATTCATCAAACAAATGTCTGTTGAGTCCCAGCAATGACCAAGACCTTGTGTTAGGCACTAGAGATACACCAGTGAACAGAAAAAACTCTCTACCTTCTACAAGGGGATGTGGGCATTAAATGCATATTAGGTGGAATGAAGAAGAGTGCTAGAAGAATATAGATGCACCCAGCCAGAGGAGGTGACATTGTAAACTGAGGCTTGGGGGAGGAGCAGGACTTGGACAGGAGACACAGGATGGGATAGGAGGGATGCCAGTGGGTATGGGCTGCAGAAGCAGGGGAGCCTGGAGAAGTTTCTTGAGAGGAACTCTATGGAATTGGGGGTGCCACACTCAGGCAGAACCGGGAGTTCAGCAGAAAGGTGGGAAATTGTCTCAGGCAGCCTCCATCACATTTCCCCAGACACACTTCCAGATGACCCCTGTGCTCTCCCATTTTATTACAGCTTCCACGGATAATGGCCAACTCAGGCAGCATTCCTGCTAGGGGGCAGGGTGGGGGCAACAGGAGGGAGCTGGGGGGATGTCAGGCTGGAGAGAAGCAAGTCAGGTTTTGATTTGAGTAGCAGTTTTGTTCCATGCATCATGTCTATCTGGGGCAGTATGGTAAGAAAGATTCAGGGGCTGTGTCAGGACTTGGCCAGAAAGATCAATTCGTGAGGCTTGCCAGAGGTGAGGAGCGAGGGAGTTGAATGTGGTCAGCACTGCGCTAAGCCCCACGTGGGAAACAAAGATGAACAGGTTGGGTTCTGTCCACTGTCCAGTCTAAGCAATGTGTTGACACTAGTGGGTTGCCCACTAGCCCAAAGAGGCCGAGAAGGGAGGCCAAATGGTCAGGAAGTGAGGCGTCACTTCTGCCTGGAGGTGCTGGGGAGCGTTCTTGAAGAAGATGCTATTCTTCTCTAAGAACAGAACCAAGGAGTAGGCACATGAGGATGAGTGTGGAGGAGAGGGCATGCCTGGGGAGGGCACAGCAGAAGCAAACACAGGGAGGCAGGAAGGCCCAGGGTACACGGGATTGGATGGGGCCAGGGTTTCTACACAGCGGGGGCCAGGGAGGCAGGAAGGCCCAGGGTATATGGGATTGGATGGGGCCAGGGTTTCTATACAGCAAGGTTTCTCAACACTGACTTTGTGGGCTGAACACATCTTGTATGTGTATGGGAGGGAAGGGCTATCTCGTGCACTGCAGAATGTTTAGCAGTATTTCTGGCTTCTACTCATTAGAAGCCAGTAGCACCTCCCTCCCAGTTGTAGGTAATGGCCAAAAATATCTCCAGACACTGCCAACTGTTCCCTGGGGGGCAAAATCACCCCAAGTTGAGAACTACTGGTCTACAGGAAAGAAAGCAGGAGGGTTAGATGAGAGAAAGCATGGGAGGTGCACATGGAGTTCTGGCAGCCTTCTTGGCTAGTGGAGGGTGGTTAGCTGGAAACTAGCAAAATGACTAGTGCTACCAGATTGGCAAGACCTTCTTCAGATGCTTCTCTTCGTGATCATCATGATCATTATTTATTCATCACACAAATACATACAAAGTGCCAGCCGTGTGCCAGCCCTGTGCTGAGGGCAGGGATATTACATCTCATTTAATCCTCCCAACCACCTCATGAGGCAGCTGAGGCCCAGCAAGGTGAGGCAACTTGCCCAAGCTCACACAGCAGGAGAGGGACAGAGCGGGGATTCCATCCAGGTCTATCTGACCTGGTTTGCGTGTCTTCCCCACCTTGGGAACTGGCCCAGCAAATTCCTTCCACAAGTATCTCAGGCGGTGGCAGAGAAACAAACCTTCTCGGGCAGGCAGCCTCTTTTTTTACCAGATGGACACTGTCTTGTTTGAGAAACTGTTTCAATCAGCCTTGTGGTGACAGAAAGGGCCTGAGGGTCAGAAGACCTGGGTTCGAATCCTAGCCCTGCAGCTTAGAAACCCATGGAAGGTATTTCCATTAAATTGGTGCCTCTCATTCTTGACTGCATGTGGGAAACACCTGGAGGCCTTTTAGAGCTACTGATGCCTGAGTCCCACTCAGACCAGCTGAGCCAGAATCACCACGATGGGGCTTGAGCTCCCCAGCTGGGAGCCACTGCTGTAGACTGCACCCTCCAACCAAAACTCCCTTTCTCTTGCTAATTTTTCTCCATAGCCCTTTCTGTCTTATAGTGTACCTTTTATTTTTACTGTTTTTCTTTGTATCTTCTGTCTCCCCACACCCCCACAAGGATGCAGGCCCTGTGGGGCAGGGATTTTTGTCCATTCAGCTCAGTGGCTGGCACATTATAGGCATTCAATAATTCTTGTTAAATAAATGAATAAATAGGATTATCTGTGTTGCCTCAGAATGACAAAAATTCAATGTGCTGGTAAGCACGAAGAGGAAGCTAACCTCACCTCTTATCCACTCACTTCCCTTCTCCCCTCAAGGTTTCCCACAAGAAATAATGCAGAAAAGCCACACTGCAAGATCAGAGCCAAGTGGCTGCTATTGTCACCAAAGATGTGTGTGATAGGAAAGACCATCTACAATGGTGGCCCCAGGCACATTGCCCATGGCAGTGGTTCTCTTCTCTGATCCCCACCACTGGTCAGGGGTCTCTGCCTTGGGACCTGAGCTCCCCGACACTTCGCCCAGCACCCTCTGTAAGTGGGTGACGCCAGCCTGCCACAGACGAAACTCTTCTGTGCATGTCTAGGCCAGGGCCAGAGGGGAGCTCAGAGCAATTGGCTTTGCCAAATAGTTTTCCAGCTGCGCAGTGGCTTTTCCTTAACTTGGAGAAGCTGCCTCTCCCTGCTCAGGTGAGTTGGCTCCTCTTGGTTGGGGGTCCTTGGCCTCCCCGGACATCTGCTTAATGCAAGGAGCCCTGGCACCCCAGGGAGGAGCTGGTTCCAGTCTGGTTTCCCCATCTCCTGCCACCTCTGCTAGGCTGCCACCCCCATGCAGAACAAGACCACCCGAGGCTGCTTTATGAGCTGGGACCGGAAGGAGCCTTTTCCACTCACACCTCATCCATCAGAAAGCGCTAGAGCCCAGAGAGGAAGTAAGTGGGGAGCGCAAGTCCCTCTGTGTTCTGTGAGCCAGAAAGGACCATGTTTCCCAGCTCACAAACAGCCACTGCTTCTGGGGTGGGCCTCTCAGGTTGAAGGTATGGCCTGCTCTGGCCATGGAGAAGGGAATGGGGGAACGAGGTCCTGCAAGGC
Source organism: Homo sapiens (assembly GCF_000001405.40). Lineage (NCBI taxonomy): Eukaryota > Metazoa > Chordata > Mammalia > Primates > Hominidae > Homo > Homo sapiens. The sequence goes on along the minus strand of NC_000009.12, from coordinate 114,197,304 downwards.
CCCCTGTGTCATGGGGCTCTCAAGGCAAGAACAGGATGGAGCTGGGAGACACCCCAGCTGTCCAGATGAGAGCCAGATGGCCTAGAGAGAGTTCAGCTGTGGCCACAGCTGGGAGCCAGGGCAGAAGCTTAAGACACAGTGGTAGGCCGATGGATTCACCAGACAATCCATCAGCGGTTGGGGATTTTCTTGGAAAAAGCAATCGATCCTTAGTCTGCATTGCCTTCCCCCCATTTCCTGAACACCTGCTATGCACAGGCTTCATGCTAGGCTCAGTAGGAAGAGCAATAAACCAGATTTGCACACCCTGGTTGGTGAGGCATGCCTGGTGGCTCAAAATAACTAAGCCAAGACAGCTTAAGTGTTCTTGAGCAGAGAGGAGCCTCATGGCCTGAAGCTGGGTGCTCCAGGAGGACTTCCTGGAGTAGGCACAACTAGAGTAGAGTCTTGAAGGAAGGGAGACACAGGCTGGAGGAGTCACAGAAATCCAGGGGGACTGTAAGTTACAGACCCACTACCCAGGAAATGCCAGTCTTTTCCTCACACAGGCGTTTGGACAGGTAACTCCCCCAGCATGGCTGAAATGGGGATGGGATGGGCGTGACATAACAACAGCCAGCAAGATAGAGAGAACCCACTGCCTCTCCAGATCATTCCCCTTCCCCTTCCCCTGCAGAGCATCAGCGAGGGCCGCATATTAGACTCTGAGAGCTCACTGACTTGCCCAAGGTCACCCAGCCAGGAAATGGCAGAAGCAGGAGTAGGACCCAGGTCCAACTGACCCCAGGGTCCACTCCCTCAACTTCTCCGCTCCAGGCCTTGCTCCTGGTCACACAGCCCCAGACTGTGCAGGGTCAGAGACGGGGATCATTGTCTCCATCTCATGTAGGAGGAGGCTGAGGGGCAGAGACAGGACTCGCAGGCCCACGGCCTCTCAGACAGTGGGTGGTGGAGCCAGGGCCAGCACAGGTTACTCCATCACCACAGGCTTTCTTGAAGGTGGCCTCCCTGGGAGCGGCTGGGCCCCCAAAAGGAAGGACAGCAAACCAAGGATACTTCCTATGCTACCTCATTAACCGTGGTGGGAGGCACCTACTACGAGCCGAGGTATTCCCTGCCCTCAACAGGCACAACCCTTGGAAAGCTCTCTCACCTCTCACCCATGTACCCTGTGCCCAGGGGAGCTGGGCTGGGGCTGGGGAGAGGCAGGTGGGCCCACAGCTCTTCTGCCTGAAGACCTGGCTTGCTAGGAGGCCCACTGCGCAAGGCAAAGCATCAAAACCAAACAGTACCTTTCGTCCCGGAGGTCCTGGATTCCCGGAGAGCCCAGGCAAGCCCATGTCACCCTGGAAGACACAGACAAGGTGGGTGAGGCAGGAAAACGGGAGCAGAGACACTCTGCTACACTCTACAAATTGGAATGGTAACTTCCAATGGCTGGTTGTTTCCAAATGAGATTCATAGAGAAGTAGAGGCCTCAGAGGAGACTCGGGGGCTGCCCAGCAAGAAGAGTGAGTGGTGTACCCAGCCCCTTCCCCACTCAACTCAGCGGCTCCATCTGATCTATTTTACATACTGGGCTTCAGCAGAAGACACCACTTGAAGAATGGGTTCCGATACTAAAACCACGTTTGAAAACTATGCTCCAGAGGACATGTGCCTTATCAGTCCCATATCAATCAGCCATCTCTCCCTGCAGTCCTAAGACACCTTCCATTGCTGGGCATGCCACTGGCCAAGCAGGGGGCATTTCTGCCACCACCCCAAGACCTGAGAACAGGCCACACAGGAGCAGGAGGGAAGCCTGGGCTCCTGGGTGCCGATCTCATTTTGCCACTTATCAGCTGCATGACCTCCAGCAAGCCACCCCTGCCTAGGCCTCCGTTTTCTCATTTGTAAGCTGGGCCCGTCTGTCCTGGCTCATGGGGTATGATGGGGGTCAAGTGGTAGTATATGGGAACACTCTCCTGGGACCCTGGGTCACCCAGTAAATATGTGCTAAGTGCAAACACCTAGCAGTGAGGATGTGAAGAAATAAGCAACTCGTGTCTTGGGGAAATCAAAGAAAGCAGCCAATTCTAGGTGCCTTTAAGCACAGGAGGCTGGGCTGAGAAGCAGTGTTCCATCCATCAGGATGGCTCTGGGGCTGTGTCCAGAAGGAAGTCAGGCAGACCTGGGCATTGCTTCCAGGGTGTGTGTGCCTGGAAGACTGACACACTGGACAATCTCATTTGGAGTTCTGGGCTCCCCTCTTCCCATCTGTCCTGCACTCCCTCCAAGTCCCTTGCTCAGTTTATGGGGTGGATGCTTCAGAGACGGATGAAGGCCTTTAGCCAAAGTGTTTTTCCTTCTGCAGGCAAGCCTGGTTTCATAGCCCTTCAGAGTTAGGGAGCCCTGAATCTCTAGCCTCCTAGAAATCCACAGACCCGTCTGCTGGAGTTAACCTCAGCAAAGGCTTTGAGTGTCTATTGGAAGCTTCCTGGCCATGTGCTACCAAGAAACTTCTGGATGCCCACAGTCACCTAGCAGACCCCGCAGAAAGCCATGCAGGACATTAGGCAAAAGGACATTCACCAAGCGTGTGTCCATAGGAGAAATCTTTTGTCAGTTTTGTTGGTTGCATTCTGGAAAGAAGGTGGCTGGGAATAACCTTGGGTGGGTTTGGTGTTGGGAAAGGCTAAAGGACTTCAAGGAAAAAACCAAACCATACCCTAACCCTTCCAGATGTTCCCACCTCCCTGCCTTTGCCATGCATGGCCTCTGGCAGGACAGCTAGCTTTAAAGTGTGGCAATTTCACTATCATCCACTCCCCTCTTCCCTGAGAACTGGGGTCCCTGGAAACCTACCTTTGCCCCATCGTGGGCCTTTCCTGGTGAGAGCCCTGGGTCCCCTTTCTGTCCCTGAAACAAAAACAATTCCACTTTGGCCACCAAGTCATCTAGAAAGGATGTCTGCCTCCCCACAAACTCTGCTCAAAGCCCTGCTCCCTTGCTTAAATGCCTTCCCATCCATCCTCCCACTCACACACCTCCAGAGGGTCTTCTCCAATTCTACTACTCCCCTGCTCTAACACCTTCCACAGCTTCCCCTGACTGCATGGTGACAAAGTCCAAGTTCCTCCTTCTGCTATCCCAAGTCTTCTGTAATCCAGCCAGTCCCAGGCACCCTATCTAGACTCTGCTCTCCTTTCAGCAGCCAAACCCACAGAGAGGGTCCCTCTGCTCTATCCTCAAACCACAGCCCACGCCCCAGCCATGTCCCACACTGTCCTGCGACCAGGCTGTTGCTCAGGCAGTCACCCACACCTAGAAACCCCTTCTCCAATCATCGTTAGCCAAACCACAAACATTCTTCAGTTCACAGCTGGAATGTGTCCTTCACATCCTACTTGTAGAGCTCTGCGTCCATCCTCCAGGTGACCAGTCTCTGCCCGTGCACGTGGCCAGGACTGTCTCCTGGCTTGTTCCCCTGGGGCTCTCAGGGGTTTCTGAGAGACATGTCCAAGAGGCGTGTCAATACTTTTTGATTTTCCAGAATGTTGATATCCATTTCATGGGTCTCTACATGAGGTTCAATGCACGAACAGCCACTTACAGGTGTGTACAGCCCTTCACAGTTGGCACTATCCCTCACCGCACTAGATTTCTACAATCTAGTGAGGCAAAGGAAGCATTATTCCTCTCATAATATATTTGGGAAAACTGAGGCTAGGAGAAGGAAAGGGACTGTCTAGGGCCTCAAGATGAAGCATTGGCAGAGCTGAGATTATAATCCTGACTGGTGACTCCCAGACCTGCGTTCCAGGATGCCCTGGCTCCTGCTGAGTTAGAACAGGCAGTAACTTGAGGAGAAACTGACAAGCAGTGAGTCCCCCATCAGAGGCAAGCACTCTTTGTGCCTAGCATAGGGGACAGTCCCTGTCACACAGATCCTGGCTCCTGAGAGCATGGGGCTCGGGAAAAGGGCCCACAGGTTCACCAGCCATGTCTGTCACGGGGTGCTCCTGGCTGCGGCTCCTCTCCTTTGGCCAAACCTGATCAGATGACTCAGGAAACAGCCCTGTGGAAAGTCAGTCCACCCTGTGTCACCTTCTAAGAGCTCTTAATCTTTGTCCCCATTCCTATCCCACCTTGAGCCCTCTCCCCTCCCTGCCTCAGCTGGGCCCAGAGTCAGAAGTCCTGGACCTGCCAGACTCACAGTGGGACCTCAGGCAAGTCACTGCACCTTCCTGAGCTCAGCTCCCTCACCTTTAAAGTGGGGACCACACATGCGCACACACATACACGTGCACACACACACAAACACACGCCAGCTTCCCAGGTTTCCAGGCAAGGAGCCAGTGGGATAATGGTCATAACACATGGGAAGGGTGGTTTGGGCAACTTTAATTAATTCCCACTCAGTTCTTTTCTTCATTAGAACTCAGATTTTCCAAATCCTGACTCGGTCACCCTCCACCAGACATCACTGCATTCTGAACTAGAAAGTGCCTCCAGAAGGGAAAGGAATGAGCTTTTGCTGCTCACCTACTATGTGCAGACACTGAGCTAGCCCCACTCTGTGCACCAACTCCTTTAGTCCTCATAGCACCCATTTGTTCCAAGGAAGGACAAAGGTGGGTTCAGAGAAGGCCAAGTCCCAGCCTGGGCTGGCCTTCCCTGGCAGGGAAGAGACAAAGGCTGAGTCTGTCCCCAGGCTAGGTCTGACTTCAAAGCCCCATTTGCAAATGGGAGGCCTGGGTGCTTCTCCCACACTCCCCATCCCCCCAGCAACCCCAGGCTGAAGGTCCCCAGAACTCCAACTCTGTCCATCTGGGCCCCTCCAGGTCATATCTTCTGCAGAACCTCACCTCTGGGATTCACCTTGCACTGCAGCTGCTCCTCCCGGACACCCTCCCACCCTGGGCTGTTCAGAAGCCCAGCTCAATGCCTTTTATGTCCATGGTACAAGGCCAGACCTAGGGCTACCGAGGATTCCAATGGCCAAAAAAGGACAGCAGCTCTTTCTCAGCCAGCCTGTGCCCACCTCGATCTGCAGCTGATAGAGGAGCTGGGCTTAACAAGCTTTCAGGGCTGGGCCTTCAGGTATCCCATTCTGTTATCTTACAAAAAAAGGAAACTGAGACCCAAAATGATGACTTGCTCCCTTGCCCAAGGTCCTTACCCAGGGCATTTTAGTTATTCATGGATGTCTCTCTGCATTCTCAGCAGCCAGCACAGTGCTCAAGATGCAATGCCTGCCCGAGTATGATACCTACAAGTACAGATGCTACAAGCCAAATCTCAAGTTGAACAGAAGACAGGGAATGCCATGGTGGGGAACAGACACACTCATGTCCATGATGGAAAAACCAGAGAGACCAGTGATGATGATAAGCATTAATATTTACTGTGTGCTCCTTAAGCCCTGGACACATATTAACTCATTTAATCCTCCAAATCCATAAGTTGGCAACGATCACTATCCCCCTTTTACAGAAGAGGAAGCTAAGGCACGGTAGGAATAAGTCACTTGTCCAAGGTCATACAATTAGAAAGTTGGATTTAGTCATTCTATTACAAAGATACATGCACTTGTATATTCATTGCAGCACTATTTACAATAGCAAAGACATGGAATCAACCTAAATGCGCATCAGTGATAGACTGGATAAAGAAAATGTGGTACATATACATCACGGAATACTATGCAGCCATAAAAAGGAATGAGATCACGTCCTTTGCAGGGACATGGATGAAGAAGCCATTATCCTAAGCAAACTAATGCAGGAACAGAAAACCAAATACTGCCTGCTCTCACTCATAAGTGGGAGCTGAACAATGAGAACACATGGACGCACTGGGATGAACAACATACACTGGGGCCTGTCGGTGGCAGGGGAGTAGGGGTAGGGAGAGCATTAGGAAAATTAGTTAATGCATGCTGTGCTTAATACCTAGGTGACGGGTTGATAGGTGCAACAAACCACCATGGCACACGTTTCCCTATGTAACAAACCTACACATCCTGCACATGTGGCCCGAAACTTAAAATAAAAATTAAAAATTAAAAAAAAGAAAGTGGGATTTAGGTTCTTGCAGTCTGGTTCCAGAGCCTGAACTCTTTACATTTTGATATACTGCAGATGAAAAACTACAATCCGGTGGTAAGTGGAGGACAGGAAGAAGTTGGAGAGAACTTCACCTAGACGGAGGTAAATCCTTGAAGGGAGTTACAGCTAAGTTGAGGCTGGAAAAAGACAAGGAGGAACCAGATGAAGTGGCGGCTTAAGGGATGCTCAAGGTACCCCTAGACAGGTGAAGGTATGACTTCTGGGATAGAGCACACTATATGTCTTCCCAGCCAGGCTCCTGCAAATCTTCCAATAAGAAATATAAGTTATATACAAAGTCTAACTAACCATTTACACCTTCATAGAAACAAGAATCTTGTTGCCAGACCAGCTCTCCAGCCAATGAGCTTGTGTGACCACGACAGAGCCTGTGTGACCTTGAGCAAGCCACTTTCCCTCTCTGTATGTGAAATGGCAGACTCTGCCTGGATTAGTTAACAGAGCCAGGTGGTACTAGAAGACAGATGGGAGCCTTAAGTGCCAAGAACATAGCAGGAATGGGAACTATGGTGAATACCTTTCCTGCAGGTAGGGTTGGGAAATAGAACAGAAGGCTTGGGTGGCTGAGGCCCAGAGATGGGGTGAGACAAGGGAGGAATAAATCACAAAAGATTTGGAAATTCTGGCCAGGCATGGTGGCTCATGCCTGTAATCCCAACACTTTAAGAGGCCAAGGAAGGAGGATCACTTGAGCCCAGGAGTTCTGGACCAGCCTGGGCAACAAAGTGAGCCCGTCTCCACAAAAGCAAAAAATTTAGCTGGGTGTGGTGGTGCACACCTGTAGTCCCAGCTACTTGGGAGGCTGGGTGGGAGGACTGCTGGAGTCCAGGAGGTCAAGGCTGCAGTGAGCTATGATAGCACCACTGCACTCCAGCCTGGATGACAGACCAAGACCCTGTCTCAAACAAACAAATAAATGAATAAATATTGAGAAATTCTGAGCTGGAAGCCTCCTATATATGTCATCCTTGGTCTCAGTATCTGGCACAGGGCCTGGCCCAGAGAAGTCAACATAAAATGTTTCACAAATGAGCAAATGAGTGAACAGAGTCTCAAGAGACAATGGTAGGGATAGGAATGGGTCAAATCTGGCTCCTGCCCCAGAACTGTCTCTGAATTTTCACTAGGCCTCTCACTATCAGTACGACTATTTTCATGGGTCTAGAAGTTCTGGACAATGCAATAAGGCAGGAAAAATAAATAAGAACTACTAACCTTTGAGGAAAATGAGACAACAATATGTTCTTTTCTGCAAATAATGTGAATGCCTATCTATAAAATCCAGGAGACCCAACAGAAATACTAATAGAATTAATAAGGTGATTCAGTAAGGGGATGGTTATAAATTAAATACAAAAAGTAAAAAAATACAAAAATCAATAGTTATTTTCACTAGATGAGAGCTATCTAGAAAATATAATGGGGAGAATATTCCATTCAGGACAGCAAAAAAATATATAAAATTTCTAAGTATAAACCTAATAAGAAATGTGCAGGGCTTATGTAATAAAAACCATTAAAGTTTACTAAGAGACATTGTAAAAATTCAACCAAATAGGAAGACATGCCATGTTTTTAGATAGAAAAATGTAATATTTTAAAGACGGCAATTCTTCACAAATTAATATATGTATTTAATTACAATTCCAGTAAAAATCCCAAGCGTTTTTTCAAGGAAATTATTAAGATAGGCATAAGGTTCATCTGATAGAATAAATAGCCAGAAATGTTTTAAATGAAGAAAAGAAGGAGGATACACAGAATAAAGATAGTAAATGTCATATAATTGGTATTTTACTAGCATAAAAATAAATAAACAATGAAACATAATACAATGGCTTGTATTAGACCCATGTCTATCATAGAGTAAACAGTGGAGGAAAGATGGTTTAACAAGTGGTTAACTGTTGGAGGAGAAATAATGCTGGAGCCCAACTTCATTTCCATCACCCCCATTAACATGAATTCCAGATGGTTTTAATTTTTTAAGAGTACAAATGATTTTATGAAATTACAAGGAATATAAATGAATACCTATCTGACCTTAAAATGGGAAAAACATTCCTATGTATAAAAGCAAAATAAAGAACCACAGATTTTATAGATGAATAGAGCCCTCCTGAGATTATCTGACACATTATTTTTTTTAAAGGATAACATTTCTATTTGTGAAAATCATCATGAATACTCTTAAGAAGCAAACAACAAACTAGAAAATATTTGTAAGGTGGATGAAGCCTTAATAACCTCAAAATAATGTTTACAAACCAATAACAAATGGCAACATCCCAACCTTCCAAAATAAACCCACTCATAAGTGGTGAAGTACAAATGGAAAAGAGATTTAAGAAAAACATACATCTCATAGATGATCAATGAAGTGAAAATGATAATAAATTATCTTCTTTTAAAAATATCTTCCTTTAATGCTAGCAGCAGCATAAATCAGTTTAACCTTTCTAGAAGGCAATTGCTAATAAAATAACAGCTAAGCACTTATATGTCTCTCATGTGCAAGGCATATTATAAATCATTTGTATATATGTGTATGTATGCCTGTGTATGTATATACAAATATATCTTGGTATATGTCTTGATATATGTCTACATATACATATATAAATACACATATATGTGTGCACATACACACACACACAGTTTAATCCTCAGAACAATCCTATGAGGTATGAACTATGATCATCCTTGTTTTACAGAAGTGGAAGCTGAGGCCCTCCAAGTTTTAAGTAACTTGCCCAAAGTCATACAAGCAGCAAATGGTAGTGAGGTGGGAGATGAGACTTGACTCTGGAGGCAGGGCTTGGACTTGGGACCAAATTGAGGACTAGCTAAAACAGGCATGAGGTAGAATCACCTCTCAGGTGACAACCTGAAAGTGACTGCCCCTTTCCATGGCAATGACCTGATGACCTGGAAGTTACCACCACTTTTCTAGAAATGTCTGCATACTCTGCCTCTTAATTTGCATATAATTAAAGGTGGGCATAAATATGACTGCAGAATTGCCTCTGAACCGTTACTGTCAGCACACTGCCTATGGGGTAGCCCTGCTGTGCCGGAGCAGTCACGGAGCTGTACTGCCACATCAATAAAGCTGTTTTCTTCTACCACCAGCTGGCTGTTGAATTCTTTCCTGAGTGAAGCCAAAAACCCTCCCAGGCTAATCCCCAATTTGGGGCTTGTCTGCCCTGCATCAGTAGAGCCAGGATTCAAACTTGGGCACACTGACTCCTGAGACCACATCAGCAATTCTATTTTTGATGAACTTATCCTAATGAAATAATTGGAGATATTCTAACATTTACATACAGTAATGTTAATCAAGATAATATTTGTATATTAATTTAAAGTGGAACTGATTTTTTTTTACTAATGGAGTAAGTTATATAAAGCATGGGATATTAGTGTTGATAAAATGCCATGAAGCTATTAAATCATATGTGATGGATGCCAAGTTGCTAACACAGGAGAATGTTCACAATAATTGTTAAGTGAGGAAGGCCAGATACCCAGCCACTACAAAGTGGATCCACACTCACATATGTGACACACACAGGGAAGACCAGAGAGCTGTGGAGCTGAGGGCTAGATTGACACCTTGAGGTCAGACAGTTGAGGGTTTGAATGCGTGCTCTGCCACTTACTAGAAATGTGACACTGGGCAAGTTATTTAGCATCTTGGACCTATTCCCTCATCTGTAAAATGGGGGTAATAATACCTGCCCTGCAAAGTACATAAAGCTCTTGGCCGGGGCCTGGCCCAAAGGTTGCTCAAAGTGCTCTCAGAGCTTATTACTGGGCAGGACCACTACAGATAGCTCACTTTCTTCTTGACATCTTCTGGACTTCTCCATATTTTCCTTGGGTGGCTGAGGCCCAGGGTGGGGCTGAGACAAATGAGCACTAAATCACAAAGGATTAAAATATTCTGGGCTGGAAGCCCCCTGCATACTCCATCTCTGATCTCAAGTGCCCAGCACAGGGCCTGGCCCAAAGGAAGGAACATTAGAGGAAGAGGAAAGGTAAAGCTCACACTAGCTCTGCCAGCAGCCACCTGGGCCATGGAGCCTGCCCTCTGCTGACCACATCTCCTTCCCAGTGTCTGAGGGCCATATCATCCTGGCTAGTTCACTGCAGACCAAGTGGACCAGACCAGAGACAAGGTGGCTGGCTGCTCAAGAGTGGAACCAGGAGCCTCATGGCCCAGTGCAGGGAGCACTGGCGGGGAGCACTAGCTTCCCTATCCAGAAGGAGACCCCCACCTCTGCCCTAGAGCTCCTCATTTGCACCAAGGACCTGCATCCCACCTGACTCCACCATGGTCCAGCATCAGCACCCTGCCCCAGGGGCAGCTCCAGCCCTCCATCTGGCCACCAGCCAAGCTCTGCTTCTCAAATGGCCTAAATGGCGTTTGCAGACCTCATCCAGTCATGTCAATTCTGCTGAAATCCTTTCCAGGTCTTCCAGCTGCTCTTTGGATAAAGTCCGAAAATCATACCGCAAACTACCAGGCCTGTTGCCCTCACCAGCCTCCTCCAGCCCCTTTGCCTAGTCGTCCACTATACTTTAGACCTTGGTTCAACCTTCCTGCCCTCTGAGAAGGTGTCCCTCACCTCCCGGACTAGATCAATCCCCATATCGTGGGGTCTCCGAGCACTCCGGGCCTCTCACATGGAGCCCTAGAGACCTAATCATGGTGTAAGTCTGCATTTGTCAATATGGTTGGCTTGTTTTGCTTTCTCGCTCACCTCTACACTCCCCAAGGGCAGGGACCATGCCTGCCTGTGTCCCTGGTAGCCCCAGTGCCTCACACATGCAGACAACTGCCCCTTCTGCAGCACCTGCCACGGGTCAGCACCGCTCTAAGCGGAAACACATCCTCTCAGGGTCCTAGCTTCTCTGCCTCATTCTCAAAGTCCTGGATCCAACTCTGTGCTGGAGCTGACAAGCTCCCTTCCCTGCTGGATTGGAACATGGGATATGTGGGTAGCTGGCAGATAGGCAAAGCCTTGGACTCTGGAGGAGGAAGATGGGGTGTGGCCTGGCTCTGGCCTGTGCCAGCTGTGACACCCTGACAAAGCTCCTTCTGGCAGGCAAACCCAAGGATCTGAAATACAGTCCCCCCACTGCCCAGCCGTGATCTAGGCAAGGTCCCTTGGCCTCCTGAACTTTCACTCTTCTGCACCCTCCGGAGGGATGAGGTCCCTCACCTCTGCTTTCTCTCTTTCTTGGTCTTCCTCAAACCACCCATCTCTCCCACCCTTGAGTCTAGCAGAGGGATCGTCTTCCCACAAGGCCATAAGCACCTGAAGGTGGAGATGCACTGATGGGATGACTGCATGGGGCTGATCCAGTTCCGTGCCCCCAGGGCAAGCCCTGACAGTGTGACTGATTTATCTGTCAACAGCCCGTAGTGGGTGCTCAATACACGTTTGTTGACTGAAGGAGGATGAATGGATGTGTGGCCCCAGACACCATGCTGGAAGAGGACGGGACAGCATAGGCCCTGGGGGAGGCCAGCCCTACAGTCCCACCAGGTCACCTCCCATCCCAAAGGGGATCTGCTGAACAGTAAGGACTCTAGGACCCTCTTCCCAGGGTCCCACCCATTCATGCAGACACACAGCTTTCTCAGCCAATCTCAGCCAAGTCATTACTTCCATCCAGGGAAGGCCTCTGCTTTAACCTTGTCCTGCCCATGCCACAGATCAGCCTAGGGCCCTGGCCCAGTTAACTGGGCCTCCCACCAGCCTGCTCTGGGGCCACCTCTGTTCACCCTTGGCCTCAGGGCCAAGTGTCCAGGCAAAGGGCATGACATTTCCCCCTGGCATTTTATGCAAGTCCCAATGAGAGAAGCAGCCTCTGATTCCAGTGTATTTTATAGAACCCACATCCTTATCTATTATACACAGATGCAAATGGGAGTCCTGTCCATGAGGCCCTGAGTCCATGGTTCCCAGCTCCATGTGGTGGCAGGAGAACTCACTTGCTAGGGAGGAGCCTCAGTGGTCATACTAAGAGATGTGTTCAAAATGCGAGGAGAAACAGCTGGCAGGCCCTCCTCCTACCATGGCACATCTGTTAGCAAGATTGGGGTGGGCTACCATGGGCCTGGTACTGAGGTTCCACAGTGCTCTGAGCAGGGCCAGCAGAAGGGGCTGATGGAGCATCTGCTACCACAGGAGCAGGGAGTGAGTCTGGGGGTGGGAGGAGACAGGCTCCACTGGTCCCAGAGCAGGCCAGGAAGGGGCAAGCCTGGCCATTCAAAACAGCTGCTGATGCTCGGCATCTTGATGTGCCATGGCCTCTGCAAAGCAGAACTCTCCAAATGAGTTCCTGCCTCTCTGCCTGACCCATGGGGGCAGTCTCCACTGCCATTTCCTAGACAATGTCTTACTCGACCCGTGCCTCAGTTTCCCCATCTGTAAATGGGTACGGTATCTCCACCCATCTCTTTAGGTCTTTGTGGTGATCAAATGAGACAAGCCACATCAAACGCATGAACAGTGCCTGGCACACAGGAAGGGTTCAGTATATGGCTGTTATTATCATCAGTGTTCACCCTGTGAAAGCCCAGAGCACCTCCAGGCAGCTGCTAAGCACTGGACACCTGAGGCCTCCACTGCCTGCCTTCCGGAAAGGAACCCAGCCCAGCCCAACCCTGGACGTAGAGTCACAGATCTAGAGGGGCTGAGGCCAGTGCTCCTGCACTCTGCTCTGCCCCAAGACTCTGACACCACAGATCCATATGCCCAGGGCTACCATGTGAGACCTCTGTCCAAAGCTCCCAGACAAGCTGATGGGCCAAAAGGAGCCCTACTCCATGACTCAGGAGAGATGGGCTTTAGAGGCTGCTCAGCAGCTCACTGTGCATGGCCTGGAGCCAATCAGTTAAGGGCTTCCCTTAAGCCATTCAACCTCTGCAGCTGGGTTATCAAAGAATGACCCGGGACCTGGCCCAACCAAAGCACGGGGGTGCTCTTCACCTGGTTACCCCACAGATGACACAGGCTGAGCTGGGAGGCCCCTGAGTCAGGAGCCCATCTGCCCCCTCCACAGCTCCTTCGGCACAGGCACTGTTCTCTTAGCTTCAGGGACTTTAGCATCTTCCTTCCCCTCCTATCTCTCCAGCCATTCCACAAACTTTCTTTTCCCATGACCTAAATGTTGCTGGCTCCGGCAATCCTCTTGGTGCTCTGAGTTTCTCACTTCCAATGCAGTGCCCCAACAACCTTGCCCTCTGCCAGAGCTCCGGGAACAGACTGAAGAGCTCAGCAAGTGGTGTTCCCATATCATCAAAGCATCAGCCACTAAGGTCTCATTAAAAGTGAATTCGAGTATTCCAAGAAGACTCCCTGGGGGAGGTGGCATCTCTGCGCCAGCCTCCCCCTGGCTCTGTCTCCAGCTCAGAGCAATCCTGAGTTCCAGAATATCTGTCCATGAATGATCACTTGACCGGGCTACATGTTCCTGCGTGCAACATCATCTTACTCCTCCTCCTGGGACCCAGTTCAGTCCCCAAGGCTAACATCAGGGAGGTAAAAACTGTCTGGTGTTTGTAACTGTCTCTCACCTTGCACCCACCACCATCCTTTCCACCCTACCTCCTCCCACACCCCTAAGTTGGCCCGGACTAGCCTCCTTTCTCCCCCATATCACCCCTGGTCTCCCGGCCTTGGCTCTGGTTCCCCACCCCGCATTCATCCTCCTCAGGGCATCCAGTGAGCTTTCTAAAACGTCATCTTTCCACATCCCTCCCCAGGATGCATCTTACAACCCGGTAAGCCTTATGTTCTTAGTCTGACATTCAAGGCCAGCCTTCCCTATTTAGCAAGAAATCACCTCTCTGCCCACTCCCCTGAAGGCTCTGGGTTCCAACTGCCCGACTCTCCCAAGTCTCTCCCAGACGGAAGCACTGTGTCTCCGGACCAGGCACAGGGCCCAGCCCTGGAAAGGGGCCCAGAGGGTGCCCCTGGCTTAGGCGGGAATCCCCCTCAGTTCCCCTGAAGCCCTCCCACCAGGCACCCCTGGGAAGCACTGCAAACATGGCTCCAACCCCAGCACCCACTCCATGGCCACATCTCCAGCAAATACTCACTTTGGCTCCAGGAGGGCCGGGGAGACCTGGATTTCCATAAGGCCCAGGAGGACCCTGAAAGAGACAAGGAACAAAAACAAAAAAAGGTGACAAAAAACAGGGGCCATCTCGCCTCTGACAGCAATGCCTGGCACCTTCCCTCCACCCACTGGTTTATCTTCTCCCCAAGCCAAGCCCTAGCAACACTGTCGTGGCCACTCAGCCTACTTTTGGGAGTACACCCTCCATGCCTGGCCCAGTGGGAAGCACATCCCATGTGCCATCTCATTTGATCCTGTTAACCTGGAAGGTAGGTGGTGTTGTTATTACTATTTTGAAGACGAGGATGCCAATGTTCACAGAGGTTCGTAACTGTCTCAGATCACCCAGCTGCTAAGAGGCAGAGCTGGACCTTGACCTCGGAGCACAAGTCCTTCACCCCTAAATTTTACCACCTCTCCACATCTCTCAGCCTAGCCCCGTCAGCCCTTCCCAGCTTCTTCAGGCTCAAACCACACTTAGCTATGCATTTCCCTCCCACGTATCTGGTACTTTCTCTCCTCGTTGCGTTTGCCCATGCTGTTCCCTCATCTGGCAGCATCTTTTCTCATCCATCTCCTCTGCTTGAAACCTGATCCATCCTTCAGGCCTGGCTCAAAGTGCCATCTCCTCCGGGGAACCCTCTAGGGCTCCTCCAGTCTCAAGTGGACTTTTTTTTTTAGAGGCAGGGTCTTGCTCTGTCGCCTGGGCTAGACTGTAGTGGTATGATCATGGCTCACTGCAGCCTCAAACTCCTCGGCTCAAGAGATCCTCCCACCTTAGCCTCCTGAGTAGCTGGGACTCCAAGCATGGGCCACTAATTTTTATTATTTTATTATTATTTTTATTTTATTATTTTTATTATTTTATTATTATTATTTTATAGAGATGGAGTCTTGCTATGCTGCCCAGGCTGGTCTCGAATTCCTGGCCTGAAGCAATCCTCCTGCCTTGGCCTTCTGAAGTGCTGGGATTACAGGCGTGAGCCACGGCAGCTGGCCCCAACTGGACTTTTGTATGAGTCTTTGGAGTTGAGAGCTCAAGAAGGATGTATTTGACCTCTTGTGAACAAAGGTGCACCTCTCCTGTGGCTACAACACGTGATCAGACCCTTAGACACCTGCAAGCTCCAAGCTTTCAAGGTCTTCCAGAGACCACAGAGCACCTGGGAACACTGGACCCAGAGAGTCCAGGAGGCTTGATCAAGGTCATACAGCAGATTTGTGGCCAAGTGAGATCAGGGTCCAGGGCCTGGTGGCTTCAAGTCCAGAGTTTATTCATGGCGCTGGATTTTCCCAGGCCATATCCAAGTTCCCCGATAACAGCTGGGTCCTGTTATGTCCACTTTCTCCAGCAAGGGCCCTGGCCTAGAGTCTTCCAGCACAGTAATATAAATAGAGCCCTAAGAGCCGGGGAATACTTGAGGGTTTTTGTCTAGCAGGAATAATCTGGGGCATAGGAGGTGAGGAGAGGCACCCTCAAGGGTCCAGTGGTCCTCCCAACCCCACCAGCCTCTAGGCACACTGCCCTCTTCCCCGTCCCTCTTGATTCATCGGGCTAACTGTGTGTGAACTGCTTTCTTCTTCCCTCTCTGAGGCCAGCTTCCCAGCTGCAGCCTGTCACATTCCAACCAAGGCACCTCCCTCTTCCTCTCTTCCTTGATGCCTGAACTGGGACCCTCCCCTTCTCCGAATGCACCGGCAAGGAACAGTGTCCAGAGCACACTGAGCCTGGGGAGTTTCTCAGTGCCTCTTGTGACCCTCCTTCCAAAATAATCAGCCCTCCTGCCCTCCCCTGCAGTCCACCAAACACTGTCTCCTGGCACGCGACAGAACCTGGAAGCATCGAGACTGAGTCCCAATTCTGAGCCCCACCTCATAATCCCCAGCCTCGGTCTCTCCCTCTGTTCTGTAAGTGACTGGGACCCAGCAGTCTCTAAGGAATCTGGAACACCCTCCGATGTTCACCCCAGCCCAGGCTTGTGGGGTCTAACCAGGTCTAACCACAAGCTCAGTGGGAATTGGACAGAGGTTGGGAGGGAGTGTTCAAGGAGGGGTTCCTGACACCCAGTTCCACCAGAGCCAGGCGTAGGCTGCACAAGGTCAAGGGCGGCTGCCTCTCCCCAGTCGTGCCCCAGCTGCCCCACAGATGGTGGGCCAGAGCACTCAGCTCCCCCATCTGCAGCTTCTGAAGGTGGGGGCTTCCTGTTTCCCTGCCCCCCCGTCCCCAACCCTCTCCAGTATTGCAGAGAAACGAGGCACATAGTTGACTGAAAGCCAAGCAGACCAATTCTATAAATGCTGCAGCCTAGAAAGCCAGGTGGGGGAGGCTCTGGGATTCCCCAACATCCCTCCATGGGCTGGGGGAATATGTGGAGGTAGGAAGGGGCAAGACAGAGAGCTTTGGGCGACCTCAGGTAAGAATGCCCCTCCTTAAGCCCCAGAGCCCCCATCTGTGCAGAGAGGAGCTGGGATTGTTTAATCCAGCATTCTATTATCTTTGGAATTTTATAATCTATGGAATTTCCAGTCTAGAAACAGGATGATGGTGGGACGGCGGGCAGGGAGAGTTGGGGTGGCGTGCAGGCAAAGAGCCTAGAAGCGTGTCAGGAGAGTCATTCACCCAGAGCTAGGTGGAAACTTAGAAATGCCTTACCATGACCCCAGCCTTTATAGATGGGGAAACTGAGCCTAGAAGGACAGAAGGGACTTGCCTAAGATTCCACAACTTCTTGGTAGAAATATTCTTGACTCCTACATTAGAACTCTTCACCAATCATTTGCCCAGCACCTCCAGCACGCAGGGTGCTCTGCCAGGCATCACGTAGGAGAGAGAGGTAACCGAGGCCTATCTCTGGAGGGGCTCAGGTGAATACTCAGAAAAATAAGCACAATAGATGCTTAAGATGGTAGGCTCTGGGCTAGGCGCAGTGGCTCACACTCATAATCCCAGCACTTTGGGAGGCCGAGGCAGGTGGATCACTTGAGGTCAGCAGTTTGAGACCAGCCTGGCTAACATGGTGAAACCCCATGTCTACTAAAAATACGAAAAAATAGCTGGGCCCGGGGGCGTGTGCTTGTAATCCCAGCTACTTGGGAGGCTGAGGCAGGAGAATCCCTTGAACCTGGGAGGTGGAGGCTGCAGTGAGCCCAGATTGCTCCATTGCACTCCAGCCTGGGAGACACAGCGAGACTCTGGCAAAAAAAAAAAAAAAAAAAAAAAAAAGATGGTAGGCTCTGGAGGCAGACTGCCTGGGTTCAATCCTGGCTCTGCCATTTACTCTCTTTGACTTTATCTGAAGTAACTAAACCTTTCTGAGCCTCAGTTTCCTCATCTGTAAAATGGGAATAGATTGAAACCTGTTTCTCAGAATGGCTGGGAAGGTGGAATGAGATCCTGCACATGTGGCTCAGCAAACAGAGTTTAGTGGTCAATGAGAGCTTTGAGAAAGTGGCCCATGCCATCCAGAGGGGACAGGGGAACCACTGCGGGAGTTCCAAGAAGGGAGTGGTCATCAGAAATAAAGGTGGCATTTGCTCTTAGACATGAATGGAGGACAAGTTTACAAAGGAGGACAGCCAGAGCAAAACCGCAGAGGCTTGGGGGCTCAGGAGGTTGGGGAAGGGAGTAGGCTGCCTAGGTCAACGGCCTCATCCTGGTCCCAGGCTGCAAGGTCCCATGGGCTAGCAGCGTCTGTGATATCTATGTGGTCCCCAGAGGGCACGTGCTTCATGAAGGCTCTGAAGCCAGGAGGAAATGCCGCTTCAGATGGCAGATTCCAGAGCCCTGGGCCCAGGGAGCACAGGGCCAGGTCTGGAGGGAACTAGGGCTTGGGTAATTGCATAACCAGAACCACTCGCTGGGCTCAGAGCTAAAAATATGCCCCAGGCAGCTACCTCTGCCAGGGCCTCACCAGGCACCCAGCGTGGGAAAGGCTGATTCAGCCTGGGCACAGATGCCGGGTGCTGTTGGTCTCAGCCCTCTAAGGGAAGCAGGTAGGTTTCCCTCTAAGGGGATCTCCAAGGGTTCCAGTATATGGGTAAGAGCCTGGGTTCCAGTCCTGGTTTTGCCATTTCCTACTCAGTTTCCTCATCTCTAAAATGAGAATGATCTCACTGTCCCATGGGAACTTGGGGTGGGCATGAGAGGTCAAATAAGGCAGCATAAAAGAAGGTGCCAGGCACATCACATAGGAGCTATTTTCCCTCTCGGGCTTGGGCTAGCTCAGTCAGCCACCGCAGCCTGCCAAGCTGTCCCCCAGCCTCTCTCCAGCAGGAGGAACTCAACTCCTCCCCGCATGGCCCCTCCAGGTACCTATGTCCGCACCCCTACTCCAGGAGAGCCCTGCAGAAACAGGAAGAGGGATGCAAGGGTCATATATTCCCCAAGGCAGTTTTCCTGGCCAAACACTGAAGCTCACCAGCCGAAGGGATGTGATCTTCTGGAGCCCCTTCCCCACCCCAGGCTGCAAAGGGTGATATCCCCAATGGACAACTGAGACCTACAAGAGGTCATTGCTGTTCCATGCCATATCTGTCCATATAGCACCCTTGAGAGCCCTAAGTCCACTCCAAATGGATAAAGCCAAATATGGGTGCCAGAGAGGGGGAGGGAAGAACCTGAGGACACACAGCAAACCCGAGACCTCAGGGGCAGTGAGACGCAGGCCAAAGAGCCACCAAGAGTTCCAAAGGACAGTGTGAGATAACTCACCCGAGGCCCACGTGCACCAGGGATTCCAGGTAGCCCAGGTAGCCCAGGGGGACCCTGAGGAGAAAACAAGAAGACAGCATTAGACAGTGCCCACTGGCAGCAGAGAATGGGCTCAAGCAGTCATTCAACAATCCCGCCTGCAGCTGTGGGCATGGATAGTCCGCGGCTAAGAGGAGGAGTCCCCTGAGGTCCCTGCCCTGAGAAATTCATGCTCTTTGGGGCTTTTGGGCTTTCATAGCTACTATTCAGTCACTGACGCCCTCATCATTTATCACCCAGCTAACTTAGGGTGTCACCTTCTCCAGAAAACCTTCCCCAAGTTGGACAAAGTCCCTTCTTTTCCTCTATTTTAAAGACCGCTATCTTACTTGGGGAATTATCTGCTTAGAAGCCTGTGTCTCCCATCAGATGACAGTCTCCTCAAAGGAACTAAGGGGATATGAGTCATCTGCCTATCCCCAGGGCTCAGCCAAACGTTTGATAAAATAAAACAGCCAGAAACCTCAGAGCTCAGCCAAATTCTCTGCAGAATCAGAACAGAGAAGGGACTTGGCCAAGGTCACACCAAGTATCTCTGCCCCACAAACAGGCAGCACAGCACACAGAGCATGGCATGGGTTTTTGAATCAGACATGCCTGGGTTCAGATCCCTGCCTGCCGCTGACAAAATGCACAAGTCTTTAGCCAGCTTGTGCCCATACAAACGGAGGCAATAAAACACTCCCCATGGGATTCCAAGGATGACATGAGAGATGATAAATGTTAACACGGTGCCTGGTATGTAACTGGCACTCAAATTTTCTATCTGTTCCCATGGCCACAGCATGGTCCAGCCTTCATCACCACTCCCCAAGAACCGGCAGCAGCCCCCTCAGTGGTCTCCCTGCCTCTACTCTCTCCTCCCTCCCCTCTGCAGTCCTCCTCCACACAGCCTCATTCACCTTCCAAAAGCCCTCCCCTGCTCAACAACATTTAAGGGCTCCCCATTTCCCACAAGTGAAAAACCTAACCCTGAAGCTCAGCATTTAAGGAGCATCTGTGTGTCCTCATCTCTTTTCTCTTTACACAGGAAGGGAGGCAGCCGAGCAGACTTACTGAAGGATGAGCTGATCTTTGTTCAAATCCTGGCTTTACCACTTAATAGCTGCACACTTCCTGCAGTTCCTCCCACTTATCTGAGTCTCAGATGCTCCCCGTTAAGATGGGTCCAATAGCTACCACTGCATTTACCTCGAAGGAGTAAATGAGGATTAACTAAGCGCCTGATGTGAAGAACTGTGCCTGCAGCCTTTGAAGGAAGCCAGGCTTTCGAGGATGTGTGAGGCCTGGGGAATTCATTTGTTTCAAATAACCATCAATGAGATTCCAGATTTCCTGCCCAGAGTTAAAATCGGTGTTGAAAACCCAGTCTGGTTTGGCTGGTAATTAATCCAGATCTCATGCTGGGCAGTCTCGGCTCACAGTTCTGGCCTGTGAACACCACGTGCTTGCTCGTCCATGAATAAAAATCAGAGGAGAGATCCAGACAGGCAGATATGGGTACCAAGGTCACTGGGCAAGAGCCCTGAGCAGAAGGAGGAGGGTCTGTTTTGTGACCTCGGGCAAGTCCCAGCTACCTCTGAGCATCCAGAGACCTCTGGCCAAATTGGCGGCAGAGTTCCAGGGGTGGGTAGAGGGGTTGTCTGGTTTTGTGGGTTCTGGACTCTGGGTGCCAGTCTTACCCACTTCTCCTCTCCAGCTGTCTCTGGGCAGTAGAGTATGGTGTAACACCACGGGCCTGGGTTCACATAGGGCACCCCCCCCCACCCACCTACTATCTGGGTGGCTTTGAGCAAAGCTATTTCCAGGCTCCAAGCCTTTTTTCTATTACTGTAAAATGAGGTTAATAATAGCACCTAGCCGACAGATAATCTATAACAAGTGCTAATCCTGGTGTCTGGCACCCAATTAATGCTCAAAAAAAATGTTAGCTGTTATTTCTGTGAAGCAAGCTTCTGGAACGTCCTCAACTCAAAATTTTAAGCCATCCTCCTTCACATCTGTTTCTAGGGGACAGCAAAAGATGTCCCTTCTTAGAAGGCCCTCCTTGACCCAACTGTCCCAGGTGGACCCAGAATTAAAGAAAAAGCAGGGGGCTGAGACGAAGCATACTGTAGGTATACCATGCCGTTTCAACAGGTAAGAAACCAGAGAGAGGTTCAGAGAGGAAAAGTGACTTGCCCAGTGCCACACAGCTAACAAGAGGCAGAGCCTGGATTCAAACCCAGGACCACTGGACCTGTTCTCCTACCCTGGGCAGCTGCCACACAATCTTGGTTGAGTGTGACTCTAACTAGGTATATGGCCTTGAGTAAGTCCCTTCTCTTCTCTGGACATCTGTGAAATGAAGATCCTGGAAACTTCCTGGCACTGGCATTTCCTGAGTTGCGGAAAGCCAAGGTGGGGGTAATTTCCTCTGCTACATTATCAAGTGAAGAGGAAAAGCGAGATTCTTCCCATCTCACAGAGAAGGCAAAGACCCAGCAGGGTGAAGGGCTTGTCCAGGACTCCGGGGAGGAACAGGCTCCGTGGGTGCAGCTCCTTCATGGACCCTGGTGGGGCTGCAGCTGCAGAGGCCTGGACACTCCCTCTTGGCATGTCTTCTGCCCCAGAAATAGGGGCATCCAGGATAGAGTCTGACCTCATCCACCACATCTGCAGAGCAGACTCTGAGTGCCACTCAGGACCCAGGGTCCAGCCTGGTGATGTCAGCCCACAGGCGGACTCCTTGACGGGGCGGCCCCAGCTTCGGGCCTGGCCAATCCCTTCACTCCACCTTCAACCTGGGTGGGGACCGCCGGCTGCCCAGTGCTAGCCACGGGCTGGACCCTCCCCTACTCAGTGCCCACTTTGCTCGTGGCGAGCACGGGTGCCCCCTGGCCCCTCTCCCCTGATCCGAGACCCTGCCTGTTCTCTCCGCAGTGGAAAAACGCTGCCATTTCTTTCCAGGGCCTGAAGCCTGAGCGGGTGACTCTGGGATGATTCACGAGGCCGGGGTGGGATTTTCCACTTTGCGTTGCAAACAACGGGGCCTCTGAGAGGGCCTGGAGCTGAGGGGGAGCAGAGCGGGGGCTCAGGCCTGCCTGGGGGAGGTGGAGGAGGCCTGGGCTCCAGGCGTACGCAAACAGAGCCATGGAAACAACCAAGCAGACCCCTCGGGGCTTCCCCCAAGGGTCCTGGCCTCTGACAGCCAGATCTAGGGGAACCCCATCCTACGGAACAAGTCCACCGTTGTGTCCAGCTGGAAGAGCCTCTGCCTGCCAAGCAATGAGAGGTTTTACAAGCCTGGGGTTTAGGAGACCAAAGTCCGATCCTAGGTGTGCTGCTACCTACCATGTGACCCTGAGCAATGTCCTTTTGATCTCTAGGCCTCGACTCTGTGTCTGTAACCTGTTGGGGGTAGATAGGGGGCCTCAAAGGGCTCTCCCATCTCTGACCATCTGAGCTCATGATTATTCCTAAGAATTCACACAGGGCACCCAGACTTCCCTAGCCTCTGTCCTGGGAAGGACCTGCTGGAACAGAGCTTCTTGGCATCAGTACAGCTCTGTATGACCTTGAGCAAGTTACTTAATCTCCCTGGGCCTCCGGGCCTTAGTTTGTCCAGCTGTGAAATGGGAATGTAATACCCATATTCTGAGATGGCATATGCATGCTGGTTCTTCTCCATTTACTCCCCAGATCTGTGCCGTGCCCTGGGAAGCTGACTTCTACAGATTATACCCCGGCCTTCCTTGACCTCTGGCTTCCAGCTGGGTTTGGCCAATGGGAGACCCCAGGAAGAGAGTGCACAGAAGGGAGGACAGGGTATATTTCTCTCCCTGTGCCCTCTCTGCTGTGCTATAATTTGGCTGCAGCTGTATTCGCCCATGGCCCCTGCTTCTGTGAGGAGACCCCTGCTCAAGGTTTTAACTCTTATTGGGTTCTGGGAACATCTTTCCCTGGGACCTTCTGGTCTGGGTGTGGTAACAATTTCCTGCAGTTTCCAGGCCCCTTGTGTTTCACCTGCCTCTGCTGGTTCCCTTGATGCTGTCCACCCCTCCGTAAATAGTCTGTTCCTTTAACTCTCCCCAGTGAGTCTGGGCCCTGCCTGGAGGTCAGGAGATCGAGACCATCCTGGCTAACATAGTGAAGCCTTGTCTCTACTAAAAATACAAAAAATTAGCCAGGCATGGTGGCACATGCCTGTAATCCCAGGTACTTAGGAGGCTGAGGCAGGAGAATTGCTTGAACCCAGGAGGCGGAGGTTGCAGTGAGCTGAGATCGCACCACTATACTCTAGCCTGGGCAACAGAGCAAGACTCTGTCTCAAAAAAAAAAAAATGGGGGCAGTCCTCCCCCAAACCCCCGCTGTCTAGCTGACATGTGTCATGACACTCTTATCCATTCAGGCTCCCTGCTGTCCCTGCTCCACCGACTAACCCCAGGTTAGTATTTTCATAGCACAGTTCTCCAAGCAAATGTGAGACTATGTCCAGACCCTCCCAGTTCTCTCAGTGCACCAAAGTCCCCACCTCAACACCCACCATCAGTCCACAATCACAGCCATGACAATCTACCAGGACCCAGGTTTCATATGTGCTTTACTCCCCTCCCCCCGACCCCCGCATCTCACTGAATCCATGTAACGACCCTGGAAAGGTAGGTGGCACCGTATCCCCATTTTATAGAGGCAGAAACTGAGGCTTAGAGAGGTTAAGTGATTTGCCAAAGGTCATACAGCACCAGGCATCTACAGGACGTTCAGTTAACAATTGTGCAAAGAATGAATGGATGGCTGAATAAGGGAATGGTTCAAATCCAGGTTGTCCCAAATCCAAAGCCTATGTTCTTTTGCAGTCCACATGGCCTCCTCATCTCCCTGGCAGGAGAGTTCTGGGTAACCTCAAGGAACCCCGCCTGGGAGTCAGGACGACCTGCATTTCGTAAGGATCAAATTCTTTTGTTCATTTCATAGATAGATAGTCACAGAGCACGTGGTGTGGGCCAGGCCCTTAGCGGCGTCTTCCCGAGGGGACATTTGCAAAAAGTGCAAGCACGGGCAAATGCCAGTGGCCTGATCGTGAATAAATAAGGCCTTGACTCGCCTCCTCTCAGGCGTGGGGCTTCTGTGCAGCTTCTGTGCAGGGCTGTGAACCACGGCCTCCCCGCCCCAACTCACCCAGGGCCAAGCTCAATTTTTCCATGTTCCCCCCTCCTGGGGCTCCCACAGAGCTTCCTCACTCAGCAGCTACAACTCCTGGCAGGCCTGGGCCCAGAACTCTGTCTCTGCCTCTGCCAGTTGCTCTCGTGCCCTGAACCCCGAGGAGCAGGTTTGCACATGCAGACACAGCCACTGCACCTTTCTCAAACACTGAAAGGTCCCACAGTCATTTCTAAGGGGAGAGCTGTCCCAACACCCTATTTCAGTGGAAGACTGAGCCCTGGGGAGAGGAAAGAATTTCCTCAAAGTCACTCAGCAAAACTAGATAAGATAGCCCAAATTACTTCATTTCTACTACAGCTGTTTTTTGAGACAGAGTCTTACTCTGTTGCCCAGGCTGGAGTGCAGTGGCATGATCTCGGCTCATCACAACCTCCACTTCCCAGGTTCAAGGGATTCTCCTACCTCGGCCTCCCAAGTAACTGGGATTACAGGCGCACACCACCATGCCTGGCTAATTCTTGTATTTTTGGTAAAGACAGGGTTTCACCATGTTGGCGAACTCCTGGCCTCAAGTGATCCGCCTGCCTCGGCCTCCCAAAGTGCTGGGATTATAGGTGTGAGCCACCACGCCCAGCCTCTACTACAGCTTTATATGCAAATAAAATTTACGCACATTTTCAGGCCACCCTCCCCACCAGAGGTGGGAGCTATTATCATCTTATGTTCTACAAAAACAGGCTCAGCATGGATCAGTCACAGAGCTAAAAGGGGTGGAGTCAGGATTTGAACCCAAGTCTGCATGTGCCTGGATGGGGGACAATTAAGCTCTTCTCCTGGGCAGCTGGAGCTTCTGTTCTGCTGGGCTTAGATCCTGGATATATATGGGGGTCAAGGGAAGACAGCAGAGGCCAGAAAGAATGAGAGTTCATTTCATCACCGTTCAAAGATGCCTCTTCCATTACATTATTCTGGTATCTGGTGAAGAAGTGACCAGGTTGCCATCTGCTACACAGTGGACAAAGATTCTACCAGCTTCCGGGTTCCTCCTAGGGTGGGGACAGGGGATAGCATGGGGCCTGAGACAGGGATGTCACCCGGGCAGGTTGGTGTCTTCCCCTTGTCCTCAGTAGTCAGGGCTGAAGGAGCAGAAAGAGCCTCAGCCCTGGCCAGAAGTCAGGGACCACAAGTTGCATCCCAGCTCCTTCAGGAACACGCTGGGAGCCTTTGGCGGGGTCCTTTATCTCTTTCCAACCCCTCTTGGATCATCTGTGGGGCAGGGATGAACACACACAGCCTGCCCTCCTCAACCAGTTTTCATGAGGTCCTAAAGGAGACACCGCGCCTGTGGAAGCAGCTCATAAACTTGATGGGTTATCGAATCGGAAGCTTCTTTAGGCCAGGCACAGTGGCTTAAGCCTGTCATTCTAGCGCTCTGGGAGGCTGAGGCAGGAGGATCACTTGAGGCCAGGAGTTTAAGACCAGCCTGGGCAACATAGTGAGACCCAGACTCTACAAAAAAAGTGAAAAAATTAGCCGGACATAGTGGCACGTGCCTGTAGTCCCAGCTACCTGGGAGGCTGAGGCAGGAGGATGAATTGAGCCTGGGAGATTAAGGATGCAGTGAGCTGTGATCACACCACTGCACAGCAGCCTGGGTGATAGAGTGAGACCCTGTCTCTAAAAAAAAAAAGAAAAAGATTCTTTAGATGTTGAGCCCTTCCTTTGAGGCCAGGGACAGTAGTGACTCCTGTCTGAAGCCCCCAGTCCCCCAGATCTGAGTCCCAGAGCCTCAGAGTGGACACTCAGGGCAGTGGGATGGAACGTGCTAGTCTTGGAGGCTACAGTCTGGAATGTAAACTTCAACTCCACCTCCTCCGTGCTGCGTGGCCTTGGGCAGGTCCTGGCCCTCTCTGAGCGCAATTTCCTCACCTGCCCAATGAGGAAAGTTGAACTAAGTCATCCCCAAGCAACCACTGACTGACCAGTTTCATTTCAGTGCCTCCTCTTTTTCAAAGAGATTTGGAAGGAGGCCTCGCTTCCTGCTGACCCAGAGCCCCAAGCCCCAGGAAAAAGTATTTGACTCAGACATACAGCAGACCCAAGATACTATAGAATCTGCCCTGGGCCAGCTCCGCTCCTCTCTCCACACCACACAAATTCTTGGGAGGGAGGGCCGGCCTCCTCCTCAGGGCTGGGTTGTGCTGTGTGGCCAGAATTGAGACCATGGACCTCACCATGTCAGGAGGGGGCAATTCCCCTTTTGACCTCACCGCCATTGAGCCCAGCACGCACACAGCGTGGGAAGCTGAGCTGTCAGGGCCCCAAGGCACCTGGTGCCAGAGTTGGCCTGGGTTGGCTGGAGAGGTGAAAAGGGTTCCTCGTTCTTTCCACAAGAAAGTGGTGGCTCCCAACTCTCTACGCTGCCAATTTCAGAACACGGAACTTGAGCAGAACGTTGACATAATTGCAAAGCAATGCATACAGTTTCCATAAGTTCGACAATATGGTTATAATAAAGGCAGACTCTCCGTCCTCTTGGAGACAGGCTGGATAAATATTATTCCTAATGATTATTAAAACTCATTAAGTGTGTTTGGAAGGCCTGGGAATTCCCAGCATCTGCCACTGTCTCCACATTGTAGGGAGCCCTAACCTCAAACACAGAGCCCAGTGGGAGAGCCGGCTTCAGGAAGGAGAGAGAGAGGCCACCACACGGTGGTCATCTCCAAGGCGGGAGAACAGAGCAGAGCCCTGAGCCTTCTGGAAACGCCATCCCATCATTCCCCACCCGGAGGAATTGGCCTCCAGCTGTGGGAAGGTCGTTGCCCCTAGAGACGGTCCCAGGCAAGCCGGAGGCATCGACCCTGAGACCATCCTGCAAATCGTGTTCTTTCTTCTCCCTTCCTCTTCCTTCTGGCCCACGCTGACCTTCTGCACCCCAAACTCCTACCGGGGGTTACAAATCAAACCCCTGCAGGTGCCAGGCAGGCAGGTAACATAAACGGGTGAAAGGACTGGTCGGAAGACTCAGTCAGGAGAAGTGGGGACCAGCACAGACAGGAGTGGACTTGTCCTAACGGGGTGGCTCAAGCACCATCGCATCTCCCACTTTCCAAGAGAAGTTGGTTGCTGAGTCTTTTTATAAGAAATCTCTCACATTTTTAAAATGTTAGTAAGTTATTGGATTTTTAAAAAAGAACACTGCACGTGCCAAACAAAACATATCCAGAGCTCCCCATGTGTGACCTTTGTCTGCAACTCTCAGACAAGCTGATGGGCCAGAAGGACCCCTGCTCCATGAGCTGGGAGAACGGGGCTTTGGAAGCTGCTTACTCACTGCATGATCTGGAGCCAGTCAGCTACGGGCCTTCCTTAAGCTGTTCGAGCTTTGCAGCTGGGTTAGCAAAGAACGGGCTTGGACCTGGGCCAACCAAAGCCCAGGGATGCTCTTCACCTGGGGGTAGCCACCAGACTTGAGTCTGTCCCAGCGGATCATGAATCTGGAGCAGGGTGGGCAATGATGCATTTAGCAGAGCCAGAGGAGCCGGGGGCCTGGCTGGAGCCAAGGATGTACCCATAACCAGCTCCCTGCTCTAAGCTGCTCCTTTTCCTGTCTTTACTAGGGGCAACCACTTGACCAATGCCCCAGTCCCCCACTGGAGCTCCAAGCAGCATGCAGACCCCACTCAGTCTTACCGGCAAGCCACAGTCTCCCTTGGGTCCCGGAGGCCCCATCAGCAGAGGGAAAGGCGTAGATCCTGCCAGGTGGAAGATCGAATAGCCACTGCTCGTGGGCCGGGGGCTGGAGGACAGGAATTGCGCCGGGGCCAATACCAGGGCCGGGGTGGTCTGCTGACTGGGCTGGGGCTGTCTGGGGCTAGGCCTGGTTGTCAGATCGCTCAAGGGGACATCCCTGGCTGCCTTCCCAGGTCTGAGGGGGACAGGCTTCCGGGGGCTGCTCTTGGGTCCGGCTTTCTTTGAGGCTTCCGATCCAATGGGCTTCTTGCTTCCAGTGGGAGCTGAGCCAGGAGTGGGGACGGCAGGTGCTGTTCTGGGAGTGCTGGTGCCCGAAGTTGGAGGTACCATCGTGGCTGGTGGCCGAGTACTCCTGGTAGAACCAGGAGTAGGGGCAGGAGATGAGGATAAAGCAGTAAATGGGGGAGGTTTGTGGGTGCTGGTGCGGGCAGAGGCCGGCTTACTGGCATGGCTGGTTATCTTGGCCTCAGTCCGAGCTAGTGTGGGAATGGGTTTTTTAGAGGAGCTGGTGGTAGGAGGTAGGGGCCGGGTGCTGGGCGGTGGGGGCCTGGGCATTCCCGGGTTCCTCTGGATGGGCTTCTCTGCGGGACGGGAGACTCTGGCAGGAACTGGACGGGAAGTAGGTGGCACTTGCTTCTGAGTGGGTAGGGCTGACTTTGTAAATGAAGATGGAGCTGTTTTCTGGGTAGGATGGGGGCTTTTGATGGGCACAATTGAAGTAGAAGGGGCCGAAGGCTTGGTAGGGAGGCTTTTGGGGATTTTGGTGGCTGTGATCTTCTGTGATGGTTGAGCGGCCGCAGGGCGAGGCGTTCTGGTAGAGCCGCCAACAGAGGCTGGGAGCATGGGATCAAGTGCGTTACTGGCTGACAGCTTGGCAGGTAGCAGCGGGGTTTGGGCTGGGCCTCCCACCGCCATATGCTGGTGAGGGTTTGTGGGGCTAGTCCTTTGGGGCTTGGTGGGCGTGGCGGGTGCCACAGTCCCCCTGGGTCCCCTGCCTGCTGGCAGTGACCCCAGGGCTGGTGTGGCAGTGGTCAAGTTCTCCAGGCCTAGCAGGGCGAGGTCGGACTGGAAGGTAAAAGGTCTGCCAGAGTCTTGGGAGAAGAGAGGTCCCAGTGGGGACTGGTACGTGTCAGCCTGTCCACACTGCTTCCTCAGGTGGGTACAGTAATTGTGAGCGACCTGCGTCACAGGGTAGATACTGAACTGGCAGAGAGCACCTTCAAACTGGACTGCATGCGGGTTCATCTTCCCAAAGAGGAAGGAGCCCCCAGGGTCGAGTGCAGGGTCCCTGTGGAAAGGCAGCAGGACAGGCACCCGGCGCTGCCCGCAGGCAGTCACCAGAGTGACTGTGCGGCCTCGGAGCTCGAGGGCCAGGTGGTGCCAGCGCCCGTCGTGCATGTCGAGGTCGAAGGCCACTGAGCGCCGGGACCCGAGGTGGACGACCGTCTTGCCGGGGAGGAACTGCAGGCCCAGCTGCAGCTTGCGTTTCTGGCTGCGGACAGCGAAGAGGAAGGCATGGTTCACCCGGTGGGAGCAGAGGCTCAGCACCAGTGCCAGCTCTGTGCCCAAGGCGGCAGGAATGACGGTGCCCGTGGGAGCCTGGAGCCGGGCCCGCTGCGTAAAGATGAAGCCCGACTGGAAAGGAATGACTCCCGGGGGTGCAGGGCTCCCGGCCTTCGTCCAGCTGAGGCCCAGCCGCTGGAGGATGTCCACATCTGAGAGGGAGGGAAAAGGGGAGAGGACGCAGTCAGGGCCTGCTCCAGCCCACCCCACCCCCTACCCCCTAAGGGGCACAGGCAATGTGGACCGTCCACCCACAGCTACCTGGTCCTTTGTTCATTCATCTAAAAATGACACCGCCCCATGGTGGTGGCTGAGAGGGCAGCGTTGGAACTATCTGGCAGGGATTGTGACCCCTTATCTGGCTGCATAATCTTGCATGTTGGGGTTAAAAAACAGACTCTGGAGCCAAACTTCCTGAGTTCAAATCCTACCTCTAACACTTACTAATCTTGTGACTTTAGTGCCTCAGTTTTCCCATCTATTAAATGGGATAGTAACAGTCCCAACCTCAGAAGGATGTAACAATTACATGATGAATACATTTATTTTTAAGTGCCTGGTACAAAAGAAGCCCTTTCAAATAATAACTAATACTAAAAATAATGATAATAACCAAATGCTGTTGCTGAGAGTGTTAGAGGCTGCCCAACAATGACACGTTATACTCCTTTTTCTCCACCTGGAAAGCCATCTCCTCCAGGAAGCAGCCCCATAAGTGAGGGACCAGGATGACAAGAATAGACCTGTCACCAGAGCTTGGTAAAGATGTCCTAGGGGTCTGACAGGTTTCACCATCTCCTCAGGGACCCACCCATTCCCCTTCCCACTCCCGAGGTGTCTCTAGCAGGCTACGGGGCTGCCATCTGCTATCAGAAGGGTGATGGCATTTCCGCTGACTCCTCCTTCTCCCCACAGGACTCTGGGGAGAGGAGAGGAAGCAATCAAAGCATCCCTGCAACCTCTGTCCCCTGGCAAAGCGTATGGATATCTGACTGTGGTCTGGCCAGGTCACATCCGCCCAATAATTATGTCAGCAGGGCTTGCCAGAGCAAAAGAAAAGGAGGGCTTCCAGAGTGTTTATGGAAAGGCTTCCTGACCTTTCCCCTCCCAGGTCATTAGACCCCTTCAGTCAGCTGAGCTGCCAGTGTTGGCAAAGCAGGCTCCTGAGCTCTGACTCAGCAGGGAAGGAAAAGCTGCCTCTGGAATCTGAGTCTGGGTCAGGTCCTCAGGGCCCTTCCCCTAAGCTCAGCAAGATAGGCCCTGAGTACTGAATGCTCTCTCCCTATCACCCCCTGCAAAGGTTGTGCTGGGGGCTGAATGCAACACTTGGCATTTGGCCCTCAGCTGACAACTGGGAGATGGATGGATGGATGGATGGATGGATGGATGGATGGATAGATGAATGGATGGATGGATGAATGGATAAATGGATAGGTGGGTGGGTGGATGGATGGATGGATGGATGGATGGATTGATGGATGGATACATGGATGCATGAAAGGATAGATGAGTAGATGGATGTATAGATGGATGGATGAATAGATGAATAGATGGATGGATGGATGGGTGGATGGATGGATGGACAGATGGATGGATGGATAAATGAATGGATGGATGGATAGAAAAATGGATGGATGGATGAATAGATAAATGGATGGATAAATGGGCAGGTGAACAGGTAGATGGATGGACGGATGGATGGATAAATGGATGAATAGATGAAGGGATGGATGGATAGATAGATGAATGGATGGATAATGACTGGCTGGATGGATGGTGGGTGGATGAATGAATGGATGGACAGGTAGATGAATTGGTGGATGGATGGATAAATGGATGGATGAATGGATGGATGAATAGATGAAGGGATGGATGGATGGATGGATGGATAGATGGATGGATGATGGCTGGCTGGCTGTATGGGTGGATGGATGAATTGATGGATAGATAGGTAGATGAATTGGTGGATGGATTGATGGATGGATGGATGGATGGATGGATGGATGGATGGATAAATAATGCCTGGCTGGCTGGATGGATGGGTAGGTGGATGAATGGATGGATGGATAGGTAGATGAATTGGTAGATGGATGGATGTATAATGGACGAATGAATAGATAAATGGATGAATGGATGGATGGGTGGATGAAAGGGTAGATGGATGGATGGATGGATGGATGGATGGATGGATAAATGGATGGATAAATGGATAGTAGATGAATAGGCAGATAAATGTATGGATGGGTGGATGGATGGATGGATGGATGAATAGATGAATAGATGGATGCATGGATAATGGCTGGCTGGATGGATGGATGGATGGGTGGGTGGATGAATGGATGGATGGATAGGTAGATGAATTGGTAGATAGATGGATGGATGGGTGAATGGATAGATAAATGGATGAATGGATGGATGGGTGGATGAAAGGGCAGATGAATGGATGGATGGATGGATATTGGATGGATGGATGAATGGATGGATGGATGGATGGATGATGGATAGATAAATGGATGGGTAAATGGATAGGCAGATGAATGGGTGGATGAATGGATAGAAGGACAGTTCCCTGGGGGAAATTGAGAACCTGAGTGCTGGCAGCATGTTATAATGGTTCTATAGCAGACTCTGGAGTCAGAAGGCCAAAATTTAGAGCCTGAGAAGACCAGCAGTGAGCCTCAGTTCCCTCCACTGTAAAACAGGGCTATAAAGTGCGCCTACACCATAGGGTTGTTAGGAGGATGAAATGGTCATCTTCCTCATCATCTTCACCCAAGCCCCACATTGAGTAACTCTGCTTAAGTGTCTTACTGACCCTTGGGCCTCAATTCCCTGCCTGTAAGACAAGAGAAACAGATCTTGAGATAGCACAGGTGTTACAATGTTCTAAGAATTCTATAGCTCTGTGTTGCTGGTTCAGGTTGGCTTGAGTTTAAGACCTTTATTCTTCCTTAGGACCCAAGGGGCTTTCATTTCATTTCAAACTCCTCTTTCCCATCCTTTCTCCCATCTGTCTGTCCTCAGGTTCTAAGCTAAAATAAACTACTGATTAAGGATTCTCTTAGTGGTATATGTTTTAGTCACTGAAACCCTCTTATTATCATGAAATACTATTCACTATTATTCACTATAGACTGGGACTTAGAATGGGAGGAGCCATTTGGTTGGACAAGAGGTAAGGGCAGGAAGCCACTTGGTCCTTCCTTTAGTCCCTGCTCAACAACCCCCGGAGGGCCCCTCAGGCCTGCTCACATCTTTCTCCACACATGGAATTTAGGGCTAACCTGCACTCACCCAAAGAGAGTCACAACTGGCTGGGCCAGGCAGCATGGGTGAGGTTTCCCCTATCCACTGGGTGGGTTTCTAAGCTGACAACCAGCAGTCTCCAGGTGTCCCCCAAAGACCATCTGCAGCTAAAGGGCAAAGTCTCAAGCCCTGACACCTGGCAAATGTGACCAGCACAGAGCTGCTATGAGTCAGACCACTGTGAGCCCTGCAGGGCATAGGAAAGGGCTGTTCTTGCCCAAACTTTTCAGGTAACTAATTAACAGCAATAAGAAAAACTAATACTTGTTGAGCACTTACTAGATACCAAATACTTTACAGGCATGATCTCACTTGATTCTCTCAGCAATCTATGGAGCAGGTACTCTTTATTATCCTCACTTTATAGAGGGGGCTCAGAAGAGTCAGAGGGAATAACTTGCAGCTTAAAAAAGGCACAGCCAAGGTTTGAACCCAGGCCACCTGACTCTGGGGTCTTTGTGCTTAGCCATGATGCTATTCTGCCTGGGGCCTCCCAGGCTTGTCGGAAAGCAGGGTGGAGACACATCCAGCACCCCATCAAGGGTGAAGAGATGGGGGACAGGGGAATGAATTCAGCCCAACGCCAAGATAGAAGGAGCCTGCCAGCTGGCCCCCACAAGATCCCTTCATTACATAAACCTGGCTCCACACAGCTCCAGCCTCTCCCCCCGCCCCCCGCCCCAGTGACTGACTCAGGACTCTGGACAGCTGTTCACCTACTTTGTGGGGGAAACAGCAAGCTTGGAAAATATGACATTTGCACAAAATGTTGCTGGGCAGCAGAAGTCTCTTCCGGGCACAGCCCTGCCCTCCCAGGGGCCCAATCCCTGCCGAGTGGCCAGGTCAGGCCACAGGGACTCCCGGCGTGCCGGGCTGCCTGCCCCAGCACACGGGCTGGGCGTGAAGGCGGGGGAAGGGCAGCTATTTTCAGAGGCATGCGGCTGCTTGACAAACAGATGTGGGAGAGGTTTCAGTTTCCCTGGGCAGATGTGAAGCCAGCCCATCGCTGCCCCGGCCCCCTGGACAGCCCCTCAGGGATAGCAGGGAAAAGTAGGATCTCACGGGAAGAGGAAGATGGGATCCCAGGCTTGGGCCATGAGAGTTAATGCTTAATGCCTTTTTTTTTTTTTTAGCAGTTCTTAGAGCACTCATTGGACAAACAGGGACAACTGAGGCTTAAAACCGGAGTAACTTACTCAAATTTTGCCCCAGAAAGGAACACAAGAATCACCCTTCCACATTTCTGCACAGAGTCCTTCCTACCCTTTTACAAAAACTTCAAATGCGATTCTTTTTTTTTTTGAGACGGAGTCTCGCTCTCTTGCCAGGCTGGAGTGCAGTGGCGTGATCTGGGCACACTGCAACCTCCGCCTCCTGGGTTGAAGCGATTCTCCTGCCTCAGCCTCCCGAGTAGCTGGGACTACAGGCACCTGCCACCACACCCAGCTAATTTTTGTATTTTTAGTAGAGATGGGGTTTCACCATGTTGGCCAGGATGGTCTCGATCTCCTGACCTCGTGATCCACCCACCTCGGCCTCCCAAAGCGCTGGGACTGCAGTCTTGAGCCTGGCCTCAAATGTCATTCTTTCAAGCCTAAAGAGAATTTGCCAATTATCATCTCCATTCTACTGATGGGAAAACTGAGGCATTGAGTTCCAATTACAGGCACGGCTGTCTCCTACCCCTGAGTTCTCAGGCCCCTTCCGTTCTCCTTTGTCTCCCCCTGGACAAAGAGAAGAGAGAATTACCTTCAGGAGCTCCTTGGGTGGAGGCCAGGTGACAGGCAAACGAGACTAAGATCCAGGAGAAGAGAAACCCCCTAGAGACCAGGAGACACAAGCAGAGGCGGCATCAGCTTCCACCCCTCACACCCGGATCCGGCTGGGGAAGCTGGGAGTGGAAACCAGTCCCAGTCTCACCCCAGTCCTGCCCACGGGAGGCAGGAGGCCAGGTACAGGCTCTAGGACCCCATCAGAGCAGCAGCCCACTCTTCCCGGCCTCCAGGCACAGCCTCTCAGTGAGGACCTGCTTATATAGACAAACACAGCCTCACTTCTCACAGATCAATTAGCCAACGTCAACGGGGAAGAAGCAGTGCATAGAAAGCCCTGCCCTGGTCATTGGAACATCTAGGGTCCAGCTCAAAATCTGATGCTGACTCAGTGAGCAACCAGGGGCCAGCCCCTCCCCTTCTCTGGGCCTCAGTCTCCCCATCTGTACTACAGCCTCATGATCTTTAGACCCTTCCCCAGACCCCAGCCAATGGGCAGCAGAGCCAGGGGTGAAAGGTCAGCGGGAAGACCAGGCTGGACTGCTTGGGAGACCAATTCCCACACAGGGCAGGAGAGAGGAGACCCCTTAACCAGAACCAGTGCTGTGTGAAGGCAGCTCCCAACTTGGCTTTATCCTAATGGAAAGTGGGAGAAAGAAAACAGAGGGGACGAGGGGGAGTTAGACAGAGCCACGTGCAAACCTGGCCTTGTCACTTATCAGCTGTATGACCCCGAATGAGTTGCTCAGCCTCTCTGAGCCTGTCTTATCTTCTGCAACATGGGCTGATATTCCCTATCTCACAGGCCGGGCATGAGGATTCAAT
Organism: Homo sapiens; assembly: GCF_000001405.40. Classification (NCBI taxonomy): domain Eukaryota; kingdom Metazoa; phylum Chordata; class Mammalia; order Primates; family Hominidae; genus Homo; species Homo sapiens. Next base: position 114,161,937 of record NC_000009.12, on the reverse strand, counting down.
AAGCTCATGCATGGCAAGGGCTCAGTCTGCTGCCAGCCACAAAAATACTCCCCTAGATGGTCCCCACTGTCCCTACACTCTAGGGCCAGGAAGGGTTAAAGCTCTGCTCTGTGGCTTTTGCCAAGATGGGCAAAGGCAATGATACAATTTCACCTTCCTGTGGGAGCAGCCACCAGTGACACCCGAAGCCACCTGGGGTATCTGATCCCCAGGCAGGCAGAGGGGAGGCCGGCACGTGGCCAGAGACAGGCGGGACACAGGCAAGAGAGCTGTGTCAGGTGGGTGGTGAGGGCTAAGGCTGGGACAGACAGGCCCAGGATGTATTTCCAAGAGGAAAGCTAGGATAGTGTGCTTCTGTGGAATCACATAATCTAGGAAACCTGTCTGCCAGGGTTGATAACTGGAACCCTAGGTTCTTCCCAGACTCCCTGGGCACCTTAGACGACAGCTTCTGTCACTGTGGGCATGGTGAAGACACTGGTGATTACATGCCCACAGCATCCCTCCTTCCTGCTTGCTCACGTAGGCATGGACTTAGAGGATCCTACATGAATCTGGATAAATCTAAGTTGATCCCGAGAATTTCATTTGCCATGCCAGTGACTGGTTTAGGCATGCATATATGACCCAAATGAGGCCAATAAGAGGTGAGGGATGCCTGTTAGGGACCCTGGGAAAGCATTTCAAAGGGACAGAGAAGGTTTTCTTCAAGTCTTTATATGTTGTTGAGTAAGGACATACTGCTCGGAGCTGCTGCAGTCATTTTGGGCACATAAGGTAACAAGCCCCATGAGCACGTGAGGATAGCAGAACAGAAAAATAGTGGGTGTCTGAAGACACTGTTGGGATGCTGAATTCACCAACCCTAGTACTGCTCTTCCTTGAGGCCTCTTGATATGGGAATAACCCCCCTTATCGTTTAAACTATTTTGAGTTGGGTCTTCAGTTACTTGCAGCATAATGTAAACCAGCTGAAATAGCACTCAGACGCCAGTGATGGTCCCCTGAACGCCTTCTCCAGCTCTGGGCTTTTGCACATGCTACTCCCATCATGTAGACACTACTCCTTTGCCTGGTCAGTTCCTACACATCCATTAGATCCCAGCTTGGGTGTCACCTCCCGCAGCTCACTGCACATGCCACACTACAGCAGGTCTCACATGTGTGGTCATTGTCTACTCTCCTATTTCCCTGTCTAGACGAAGTCTCTAAAGGGCAAGGATGCCTGTCTTATTCACTCTTTTTTTTTTTTTCATTTTTTTTTTTGAGACAGAGTCTCACAGTGTTGCCCAGGCTAGACTTGAACTCCAGGGCTCAAGCTATCCTCCCACCTCAGCCTCCCGAGTAGCTGAGATTACAGGCATGTGCCACCATGCCGGGCTTATATTTCCAGCCCCTGGCAGGCACACAGGAAGTGTCCAGTATATTTTTATAAGATGAATTAATATCACCTGATATGACAGGACTCTAGACTTTAAAAAACGGCCGGGCACGGTGGCTCACACCTGTAATCCCAGCACTTTGGGAGGCCGAGGCAGGCGGATCATGAGGTCAGGAGATCAAGACCATCCTGGCTAACACAGCGAAACCCCATCTCTACCAAAAATACAAAAAAATTAGCCAGGCGTGGTGGCGGGCGCCTGTAGTCCCAGCTACCTGGGAGGCTGAGGCAGGAGAATGGCGTGAACCCAGGAGGCGGAGCTTGCAGTGAGCCAAGTTCATGCCACTGCACTCCAGCCTGGGCGACAGAGCGAGACTCTGCCTCAAAAAAAAAAAAAAAAATAGACTTTAAAAAGTGTCTTCCCAAAGCCTTAATTCCCCTACTCTGACTTTTTCCAGAATTGCTCCAAGATAATCCTTGGTCCTTCCTCTTCATCCTCTCCAATCTGCTGCCACTGTTGTGAGAATGCCTTTTCATGGGGCCAGGCCCCCAGCTCACCATGGGCAACGACTAAAGGTCAAAGTGTCAAGCTGCCCTGGGGTTGCCTGGGGAGAAGGGCAGGGCCAACCTTTCTGGCATGACTTGCTTACTTGAAGCAAATGGCAATAGCATGAGCCCTGGAGAGAAATAAAAGGCAGCTTTGTTTAATTACACAAACGGAGAATACCAAGGCTCAGGGAAGGCAGGTACTTCCATCCTGGGCAACGTCTGGGCTCATAATTCTTCAGTAGTATTTCCCACACCCACCAGGGACATGCTTTCTAGGAAATTGGCCAGATACATTAGGGAAGAGCTGTACCCTGCATCCCAGTCTTGACAATCCGGAAAGCACAACTGTATATCAAAGGCTCGGAGAAATCCTGCAATAAAGAAGTTGACTGTACTTTCTGTCATTCAGCAGTCCCCAAATTTAGAATCATTTTTTCCATGAATGCCTCCTCAGAGGAGACTACCCCTTGCCTTCCTGTGTTCCTGCGATCCCATTTATTTCTGTTCCATCTCCTTCCAGCCCCCTCTCTTCCTGGCCCTTGTCTGGCACCTGCCCTCACTCCTTGAGTCCTTCATTGGATTATGTCACATACCAAACTTCCTAGGAAGTTTCCCAAACTGATAAAGAAAGGCGAGGTGGGGAAGAGAAGGTACAAAAACGACACATGTCCTTCTCGGTCAGTTTCCCTGGCTACAGCTATACCAAAATGACTACTCTGCAGAGAATTAGAGGGCAAATCCTTGTAATCTCTGAAAATCAGGAAGAAGAAGTCCACAGGAGACATGGAATCAGAATCTTCTCTTCAATTAAGCTTCCTAACACCATGGCTTCCAACTTGAGGACTTCAGCCCTGAAGGCCTATTACAGAAGTATTCAACCTCCATTCATTCTCCCTGACAAATGCAGCTGACCCTCTTGGAAATGGATTCTGTGTGCACTTGACCCATAAACTTCCCAAGTATAGAGCATGTCAGAGTGGAAGAAGGCCATTTAAGATCATCTAGGGGTCAGATTCTAGTCCTCTCTCTCCCTTCTTTGAAAAGATGCGTAACTGAGGCCCAGAGAGGGCAAGTTACTTGCCCGAAGTCACACAGTGCTTCAAGTCTATGACTTAACAGATAGTCCTTTTCATTTGACTTGTCTCCATGGAGCAGAAATTGGAGACTTGCAGGGACTTCCTACTTGCCAGAGACCCGAGCCCCAGCCTTCACCAGCAGGAACAGAGATGCAACCCAGGGAGCCAACGAGCCATCTAAGTCAGCTCCAGGCCTGGAAAGTTGGCTCTCAGAGGGAGGCCCTGCCGATTCTTTTGCTCCCGTTCCAATCCTGTTTAGGCTACTGCTAATCATGGTTAGTGCCTGTGCTGGCTCAGGGCTTTGTTCTTCCAGACTTCTGTTTTCACCACTTGTCTTGTGGGCCTTGTCTCTGCAAACCCAGGGCTCCAGAATGTCAGGAAGACCAGAGCACAGAGGCCAGGGAGGCCAGGAGGCAGCCGAAACGGGAGCCGCGAGGAAACATCACATGGAAACATCGTCTGGCCACACAGCCCTCCAAAGAGGAAACCCAGGTGTTTCTATGCCCTTGCAAAAGGCCCTCTGCCAGTGCACCAAATGGGGCTACTCCTGGGTAACCACACTGCCAGAACCGGCAGACTGCTTGGATAGTTTTCTTCCATCCTTATTACCTGGAAACACACAGGATCTTAGAAACCCACACCAGCTTCAACAGTCACTGAGGGCTCTGAGCTGAGACCCAGGCCACAGAAACACACAGGGAAAGTGGCCCTGTGGACACTAGGCTTGGCTGTTCACGCATGGGGTAAAAGCTGAAAAGGGAGCTAGCTGGAACTACAGCTCATCAAGTGGGGTGGACCTGTCCCACCTGCCTCCATGGACTGGCCAGACCCCCTGTGCCCAGACGGCTATGCCTGGGCTTTCTTCACAGCTTCCACGTCCTCCATGGGAACACAGACAGGTCATCGTCTGGAGAGGATGCAGCCCAGAACTTTCCCATTGACTCACACACCCATTCAACATGAAGGGAATAATACAAATACCAGCTGCCGTTTACTGAGCACTTATTACATGCCAGGCCCTGTTCTAAGCCCTTTACAAGCATGGTCCTGTTCATCTTCACAAAACCCAGCCAGCTAGGAATAAGGTGCCGGTTTTGTGGAAGAGAAAAACAAGCAGCAGAGTGGCTCACCCAAGCTGGCACAGCAGAGTTAGGATTCAAACTCGAGCCTGCCTGATGGCAAGCCTCATGGCCCTCCTGTGGTGCCGCCTGCCTCCCACCAACATGATTCTGTGAGTGTCTCACTGCTGTCCCCTACCACCAGTGGATATGTTACTCTGCGTAGCCAAGCCAGGCATGTGGGTATCAAGAGGGTCCCTGGACAGAGATGGAGGAGAGAAAATGCCAACAAAGAACAGGGGAGTGTGCTCAGAAAGGGACAGAGACCACCAGGAGGCTGCTGGCTGCTGAGGGTCCGCAGCGCTGGTGGAGGCACAGGAGAGGGAGAATGTTCTGAGTACAGGGAGGAAACAGAAGGAGGCAGAGGCCAGGGATGTGTCCATAGACATGACATGGAGTTTGGTCCGGCCAGAAGGGTCCAGGAGCAGAGGCATGCTGGAGAGCAGAGGCATGCTGGAGAGCAGAGGTATGCTGGCGCCAGAGCGCACATGATGCAGGACAACGTGATGTCAAGGGAGGCAGGGAGGCAGGAGAAGGCAGAGACTGGGCCTCCGAGCAGTGTTGACTGCCCACTTGCCCACAGCTGGAGCCCCACCATGGGGTGCTCGCCTGGCACCACTTTTCTGCCCAACTGCTGGCATCTACCCTGGCGCAGGGTCTTCTGGAGAAAATGAGTCAGCAGTGTGCTCACTGGTGCCGCGCGCGCGTATGTGTGTGTGTGTGTGTGTGTGTGTGTGTTGTGGTGAGGGGGTGCGGGGCGGGGGAATCGCAAACAGCCAGCTTTTTCCAAGACATGGGGAAGAAAGGAGGGGGTGTCATCCCGCGGACTCCAGCTCAAAGGGGGCAGGGCCCAGCTACAGCCCTAACAGCCTCTGGGGAGTGTCCTGGTGTCCTGGGGGCAGGATGGAAAGAGAGGAGCGCCGTCCACAGGCCCCAACGGGCTGCTTGCATGCTGCTGGCTCCCACACACACCCACACGCTGCGCCGGCTCCAGCACAGGCTCACTCTCTCTTACAACTCCTACTCCACACGCTGGGAATCCCAGCCTCTGGGCCCCAGCTCCGCGCAGCCGCTCCTGGGAGAGTCCCTGCCCCTCTCCGGCCCTGTCTCCCGATCTGTACACTGAGGGGTTCCGCACAGTGATCGCCCAGGGCCCTTTCTGCTCTGACATGCTGGCTCTCACTTTTTCTCTCTTACACACGTGAAAGGGACAGGAACCGAGAAGCAGGAAACACAGACACACAGACCCAGGCCGACTAACACAAACACGCGGAGATTTCCAGAAACGCGGGGACGTGCAGAGCCACACAGACACGGAGACAGGAGCAGAACCCGAGACCTGGTGACCTAGAAACTTGCGGACAATTTCACAAGAACAGATAGAAACGGAGACGTACAGGCTTGGGACCTGCAGACACTGAGACACCGGAACACACCGAGACGGCCCCAAACGGAGACCCCCCTCCTCCCCCAAGCATCCAAAAAGCCCCCCTCCGCACCCCGCCGGCCGCTCCAGGCGCCACCACCCACCCCCACCCCCGACCCCCGGGCTGGCTCTGCCCCCGCCCCAACGGGATCGGGCAGCCGGGCCAGGCGCGGCAGGGCGGGCAGCGTTCGCCAACTCTCGCCCGGCCGGGGGCGCAGCCCCTATTAACCCTTGGCGTCCCGCCTCGCGGGGGCGCAGGAAGGGGCAGGAAGCTGACGTTCCGCTGGAAGCGACCGCATGGCGGGGAACCCCGGCCCTCCCCGAGATTGGAGCAGCAGGAAGCTAGGGAGGGGGCGTCCCCGAGTTCGTACTCACCCCCCGCGCGCCGCCGCCGCCGCCGCTGTGCCTCGGGCCCCCCGCGCCGATCCCGCTCCCATGGCAGGCCCCTACTTCATGCTCCCGAGCCCGGGGGGCAAGTGTGGGCGCGCCCCATGGGGCCGCCAGCCCCCCGCCCCGCCGCGCCAGGCCGGCTTAGAGCGCGCGGCCCCCGCGCCCCCAGCGCAGCCCCGCGCCCAGGGGCGCCCGAGCAGGCAGGCAGCGCGGCTGGGGCCCCGCGGGCGCCCGCGCCAGGCCCATGGTCCCAGGAGTCCGGGCGCCGCGCTCGCCCCTGCCTCGGTCCTTTTCTGCTTCCACCAAAAAGGAAGAAGAAGCAAGAAAAAGAGAGAGAGAGATGATCAAACTTTTGGAGGCGGGCTGCTGGCGGTCCCCGGAGGCAGAGCAAGGCCGGGTGAGGGCGCGCGGAGGGCGGTGGAAGCTGCCTCCCCGCCGGCCTGGGGGAGGAGAGGAAAAGGAAGGATTTGGGGGAAATGAAGGCGATTTAAAGTCTCGGCCCGCGGTGGCTCTCCACCTTCCCTCCTCCCCGCTCCCGGCCGCCCTCTGCTGCCCCCTGCTGCCCCCTGCCGGCCGGAGCCAAGGGTACAGCCTCAGCTGGCCCACTACAGCCCCGATGGGACACCCGCCCCCCTCCTCCTTGTATAGATGGGGAAACAGATTCACAGAGAGGAAGGGGCTGCCCAGGGCTTCACGGTGATTTGATCACCGTTCTGAGATTAGGAACTTCTGACTGGTGAGGCTGGGGGTCCTCCAATGGGGGGTTGGGGTAGGGGAGAAGGGCCAAATTCTACTCCTGGAAGAAACCCACAGTTTCAGGGACGGAGCTAGGACCAGAACTTGGTGTCCAGACGCCCACGACAACCAGTATCGTGATCCCCACCGCCCACCAAAAGTTTGCGCTCCCAGACTCGGAGCGCCCTGGAGAACATATAGGGTGGGCTTGTTAAGGGTTTGCCACCCTCTCTCTCCCTTCTGTCAGCAATTGGAATCTAACCGCACCCCACCACCACCACTAACCACGCACCTCCCCAGAATCGACAAAAACTCCCTCGGATCCCATCCGGGAGCTAAGAGCTGCACACCTTGGCCCCCGGGCAAATTCTCACACCCAAAACTCCAGTCCAGCCCTGGGACCACAGCTCCCTCCGCCTCTACCACCTCTTGCCACTCGTTCACGAGCAAAGTTACACTTATTCACCGGTGCACACACACACTCCCACACGTATCCACCCTTTCCCCAAACTCAGACACACGCTCACACACGGTCCCATTCTGGGACAGCCACGCACCCTTCCTAGGTTCACACGAAACGCATCCTCAGATATCTGGGCTCAGGCGCACGCTGATACTCTACACTCGCAGAAGCATGCACACGGATGCTTACACAGGCACAAATGCACGCTATCCTGGCCATATCGCCCCCACACATGTACACACCCCGGGTGGACACACGCGCGCACACCCTCACTTGCACACAGTTCTCCGAGAGTGCCCACCGCACATGTGCACACACGCATTCACTCCTCACGCGTGTACCCACCTCCCCATACGCGCACACCTTTAGGCGCGCGCACACACAGGCATATAACACTTCGCACCGCTCCAGGAGCCCCCAAGCACTTACTGGGTCCCTACGTGCGAGGCTGGCCGGTCGGTCCTTCCTCCGGCGCCTAACGGCATTTGTATTCATGGGTCCCCGCAGCCGTGGGCGCGGGGGCGGGGGGCGAGGTCCCCTTCCCTAAACGGGGCGCGGGCGCGCGGAGCGCAGCGGCACCGGGAGGGGCATGGGCGCGCGGGACTGCGCCGCCGACCCGGTCCGCCTGCGCTCGAACTTCGGCAGCTCTGCGTCCACGGGCTCCGGCGCGGGCTCCGAGAGCTGGGGGCGGCTCATAGGTGCTGGGGCGGCGGCGCCCGCCGGGCCTTTTGAAGTCTCCGCTGGGGGCGGGGAGGGGGCGCTGAAGGCGGCCTTTTAAACCCTGGCTGCACGCGGGCTCGGTCGAGCAAGGTGTCTGGTTTCAACAAACTTTAGGAAAAGTCCCAAGCCGAGAGAGGGGAGGTAGGGGGGTTGGGGGAGCTGCATAGCTGTGCGCTGCTTCCTGCAGAGGGCAGAGCACCCATGGCTGCCAGGAGGGAGGCCAGTCGCGGGACTGGGGAACTGGCAGGCTGCTGGCCGGCGCGTGGAACCACCCCCGCCACCCCCGCACCCCCAATGTTGAACCAGAGTTCTTAACTTCCATGTGCACGAACCCCAGGGAGTGCAGGAACACCCCCAAACTGTGCACAAATTGAGCATGTTTGTGCATTCTTCAGGGGAGAGGGGCCGTGGGCTTTCCTCCGGTTTTCAGAAGTCCACGGCCCCCTAAGGTTGAGAACTCCCTCTTCAATCATAACTGATGTTTTTTTAGTTGCATACTTGGTACCATGCAGACCCTGTCTTTATTTACATTTTAGATATTTTGTTCATTGTGGGGTTTTGCATTAATTTTGATACTTTTAAAAATATTTTAAAAGTAAAAAATTAAAATATTATTTTGATTACTTAGGGGTTTGGGGCACTGCTTTGGGCAATTTACCTCCGTTGCTGAGTTTTCTTGGCATCTCCTGGTATGCTGCATCTCTGCATGTGCCACACCCTAGTCCAGACCCTGACCCACACAGTGCTGGGGTTTAAGGGAGGCCTGCTTTTTTCTCTCCATTTACAGATGGGAAAGCTGACATAAACGGGTAGGTGGTAGAGGTGGGATTTGAACCCAGGTAACCTAACTCCAAACTTCTGCATCTTGTCATAAGGATCCAAATCTTAGGCTTTAAGGGGTTCTGTGCAGATCCTCAGCAGCCTCCCCAGCTTCAGATCCGGCCTCCTGAGCTCCAGTCTCTCTGATACCTGCACCCAGGCTCAGGTAAGCTTGACTACTTCGATGCTTTCTCCATACTGTTTCCTCCCAGGTTCTCCCTCTGCCCCTTTTCTGCCTGTTCACAACCTGGTTATTCTTCTAGGTGCAGGCCAGAGCTCACCTGACTCTGGTGAGCTGCTCTGCCCTACACCGGGATTGCAGCACACATCACATGGCGCTGTCATTGTCAGATCCATCTCTGTGTCCCCACACCCAGCCTGACACATGGAGCCTGGGATACAATAGATGCTCAAACCGTTGGTAATTTAAATAAGTTATTTGTTTTAACTCCTACAGTATGCAAACCCCTGTACAAGACTCTGGGGGAAAAGGGTCTGCCACTGTGGGGGCAGGGACAAAAATTTCCATATGGTCCTGCCTTCTGGTCATGCACGCATTTGTAATGTGGACAGGAGACACGCACAGCAACTTGGGGTAGGGAAGAGAGTCTGGATGGGAGACATCAGACATCACTATGTCATGGAGAACCCCCTGCAACTGCATAAAGGTAAGATAATATAAGGAGAATGTGATAAATGCCACCAAAGAGATGCAGATCAATTGAATTGTGAAGCTGATTAAGGGATGGAAAGAAACCGAGGAAGGCCCCCAGGAGGAGGTGGCATTTGGATCTTAAAGGGTGTGTTGGATAAATGTGCAGCCACAGAGGAGAAGGACATCTCCGGTGAAAGAGTCACAAAAAGACCAAGAGGACAGAGTTGGATTTCAGGCAGGTTTTGAAGGAGGATTGAGGCGGTGGGGCCCAGTGAGAAACTGGGGAAACTGTCCAGTTCTCCCCACTGTATTGTGTGGGTGATACCACACGACTCACTGTCCACAAAGCCATTTCCAGGCAAGGGACTGCATTTCCTGAAAGGTCAGGCAGGCAGCAGGTCAGTGGCTAAGCACCAAGGCCTTTCCAAATTTCACTCACAAATGTGAATAGGCAAGGCTTAGTGCCAGGGAATGCTGCCTGCTTCACCCAGGTCAGCCCAAAAGACCCGTGAGAATGCTATGAGAACCCAAAAGGATTGAGGACATCCCCTCTCAGAGCCTCACTCTGCCCATCTGTAAAATAGGTGCATCAAACGTGATGATCTGTGTGGGCCCTTTGAGCTTGGAGGCATGAGACTGTCCTTCAACAAGAAATCCAATTATGTATGTGAATATTGAGGGCTAACTGCATTTTGCTAGGTCGGGAGGGAAATGAGGCTCATGGCCTTCCAGGAGCTCATGGGCAGCTGAGAAGAGGAGGCAGGGACACTGGGGAGAATTCCAAGGAAGGGCCTTGTATCCTGCCTCTGCCGTCTCCCCACAAGCAGTCTTCCTGCCAGGCAGGTTCTTGGCGCAGAGCCAGTGACTGGGCATGAACTGTTCTGATGGACGTTGAATCTGGAAGACACCAAGCCATTACCCACCCTTCAAAGGGGACAGCACACTCACCAAACAGCCCTAAGGGGCCCATTTCTATGGGGCAGAAGGCAGTAAGCCTGGGAACCAGGTGGGCAGGGGCTGCCAGGCCTCTGTAGATGCCTCAGGATGAGAATTCCTGGCCTGGTGGGGACTTTCAGGGAACACATAGTTTGTTCCCTGCTCAAGCAGCTCAGCCATGGACCCATCGGTCTCTGTGGCACATCTGCCTTAGGAGAAGCTGTTGGTTGCAATAGCTTTAATGTTGGGCACACAGTAGATGCTCACAAAATATTTATGAATGAACCACTAGATGAAGTGTTTGTTTTGTTTTGTTTTGTTTTGTTTTTTGGTAGAGACAGGGTCTCACTTTGTTGCCCAGGCTGGTCTTGAACTCCTGGGCTCCAGCAATACTGCCACCTTGGCCTCCCAAAGTACTGGGATTACAGGCATGAGCCACTGCACCTGGCCCTAGAGGAAGTCTTAACCTGCAGGACAGAGGTTGCATACTGCCCCAAGTATCAATCCACGTCCGTTTACCCACCAAGCTGCTTCTGAAGACCCACTGTGCACCAGGCTGGGTTTTCTGCTCTAGAAGCGCTATGGTCTGAGGAAGGAGGCCAGCAAAGAGAAAGACAGATAAAAAATGCAGGTCAGGAAGTCCTGCCTCAAATCAAGCCTGTTTAAGTGGTACTGCAGGGCTTGGAGGAGAACCAGATTCCTCCCACTAGGAGAAGAGCTAGAGTCTGCCAGTCTTTCCAATACCCTGCACTGCTGTGGGCATACCAGGCTGGGTCTTTCTTTCATTTGGCGGCCCCACCCTGCGTGTAGCAAAGGATACGCACACAATACATGTCTAACCATGGAGTCATTCTTTCCCTGGTAGGGAGATGCTGTCACGCATCAGGCCCTGAGCTGGCCACTGGCAAATACAAGCTGTGGTCCCTGCTGGACGCGGCTGCCTTGTTTAGCTTCTGACAACAACACAAAGCACAGTGCCTGGCACATAGGAAGTTCTCCACAAGTGCTGAGCGAATGACGGAATGAAGGCCTGAATGAAAACATGAAAGAAAGTAAATTCAGCAGATTAGACCAGGTTAACCCCCGCTGCCACCTCCTCCCTCTCCTCCATGATGACCCTCACCCACCAACAGATATTTGTTAGGCACGTGCAGACCCAAAGCATATGGAAGACCCGATTTTAGGTGCTGTAGATATACTGAAGAGCATACACACAAAGCATCTGTCTTAACAGAGGAAGAGGAAATACACAAATCTGTTATATGACATCAGGTTGTAATGAGTGCTATGAAGACCTCTAAGCAGGGCGTGGAGTGGCAGAATGATGAGTGGGGCCATTTTATTTAAATAGGGGCTATTTTATTTAAATATCACCTTCTCTGAGGAGGTGATGTTTAAGCAGGACAGAAAGAATGGGGGGAAAGAAATGAGCGAGTGAGTCACGTTCAGCAGAAGAACCATGGGAAGGCAAGAATGGGTCCCCACTGACTTTTCATTCCTGTAATTCCTTGGTTAAATGTAGACCTTACATTCCCTGAGGGCAGGAGCTGCTCTGCCCTGCTCATGGCGGTATTCCTAACACCCAGGACAAAGCATTTTGGTAAAATGAACTGAATTCCAGGCTGGAGTGAGGCAGATTCTAATAGTGTCTCTCTCACCCCCTCCAGGCAATGTGGGCCCATTTCTCTCCCCAGGGCAGGTGGCTGGAGTCAGTGCTGGCTGTCCTCATGGCCCACTGGTCTCCTAGGGCCTGGGTTCTGCCTGCAGGACTACGTCACTCTGGCCTGGTGGCTGCCAAAATTCCAAACACAATCACTCTACCAGAAGGAATAAGGGCAGAGGTCAAAGAAGCTCCCAGGCCACCATTGGGAGGGCAGCACCTTCTAGGCACATGGTCCCACCATCTGGGCCCTTCTGCCTCTTCCCCTCTCTGGGTTTATTTCCCAAGGGCTAGGCCAAGTGGCAAAGGGCTGTGAGATCCAAAGCCCACTTATGGTGGCCAACACTGACCCAGATGTGGGGCCCCGTGAGACTTTTCAGACCTGGAGGAACCTATGGAGCTGCCTAGCCCAAATTCCTCATTTTACAGGTGGGGAAACTGAGTCTCAGAGATAGCATTCATGATTTTCTCAAAGCCACACAAAGTTAATGGTGGGGCTGGTGTGAAGAAGCAGGGCCCCCCACCTTTGTGTCTAACCGCAGAGGGTCAAACCTGTCTCTCCAGCCTTCAGCACAGTTAGTCATCCTTGGAAGAATTAGATCCATTTTCCAGATGTGAGCACTGTGGCAAGTTAAGGTCTCTGGCCTCTGCCCGGTAATGTGTCCGGAACCATTGGCTATACCAGACAAGCCATTAGTGATGAGTTCTGGGCCACCCCCAGCAGCCCAGGGTGGGGATGAAAGCAACTGATGATTTCAGGCCTTGGCTCCTGTGGCCACCTCCGCCTAGAAATGCCCTTCCTGCTCTTCTTCACTGGAGTCCTGTCTCGGTGTTCCCTCCGCTCTGCCATGCCAGCCCCCATCCTGCCTGGTACACCACACACCTATACAACAGGGAGCCCTGCAAGGCTACGGCTATGTCTTATGTCCATAGAACCCCTCAGTAAATCTTAGATGGACAAAGGAAAGAAGGGAGGGAAGAATCAGGGAAGGAAGGAGGGAGGGAAGAGAGGCAGAGCTGGGGGTGGGTTGACCATCATCCAAGGACATCCCTGCAACAGGGGCGGACACTGTTGTTGTGTCCTTGCTAACAGAGTTTCATCTTCATCCAACCTCTTTGTCCTTCAGTGGAGACCGTGTCCCTCCCAAACCCCAAGGGTTGAACCCTATTTGAACAAAGCCTAGCATGGTGGCCTCCTTCCTCTGGCCAGTGAGTGGCTTGGTCATGGACACTAGACACAGTCGGGCCACTGAGATATGAGAAGAATTGCATATGCTGAGGCCTTCTGAGAAAGTTTTCCCCACCTTTACAAGTGGACACAGACCAGCGACATGTCCCTTTCTGCCCTTTGGACTTTGGGGGATGAGATTGTACTGTGTGGAGAGGCTGCAGTCATCTTGCCACTATGAGGTGACAAGCCCTAGGTCCATGGCCAACAGACTGAGGGTGGCCAAGAGGAAAGGCAGAAAGAATGGGATCCTGGCTGGGTGCAGTGGCTCACGCCTGTAATCCCAGCACTTTGGGAGGCTGAGGTGGGGGGAACACTTGAGGTCAAAAGTTCGATACCAGCCTGGCCAACATGGTGAAACTCCGTCTCTACCAAAAATACAAAAATTAGCTGGGCGTGGTGGTGCACGCCTGTAATCCCAGCTGCCTGAGAGGCCAAGGCAGGAGAATCGCCTGAACTCAGGAGGTAGAGGTTGCAGTGAGATGAGATTGCGCCACTGTATTCCAGCCTGGGCAAGAGAGCGAGACTCCATCTTAAAAAAAAAAAAAAAAAAAAAAAAGGAAAGAAAGAATGGGATTCTTAAAAACATTATTGAGATGCTGAATTAGGCACTGTTGGACTGACCTTTTTCAAAACAAGTGTCCCTCATTGTTGATGCCACTTTTAGTTGAGCTTTTCCCCACTGGCAGCTGAAAGCATCCTAGCTTATATATCAATGGAACAAAAACTTTGGTCTGTACCAAACAGACCAGGGGATCGCAATGACAGTGATAATAAAATAATAATCCCTTCCTCCATTCATGGCTGAAACAATGTCACATTTAGCATTTTGGGTTGCCATGCAACAACCCCATCAGGTTGACAAGACAGATATCTGCATCTCTGATTTAGAGATGAATAAACCAAATCCAAAACAAAGGGTCTTGCCCAAGTTCAGCCAGCAGCAAGGTGACAAAACTGGGACTAGAACTGTGGCCCTAAGTCCAGTGTTCATTACACTATACCAAGACTCCTGTGTGTGTGTGTGTGTGTGTGTGTGTGTGCGTGTGTGTGTGTATGGGAGTGTGTGTGTGCACGCACGCGCATAAGCAGGGGATGAATTCCCTTCACAATGCAAGGAGTAGCCAGTCAGCGACAGCCGGTGACGGAACCACTAAGTGAATTTCAGAGTTGAAAATTCACCCAGTCCAGTGCCTGGTTGGTTCCATGATGTGGTCAGTCAACTCTTATGTGGCAAATCTGCTGTCAGCCACATTGGAGAGTCAACTGTGTTAGAGAGACATCATTCTCCCTCCTCTAGCTGCAATCTGCACTCCAAGATCTTGGCTGCCTCATTACCCCATGCCCAGACCACGCAATGTGATACACTACTGCTTGCGGGTAGTTCCAGGAAAAGTTGGATGCTTCCCCTTGTCACAAAATGAGGACAGAGGAGCCACACACACACACCCCACTATGCCTCCCATCCAAGAAGCCATTTCTGCAAAGAGCTTTTCAGATGCATCTCCAACTGTTATCATGCTAGAGCTCCTTTTACAGTGACTATCGAGAAATGCAACTCTGGAATCAGCTGAAGCCTGACTGTGTGGCTCCAGTCACTCTCTGAAAGTAACACCCTTGCCTTCCCCACAAGCCCTCCTTTTTCCAGTCCCAGCATTCTCACTTCCGCTAATCACTCCTCATCTGGTACCCCTTTCATATCTTCCATCATTGTCTCCTCCAAGCGCATTGCAGTCAGTACCCAACTACTGCCAAGTGACCACAGCAAAGCTCGAGGGTTTGGGTGGCATCTGGCTAGCACAGAGTTGAGCAAGACTATCACCTCCTCCCATATATAATCTATGCTCCTGTTAATGCAACCTGAGTGCATGTTAGCTTTTTTGACGACCACACCACAACATTCACACTGAGCTGATGACCATTAGAAACTCCTAAGATTTTCTCATGTGCCTTCTCTGGTGCAGTAAAGTTTTGTCCCCGAGTGGAGTCCTTATTAAGTATCATCTATCCTTTTCGCCTATCTGGATTAATGCTTATTGAATATGTGGCTTAAGGGTCTGTGACTGCATGACCTTGTTAAGGCATGAAACATACAGATAAATAGTGTTGCTTAGAGGAGTTTCAGGGTGGTTCGTGCCAACTTGTCAGCATTGTTTTCTAATAACAAGGGACTAACAATTTGTACCTGGCCTTCGTGAGACCCCTGGAGGGAACTGCCACTGGCGCTGGTTTCGTAGCAAGAATATACCTCAAATGACCAAACAGGAATGAAAAACTTCAGGTGAGACTCCCATGTGGGGCTCCTGGGTTCTAGGTATTCCATACTCACGTCTGTGCTTCTGATCTGAGAGAGGAAGTGCATATTGGTATGGCCTTTCAAGGGGAGGACAATGCGGGCTCACGCCTGGCCTCTCCAGACCCCTTGCTATGAGGTGGTCTTTAGCTGTGAAGCAGATTCTTACGTTAATGCAGTTGCAATGTTGTACCCTTTTCCTGAAAGAACTGTAGGTGTGTACACATTGTCATTTTGAGTCCTGTGGGCCTTCCTTGCAGCCAAGCCCTAATTGCTATCCTTAGGGCAGGATCCTACCACAGCCTCAGGCGTTTATACAAGCAAATGGGAGATGACAGGCTGAGTGCAGTGGCTCACGCCTGTAATCCCAGCACTTTGGGAGGCTGAGGAAGGTGGATCACTTGAGGTGAGGAGTTCGAGACCAGCCTGCCAACATGGTGAAACCCCGTCTCTACTAAAAATACAAAAGTTAGCCAGGCAATGGTGGTGCATGCCTGTAATTCCAGCTGCTCAGAAGGCTGAGGCAGGAGAAACGCTTGAACCTGGGAGGCGGAGATTGCAGTGAGCCGAGATCACACCACTGCACTCCAGCCTGGGTGACAGCACAAGACTCTGTCTCAAAATATTTTTTTAAAAAATTTTTAGAAAGAGAGATGACAACAAATGCTCTAATAGGTAATCAGAGGTGGGCAATACCACTCCTCTCCCTCTTAGATTGGCTAATGTATCATTGAGGGGTATTTCTGCAACCAGATTCCTATTTGGGGTCTCACCTATCCAGATATCTAGGAGGGGTTATGATTTCATATGAAGCCCATTGCCTGAGGCTGGTTGCAGGGTGCGGCCAAGTTGACACACAGCACCACCTTATAGTAGCCATAGGACCTTGAGAAACAGACTCCCTTTACCTCTCTGAGCCTTTGCCTCACCTACAAAATTGGGGGAACTGACATGCACGTCCATGGTAACTATTCATTTCTCCCAACTTCACCAGTCCCTGGGAGGTGAGCTATCAGGTCAAATCCAGCTGATCTTGGCACAATATGCCCCTCAAGCTAATGGGGTCTCCTCTGGTTGCCTTGGACTGCAAAAGCACTTTCCTTCTCTCTTGCCGCCCTTGTGGTCCATGTGGATAGTAGCTAATAGCAGGCTACCTGGTGCAAATCCCAGTTTCCATCTCTGGCTCTATGGTCTTGGGTGTGCTGTTTAACTCTTTGTACCCAAGTTTCTCCACCTTTTGAATTGTGATGATAATAATAGCATCCTCATCTTTTACATTGGTATCTTAATAATAATATCTACCTTGTGCCTAGGATTTGACGATTAAGTAAGCTATTATATATGAAGCAGTTAGAACAGTGTCTAGTGCATGGAAAAAGTCAAATAAATATAGGTTGTATTTATTACTACTATCGTTATTATTGTTTTCTCAGATGGTTTAGGTGCCAGTGGCTTCCGAATAAAACAGCATTCTTGAAGTGAACAGCTGATGAGGACATGAAATATTATGCCAAAGCTGGCATCACACTGTTCTTTTTCCTGGATGAAAATCTCTCTGAGAAGCATTTGCTCTTAACTTTGGTGTCCTGGGGACTGCTGCCTTATCCCAGGAAGCCACCCAGAGTCTTGGATGTGTGGGATCCTTAGGACTTCATGGTAAACCTGCTCTAGTCCCTCGGGTTAGTAAAATGAAGCCCAGGACATCTGAGAGCCCCCAGCACTTCCATAGAAATGGACCAAAATCCCTTCTCCCAGGGGGAGAAACCTGGAATAAGCTCAAGAGGACAGACGGCTAAATTTTCAAGAATCGTGTGAGCTGCTGTTAAACAAGCCATTATTAAAACTTTAATTGTGTAAACTTACAATTAGGTCAGTTATATTAAAAGTAAAAGTGATACATACCCCAAACTCATCTCTTTCAAGTTATTTTACTATATTTTACTGTTTTCTATAGGCTTGAAGTTATTTACATCTACTGTAAGTGTGGGGGTGGAAATTCAATATAATGACACGCTACCAAGCACCTCTTCTCAACTTGGTGTTTAGTGACCTCACCAAGGTAGCTTCAAACAGGCTGTGATGGGAGTATTTACACCTCAGAAATTAGCAAATGCTATTAATTAGGGCTCTTTTCCCCCCAGAGACCCTGGTATTAAGCATTTATTAGCACCTGGGCACAGTGGCTCACGCCTGTAATCCCAGCACTTTGGGAGGCCGAGGCAGGCGGATCACCTGAGGTCGGGAGTTTGAGACCAGCCTGACCAACATGGAGAAACCCCGTCTCTACCAAAAATACAAAATTAGCCAGGCATACTGGCGCATGCCTGTAGTCCCAGCTACTCGGGAGGCTGAGGCCGGAGAATCGCTTGAACCTGGGAGGCGAAGGTTGCGGTGAGTTAAGATTGAGCCATTGCACTCTAGCCTGGGCAACAAGAGCGAAACTCCTTCTAAAAACATTTATTAGCTCACACTTCCATCTCTTACCTAGGCCAGTACTGTGGACAATTCAGAAGCAGCTCCCTCCCTCCTTCTCCACTGGATCTACAGTCGAATCCCTTGAGCATAGACCCAGATCTTGCTCAATTTGGGGTCATGATTTGGTGCCGTGGCCTCCTCAAAACTTCCTTCTTCCACAGCATCACACATTCCAGCTACACTCAGCTCCTTGCAGTTTCTTAAATAAAATACAGGTTTTCCCATTCCTCTGGTGCTTTGCATATTAATTTCCTTCTTTGGCTAGGGTAGGGGGGATGTTTTTTCTCTCCTTTTCTAGATTTTTATTCTGCAAGAGTCAGAAAGTATCTCCTCTGGGGAACCTTTCTTAAATCCCCCACACCTGCCTCATCCCACCCCACTGCAGGCTGCATATAGCAGTGTGTTGGTAAATATTTAACAGCCAACTTTCTGAAAAGGGAGGGAAAAAGTCCTTATTTTTAGCATCTGCCAATTTCCATGGTGTAAAGATGCCCATCGTGGCCAATTTTGAGCTGACAACATGCAGTCTTTGAGAGTAAATTTGGGAAGAGGCGTGCCAGCTGGTCTGGGCCAATTCCAGCACATCACTGACTGGATCAGATGTCTTTTCTGTCTCACAGCAGCCACACCCCCATACAGCCCTCATAATACAGTGCCATGCCAAGCCATGTTGGAGCCTGAAGCAAAAGGAAAAATTAATAACACTGATCCTGTCTTCATTTAAAAGTTTGATCTCGGCTGGGCGCGGTGGCTCATGCCTATAATCCCAGCACTTTGGGAGGCTGAGCGGGGTGGATAACCTGAGGTCAGGAGTTTGAGACCAGCCTGTCCAACATGGTGAAACCCCGTCTCTACCAAAAATACAAAAAATTAGCCAGATGTGGTGGCGCGCGCATATAATCCCAGCTCCTTGGGAGGCCAAGGCAGAAGAATCGCTTGAACCTGGGAGGCGGAGGTTGCAGTGAGCCGAGATTGCACCATCGCACTCCAGCCTGGGGCACAAGAGTGAAACTCCGTCTCAAAAAAAAAAAAACGGTATTAAAATATTATTTATCTTGTTTACTGAGATTTTGGATTTTGGCACCACACTGAATTTGACCCTGAGGTAAGTGTCTTATTCACCTCTTCTCATCCTAGTCCTGACCTAATAGCCCATATCACACTGTTACAATTAATTTCAGTATAGCTGTCTCCCCCACCAACTTGTGAAGTTTAAGGACAGGAATCCATTTTTGTGTTCCTAGGACTTGGCACACAGTAGGTGCTTAGTAACTATTGTCCAGTGAGGAAGTGGATGAGCAGATGGATGAACCAATCACCCAGTTTCTTTGCCCACAAAATAAGACACACTGATGAAAGTCATCCTTGGCTATTAACCAGGGACAGGTGTTAGTTTTTGAGTTTTAGCTCTTCCAGTTCAGCAAAGATTACTCTGCCCCTGACCTATGGAAGCCAGCTCCTGTGCTGGGCATTTTGACCAGGGCTGATCTGCAGACGCCTCCAGCCTGGGGAAACAATGAAGGGAAAATGAGTCTGGAAAGTGGAGACTCCACCAGGACCAGGGGTGAGAAGTCGCAGAGAGGCAGCCATCCCTGAGCCCCCAGGCCTCAGAGCTCCTGCCTCTGGATGAGTCCTAGGAGATTTCCATTTGGCAAGGGCAATGGAAAGGAGATCCAAGCACTAGAAACTTCAGGATGGCTTCCAAGTGTCAAATTTGATGGGTCAGCTGCCGTCTGAGGATACCAGGACTTGTTTCTGTGTGTGGTCACTGCCTCACTCTGAAGACCACCAAAAAAGAGATTGTCTGGAGATGTGGAATCATGGGCTTTGCAGACATCTCACTGGACTCTGGTCTGCATGGGCGTGGACGTTAAGAGGCTCTGTTTACATAAGATTGGCCGTGGCATCTGTTTTTTAAGCACTTGATATCTGCCGGGTCTCCTGTAAAGAGCTTTGCACATATTAGCTCATTGATTACTCACAAAATCCTCAGATGTAGACATTATTCTGCTTCTTTTACAGATGAGTAGCAGAGAAGCTGGCAACCTGCCCAAGGTCTCACAGCTGGTAACTAATGGAACTGAAACACTAACCTAGAACCATCTGATTCTAGAGCCCATGATCTTAACCACTCTATGCAAAGAAAAGGAATTTCGAAGATGGGCCCCTTTCCAGCACTAGTGCCTGTAAACACCAAAAATAGAGGTGGGATTTGGCAGATGCAGTCATTTTTGTCCTTCTCTGAGCTGGCCTTGTCCTCTGCTCTCCGAGCCTGTCCATCACAGAAGCTCCCAGGGTCTCTCCCCCTACCACTCATCCACTTCTCCAGCCAGTGTCCACAGGGGAGTTGAATGTCTCTAAAGGGAAATTCTTCCACTCAAAGACACTCATCTCATTTGGAGGAGTCAGGAGAGGAGAAGGAAGTGAAGAAGCAGTGAGCATCTCTCATCTGCCAAGCTCTATGCACACATTAGGGGTCCTTCTCATCCCAGGACGAGGGGGCAGGTGTTTTTCTCATCCTTATATTAAGGACTTGCATTGTTCAATATAGTAGCCACTAGTCTCATGTAGCTACTTAAATTTCAATTCCTGAAAATTAAAAAGTAATAGAAATTAAGTTTCCTAGTTGCACTAGCCACATTATAAGTACTCAATAGTCCTGGTAGCTACCGTGCATACAGTACAGATATAGAACCTTTCCATCCTCGCAGAAAGTTCTACTGGCCAGCCCTGCACTGAGGAAGACGAGGCCTGTGGGAAAAGGACTCAGAATGACTTGCCTAGAGCCACACAGTGAGTTGTAAACAGAACTGGGATGGGACCCATATTTCTTGCTTCCAAAGCCTCTACTCCCGGAGCTTGGAATATATTTGCCACTGCCTGGCCCCAGAACAAGGAGGATTGTTTGCCTGGGATGGTAGGTCGACTTGGGAAACCAAATAAGAGATCAGAAGACTGCGGGTGAATACCAAAGTGGAGGAAAGGAGCCAGCTGTTCTTGAGGATTATTTTTACCCTGCCCAGATATCCTAGGGAGCTCCCCCCATCCTCCCTTAAAGCTATTTTTATCTCAAGAGCTGGAATTGAAACACTGTCTCCCTTGGATGGACAGAGGGATCCACTAACACATCATCATTCTAGCATCAGGACCCCCGACCCCTGCTTGACAATTTCCAAGGAGGGTTCATATCCATTCTCGAATGCTATTCTCATGCCAGTTCATGAGGCCATGGAGATAGATGCGGAGTACAAGCCCCATATGGCAGCTAGGAAAACTGAGGCTTAAATGGGTGCAGTGAGCTCTTTCAACAGCTCATATGTGTTAGAGCTGGGATTTAAACTCAGGCTTAGGTAGGTCCCTCCTTTCAGGGTGGGGAGTGAATTTCACAGGATGGGTGTCTGTCTGTGGAGTGATGGAAAACAGCCTGGTTTGTTTGCTGAACCTCACATCACCCCTTTCTGGCTGAGCGGACAGATTGCTTGACATCTTTGAGCTTCTCTCTCCTGGTCCATAAGGCAGATAATTCTAATCTTTCTCTTGCCTCCTCCACAGTCTTACTGGAAGTCTGGCCAGTGAAAAAGCTTTTGGTAAATTGGAAAACACCCAATACTCAGAAAAAGACTTTTATTACTATCATTATTGCCCTTATCTTCATTCTAAGGTGTAATCTATAATTGTATACATCTGTACTTGTACGCAGTCTCCGTCCCTTTCTCCTCTTTGGGCCTCAGTTTCCCTGCCTGAAACCTGAGTAGTTTGGCCCAGAGAATCTCCACGGGGCCTTCCTTCCAGCTCCAGCTTACCATTTCTATGACCCATTCATTCAGTCAACAAGTGTTTATTGAGTTCGAGCAGCTTGACACGGTGAGGAAATGAAGGACCAGCCTCTCCAGAAGGCTCTCTGTCCAGGCTGTTTCAGCCACATACGCAAATTTCCTTGTGTTTTCAAAAGACAAATTATGGGAAACATGTTATTCACCAAAACACACTCGCCCCATCTCTCAGGGAGAAAAAAAAAATCCCTTCAATCCCATCAAGAATTAAGCTAACATTGGATAGAAACTCACCCTTGTTCCTCTGGGCATCTTTCCAGAGGCTCACGTCCCTGTTAAAAAAGGGGAAACTGTATGTGGCCGTGTCTCTCTGGGGCTTCTGTAGACCTGGTAAACAACCTGTGTTTGTCCCAGCTCCTGCCATCCTGAGAGATCAGCCATAGCCAGGGGGAAAAAAAGCCGTGTTCTATGCTCAGCCTGTCCCCAGAGTGAGGAAAATTGTCCATAAATATTTTCATCTTCATGATTACCAAGGGAGTTGAGAGGAAGGCTTTGATTCTCCAAGACCCTGGACCCCTCCCTTCCTCTGGGGACCCTGTGGTCAAAGCTGACCTGGGTGTCCCATCTCTCACCCCCAAATTATAGGCTGCTGCCCATGCCGCCTGCCCCCAGGCGGTGGTGGGATTAGAGGTAGGACCACACTGTACCACCACGGCCAGCCTCAGAACTGTTGGAATAGCCTCTCCCAGGCGGCTGGTTTCCTGCCCAGAGCTGGGTGGTCAAGGCAAAGGAAGGGAGGACCCTGAGATGGCCCTGGGGGGTGGGAGATGGTGCTGGGGGCAGGGAGAGGGCCCCCAGGATGGGGGCTGGGAAGAGGCCTGGCATTGCCATCTGGATCTTGAGTTGCTCTGCTCATCAAGGCCACGCAGAAGAGGCCCTGAGAGCACTGCTGACCCAGGGAGGGGTTTATGGCCCAGCAGATCCTTGGAGATTAATGGATTTGCAAGATCCAAAGGAAGAACAGCCGACGGAGGAATTTCAGTGATAGCCGCTGACAAAGACATTCGGGGTCAGGAATCTTGACCCAGAACTCCTAAAATCATCCCACACAGAAACCTCCTGTGTCCTGTCCTTCCTTGCTATAACCTCCTTGCTCTACCTTCTGGAAATTTCTAAAAGGGAATGTTGCATCGGGGTGTCGATCTGACTTGAGAATCTTCAAGGGTCATCCAAGTACAAGGTTCTATGGCGTCTGTGGTTCCTAGATCACTTGAGCCATAAAATTTTATGCCAAAAGTGCTAGACTTCTAATGCCTTTTGATGCCAGAGCTCAGAAGCTCAGAAAACCTGGAATCCTGCCTGGTGCTGATTTTCAGCTTCTATGATTCCATGCTTCTGAGGCTAGGATTTCTGTGATCCTTCAACTCTGTGACCTATTTCAAGGCAGACAAGGATCTTGCACAAGGGGGCGTTCATTCCCGGCAGGGATTACGTGTGGAGGAGCCCCGTGTGGCCAGCTGACCGCTCCTCCAGCTATGATGGGCAGCAGTCCATGGCCCAAGGCTCCCAGAGCCCAGCTCACCTCCTGACTTTTTTGGCCAGATACTCACTTGGCCCTCACCTAGCCCTGAGCAGCTCCCCACAGCCCGCGTCACCAGGTGTGGGCCGGGATGCTGCAGCAGCTGGCACCAATGCCTCAGCCTCTCTCTATCAGCATCCACTCCCATGGGCCAGGAGAAAGGAGGCAGTAAATATGTCCCCTTGGGGTGTAATGGCCCCCCAGGGAACTCAGAATCCAAGAAAGCAGAGAAGGTGGGCTTGTCCCTGGACTCAGTCCTTACCGTTTTCATCCTGATGGACCCAATGAGCACCAGAATAGCCATATCTGGGTGATTCAGAGGCCCTTTCGGCCTCAAAATAGCCCATGGCCTACCTCTGTTGGAAATCCCATGTATAGGAGGTGCTCCTTTAGGTGAAGGTCTCTGGAAAGACTCTAATGTGCTACAGGGGAGACAGGGACTCTCCATTCTTTTTTTCGTTGTCTTATCCATATATTCACCATGCCCGAGAGCTAAATCTCAGCCCACAACTCAGGGTACATGAAATATGACCTTCCTTTACTTCCTTCGGATAAGCTAAACATTCCACTTTGAGTTTACTTATCACCATGCTGGTAGGAAATTCATCTTGGTCAGTATGGAGACGCCCTTACAGCCCCTACCCTGGTTATGCAAAAGTCCTGGGGTCTTATGCAGTATACCACGTTCTTAGAAGTCTCTCTGTCCTTCTGCCCCCATCTGTGGCCCCTGAGGTGCTCATTGGGCCAGATGTCCCTTTATGTCCAGTGACCTGGTGACATGCCTCGGACATTGGAAGCTCTACTGAAGCTGGAACATAAATATGTTGGGTCTAGCCTGCCTAGGAACACCATGGAGCATCCCCTCCTCCCCTGAGGTTTTACGTGTTCCCCACAAATCTAAGGACCTGCCCCCTTTCCTCTTCTCCTTGCTTCAGAGGTGCTCGGCCTCTCTTCTTCCCCTCTGGGACCCCCATCTTCTCACTGAGCACACAAAAGACTTAACATCACACAGCTCCGGCTTTCAGCCCTTTCCACTCCAGCAACCAGAACATCTAAAGGGCTGACCACCCGCTGGCACTGGGGATGCAGGAAGCAGCATACAGATGAGCACCCACAATCATCACCCCATACACAGTGATTTGCACATGATCTTGGGCGAGTTCTTGGAGTAGCTGCCTGGCTCCCTGCTGACAATGACACAAGTTGGGCCCTGGAGGAATGGGGCACGGCATATGTGTTACGCCCTTCTTGCGTTGCTATAAAGAAATGCCAAAGACTGGGCCATCTATAAAGAACAGAGGTTTAATTGGCTCACGGTTCTGCAGGCTGTACAGGAATCATGACGCCAGCATCTGCTCAGCTTCCAGGGAGACCTCAGGAAGCTTTTACTCTGGCAGAAGGCAAAGCGGGAGCAGGCACAAGCCATGGCGAAAGCAGGAGCAAGAGAGAGAGTTGGGAGTGAGGTGTCACATACTTATAAACAACCAGAACTGGTGGGAACTCACTCACTATCGTGAGGACACACCGAGCCATGAAAGATATGCCCCTGTGACCCAAACACCTCCCACGAAGCCCCACCTCCAATGCTGGGGATTACATGAGACTTATAATGAGATTTGGAGGTGACATCCAAACTGTATCAGCAGAGGGATAGGTTGTGGGGTCAACAAGGAGGTAATAAGATCTGAGCACTGGGGCCCTTGGGGAAATTAAAGTTGAGTGTAGCCAGGTGCAGTGGTTCATGCCTGTAATCCCAGCACTTTGGGAGGCCAAGGTGGGAGGATTGCTTGAGCTCAGGAGTTTGAGACCAGCCTGGGCAACACAGTGAGACCCTCATCTCTTAAAAATATTTAGAAATTAGCCATGCATGGTGGGCATGTGTCTGTAGTCCCCGCTACTTGGGAGGCTGAGGTAGGAGGATTTCTTGATCCTGGGAGGTCAAGGCTACAGTAAGCCATGATTGCACCACTGCACTCCAGCCTGGGTGACAGAGTGAGAACCCCCAAAATTAATAAGTAAATAGCTGGGTGTGGCAATATTGGCAGGGTGGGGTCTGGAAAGGAGATGGCATTTGGGGAGGATTGACTAGCTCAGCCATCCCCAGGGCTCTGCCTGCAGCCTTAGGAAGGGGCCTGAAACTGCTAGGGAGAGAGAAAGCCACACCTTCCGAGGAGTGGGAGGTGAGGGGTGGGAGACAGGTTCTGCCAGCTGTGCAAAACAGAGTTGGGAGCACTGGCTTCTGTCCCTGGGTTTGCCATAATTCACTATGTGACCTTCAGCAAGTTCCCTCTCTGGGCTTGGCTCCATCTGTGAATAAGTGCATCAGTCGGGATGGTACAAAGGCTTTCCCCTCCTGTACTGTTGGTCCTGATTGCCTGATGCCCATAACTGCATATCTATCTCCAACTGGCTGTCTGGTACCATCCTTGACTTTGGTCTTTGTTGAGTCCCTCCTGCCATCTTTAATAGAGTAGACCAAGGGCTGTTGTCTTAAGTGGAGTTTGGTCTGGAATCACAGCTCCAAGATGGCTGGGGATGGGGTGGAGCACACATCCATTGGAAGCGGCTGCATCTCTTGGCTCTTTTTTTCCCAGCTGCAGGGTCCAGCTTGGTAGCCTCTCCCCTCACACACATAAGCCCCCAACATGCACACACACATGCAAATGTAGCCTGGCCCTCTGGAGGAGAATCAGCATTGCCTGGCAAGGAGGGCAGCCAAGGAACCAAGGCTGCAGAGCCTGGAGGGCTGCTCTCAAGGCCTCGCTACCCCATAGCCACAAAGGTCCCTGTGATCCAGCCCTATCAGACCTTTATAGCCCTATGACTAGTGTCACTAGTCCCTGCCTGAAGCCCAAGTTGCCCAGTCACACAGCATCAGCAGTAATGGGAAAGAAGGAAAGAAAGAGACAGAGTAACTGAGAGATAAAGACAGAGAGAGACAGAATTTGAGAAAGAGATGGAAGCAGAAAGGGAAACAGGAGAGAGAGAGAAGACAGAGATAAGGAGACAGAATCATGGAGAAGAAAAGAGGAAGATGGAGAAAGAGAGAAAGAGGAGTAATACGGAATGGGGCTGGGAGAAAGATAGCTTTGAAAGGGAGAAGAGACTGAAGGAGAAATGGAGAGAGGCATGGACCAAAGAGAGAGAGAGAACACACGTGTGTGTGTGTGCACACACACTCACACATACATTCTCATACACACACACATTCTCATACACACACACACACACATTCTAATACACACACACATTCTCATACACACACACATACATTCTCACACACACATGCACACTCACACACTCTCACACTCATATTCTCACACACACACTCTCAGACACTCCAAGCACAGGCCCAGAGAGGAGATGGGAGACACCCCTCTAGCCAGGAGTGCTCTTCACACTCAGCCAGACCAGCAATGACCCTCACAGCCCCTCAGAGGCCCTCAGACGCTGAGAGCCTGGTTAGCGCTCACCAGCCAGGGGACCTTGGACATTACACCTGTGAATGAGACCCTTTCCCTTCAGCAGCTAGGGGTGAGGGTGTTCCCAGGCCTTGGAAGAGTCTGTCCAGCTGCCCCTGCCTCTGGCTTCTTGTCCTGACAGCCCCTCCCCTTCAGGCACAGTCTCCACGCCCCACCTCAGGCAGCCACTCAGGACTCCCGTGACAGAGGACTGGGCTATGGCCCAGGCAACACAGGGAGAGAAGCTGGAGACCCAGCAGACTGGAAGTGTTTTTTCTGGGGTGCATCCCAGCCAGAGATTCGAAGATCCCAAGCTCTGGGACAAGCAAGACAAAGAGACCCCTTAGGTCAGGACTCCTAGAAAGTTCCAGGCTCCATTTAACAAATATCTCCTGAATACCTGCTAGGATCAGCCTGAGCAAGGCTACCCCAAGCTCTGTCTTTTAGGCTTCAGCCCTCCATAGCTTTGGGAACGTGGCAGATTCTCTCACTAGGATGCTGCTCCCTGTACCTGTGTGCACCCATGCCAAAGTGGATGTGTGGCTGCTGGTCTCCAGGGGATGCCTTGAGAGGCCAGTGCCTGGGGTGGGGATCAGAGGCCTGGCTGTGCCTGCTGTGCAGCTCATGCCACAGACTCACCTCTCGCCTGTCCCCTTCCCTCTCCTGCTCCCCTTTGCTGCCCTCACCCTTCCCGGATTGTGTCAACAAATCCCACACGTGGTGGGTCATGCCTGTAATCCCAGCACTTTGGATCCCTTGAGGCCAGGAGTTCAAGATTAGCCTGGGCAACATGGCAAAACCCCATCTCTACAAAAAAATACAAAAATTAGCTGGGTATGGTGACTCACACTTGTAGTCCCAGCTACGCAGGTGGCTGAGTCGGGGGATCACATGAGCCCAGGAGGTTGAGGCTGCAGTGAGCCATGATTGCACCACTGCATTCCAGCCTGGGCAACAGAGCAAGACCTTAAATCCCACACATCTGAATCTCAGTCTCTCTCTCTCTCTCTCTCTCTCTCTCTCTCTCTCTCTCTCTCTCTCTCTCTGTCTTTGTTTCTAGGAAACTCAGCCAAAGATGACCACCGCTCAGCTTCAATTCTTTCTGAAAATAGGGGTACTAAGGCTGACTCCTCAGGGCTGTTTTGATCATTAAATGGAAGGTGGCATGGAAACCACTTGGTATGGGGCATGTCTGGCACGAAGGAAGCCATCAATACATGCCAGTTGTCATCATCATTATCATTGTCATTATTACCACCAGCATCACCATTGCCTTCATCACCATTCTTATCATCATCATCATTGTCACCACCACAGAGGGATGTGGAGAAACTGGGATAGTGAGCCCAGGCAGGCCCTTCTTCTGTCCCATGCTCTATCTCTGGCACAGTCATCTCCCATGAGCTTCATGCCCCTCCATCCAACTCCCCTTGGTCCTCCACAGCTGTCCTCTGGATACATCAAACTCAACCTGTCCAAGACTGAAACTGTCATCTCCTCATACCCTAAACGTGCTCCCTCTCCAGGGTGTCCCTCCCACCTTCTGGCATAACCATTTTACAAGACAGAAATCTAGAAATCATCCTGGATGTTCTCCTTTGTCATGAAAAGTTACCAGTCACAGTAATCTTCCTGTCCCCAAGGAGCATAAACATTATGCCATTTGTTTACATTTGTAATGACAAGGACAGAGCCTGGAGTAGAGGTGACACTCAAGACATATTTGCTGAATGGATGAATGGGAAACTTCAACAAGGAAGGACATAACTAGCCTAAAGACACACAAAGCATGGTGGATACAGGACCTCAGACCCAGGGCTCCTCCCCTCGCAGGTTTCTGTGCATAGAGCAGGCAGCAGAGCTGTGGGGAGCCAGCCTGAGGCCCCTTTCCAGACAGTGACTCTCCGGAACCCAGAAAAGGGACCTCCATCCTGGGCCCTTTGAGTCTCTGGAAAGAACCCCTTCCTCCCAGCCCCGCCTCCTCTGCTCAGCCCCCTGGAAATACAGAAGTAATGAGCAGCACCAGGAGAGGCCCGAGGATGCTCAGAGACTCTTCTGAGATGCTGGCAACAGGCCCCTGGGAGCTTCCACGCGCTTCTGAGTGATCTGTCTGGGTTCTAGCCACACGGCAGGCTCCCCAGAGGATAAGGCATCTCCTTCTCTCCTTGGGGCAGATAAGCAGCTGCTGACCTTGCCTCACTGGCTTTTGGGACTGGAGGGACCTGGGCCACTTCCTGCCACCCATATGGGAAGATGGAGGCCCAATGGGATTGCCCAAGGTCCCCCTGTGGTTTATCAGCCACATCTCCCGAAGTCAGAAATAATAGTCACTGCCATAGCATATTTGCTTAGCCCTTGTTCTAGCCCCAGGTGCCATGTTAGGTGCTCTGTTAGCTACCATATGTTATTTAACTGTCACATCAATTCCAAGGCACAGGCCTTATAACCCCCATTATGAACATAGGGGCAATGTGGCCTAGAAAAGCTGAGCCACTCGCTCAAGGTCACGCAGCTTCAAGGCCGGGTTAGAACACTGGCTAGTCTAGGCATCTCGCAGTCAGCTGTGACACAGGCCCCTCTCCCCGCAGGTTTGCCCCTTGTCTTGGGGGACTGGGCACAGGTACCCAGCCAGTGCTGGGGGCAGAGGCGTCCACAGCCCTCCCCGGCTGGCCCTCAAAGCCCCTTTCACAGCCCTGCTCCACACCCCACTAGGGCGCCAGACAAAACCGCTAGTGTTGGGATTATTTTTCTATTTCCAGATGGATCCGTTAGCTGGCTCCATCCAGGGCCTCCCATCACTGCGTGGGGGCCAGGGGCCCAGCGCCAGGTTAATATTAGGAGGCAGCAGGGAAAAAAAGGCAACCCAATGTAGCTCCTCAAAGAATTCTGGGCTGTTCTACCAGCGCAGCCTCGAAGGAATATTCTTGGGGCATTTAAGGGGGCCTGGCAGCTAGGCAGGCCACCAGGAAAAAAATACTTTTTTTTCCCCCAAAGGAAGTTCTTGAGTGTCTCAGTTTGGGCAGGGGGCCAGAACAGAGTCCCCTGGTGATCTGGGGAGCTGTCTACTCAATGCTGAGCTGAGGAGGGTGTTGTTTAATTCCTCCAGGCAGTCACTCACTTAACCAAAATTTACTGAGCACCCAGCATTGTCAGATGATGTGCCACACCCCGAGGATACCAAGGCTTCTAGCCTGGTGGAGCCTCATGGCTTAGTAGGAAGAGGGACTTTTGTGGGATAATCAACATATAAATAGAAACTTACAACTGCTGATAAAGTGCTATGAAAAGAAGGCTCACGTATAGAGGATATCAGTCAGTCATTGGCTTTTTTCTTTTTAACCACCCAATCTAAAAGTCTCATTTTTTCAAAAGAAGAAAAATAGGTATGACAGGGACTCTCCAGAACCCAGAAAGGGGAACAGAGCCAGAGCTGCACCCATTCCCTTTGACTGGGTCATGGCAGAGCAACGCGGACAGTGATGGGATTCTGGTAGTGGGGGAATATGTGAGGAAGATCTGGTGTGGGGAACTCATTGATTACACTGATTGAAGTCAAGTGCATTAGAAAGTTGTCACCAAAGATCATGAAATCTGTCTCATGGAAACCTGACTCAGTTACTATTACCAGAAACCACAGCCCGGACCAAGGGCAGAATTGTCTCATCCACCTTTTTTTTTTTTTTTTCTTAAAGCCAGGGTCTCACTTTATAGCCAGGCTGGAGTGCAGTGGCATGACCACAGCTCATGCAGCCTCTACCTCCTGGGCTCAAACAATCCTCCCAGCTCAGCCACATGAGTAACTGGGACTGTAGGTGTGCATGCCTGGCTAATTAAATTTTTTCTTTTTCTTTTTTTTGCAGATACAGGATCTCACTATGTTGTTCAGTATTGTCTTGAACTCTAGGGCTCAAGCGATTCTCCCGCCTCAGCCTCCCAAAGTGCTGGGATTACAGGGGCAAGCCACCATGCCCGGCCATCATCCACCTTTTGATCTCTGCCTGGACCCTTGGATACCAATGCCCAGGAACAAAATCAGTGGATATGGACAAACTATTGTAAGTCTAGATAGGAAGTTGGGACTGGCAGAGATGGGAGGTCCAAGGTCCAGGTGAAGTCCCAGGGGCATTTGAGCTGAAACCATCCTCTCAATGGGGGAGTGTTAACCATCACCCCTGTATAAGATAGTCCATGGGGTCGGGGGGCCTTAAGAGGAACCTCTGGAGGGAGATTTCCACTTATGCTGAGAAAGAGGGCCAAACAACGAAAGAGTGAAAATGGGAGGTGGTAAACAACCAGTACTGGAGGGGGAAGGGGGCAAGCAGAAATCAATGTCCCTGGCAGAGACTGGAGGGGAAACTTCTGGCCTGGTTAGGGAACTGGACCAGAATCCAGGGCCAAATGAGGTCTACAAATGTTTGTCACACTCAGGATTCTGGCAGGAGACAGCATACTCCAAAGGGGTCAGCTGAAAGAGCATTTAATGCTCCAGGAAAAATGACCAAGTAGCTTATAAATAAAGATGCTACTACTATTGATAATAATAAAAACTTTTCAGCGGAAATATTTAAAGCAAGGCATCTACAATGGGCGGGGTTATGGGAACCAACCAGGGCTGGTAAAGCACCCTGGAGCTAGTGACTGTAGTGTGGAGGGACAAGGTAAGGAAATGTGTTACTGGGGCCAGGCAAGAGAAAGAGCCATGGAAGGGGGTGCCCGACAGGACCTGTGGCCTCAGGAGAGCAGTCATTACCAAAGCCACAGCAGGAAAGAGAGGAAGCAAATACCCTGACCTCACTCCTTTCCTACCTTTGGATTGGCCAGTGTCTCCCGTAAGCCAAATCCATTCAGGAATCGGGGCAACGAAGCCAAGTCCGGCAGTCCCACCTGGAGAGGACAGCCCTCTGGGGCACAGAGAAGGGGACGAAGGGCAGAGGGTGGATAGAGGGTGTGGTGTTTCAATGTATGTGTCTACTTGACTGGGCCACGGGGTGCCCAGATTAAACTTGCTTTCTGGGTGTGTCTCTGGGGTGTTTCCAGGTGAGATTAGCATTTAAGTCAGTGGATTCAGTAAAGTATATCCCCTTCCCCAATGTAGGTGGGCATCATTCAATCAGTTGAGGATCTGAATAGAACAAAACCTGTAGGAAGGAGGAATTTCCCACCCATGCTCCCACCACCTTTTCCTCTCCCTCACTACTTAAGCTGCTCATCTTTTCTCGCCTTCGAACTGGGATTTACACCATCAGCTCCCCTGGATTTCCTAATTGTGTGAGCCAATGCCGCATAAATTTCTCTATATATGTGTGTGTGTGTGTGTGTGTGTTACACACATATAGGATATACATATCCTTTTGGCTCTGTCTCTCTGGAGAACACCAACTAATACAGGGAGACCAGAGAGGAAGAAAAGAATAACCAAAAGAGATGTGTTTTAATTGATTATCCAAACATGCCCACCAGTTAGTTGGCCACAGGCCTCAGCACTCCCAAGTGCCTTACAAGGTCATGACCTAGTTTGTACCTATGCTCCTAGCTGACCCCGAGGCATTTAAGTGTGTGACTCCTGGAAAGATGAACTCAGATGTACCTTCCAAGTCCCCCTGAATTCATGATTCTCAGGGAGGTGTGGGGTAAATGAAGGTAAGAGAGTCACTTGTTTAACATGTACTGAGTCCCTGCTCAGTGTTGTTACTTGGCCAGTGTTCTGGGGAACCAGGGATTGTCAAGACAGACCTGTTTTTAACCTCGGGGAGCTTACAGCCTGATGGAGGAGACACGAGTTTATTCATTGAACAAATATCTGCCAGGCCTGGTGATAGGGTTTGGATTTGTGTCCCTGCTCAAATCTCACGGCAAATTGTAATCCCCAGTGTTGGAGGAGGGTCCTGGTGGGAGATGATTGGATCATGGGGGTTGATTTCCCCCTTGCTGTTTCTTGTGATAGTGAATTCTCATGGGACCTGGTTGTTTAAAAGTGCGTAGCACCTCCCTGTTCGCTCTCTTTCTTGCTCCGGCCATGTAAGATGTGCCTCCTTCCTCTTCGCCTTCCGCCATGATTGTAAGTTTCCTGAGGTCTCCCCATCCGTGCTTCCTGTATAACCTGCAGAACCAGGAGCCAATGAAACTGCTTTTCTTTACCCAGTCTCAGGTAGTTCTTTATAGCAATGCAAGAATGGACTAATATGCCTGGTTAGAATATAGCAACAAGTGGCTGGGCACAGTGGCTCACACCTGTAATCCCAGCATTTTGTGAGGCCAAGGCAGGCAGATTGCCTGAGCTCAGGAGTTTGTGACCAGGGAAACACAGTGAAACCCCATCTCTACTAAAACACAAAAAATTAGCAGGACGTGGTGGCATGCATCTGTAGTCCCAGCTATTCAGGAGGCTGAGGCAGGAGAATTGCTTGAACCTGGGAGGCACAGGTTGCAGTGAGCTGAGATTGTGCCACTACACCCCAGCCTAGGCGACGGAGCGAGACTCTGTCTAAAAAAAAAAAAAAAAAGAAGAAGAAGAAGAATACAGCAACAAGTATTGATTGCCCTGACCTTACATTCTAGTTGGAGACAGAAAATAAAGGAATCCCATAAATGTATAATGTAATTTTATAAGTACCATGAAGAAAAACAAAGCAGGCTAAGTGGATTCAATATGAAGAGAAATATGGGGCTTGTTAACATTGCCAATTGCTATATAAAAAAAAATTGTGAATTGAGGAGCACAACACAACAGCCAGTTCTATGCTCATAGATTCTATGGGTCAGGAATTTGGGCAGGGCACAGTGGAAGGGCTCGTCTCAGCTCCATGATGTCTGGGGCCTCAACTGGGCAGACTCAAATGGCTGTGGATGACTGGGACAGCTGGGGCTAGAATCACTTGGAGGTGTCTTCATTCGCATGCAGTAAATAGAATAATGCCCTCCCCACTACACAGATGTCCACAGTCAAATCCCTGAAACCCATGAAATATGCTACCTTATGCAGCAAAAAGGATTTGCGATATGATTAAATTAAGGATTTTGAGGTGGGGAGATTATCCTGGATCCCCTGTATAGAGCTGAAGTCATCCTGAGAGTCCTTAGAAGGGAAAGAAACAGGCAGGGAAGTCAGAAAAACAGCTAATGACAGAAGCAGAGGTCATAGACAGAGAGAAATCAGGAGATGCCACTCTGTTGGCTATGAAGATGGAGGAGGAGGCTGTGAGCCAAAGAATGCAGGAGGCCTGCAGGAGCTAGAACAGGCAAGGAAATAAATTCTCCCTGCTGGCTCCTTGATTTCAGCCCAGTAAGACTCCTTTTGGACTTCCAACTTTCAGAACTGTCTGAGAATAAGCTTGTGTTGTTTTAAGTCACTAGGGTTGTGGAAATTTTTTATAGTAGCCCTGGGAAGCTAATATGGCATGCCAGTCTGTTGGCTGGGATAACTGAAAAATGAGCCCAGCCAGCACAGTGACCACAGCACCTACACATGACCTCTCTGTGTAGCTTGGGCTTCCTCACAAAATGGCAGCTTCAGAGTGGTTAGTTTTGCCATGGGGTGGTTCAGAGCTCTGAGAACAAGTGTCCCAGCCAAAACCACAGATGTTCCATGGCCTTCTATGACACAGCCTCAGATGTCCCAGTGTCCCTTCCATAGCACACTGTCAAAACAGTCACAGCCCACCCAGATCCAAAGGGAAGGGACAGAGACCCCACCTCTTGATAGGAGGAAGGTCAGAGAATTCAGAGCCATGTTTTAAAAGTCACCATGAGGCTAATCTAGCTAGGGTGGTCAGGGAAGACTCTGAGGAAGTAACATTCGAAAAGCGCCTGGGCAAAGTGAGGGAAAGCAAGCAGAGAGTGCCAAGGAGAGAAAACAGCAAGAGCAGAGCCCAGAGGTGAGAAGGGGGCAGGCAGATACCAGGCAATTCCAATCCGTATGACAAGTGATGCAGGCTCTAGGGGCTATGGGAACCCAGCTGAGGGCACAGAACATGGCCTGAGAGGGCTCCTGAAGGAAGGCGGGTCTGAGTAGAGGGCTGGCGACTGATGATCATTGGAGGACTTGGCAACCCCTCTCCACTCCCCTTCCCACCACCCGAGGACTGGTGCTCACACGCACTTCTCACTCTGGCCCCACCAGGTCTGGGGCCCTGATGCCTGTGTCCCAGCCAGGTGCCCACGGCCCAGGCAGACCTTGGTAGTGGCCTCTGATTCCTGGGAATTGGGTCGGCTCTCTTTCTGCATCCCCTGTCACCAGCCCTTCCTCACAGACGTCCTTTCACCGGCTCCACTAGATGAAGTCTTACCTAATTACGCGAGGGCTCCACCAGCGCACTTTCGCATTAAGAAAAATAGAGCCAGTGGGGAACAGGGAGGCAGTGTTCACAGGGGCGCCTGTCTCCGGAACCGGATACCCCCAGACCTGCCCAGCCGCCCACCATTCGGGGCCCAATCAAAGCTTTCTTCCCTTAGCAGCTACAGCTGAGGAAGTGGGAGGAGGCAGCCCCAGGTTCAGCCAGTCAGGAAAGAGCAGGAGAAAACCTTGCTCTAGTCCTCAGGGTCTGTAAGGGGAACTCAGGTCCTTCCTGGGGAGGCCAAGGATTCCAGCCCCAGCACAGGGCCTGGTGTGTAGAAGAAGCTCAATAAATATGTATAGAAAGAAAGAGAGAGAAAGAAAGTGAGAGCAAAATGAAAGAAAAAGAGAGAGAGAAAGAAGGAGAGAGAGAGAAAGAAAGAAAGAAAGAGAAAGGAAGGAAGGAAAGAAAGAGGAGAGGGAGGGAGGAAGGAAGGAAGGAGAAGAAAAAAGGAAGGAAGAAAGAAAGAAAAAGTTTTTTCTCTGTTACACAACAAAAATCATTAAGAATATAGGATCTTGTTTCTGTGGTCTTGGGTTCAAATCTTGGCTCTGCCTTTTACCTGACTCTCAAGTCATTTTACCTTTCTGAGCCTCAGTTTCCTCATCTGTGATATGGGGATTATCATAGCATCCTTAGAGAATTGCTAGGATAATTAAAGAGATCTCCAAAAAGGGCTGATGAAGACGCTGTGGGTGACTCACCTAAGCCCTCGGCATGGGCCAGGCATAGCTCTAAGACCACTAAGAGTCAGTGCATTTCATCCTCATGACAACTTTAGGGAGCATTTTACAGATGAGGAAATGGAGGCCCAGAGAGGTTAAGTAACTTGCTGAAGGTTACACAGTTGAAAAGCCACGTACCGTGATTCAAACCCAGGCAGTGCAGTGCCTGAGCCTGCACTTGTGCGCACTCCCCAGAGCCTGACCTGCAGAAGGAGCTCATTGAGGGGTGGATCCTCTGCCCACTGGGTGACTCTCTTCTCTCCCACTGGGTGGTGAGCACCTCTAGGGTCGGGCTGCTGATTCCTGCCTCCCAGTGCCCGGGACTGGGCTGGATCCACAGGAAGGTTGCCAGGATGGGCACCAATACCAGTGTCACTCTTCTTATATCCTTTAATGGGATATGAGTGCTCTGAAGTCAGGCTGCCTGGAATTGAATCCTGGTACCACCATTGACTGGCCCTGAGCCTCAGTTTCCCTAACTGTGGGTTGGGGGAGGGGGATCCGTGTACTATCTCACACAGTCTGTTACTGAGATCAGGATGCGCAATGCTAAGCAGAGTGCTTGGGCAGAGTACAGCGGAGCGAGCTCAGCCATGGTTATCATCACCATGGCCACATCTGTTGTTCTTCCGTACCCCAGCCAGGGTTCTCAATAAGACCCTGGCTTTGCAGGACCAGGCCATCCTCCCAGGCGAAAAACAGTTAAACAGGCTCCGTCTGTTGACAGGTAACTTAACTCCCATCTCCCAGAAGCAGAGGCGGAGGCCAATGCAGAGGTGAAGCTGGAACCTGAGATAGGCCCTGGGCCGTGTGCGCCCTAGCTAAATGGCCAGAGATTTCACCCCAGCCCTTTCTTCTCCCACTTTCCAGAGCAGTGGTCATTGATATGGTGAAATGAGATCGGCTTCAAGCACGACTGGGATTGGGAAAGTATTGGGAGATGGGAGCGGGCAGGTTGAGGGTGTAACACAAGCTCTCTCAATGTCCCTCCCAGACAACACCGAATCTTCCTTCCACGTCCCTAGAGGCTCAGAGAGGTTAAAGTCCTGGGTCAGTATCACACAGCTTATCTGGCAGCCATTTGGACTTTCTGAACCTGGAGGTCCCTAATTCTAAATCTCTGTGACTCCTTATGCCCACTGACCTGGCCCAAATCACTTCTTAGGGGGTGGGGAGACGGTGATGGGGATTCCTGGAGCCTTGTCTTGGACAAGGAGCCAGGCCAGAGCCTCCAGAGTGGGGAGGGCAGGGAGCCACCAGGAAGCAGGATCGGGTACCAGGCCCTGCTTCCTTGCCCATGGTCTGGGCCCTGGGGAGGATCAATTGCTCAGAGAAGGAGAGGAGGGCTAGGGCTCCCGGGATGGGAGGCACTGGAGAGAAATTTCCCTGGGGGAGGTGGAGGCCATCCCAGCCTCAGTCTTCTTTTCTAGCTCTGCCCAAAGCCTGCTCTGGCCCTCTCTGTCAGCAGTCTCTGTGTTTGCATCCTGATCATCTCTGGTGGTCTCTGTTTCTCTGCCCTCTCCCTGTCTGCCTTTCTCTGCATCCCGCTGTCTTTTCCTGTCTGCATCCCTCTCTAGTTCCCCTTGCCTCTATATCCTGTCTCCCTGTTTCCCCCTCCTCCTGTCATCCTCTCTTTCCACACCTTTTTCTGTTTCTGCCTCTCTGTGGCTCTGACTCTATTTCTCTCTCCTTTCCGAGGTCCCTCTCTCCCTCCCTGTTTCTGTCTTTTGTCCTCTCCCTTCCTCTCCCTCCTCCCCCTCCTCTGCCTCCTCCTCTCTCCCCTCTGCCCTATCACCCAGATTCCCTGGGAGGAGATAAGGGACCCCAGGGTAAGAGAGTGACACAAGCAGGGCTGGGAGGTTGGCCAAGTAGCCAGGGGTAGGGTGGGGGTGGGGGCAGCAGAGTGAGTGGACATGAGGCTACTGTGAGGGTCCAGGCAAGAGATAGAAAGGTTTGTGCCCAGTGAAAGCAATGGGGTGCTGAAGGGAGGGTGGTTGTGAGAAAGACTGCAAACGGGGTGCCCGGATGATGTTATGTGTTTGGAAGAAGGAGAAGCAGTCAGGGAAAACTTCCTGGAAGAGTGAAGGGGAAGGGGGGATCAGTGTGAGCAAGTACAAGGGGATCATTTAGGCTGAACCCCAGGTCTGTGAATGGGGTAGGGTAGGGAGAGGCATGAGAAGAGGCAGGTGCTGAGACCAGGAATCCAGGCTGAGGCCAGCTTGGGGAGGGCCTTGAATGCCAATCAAGAGTGTGGACTTCAGCCCATGGGGTGGAGGTTTTGCACGTGAATCTGATGAAACCACGGAACTCACCCCAGACAAATGTGCATGCCTAATGTTTGGCACCCAGGTCAAGGCTTCTGGGACCCTCTGAAATGCCTCCATAAGTCACAGACACCCAGGATATGAAGTTGGTTCCAGGCCCTGGGGAGCCATGGGAGGTTTTAGGGCTGAGGAGAGGGCAGACGTGGAGCTGCACTTTAGGAAGGTGCTTATGCAGAGGTGCAGGCTTAATTGTTGGGCAGAGAGACTGTGACAGCCTGGCCCACAGAGCCAGGGCCTCTCCGTGTGTTCCCTTCTTCCTGGAGAACTGATAGGCCTGCTTGGGCCTCACCCAAAGAAGCAAGTCTGAACCCCAAACCAGGGTGGTGGCAGCCCAGGACTCCCAGCATTACAGGGAGGCGCTGAAGCGGTCTCCTTGCTACTGCAAAAGACCCTTGGTCCTGAGCATCTGGGCCTTGTCTGAAGGTACTAGACCTTCACTAACTTTTGGGTAATCAGCCCAGAAGCCTGAGGCAGTAGCCCCTGCTCTGCCAGGCCCATCCCAGCTTAGCCAGCTCCTTTCCTCCCACCACCTCCTGCCTGTATGCCCCACTTGGAGTCTCCACCTCCTCCAGCAATATCTGTTTAGACAGGGAGCAGCCCCAGCATGGGTGCAGTCCTTGTTCTGCCAGCTAGGCCAACATGAAATTTGCAGCGGTAAGCTCCTCCGTCCCAACACCCCATTGTTGAGTCCTGGAGAACTGCAAGACTTGCCCAGTTATTCCCTAGCAAGTTGATGACCCGGGCAGGCCACCCATTTTTCAGCCCTAGGGCTCTTCTGTCTGTGCTTACAGGATGGTGCTCCAGCTCCTGAAAGGCCTGCATCCTGTCCCAGCCACCCCCTCCACTCAAGCTGCTCCGGCCAGTTAGAGCAGAAGTCCTCGCCATTGCTGTAGCTGCTATTATGAAGAGCCTACTCTGCCTCAGACACTTGATATCTGCAATCCTCCCAACAATCCAACATGTAGAGGTGATAAGTTACCCCATCGTACAGATGAGAAAGCTGAGGCTCAGGGAGATTAAAGTAACCTGTCTGTGTTTATCCTGTTAGTAACTGGCAGACCCAGTTGTGTCCAACTATAAAGCCCATTGTGCCCAACTATAAAGCCCAGCCTTTCTCTTACACCACATCCCTTTCTCTTTCTGTCATACACAAGGGACCTCATTGGCTTGCCTGGAAGCCTGGAAGACCCAGCAATCTGCCTTGAAGACCAGATGTCCAGGAGTCTCATCTGGCACCCAGAAGACCAGCCTGGGTTTCTTCAGCAGCAGAGCCTTAGGGGAGCATGAGATGTCCATGAACCTGGTCTGCAGGGTTCTAGCTCTGCTATTGACTTGCTGTGTGACTGTGACCTCATCAACTTCCCTCTCTGGCTGTGTCTCTGTCTCCCGCTCTGAACCCGGGGATCTGGGCTCCAGGCTCCCAGAGGGCCATGACCAATCGAGTGCCTGCCATTCCTTGGCTGGAAGGAGATGCCTTGGTGCCCTCTGGTCAGAAACCTTGCCAAGCAAGGGGTTTGGCATGCCATCTTTGCCTGCTCTGTTAGAGGGTGACTGTCTTATTCCAACAAGGAGCCACCCCTAGGGTGGCCCACTCCAAACCCCAATGAGTCACTTGCAGAGTGAGGGGGTAGGCGGGTGGGAGCTGTTTCTGTGGTTCTTGGCGTCCAGCTGAGCCCACGGGCCCACGAGCCCACGCTGGGTGGGAACTTGTGTCAACCACTGACTCCTGTAAATCGCAGGGGTAGGACAAGGTGGGACTGTCGGCGGCCCCAGAGAGAAAGCTGAGCCTGTGTACTCTGGGGAGGTGACCCGGGGGGACCCTGAGCTGCTGCTCGGGGGCGTTAATGAGCGCTCCATCTGGTGCCATCCTCAACCACTAGCTGACGCTGACACAGCATTTCATCCTGGAGAGAGAGAGCATGTGTGTTCCAAGGCTAGCAAAGGCTCAGTTTTTCCGATCCGGAAAAATCTGTTCAAAGAAGGGAAAATTGAGGATGAGGAGCCGAAGATAGCCTGATTTGTGTTTCCTCAGTCTGTAACTTGAATGGTTCATGGGAGACTATCTCTGTCAATGTGGAGCTGCGGAGACCCAAGCTCAAAGAAGCCTGGGCCCCAGGAGGAGGCCCATGCCAGGGCCAGCATGGAAATGCAACCTTTCCTCTCCCAGCCCAAGGCTCTGACTGTCCTGCCATCCTGCCTCCCTCAGTCAGGGGCCAGCTGTGCCCTTGGCCCCAGTGGAATGTGTACCCTGGAGTTTTTTTGCCCCTGCTTTGGATTTAAGATCTTCCTTTCTCTGAAGCCACAGAGTCAACACATATTTTTACTAGGAGGCATAGTAGGCAGGGCACCCAGAGCCCAGA
Source organism: Homo sapiens (assembly GCF_000001405.40). Taxonomy (NCBI): domain Eukaryota; kingdom Metazoa; phylum Chordata; class Mammalia; order Primates; family Hominidae; genus Homo; species Homo sapiens. The sequence continues at coordinate 114,121,458 of NC_000009.12, read as the reverse complement.
GCCCTGCCTTAAGAGGATTTATTATCTTTTTCAGGAGACGGGAGGGAGCACAGATGTGAAACCATAAAAATGATCAATGTGGCCAATGCTTACGTGGGACTTGGTGTGCACCAGGCACAGCTCTGATCTAAGGGATGTCCATGTATTAACTCATTTAATCCTCACAACAACCTATAAAGTATTGTCAACCTCATTTTGTAGATGAGGAAACTGAGGACACTTAAGATTGAGTAACTTCTTCTTGACCACACAGCTACGAAGTTGCAGAGTTGGGTCTCAGACTCCCAGGCAGCCTGGTTCTTGAGTCTACTCAACCAAAGAAGACACTCATATGGCAAGTGTTAATCCCTCTGTATCAGGCACCATCCTCAGTATTGGGGACCCAGTGGTGGAAAGAATAGACCAGGGCTCTGTCCTCAAGGGACTTGTCATCCTTCTTTCGCTCACTTATTCATCTACATAGCCACCCATCCACCATCCATCCATCCATCCATCCATTTACCCATCTATCCATCATCCATTCATTTATTTATCTGCCTATCCATCATTTAACCATCTATCCATCTATCTATCCACCCATCTATTCATCAACCTATCCATTATCCATCTACCATCCATCATCCATCCATCCATCAACCCATCCATCCATCATCTATCTATCCAGCCAGCCAGCCATCTACCCATCATCCATTCATCTATCCATTCACCCATCCATTCATCATCCATCTATCTATCCATCTACCCACCCATAATCTGACCAGCATCCACCCATCCACCCATCCATCAACCACCCATCTGTGTCGATTTTTATTCATTATGTATCTCCCATGCTTGGCATAGTGCCTGGACATAACAAGTCCTCAATCAATATTTGCTAAAGGAATGAAGGAATGAAGACAGACTTGGGCCCCGCCCCAGAGCACTGGGTTCTTGTCCCTTACCCTTTCCCAGTCACAGCACCATAAGGTAGTAAATGCTGCCATGACCACCTTATGGGATTCTTGGGAGGCTTTAACGGCAAGTAGGTGAATGCCTTACAAACTGTAAAGGGCTCTAGGGGCATAGTCAGCATCAGGCTACTGAGCTGGTGTGCAGGCACTGAGACCTGCAGAGCTGTGTCTCTCTCCAGTCTGGCTGGTGAGACCTGTCAGACACTTCCCCTCGACCTGCCAAGAGGCCCAGAAAGGAAAGGAAATTGACATTTAATGAGCATCCATGAAGTGCCAGGGACCTTCACATACTTTAACCCTCTCTTCTCTTTTCTTGTACAAATCAAAGAAATGGAAGCCCAGAGAGGTCCACGATTTGCTCAAGGTCACATAGCCAGAGAAGAGCAGAGCCCACATTCTAACCTCGGTCTGTGAGCCCCAAAGCCTGTGCTCATGGCCCTACCTATGCTACACCACTTCTTCTTAAAGGGGATGCTGTCAACTTTTCCCTAAGTCCCCACTGTTCAGGGTCACTCAGCAAGCTCTTGGTAGAGTCTTTTAAAACACGTTTCCATTTAGTTTTTGCATAGATTATTTCCTTTTTGTTTTATGGGACACCCCCCGACCCTCCCCACCCCCCCACCCCCACCCAGCCACCAACTTTTATTTGCAAAGAAAAGCCAGTGTAAATATTCCCTCCCACCCAGGTTAACCCTTGTCTGACAGAGGTGTATTCTGTGCAGCTCTCTGGGGGAAAGGATGAAAGGTCACCCGGGCTTGCCTGGGCTTCCTGCAGGGCCTGTTTGACAGACCCTCGTGATAGTTCACACACACATGTATCTCTGCCGCCTAATGCCATGGGTGGCAGAAACCCCTGATTCTCAATTTACCAGCTTCTTATGACCCTCAGCACAGACCAGCCTTCTAGGGTCCAAGTGTAAAGGAGACAGTCTTCCTGGAGTCTCTACCCTTGCACTGTGGGCTGGAACAGAAAAAGAAGTGCCCTCAGCCACTGTTCCTGGGCCACCCACCGAGGGCCTGGCATAGCACTGGGCACTTCACCAACATCCTCTCACTGAGTCTTCTGGAAAGGAGGGCTTGGTCTCAATGACCCCATTTTACAAATGGTGAAGCTGAGGCTCAGAGAGGCAAAGTCACCTGTCCAAGACCACACAGCTGGCCAGGGGAAAACTAAGCATAAGACACGGTCCTTGCTTATAAGTTGCTTTAAGTCCAGGGCTAAAAGTAAGACACTGTACATGTGAAATGACAAGACAGCCCCTCAGGCCAGGCACTATCTTCAGTGCCGGGAACAATGACCCAACAGGAAACTGGTTGAAGCAAGTCCCAGTTCTGCTACACACTTGCTGAGTGACCTTGAGCTGGTCACTTTCCTTCTCTGAGTCAAACATCTCAGTCTCTTATGCTCTTTCTTATGTAGCATCTGGTAAGAATGTATAAAGTAGGACCTCGTAAGGGCGTGGGAGAAGATGGCTGAGGTTTGTGGAATAGCACAGCATTATGGCTAAGAATTACTACAAAGCCCTCCTCCTACCATATAGAGATCCCCTCCACCAACATCCCAAGAGGCAAATCCCCAGGCAGGAGAGTTAAGGTAGACTGGGTTGGGGGGCTAAGCAGAGGATCTGCAAGCCCTGTGCCAGGCACCAAGGGGAGGAAGGAATGGCACGGGGCATTCCACACCGGTGGACAGGAATTCTCTCTAAGTCGGAACTCCAGCGGCTCCTCACCAGCCCCTCTTCCCAGGCAGCCTTCACCACAAGACCCAGCACCTCCAGTGTCCCCAGCCACAGCCCCCCACAGCACAGGCTCCTCCTGGAGTTGGCTCCAGCTCCAGCAGGCCAGCCATTGAAGGCTCCACCTCACCCCTTTAAATTCTATTTTTTCAAACCACATTCTTGAACTTGGCAGATAACGTGGCAGCCCGACAAGAGCCCTATTTACTCGGAGAGCCGTGAATGGGCCCTTTATAACAAGCTTCATTAATATTTCTACCTATTGGCCAGCTCTCCGTTTCCTCCCCCTATACAAACAGATTCTCCACACAGAAAGACTTTTCAAATGCTCTTGTTGACTTTCCCCAAACAGGGAGGGCAGCTGAGCCGGCAGGGGTGTGTGAGTGTGTGTAAGTGTGTGTGCAGGGGAGGGGGCGGCCGTGGGCTTGCGCCCGCCAAGCCTTATGCAGGAAGGAAAGAGGCCCACTATTCATGGGCAGGGACGGGCAGCTCGGGTGAGTCCAGGTATGCCATGCCTCACAAAGGCATACTCAGCCCAGCCTGCCCCACGAATTCCAGAGCCCTGGCCCGCGGAGGTAGGCCGTCCCTTCTCAGCTCCTGCTGCCTGACCAGTGACCCGAGGCAAGTCCCTGACTTGCTCTAGGCTTCACTGTCTTCTTTTGTCAGTTGAGTCTCTACCTTGCTACTCAAAGTGTGGTCCATGCACCAGTGGTATCACCATCCCCCGAGAGCTTAGGAGAAACATAGAACCTCTACCCAGATTTGTTGTCCCTGAATTTGCATCCTAGTAAGATCCCTGGGTGACTTGTGTGCACTATCGACTTCAAGAAGCATCTGATCCACTCCACATGCCTCCTCCATCACCCCCCTGCCACCACCACTCTAGGGCCCAAAGGCCACAGTGGACCTGACACATCATCGAGAAGGCGGCCACCAAGGCTCTTTTGCTCTCTAGTTCGACACCACAGCCCTGGCCCATGGTTGGGGCTCAGAAAATCAATGAATAAACAGAAAAGTGTATTGTCCAAGTCCACAGCCTTGTGCTAACGACAGCAATTCTTCCTCTTCAGCATTTGAGAACATTGTGAAGAACTGCCCGTTCCATTGTTCTGAAGGTCGTAGAGTCTTGGAAGGGACTTTCTAATATTGCAGTGGATGGGGTGAGCTCCCTGTCTTTTGGAGATATGCAAGCAGAGGCGGGAGGACGTGTGATGGGAAGTTGGAGGAGACACCATGCCCCATGTATAAAGAACGTGCCTTTGGGGCAGAGAAAAAAAATCACTGCAGGGAAGATGGTGTCCTCACTGAGCACACCCACAGGTGAAATGGGGGCCTCTTTAGAGACGGACAGACCCGAGTTTCAATGTTGGTGATGCCTTCTTTAACAATGAGAACATGGACAAGGTGGACAAGAGCCTTCACTTCCCTTCCATCTATTCATTCAATAAATGTTGATTCTATGTGTCAAGCCCTCTGCTGGACCTTGGGGACCTGATAGTTCATAAAATAGATTCTTTATTCCTATGGGGAGAGAGACAAACAAAAATCAATAAAAAATAAATATGGGCAGGGCGCGATGGCTCACACCTGTAATCCCAGAACTTTGGGAGGCCGAGGAGAGGGGATCACAAGGTCAAGAGATCGAGACCATCCTGGCCAACATGGTGAAACCCCATCTCTACTAAAAATACAAAAATTAGCTGGGCGTGGTGGCACGTGTCTGTAATCCCAGCTACTCGGGAGGCTGAGGTAGGAGAATCACTTGATCCCGGGAAGCGGAGGTTTCAGTGAGCTGAGATCACGCCACTGCACTCCTGCCTGGTGACAGAGCAAGATGACTCCATCTCAATAAATAAATAAATAAATAAATAAATAAATAAATAAATAAGAATGCTGAGGAGAAAGTAGAGGAGGGTGACAGAGACAAGGTGTGTGCATGGGAGGTGGGGAAAATTATGAGTGAGGGGAGCTAGGGAAGATGCCACTGAAAGGTGACCTTTTACAGTCAGACCTGAAGACAAAGGAGCCAGTCACGTGAGAAGCCAAAGGAAAGGTACCCCCAGCATAGGGACAGCATGTGCAAAGGTCCTGAGTTAGGAAACACTGGGCGCTTTGAAAGGGAGGCAGCGTGGTGATCGCATTCCACACACAAGTGGGAGAGGAACCGTGGGAGGCGGGAATTTCCACCTTACAGAGCTGCAGAGGATGGATGGCACCCAATCGGTGCTCAGAGCAGGATGTGTTTGCTCTTCACTGACCCACAGGTCCTGATCAGAACTGCTGTCTGTTTCCATCTCCCGAGAACAGCAGGGGCAGTGCCTCAGCCTGGGGGCCACGGCCCAGGGCAGGGCCAAGGAGCTGCAGGGGCTGAATGAGCCGCCTGTGTGCATATTGGCTGCATACTCCTGCCTTTTTGGGGAGGGAGTGGCCTGCCCTCTCCTGGGACACCTGCCCAGCTTCAGCTGGCCTGGGTGGCTTGGACAGGAGTTCCTGACCCCCTGCCCAGTTCTCAGCAGCCAAAGGCCAGACCCTCTTGGGAGCACAGAGCCTGCCAGCCGGCTCACACCCTCCTCCCTCCTCCCTGGCCAGCCCTTAAGTACCAGGCTGGAAATAACCGGTTCTCTCCACCCCTTGGGGCCATGGGCTTGCCCACCCTAGGGGCTGAGGTGGCTGGACAGGGAGTGGCGGTGGGCTGTCCCAAGAGAGACTTCTTGGAGTCTTCGCTGGGAGGCTCCCACCCTTGGGTTAGTAGGGAGGAGTTGGTTCAATCCTGGATTTGCTGCTGCCTCTCCATGAGCCCTTCCAAAGCTGCCTTAGCATTCTGAATCTGGTTTTCCTTATCATTACAGTGGAACCGATCACCCCCTCTGAGGGCTGTTGTGAGAATTAAATAACAGATGTGTGAGCTTTGCAAACCGTGACGTACAATGCACACAGAAGACTTTGTGGTCGGGTCGGACAGTTCACTTTGTATTCGAGGTCATGAAAGGACTGAATTCTAGCATCTGGTCCCAACTTCACCTCTTAGCTAGACCACAGCGTTTCTGAAAATCTCAGTGTCCCCAACTGCAACATCAAGATCCTTGTTCCTACCTCAAAAGGTTATCATTAGAATCCAATTTATTCAAACAGTATGTGTTGAACACCTACTATGTACATTGCTCACAGCATTCTAGACATCTGTAGAGGTAGGCCCCCTTTCCTTCTTTGACTTCAAGTAATTCTTTCCAGAGGACTGAAGAGAAGACAAGGATATACTCTTGAAGGTAGACAAAGGACAAAGGAGAAAGGTTCTAGATCTCAGACTTGGTCCCTGTCGTTAGGTGGCTGGTTGAGGTCTTGGTTCAGTCTTTTACTGTCTCTATGAATTTGGGCAGGTTACTTAGCCTCTGCAAAGCTCAGTTTCCCCATCAATAAAGGAGGGAGGATATTGTGAACCAAAAATAAAATTCTAAGCCCCCTGCCCTCCAACCAGCTGGACTCCCTCCTCTGGGTCAAGGCACTCCAAAGTTCACCTGAAAGACTGGTTCAGGCCATAATGGGAAGCAGAGGTCAGACATGCCTCAGTAGCCCTCCTCCCTTTTGGGATTCAGGAAAAGCTGACCCCTATTTAACATCAACGCAGACCTGAAGTCTGATAAGGAACACTTACAATGTATTCTTTCTGAAGCCTGCTGCCTGGAGGCTTCATCTGCATGATAAAACTTTGGTCTTCACAACCTTTTATCATAACTCAGACATTCCTTTCTATTGATAATAACTCTTTTAACCAATTACCAATCAGAAATTTTTTTATTCTACCTATAAACCTGGGAGCCCCCACATGCACTCTGCTTCAAGTTGTCCCGCCTTTCTAGACTGAACCAATGTATATCTTAAATGTATTTGATTGATGTCTCATGTCTCCCTAAAATGTATAATACTAAGCTGCACTCAACCACCTTGGGCCCGTGTTCTCAGGGCCTCCTGAGTGAGGGCTGTGTCATGGGCCATGGTCACTCTTATTTGGCTCAGAATAAATCTCTTTTTAATAATAATTTTCAATTTCATAATAATTTTTAATAATAAAATAAACATTTTACAGAGTTTGACTCTTTTTGTCAATAATATTACACCACAGATGTCTGTTGCCATGGTTTAAATTGTATCAATTGACACAGGGTGCTTAGCTCAGTCTTTGGCCCATTGTGTGTGATTCATAACGTTTGCTGCTATTAGCAGTAGCTGCAAATAGTATGTAGTCATCATTACGGTAGTAGCAAAGTGGTAGTAGTATAAATAACAAGAGAAGCAATCCTGGTGGCAGTACTGCAGTAGAAATACTGGTGGTAATAGAGTAAGAAGTACTATGTTTTAGACCATTTTCATACTGCTATAAAGAGACTACCTGGGACTGGGTAATTTATAAACAAAAGAGGTTTAATTGACTCACAGTTCCTCATGTCTGGGGAGGACTCCGGATACTTATAATCATGTGGAAGGCGAAAGGGAAGCAAGCACCACCTTCACAAGATGGCAGGAGAGAGGGAGAGTGAGCAAAGGGGAAGTGCCACACTTTAAAACCATCAAATCTCATGAGAACTCACTCACTATCAGGAGAAGAGTGTGGGGGGAACTGCCCCTATTATCCAATCAGCTCCCACCAGGTCCCTCTCTTGACACATGGGGATTACAATTCAAGATGAGATTTGTCGGGGGATGCAGTAGAGGCAGTAGAAGCAATAGTAGTAGAAGTACTGGTTGTGGTGGTCATAGTAAGAAGTGCCAGCAGTAATAGTAGAAGCATTGGCAGGGTCGTAGTAAAGGACTAGAAGGACTACGAGAAGACAGTGGCAGCAATACTAGTAGAGGTCATAGTAGTAGTAGTACCAAAGTGGGCATATGTGCCAAGGGAGGGAGGCAAGACTAAGAGAATCCAGCACCCCTTTAATTCTGGGGAGAAAAGAGAGGGTCCAGTTTCTGAGAACTGGAAAAGAGAGGGGTCTAGGTAGATGGAGCTGGCAAGAAGAAATGAAGGGTACAAAGCCCTAGAAAGTGGTGCTAATCAATCCACCTAAGCCGGATAGGACTCGGTCTTGGGATTGATGAGAGTCTCATCTGGTGTTGGGGGAGGGGGTGGCTGTGTCTCCCCCCAGGGAGGCAGAGGCAGCATTTGCTCTCAGAAATCCCAGGTCCCTGGAGCAGGCAGGGCTTTTGATGCCTCTAGCCCACACTCCTCCTCATGTACCTATGACAACACTGAGGCTCTGGGTGCATGTTGCAGGGTTCTCTTGGGCAACAGAGCAAGGAATAGTGACTCCAGCTTGGGAGACGTGCTTCCCGCTGCTCCGGAGGGACCAACTTTGAGGACTTGGATGCTGGACTTATGTGGAAGTCCCAGCTCCACGTTCCAGCTCCTTAGCTGCCAGAGCGGCAAGTCAGCAGCCGGGGCTGGCACTCATCCAGCCCTGGGAACTTGGTGTCCTCCATGCAGATAAGGCGGGTGGGGCTTCCCAGGAAAAGCCTGAAGGAGGGAGCATCCCCACGTTCTGCTCATCCAGAAGACGGAGTAGAAATCAGTTTTTAGCCAGGACTGTACCCTGGGATTCTGTCCTCTGAAGGCTTGGAGTATGATCCCCCCATTCTTCCCAGCCTTCCACCCCACTAAACTATAGTTCACCCTTCCACTTGTCTCACCTCTGCTGTTCCCTTTTGCCTGAAATGCTTCCCTTCTTCTCCTCTGCCTGTCCCAATTCCTGCCCATCTTTTCAAGCCTGTCCCAATGCCACCTCTTCCAGGAAGCTCTCCTGGACTCTCCATCCCTTGCTTTCTGGTCAGGAGTCTAGTTCCTATCCTGGGCTCCCAGGAAAATTCAGTTCCAGCTGCTGCTGTTGTTGTTCAGTTTCACAGACATGCCCAGAAAACCTATTCGGTTTATCAGATTATCTTGCCCCTGCCTTCAGAGAGCTTAGAGTTCTATGAGGCAGACAGATGTGGACACCTTCTCCCCACCACCAAATGGGTAAGGTCATAGGGCTGGTTGGTGCAGGAGGCTGCTGGTCCTCAGAGGAGGGCTCCCAGCCCCAATCCAGCAGGGCTTCTTGGAAGAGGATGCATCTGTATTCACAACCAAACAACACAGTGGGTCATCAGCATCTGGGTGGAAAAACCTAGGAGAGAGAAAAGGTCTGGAAAACTCTTAAAGGATCCCAAGGGCCCCTCAGGCAGGGCTTGTAGGCAGCTCACTCTATTTGGCTCATGTTTTCTCGGTGAATTCCAAGCTAGCAATGAAAAGAGGGATTCCAGGAACCTCAGTGAAATGGCTCATCAGGAAGTTTGGTCCCAAGAGAAGGGTGGACAAACTGGAAGGACACACACACAATCCTCAAAATAACCACAGGGGCCAGAACAGTGGCTCATGCCTGTAATCCCAGTACTTTGGGGGGCCAAGGTGGGTGGATCACTTGAGCCCAGGAGTTGCAGACTGGCCTGGGCAAGACAGCAAAACCCTGTTTCTACAAAAAATACAAAAATTAGCTGGGCATGGTGGCACACGCCTGTAGTCCCAGATACTTGGGAGGCTGAGGTGGGAGAATCACTTGAGCCCAGGAGGTTGAGGCTGTAGTACGCCATGATTGCACCACTGCACTTTAGCCTGGGCATAAGACCGAGACCCTATCTCAAAAAAAAAAAAAAATGCCCACAGGACCCAGGAAATTACTCTATCAGAAGCTATCCCAATACATATGCTGGGTTAATGACTTTGGACATCAAGAAAAGCGAAAAGCCAAGGTTGTCAATCCTGGCTGTGCATTAGAGTCACCTGGAGTGGGCTGGGCGTGGCGGCTCACACCTGTAATCCTAGCACAGTGTTCTGGGCATTGGGATGTGATCCTCACACTCAAAAAGCTCATTGGCTCTCACCTGTAATCCCAGCACTTTAAGAGGCTGAGGCCAGTGGATCACCTGAGGTCAGGAGTTCAAGACCAGCCTGACCAACATGATGAAACCCTATCCCTACTAAAAATACAAAAATTTAGCCGGGCATGGTGATGCATGCCTGTAATCCCAGCTACTTGGGAGGCTGAGGCAGGAGAATCACTTGAACCCAAGAGGCAGAGGTTGCAGTGAGCCAAGATTGTGCCATTGCACTCTAGCCTGGGCAACAGAGTGAGACTCTGTCAAAAAGAAAGAAAGGGAGAGAGAAAGAGAGAAAGGAAACAAAAAAGAAAGAAAGAGAGACAGAGAGACGAAAGAAAGAAAGAAAGAAAGAAAGAAAGAAAGAAAGAAAGAAAGAAGCTGGCTGTGGTGGCTCACACCTGTAATCCCAGCACTTTGGGAGGCCGAGGCGGGTGGATCATGAGGTCAGGAGTTCAAGATCAGCCTGGACAACATGGCGAAACCCCGTCTCTACTAAAAACTACAAAAATTAGCTGGGCGTGGTGGCACGCACCTGTGGTTCCGGCTACTCAGGAGGCTGAGGCAGAAGAATCGCTTGAACCTGGGAGGTGGAGGTTGCAGTGAGCCGCAATTGTGTAACTGCACTCCAGCCTGGGCAACAGGGCAAGACTCTGTCAAAAAAGAAAGCAAGAAAGAGAGAGAGAGAGAGAAAGAAAGAAAGAAAGAGAGAGAGAGAGAAAGAAAAAGAAAGAGACAGAAAGAAAGAAAAAGGAAGGAAGAAGGAAGGAAAGAAAGAAAGAAGGAAAGAAAGAAAGAAAGAAAGGAAAGAAAGAAAGAAAGAAGGGAATCACCTGGAGTGGTTAAAAAATGCACATGCCCCTACCCCACCTCAATTAATGAGACTCTCTGTGGCTGGGGCTAGGGTATCCAGGTGATTCTGACACCAGGGTAGAGATCCACTGGCTTAAAGCATCACTCAGGGTCTCCCAGTGAAGAAGGCAGGGCAGTGTGCAAGATGGTATGGAAACATGTTTCAACAGAGATGGTTAAACTAAGGCAAGTTGTCTATTTAAAAGTTCAACTTCAGTTATCCAAGAAGTTCAGCTTTGCAAAACAGATCAAGGAAGCAGGCTGCAGAAAGGAGAGGATGGAAGCTAGGGACTGGCAAGAGAAAGATCCCCGCTCTGCCACTTGCCTACCTGCCCAAAGTGGTTCTGGACTTAGGGCAAGTTACTGAACATCTCTGAGCCCGTTTCCTCATCTGTAAAATGAGGACAATCATGGTGTCAGGCCCAGACTTTGACTATTAGTTAAAATGAAGTAAAGAAGTGCCCATTGTTCAATAAATATTAATTCCCATCCTCTGACCCAGAAGGTTCCAGATACATGAAGGCATCATTGTGCAAGAGATGGACTTTAATGGCCCTTGACATTTTTACATAGTGACTTACCATTTTTAGAGGAAAATATCCAGTTCATAGGTAAGTCATTCCCGGGCGAATGGTAGGCAGACATTGACTCAGGGGAAAGCTATGTATATTCCTAGAAGAAGAGCTAGATCCTGGAAATGACAGGGAGTTTCAACAACCCTGGAGTCTTTTGATTTCCCAACCATCCATAGAGGCTTGTCTTTACTAAAAGACAAAACCAGGCTTTAGGATGTTTCATTTCCTCTTGTTGGACCATCATCCCATCACCAAACAGACATTTAGAGGATGCGGCTCTGCATCAGGCCCTGTTCTGGGCATTGGGATGTGATCCTCACGCTCAAAAAGCTCATTGGCTCATGCCTGTAATCCCAGCACTTTAAGAGGCTGAGGCGAGTGGATTACCTGAGGTCAGGAGTTCAAGACCAGCCTGACCAACATGATGAAACACTGTTTCTACTAAAAGTACAAAAAATTAGCCGGGCATGGTGGTGGATGCCTGTAATCCCAGCTACTTGGGAGGCTGAGGCAGAAGAATCACTTGAACCCAAGAGGCGGAGGTTGTAGTGAGCCAAAATCACGCCATTGCACTCTAGCCTAGGCAATAGAGTGAGACTTTGTCTCAAGAAAAAGAAAGAAAGAAAGGAAAAAAAAAAAAAAGCTCCTCGTCTAGTGGAAAGCCTGACTTTAGTATCCTCTGGGGTGGGGGTGGCGGGGGCAGGCAGTTAGAGGAAAGAGTGGTGGCCCAGGGGCACCAATGGGTTTCTATGGCTCTCCATCTCTCCCTAGAGTCTCGGCTCTCCCACGAATGCAACTGCTGCCCCAGCCTGTACTGGCCTCCTTTCGTTTTCCCATCTGTAAAATGCAGTAGTGAGCCAGACAGAAGTGAATTCAATGATCTCTGCATGGAGAATTTTGGGAAATGTAATGAGTCCTATGGCCTCCACTCATGTTTTAATTATAGATGGACAGCAAGCTCTGTTGGCAAAAATTTCACAACAGGCCCTGGACCCATCTGGCTTTTCCTCTGCGTGGGGTACAAGTGGAGCAATGATAGATGATTGTCATGTGATATAAGAAGAACCTCCTTCCTCACAGACCTTCTTTCTCATCTCCGCTCCACCTCAGTACTGTGCCACGCTGCCTTGCAGGGTGAGCCCCAGACTGGGCTCTGCCTCTTCCCACCAAGACTTCAGTCTCTAGCTGAAAAATGGCCATAAGCCCTCCTGTGTAATGTGCTGCTGGGGTGCTGGAAAGAGCAGAGAGCAGCGACACGGGGGCTCACCTGGGCCTAGTAGAGCCTGGCCTCCACCCTCTGGGGATTCTAGATTTGCATCGGACAGTTTGGTCTGAGAGGCCAGCTTGGCCCAAGCGAGAAGAATGTCACCCTGTTTCTGGGTGCATTTGAGAGCAGCTTTGTGACAGGAGCTGATGATCTCCATGACAAATGAGTCCCTAAATGAATCCTCGCATCATGGAGTTGAGTGTTTTTTGTTAGCCCCCAGAGGAAGGGAGGGAAGAGAGATGGAGGCTGAGGAAGGACACAGAGAAGCGCCCAGCAGGCCTCTCACCAGCACCCCTGCCTCCTTCCTGGCTCCTTTCTTTCCTTCCACCCATGTTTGCTAAGCTCCCAGTGTGTGCTGGGCCCTGCGCTGGCTCATAGACCTCAGGGATGAAGCATCCACAGTCTCTGCTGCCCAGCAGACAGGAAGAGAGAAGCCCAGTGTGATCAGTGCTGCAACGGAGGGGAGCCCGGGAGACTGTGGGGACTCAGAGGCGGGCTCTGACCTGTCCTGGCGGGTAGGGGGTGGCAGGGAAGGCGTTCTAGGGAAAGCTTGCAGGACGAGTCCACCCAGTGGAAGACAGCACTCCTGAAAGAGGGAGAACCACCGGCACAAGCAGAGGATGGAAGCAAAGCTTTGGGGACTGGAGCGCGGGAGGTAGGGGTGCAGGGTGGTGGAGACCACAGCCGGAGGGATCAGCAGGAGCAAGAGCCCAAATGGCCTCGAGTCCCAAGCTGGGAGCTCAGACACTCTTCAGAGGCCCGAGAGTAAGCCAGGGCAGGGTTTTTCCAGGGAAGGATGGCTGGGCTAACTGGAGGAGAGTGGATTGAAGAGGATGGACCGGGGGGCAGGGGGTTGGTGGGAGGGCCCCCTGATTACTCGTGTTGCTTTCTTCACTCTCTCGGAGAGTGCATCTTGAGGGCCTGCTCGTCTCTCACCACGCATCAGCTGGTCAGCCCCTCCTGGGGCTGGGCACTGGCTCAGGAGCGAGCTGCAAAGCGCAGGCCTGCACTCCACAAAGCTTCCTTTGTGATGAACCCGGGTCGCAGGGGCATGGTGCTCTGCTGCCCTCTAGCGAGGGCTGGGTATGCGCCCTGCGGGGCCCAGCCGGCTGCTAAGGTCCCTGCAGGCCTTCCATCTGTCCTATCCTCAATCGCGTCAGGAGAAGTGGAGACTTACTGCTCCTGAGGAAGGAATGCAGTCTGCAGACAAAAACAGGGTGAAGAGGAGAGGGGGTACACAGAGGAACTCAGCCCTAGCTGTGGGAACAGGGAGCACCGTGGTCAATGGGGGTGCCGCTGGCTGGGAGCCCAGTTTAACAGCTTTAGTTTCCTGGAATGAATAAGCCCAGACTCCGAAGGATGGAAGCGTGGTAATAGTGATGATGGTGGTGGTCACGGTAGAGATTTTGATGATGCTGGTGACAGTGGTTGCAGTGACCAAATGACTATGGCGTCTGCTGGTTACATAGGTATTGGTGGTGATGGTTGAGTTTTGGTAATGGTGGTGATGGCGTTATGGTGATAGTGGTGGTAATGATGAGGATGATGGAAGTAGAAACAGTGGTGGTGGTGATGAAGGAGGTGGCTAAACAGCTACTATGAACAGTCTCATATATGTCTTTTTTTCTTTTCTTTTTTCTTTTTTTAGACTGGATCTCACTCTGTTGCCTAGGCTGGAGTGCGGTGGTACCATCTCGGTTCACGGCAGCCTCAACGTCTGGGCTCAAGTGGTCTTCCCACTTCAGCCTCCTCACCCAGCTAATTTTTGTAATTTTTGTAGAGATGGGGTTTCACCGTGTTGCCCAGGCTGGTCTTGAACTCCTGGCTCAAGTGATCCTCCTGCCTCAGCCACCAAAAGTGCCGGGATTACAGATGAGAAGCACCATGCCCAGTCTCATATATGTCTTTTGTTGGATATTTGAACTCATTTCTCTTAGGCAGAGACCTAAGTGGAATTGCTAGATCATGGGATAGGGATTTGTTTAGCTTTAGTAGATACTGCAAAATTGTTTTCTGAAAATGGTTCACAAACAGTACTGCCTGTCTTTTTAATTGTATTCATTTCATTCTGGTATGTGTGTACTTGTATCTCACTATGGTTTTCATTTAATTTCCCTGGTGACTAATTATGTTGGGCAATTTTCATATGTTTATTAAATATTTGGATATCATATTTTGCAAAATGCCAGTTCAAATCTTTTGGTCAGTTTTAAGTTGAGTTGTTAGTCTTTTTCTTACTGGCTTGTAGAAGCTCTGTATATATTCTGGATAGAAGTCCTTTGTCAGATATGTGTATTGCAAATAACTTTTCCCAGTCTGGTTTGCTTTTTTACCTCTTAAATGCAATCTTCTGATGAACAGTTTTTCATTTCAATGTGGTCCAATACATCAATAGTTTTTATGTTTAGTGCTTTTTTGTGACTTGTTTAGGAAACTTTTGTCTACTGTCAATGTCAGGAAGATATTATCTAGATTTTCTTCTAAATGTAGATCCATCATTAATTTTAAATTAATATTGTGAATGATGTAAGGTATGAAATCAAGGATTTTTTTCTTTCCCTAAATGGATATCCAATTAATCCAGCCCAATTGATTGAAAAGAACAATATTCTCACAACTGAGGGCAGCGCTTCCTTTGTCATAAATCAAGTGATGCATATGGATGGATGCGTTGCTGGAGGCTGTTCTGTTCCATTTGCTGGTCTTTGCACCAATACCACACTGTCTTGATTATTGTAGCTTTACATTAAGTCTTGGTATCTGGTAGTATAAGTCCTCCAACTTTGCTCTTCTCCATTATTATCTTGGCTATTGTAGTCTTTCGCATTTTCATATAAATTTTAGAATCAGCTTGTCAATTTTCATTTTTAAAAGTTCCTGCTGGGATATTGATTGGGACTGCATTGAATCTACATATGTCAGTTGCAGAAAAGTAACATCTTCACAATACTCTATCTTCTAATTCATAAACATAGTAATTATCTCCTTTTATTCAGGTCTTCCTAAATAACAGCAATGTTTTGCTATTTTCACATTTTATTTCAAATGCCTTTTATTAAATTTATCTCTAAGACATTGTGTTTTTTGATGCTGCTCTAAATGTTAAAATTTTAATTTCCAATTGTGTATTTTATATGTAATTAGCAAGTAATATATAATATATGCATATTGACATTGTATCAGAGACTTTGGAGATTCTTAAGAATTTTCTATATACCTATACATCTGTGTATGTATGTATGCTGTGAAAAATGACAGTCTTATTAACTTAATTCTTTCTTTCCAGTTTCTACATACATTGCTGCCTTACTGTACTAGGATGATGGTAAGAGAAGAGGAAGTTATTTTTATTATTAAATATGATGTTACCTGTAAGCTTTTTTTGGTAAAGAACCTTTATTCAATTAATAAATTTCCATCGTATTTCTAGTTTGTTGAAAGCTTTTATTTTTATCATAAGCAAGTGTTAAATTTTACCAAATGTCTTTTCTGTATTTATTGAGATGACCATTTGATTTTCTCCTTTATTCTATCAATGTGTTGAATTACACTGATTGACTTTCAAATGTTCAAGCAACTTTTGAGTTACTGGACTAAATCCACATGTATTACGCATTTTCTGTATTGCTGAAATGATTGGCCAGTAATTATTTGGAATCTTAACAATTGTGCTCAGGAGAACTAATGGCCGGCAGTTTTCTTTTCTTATTATGTCATTGTAAGGATCAGATATCAGGGTTAGGCTGGCCTCATTTTTTTAAAAATGAATTTGGAAATTCTCCCTCTGGCTCTGTTGATGACATTTTGTCTAAGATTCATTTCATTACTTCCTTAAGTGTTTGGAAGATTCCCCGGTGAAGCCATCCATGCTAAGTGTTTCCTTTGCGGGGAGGTTTTTAATTACAAATTCAACTTGTTTAACAGATATAAAACGATTCAGATATCCTACTCTTTTCTCTTATGCATTTTAGGAGATTGAGATTTTTAAGTGATTTGTTCATGAATTCACAAACATGGTCAAGTTCAGGTTTATTGACATAAAGTTACTCATAATATCCTCTTATTATTCTTTTAATATCTGTAGGATCGGTAGGAAAGTCCCTTTTTTATTTCTGATATTTGTACTTGGCATTTTCTCTTTTTATTTTCTTTCTTAGTTTGTTAAGCATTTATACAAGTTATTGATCTCATCAAAGAAACAAGTTTTGGCTATTGTATGTCAGCTATGGGTTTCATTCATTTCTGCTATTAGCTGCATAATTTCTTTCCCTCTTTGTTTAGGTGTAATGTGCTATTCTTTTTCTGGTTTTCTAAGATGGAAACTTCAGTGACTGATTTTTCAATCTTTTTTTTCTTTTCTAATATAAGCAGAGCTTATGCATTTCTTCTCAGCGTTGCTTAACTACATAGTTTACTTCCCTTATTGTTAATTTCAAAATATTTTCTAATA
Source organism: Homo sapiens (assembly GCF_000001405.40). Classification (NCBI taxonomy): domain Eukaryota; kingdom Metazoa; phylum Chordata; class Mammalia; order Primates; family Hominidae; genus Homo; species Homo sapiens. The sequence continues at coordinate 114,104,731 of NC_000009.12, read as the reverse complement.
ACCATCATGATTTATTCTTTGATCCAGAGGTCATTTAGAAGTATTTTTGTTGGATTTCCAATTATTTGGCAGCGGGGGAGGGGGGCGGATTTTCTAGTTACCTTTCCCTCACTGATTCTAGGTTGATTCCTCTATGGTCAGAGAACATACTCAATATTATTTCGATCACTCGAAATTGTTGAGGCTGGCTTTACAGCCCAACATCTATTTTGGAAAATGTTTCATGTGCATTTGAACGTGTATTCTGCAATTATTGGGTATAGTATTTTGTCTATGTCATTTAGATCAAGTTGGGTAACAGTGTTGTTCAAATCTTCTATATTTTTACTAAATTTTTACCTGTTGTTCTTTAGTTACAGAGAAAGTTAGGTTGAGATTAGCATCTATGGTGGTGAATTTGTCTATTCCTTCTGGCAGTTCAGTTATTAGATGAATACAATTTAAGATTATTATGTCTTCCTGTTGAATCACATAATATAATAAAATGCTTCGCAGTGTCTCTATTGATGCTTCTTGCATTAGAGTCCATTTCGTCTGATGTTAATGTGGCTGTACTGCTTTCTTTTGGTTAGGGCTGGTGTGATATAACTTTCTATTCTTTCATTTTCAATTGTTTCTTTTCTTAAATTTGAAGTTGGCTTTCATTTTTTTCAATATAGAAACATTTTGTTTCTTGTATCCAGTCTGACAATGTTTGTCTTTTATTTGAAGTGTCCAGCCCATGTACAATTAATATACTTGCTGATATAATTGGGTTTAATTGTATCTTGTTATTTGTTTCTTATTTGTTCCATTTATTCTTTGTGACTTTCTTTCTTTCTTTGTTTTTTTTTTTTTTTTTTTTTTTTTTTTTTTGAGATGGGGTCTTACTCTGTTGCTCAGGCTGGAGTGCAGTGGCACGATCACGGCTCACTGCAGCCTTGACCTGGGCTCAGGCGATCCTCCCACCTCAGCCTCCCAAGTAGCTGGGACTACAGTCCTGTGCCACCATACTCAGCTGATTTTTGTATTTTTTGTAGAGATGGCTTTTTTCCATGTTGCCCAGGCTGCTCTTGAACTCCTGGGCTCAAGCAATCCACCTGTCTCAGCCTCCCAAAATGCTAGGATTACAGGTGTGAGCTACCGTACCCGACATCTTTGTGACTTTATATCTCATTTTTTGTCTTCTTTTGAATCAGTCAAGTAGTTTTAATTCATTTTTCTCTATTAGCTTCTTAGTTTTAACTCTTGTTTTTGTGATAGTTACCTTAAAGATGTCACTATACATCCCTGAACTACTACAGTCTACCTTAAGTTAGTACTTTTATCACTTCCCAAACAATTGAAGAACCAATGCTACAATTCTATGGTTTAACTCCATTCACTCCACTTATCCTTTATTCTAGTGTAATGTCTGTTTGCTTCTATATATATTATAATGGTAGCAAAAAGTTAGTGTTACTTTCTTTTAAACAGTCAAAATGATTCTTTTTTTTTGAGACAAAGCCTTACTCTGTCACCCGGACTGGAGTACAGTGGCATGATCTCGGCCCACAGCAACCTCCACCACCTGGGTTCAAGTAATTCTCCCGCCTCAGCCTCCCTAGTAGCTGGTATTCCAGGCGCCCACCACCATGCCCGGCTAATTTTTGTATTTTTAGTAGAGACAGGGTTTCACCATGTTGGCCAGACTGATCTTGAACTCCTGACCCCAGGTGATCCACCCCCCTCAGCCTCCCAAAGTGCTGGGATTACAGGCATGAGCCACCGTGCCTGGCCTCAAAATGATTTTATATACATCCTATATTTATTCTTTCTCATGCTCTTTATTTTTTCCTTGAGCTCTATCTCATTCAACATATAAAAATTTCCTTCAGTATTTCTTGTAGTGATGATCAACTGGAGGTGAATTTCTCAGCTTCTGTTTGTTCAAAAATGTCTATTTTACCTACATTTGTGAAGGATACTTTTGCTAGACATATAATTCCAGGTTGATTTTTGTTTTTTAATCTCAGCATTTTAAAGATACACTGTCTATTGTCTGTTGGCATCCATAGTTTCTATTCAAAAGTAGTTGTCAGTCTTCTTATTGCTACTTTGAAGGCTATGGTTTTTTCCCTAAGGCTGCTTTTATGGTTTCTTCTTTGTCTTTGGTTTTCAGCAGCTTAAGATGTGCTAGATATTTCTTTATATTTAATCTTTAAAGTGGGCTACAAGGTTGCACATAACCAGGCTCCTATTAACTTTATAATCTTTTTCTTTTTTTTTTTTTTTTTTGAGATGGAGTCTTGCTTTGTCACCCAGGCTGGAGTGCAGTGGTGCCATCTTGACTCACTGCAACTTCTGACTCCCAGGTTCAAGTGGTTCTTCTGACTCAGCCTCCTGAGTAGCTGGGATTACAGGCCTGTGCCACCATGCCTGGCTAATTTTGTATTTTTAGTAGAGACAGGATTTCACCACGTTGGTCAGGCTGGTCTCAAACTCCTGATCTCGTGATTTGCCCACTTCGGCCTCCCAAAGTGTTGGGATTATAGGCATGAGCCACTGCACCCAGCCACCTTTATGATCTTTTGTCTCCCACTCTTCCCTTGCTAACTGTGTTCCAACCACCCTGGCCTTCTTCCATTCCTTGAACACACACTGGTCATACTCCACCTCAGGACCTTTGCATCGGACAATTCTTCTGCCTAGGATAATCTTCCCCCAAATATTTGCATGACTAACTCACATTCGTCCTTGAAGTCTTTCCTCAAAAGTCACCTTCTCAATGAGGTATTCCATGACTATACTATATAAACAACAACCTGTTCGCCATCGCCAACACTGAGTGATACTATTTCCGTAGCACTTTTCAGCTTTTAACATACTATGTAAGTTATTTATATGCTTATTTTTATTATCTGCCTTTCCCACCTCACTAGAGGGTAAGCTCCATAAGGGCAAGAATTTTTATCTGTTTTGTTCACTAATGTATGCATCTCAAGTGCCTAGAAACCTGCCTGACACCTAGAGGAGGCTTAATAAAAACTTGCTCATGACTGTTCAATTTAAGGGTAGCAGATGTTTGCACTCACTGTTAGAGAACAGAACCAGGACTTTGCTCCTGCATTTGTGATTCAAAGGACATCAAATCATGTACACATTCTGACCCAGGTTGGGAAGCCTGGTGCACAAGCCCCCACTGACCAGCATGCAACATATCCCCTGTTTCTGCACTTTTATCAAAATCCTTTCAAGGTTGGGCATGGTGGCTCATGCCTGTAATCCCAGCACTTTGGGAGGTTGAGGTGGGTGGATCACCTGAGGTCAAGAGTTTGAGACCAGCCTGGCCAACATGGTGAAACCCTCCCTGTCTTTACTAAAAATACTAAAGTTAGCTGGGCGTAGTGGTGAGTACCTATAATCCCAGCTACTTGGGAGGCTGAGGCAGGAGAATCACTTGGATCCAGAAGGTGGAGGTTGCAGTGAGCCAGGATCGCAACATTGCATTCCAGCCTGGGTGATAAGAGAGAAACTGCATCTCCAAAACAAAACAAAACAAAACAAAAAAAACAAAAATCCCTTCAGCGTGGCTCATCTCAGTCCAGCCTGAGGAGGGCCAGCAATCTGACTAAACCAATGCACACTAAGATGCTAGTGATTGATAGTCTTTAACACTTTCAACAGCTTTTAAAGGAGCACCTTGTTCATTTACTGGGTTTACTCCTGACAAAAGCAACTTGCCATAGCAAGCAGCATCAGGATGTACAGCTCATAGTTCTGGGTTTAAACTCTCAGTTCTGCCATTTGTTGTTTTCTCCTTAGATAACTTTCCCTGCCTTTCGCTGTTTAGTTCAGTTTTTTTTCCTCTGAAAAACAGGGATAGTAATTTTTGTCTTATCCACCTCAAGGACTCAAAAAATAGATTAAGGAACTTCAGAGTTGAAAGGGAACTTAGAGATCATCTAGGAATTTTTATTTTTGTTTTTAGGTAATTATTTACAACTTTCACTTTCAATGACACATCTCATTGAAATCTCAGAACAACTATGTCAAATAGGAGAGAAGTCATTAATCTCTTTTTACAGGAAGGAAACAAGAGAAGCCAAGACTGTGGCAAGTTAGTGGCAGAGCTGGGGGCAGTGGTTATTAGTTCTACAGAACTTTCCCTGTGGCCCCTGCTAGAGGGTCCTATAACCAAAAGGTCAAATGGCTCTTTCTTATACATCTCCATTGCCTGGGGAGCTCACTGCCATCCAAGACAGCCCATTCTCCAGCAGGGTGGCTTTGATAGTTGGCTGTAATTTGTGGTGGTATAGAATGTGTCACATTGAGAAAAAGTGATTTTTAGGGCTTTCACCCTAATGTGTGTTTGGGGGCCGGAGAGTTTGCAGAAATATTCAGAGAACATACAAAGACAGCCAGAATGACAATAATAATAACAATGCCAACCTGATGGTGTCACATCCCTGTTTATAACCCTTCAATGGCTTCCTGGTTCCCTGAAGAGTGAGTCCAGACTCCTTGATGTGCCCACCATAAGCTAGATCCAGCCTCAAACTACCTCTCCATGCCACACTCATCTCCCCACCCCACCCTGGCCATCCTGACTCCTGTTTGCTTTGCCTGGAATACCCTCACCTCCTCCCCACCCCCACTGGCTCCTACAGGCCTCTGTACTCCCCCTAAAGGCCCTACACGCTGCTGGGTTGTACTTATCCATCTCCCCAGACACACTGTGAGCTGGGAAGGGTCAGGGGCTGCATGGGGTTCCTCTGCCCTGGTGCCCAGCATGGAGACTGGTACAGAATAAGTGATTGCCCCATCCCTGCACATTCACAGACATCTCTGCTGTTCTCATAAGCCAGACCAGGAGAGGGTTAAACAATCATGCTGGCCTAGGATTAACTTTGGCATTAGAGAGGCAGGTGCCCCAGTGTTTTACCAGATGCTTGGAAACCTGTTCTCAGGTCAGCTCAGAGATTCAATCCAGCCAGGTCGTCCCTAGAGCTGACTGAGACCTGTGCCACTCCTTGGGCCCTGAGCTGAGCTGCTGGGGGTGGGAGTGGGGGGTATGTGGAGAGGGTGGGAAAAGCTTGGTCCTGTGCAGGCTAGCTCTGTGGCCTTGGTTGAGTCCTTCCTATCTGCTTAGGTATCCCCAACTGGGCACAAAGGAGGCCGGTCTGGGTGGTCCCACGGGTTCCTCTTGTGAGGACTGGCCAAGAGCAAGGGATCCTCAGACTCCAGAACCCCCTAGCTAGGGGTCCCCTAGCTTGGGAGAGACTTTCTCCACCGCAGGGGTGAGGAAGGGTAAATCTTTAACGAGCTAGCCCTGGGCAGCTGGAGTCTTTCCGGATGGATGGCTGCCTGGGATGGGGGATGGGGTGGGAATGCAAGATGTGTGTAGACAGTCCCAGTGTTGTGGAGAAGGGAGGGTATTGGTGGGGGGTAAATAAAGGAGACGCGGGCGGAGCTAACTCCGTGTGCAGAGCAGGACATGGAAGAACGCGGGTCACCCGACGGGTAAGCAGATCTTCAGACAGGTTCGAGGAGTCCTGAACAGCCGCTAGGTGCAGGTATGATAAGTCGCATTGCTGCCCACAGGGATCTCGCGCGGAGCCTGGAGCAAGGGCCAGAGGGGCCGGAAACGCCCATCCAGGTGGTGCTCAGGTGGGTATAAATTGGCTAGGAGGCACCTGGGCGAGACAAGGATCGAGGAAGACATCAGGATGTACCATCTGCCCTTCTGTCGGACCCCAGGGTACGTCCCATGAGCGCGGCCGAGCTGCGTCGAGGGCAGCAGAGCGTGCTGCACTGCTCAGGGACCCGGACTCTGCAGGTGAGGAACCCCTCTCTCTATCTCCCCAATAAAAAATCCCGGGGACGCCAGATCCCTTCCCCCAGGCAACTTTGCCCTAGGCCCCGCGCTCCCCCGGAGTGGTCCTCTCCCAGGTGCCCCGCCCTCCCCAGAGTGCCCCTCCCTTCCAGGATGCCCAGCCCTCCGCCAGGGTGCGCCGCGCCAACCCCTGCGAGTGCCCCGCCCCTTCTGAGTGCCCGCCCACCCAAGGTGCCCGCCCCCCCCAGAATGCCCCGCCCCTCCAGGGTGTCCTACCCTCCCCAGAATGCCCCGGCCCTAGTGAGTGTCCCCCACCCCACCCCCAACCCAGGGTGCTCGCCCACCGAGTGCCTCACCGAGCGCCCTACCCTTCTCCAGGGTGCCCCGCCCTCCTCCAGAGTGCCCCGCCCTCCTCCCGCGTGCCCCGCCCTCCTCCACGGTGCCCCGCCCCTCCAGGGTGCCCCGCCCTCCTCCAGAGTGCCCCGCTCCTCCGCCCCACCCGCGCCAGGTGAGTCCTCCAGGCGGGGGTCCAGAAGTGGCGTTCCGCTTCGGTGCGGTGCTAGACGCGGCGCGCACGCAGGAGGACGTGTTCCGGGCGTGCGGCGTGCGGCGCCTGGGGGAGCTGGCGCTGCGCGGGTGAGTGAAGCTTCGCCTCCGCTCCGCGCCGGGCCTGGCGGGGCCCCGAAGCACCCCCAGCCCCCACCCCGGGTAGCCGCCGGAGTCCAGCCACGCCCTTGCCGCCCGCAGTTTCTCCTGCACTGTTTTCACCTTTGGCCAGACGGGCTCTGGGAAGACCTACACCCTGACTGGACCCCCTCCCCAGGTGAGCGAGCGCCGGCGGCGCCCCCGCGGGGCGGGGCTGGGTGGGCTGGAAGCCCTGGGGAGCCGCAGGCGGCGCAGACTCCCAGAGGGAAGGGGCTGGGACGACGCCGCCTGACCCGCTTGTTTGCAGACGAGGACGCTGAGGACCAAAGAGAAGGGACTTGCCCAATTTGGAGCATTTGGGCTTCAACTTTGGCCCCTTCCTAGCTCTCAGTTTTCTCATCTGTAAAATGGAAGTGACAGTACCGACTATGAATTAAATGAGCCATTGTTTGGGAACTTGGCACGTTTCCCGGCGCACGGTATCATACATGCGCTACAGAGGGTAGTTATTACTGTGGAGATGACGATGGCTCAGCTGGTTTTGCCCCTAGGGGGAGGGGGTGCCTGTACCCCCCAGCCTGGCTGGCATCATGCAGAGGACCTTCGCCTGGCTGTTGGACCGCGTGCAGCACCTGGGTGCCCCTGTCACCCTTCGCGCCTCTTATCTGGAGATCTACAATGAGCAGGTAAGGGAATGAGAGGAATAGAAAGACAGCCCATGAGGAAACGGAGCGCTTCTTTCCAGGGAGCCTGGATCAAAGGACAGAAGAGGCGGTGGGGACTGTTGTCAGTAAGATCTGGGGATGGGTGGACTCAGAAAGATCCCCTTCCCTCACCCTCCTCCCTCCCCTCCCAGGTTCGGGACTTGCTGAGCCTGGGGTCTCCCCGGCCCCTCCCTGTTCGCTGGAACAAGACTCGGGGCTTCTATGTGGAGCAGCTGCGGGTGGTGGAATTTGGGAGTCTGGAGGCCCTGATGGAACTTTTGCAAACGGGTGTGTGCTGACAGCGGGGAGTTTTGCGGGTAGGGGTGCCCATTCCTCAGTTGTTCACTGAGTGTGGACTTGGGGCCCAGACTGCAGCTGCAGCTTCAGAAATGATTCCTGGGGGAGGTGGGGAAGGACCAGTAAACCACAATTCAAAGGCATGGCCCAAGGGCCTCCCCGCACTGCCAACAAGGCCTGCTAATTCTGCCTTCCAAACTCCTTTCACACCCTCTCCTCTCTAGCCCAGGGCCTCGGCCTCCGCCAGGACTCATTCTTGCTCCCTGGTGGTCTCTGCACCTCAAGGCTCTCCCCTGCCCATCCATTCTCCTCTATGCTGCAAACCCCATCTCTCTTTGCCTCCAGACCCTCCACCCTTCCAGGGCCCTGAGGATCAAGGTCATACCTCTTAGCCTAGCCTAAAGGCCCTTTCAGCCTCATTCTTTTTTTTAAATCAAGTATTTATTGGGCACCCCTCCTTTGGCAGGCACTGGAGATGCTGACTGTGGATTCTGGCCCCAGCACTGTGCCACACCTCTCAGCTGATCTCCTGCCTCAGTTTCTCCCCTTCCTTTCACGAAGCAGTGGGAGAGATGTTTATAAAATGCAAATCTGACTGTCATTCTTCTGCTCAGTTTTCTCTATCCTCCATCCACCCATCTCTGCTAGAGCAGGGCCCAACATCCCATCGTTCCCTGAACAACACCCACTCTGTTGCCTCCCTGCCTTTGCATGAGGCTGACCCTTCCGCCAGGATTCCTTTGCTCCTTTTTCTTCATTGATGATGACCTGTTCTTCCTACCAGGTCCAGCTCCTGATGTTTTTCCCTTCCAGGTCTCAGCCGTCGAAGGAACTCAGCCCACACCCTGAACCAGGCCTCCAGCCGAAGCCATGCCCTGCTCACCCTTTACATCAGCCGTCAAACTGTGAGTGCTCCAGCCTGGGAAGGTGCTTACCCGGGGCCACCAAGCAAGGGTCTGTATCTGGACATATAAACCAACTTGGGTGTGCATGGGGGTTAATAATGGAAACTCTTGGTCCCATAACCTTGTGGCTTTGATGGGGACGGTCCCTCCCAAGTCCCCATGAAGCTCTGATCCCTCAGGCCCAGCAGATGCCTTCTGTGGACCCTGGGGAGCCCCCTGTTGGTGGGAAGCTGTGCTTTGTGGACCTGGCAGGCAGTGAGAAGGTAGCAGCCACGGGATCCCGTGGGGAGCTGATGCTTGAGGCTAACAGCATCAACCGAAGCCTGCTGGCCCTGGGTGAGACCTGGGGGCCACCGGTGTGATTTCCTGTCTCTCCTCTGTGCCTGGCTCACAGCTCTCCACAGTGGGGGATACCAGAGGAGTTGTAGTAAATAGAAGAGGGTTAAAGAGCTGCGATCCAGGAACCAAAGGCCCCATTCTGGCCCCAGCTCTGCTGTTGACTTCTCCCTTCGTAAAACACTGCTTATGAATGTATAAACTCTAAGGGTGTATAAAGTTCCATGCTAATTTGGGAAATAGAACCACTCAACTGCAGAAGATGAACCCTCAGAGACATTTGGCATGTCCCTTGTGCAGTTGGGAAGACTGAGGCCTAGTAAGGGGAAGGGACTTGAGCTTTCTCCCCAACCCCACCCCAGGGTATTGGACCTGGAGATCCTCAGGGGCTGTGCCCTCAGTATTCCTCTGTGGCATGCATGTGAGATGCCCGCGAAACTCCTTTGTGTACAATCCATTTGTTAGAAGTTTCCTTCTGAGTGCCTGAGTACCAGGCACTTTGCTGGGCATTGAGGGTCAGGGTATACAGGGCCTTCTCTGCCCTCAAAGAGTCCCAGTCTGGTGGTGGAGACCAATCTGACTGAGTCATGAGATCATGTGGAAAGATGGGTTTTTAGGGCAACACAGGCCTGGGTGGAGAGCCCAACTCTGCAGCATCCCAGCCTGATGGCCCTAGGCAAGTGATGTAACCTTCCTAACTCTTGCTCTCCCTCCCCAGGTCACTGCATCTCCCTGCTGCTGGACCCACAGCGGAAGCAGAGCCACATCCCTTTCCGGGACAGCAAGCTCACCAAGTTGCTGGCAGACTCACTGGGAGGGCGCGGGGTCACCCTCATGGTACTTAAGCGGGGCCTGGCAGGGAAGGTTGGGTCTTGAGGAAGGGGCCCTCAGAGAGGAGCGCTCAGGGGGAGTGCACTCCCCAGGTGGCCTGCGTGTCCCCCTCAGCCCAGTGCCTTCCTGAGACTCTCAGCACCCTGCGATATGCAAGCCGAGCTCAGCGGGTCACCACCCGACCACAGGCCCCCAAGGTGAGTATAGGCAGGCACAAGCTGAGGGACAGGCGTGGAGATGCTGGGGGATCAGGCAGGAGTTGGAGCCTGAGTCCCTTGATTGAAGTCTTGGACTGGGTCAAAGTTGGGATTAGGGTTGGAATCCTGGAATCGGTATCATGGTTGTATAGGATGGGGTCAGGGTCCCAGCCAGGGTCATGCCAGGTTTAGGGCAGGTCTAGGGTTGGAGTTTGAGTTGGGATATGATTCAGGGTCTAGCTCAGTTAGTATCATGGTTAAGTGGGAGTTGATGTGGGGCCTAATGTGGGGTCTCGTTTGGAACCATTATCTGGCCCAAGGTTTGGACAGAACTGAGTTTGGGATTGGACTCACAGCTGAGTCCAGCTCAGAGTGGGGCCCTCCAGGACAGTGCACTTAGGACAAGGTGCCCCTTCCAGGCAGATACAGCCTTGTGCCAAGATGCAAGGCTGACGAATGAAGCATGGGCTGGATTTTAGGCCCCAGTTACTTCCCACACCCGGAAGTTCTTGTGCAGTGCACGACTTATACAACCATAAAGGTGGCTCTGGGCCTCTTTCCCTACAGTCTCCTGTGGCAAAGCAGCCCCAGCGTTTGGAGACAGAGATGCTGCAGCTCCAGGAGGAGAACCGTCGCCTGCAGTTCCAGCTGGACCAAATGGACTGCAAGGGTATGGGCTTCCTGGAGGCAGAGTAGGATGGGGATAGGGTCTGGGGCTCCTGTGGATCCACCACCTCCTGCTTCCCTGCAGCCTCAGGGCTCAGTGGAGCCCGGGTGGCCTGGGCCCAGCGGAACCTGTACGGGATGCTACAGGAGTTCATGCTAGAGAATGAGAGGCTCAGGTAGGGCACAGCCCACAGCCAGAGGGATGCTGCTCCCCACCCATCACTGCTAGGCTGCTTCTGGCAAACTGCCTCCTCTCCCTGCCCCTGGCTCCCTTATGTCCCCACCTGCTTCCTGAACTGGTGCTATGCTGCAATGAGGAGGAGCTGACTGATGCCCCACCCCAGCCCCATTTCCTACCCCTTCCTGGCTTGTGATCTCCCCTAGGAAAGAAAAGAGCCAGCTGCAGAATAGCCGAGACCTGGCCCAGAATGAGCAGCGCATCCTGGCCCAGCAGGTCCATGCACTAGAGAGGTAAGCAGAGCCACCAGCTTGGAGCCAGGCCTCTGGACAGAGGGCAGCTGGGAAAAGGGATGGCTTAATGAACTGCTTGAGGCTGGCCTCTGGATTCAGACCAACTAGGTTCAGTTTCCAGCTCTGCCACCTACTAGCTGTGTCACCTGGGGCAAGTCATTTAACTTCTCACTGCCTGGGTTTCCTCTTCTGTAAGATGGGGTTCATCGTCGTGCCTACTTATAGGCTTGTTTTAAAAATCAGAGAGAATAAGTTAACATGTAAAACTTTGAGAATGGGGCCCGGTACCTGGTACGGGATCCAGGAGTATTAGCTGGGAAGGGGATTTGAAAGCCAGCTTGGTGGTAGGGTTGGAGGCTGCAGGCATAGACCCTGCTGTTCTTTCTAGGCGTCTCCTCTCTGCCTGCTACCATCACCAGCAGGGTCCTGGCCTGACCCCACCGTGTCCCTGCTTGATGGCCCCAGCTCCCCCTTGCCATGTGAGTCTCACGGCCCAGCCTGGAGGGGTGACAAGTAGGGATGTCATGGAGCCTCTGACGCACCTTTTTGCAGGCACTGCCACCCCTCTACTCCTGCCCCTGCTGCCACATCTGCCCACTGTGTCGAGTGCCCCTGGCCCACTGGGCCTGCCTGCCAGGGGAGCACCACCTGCCCCAGGTAGGAAAGGCCATGGTGGGAGTGAGGGAAGGCTGGGAGAACTGGAGACCTTGATCCAGGAGTCATCAATCCAGAGCCCCAGGGATTCCAGGGCTGCAGGCTAGATCATGGGGAGTGAATGGCTGGCCTAGGGCTCCCTCTGCCCTGGTTTGAAATAGCTGTTTGCCTCACCCTCCCCCCTCCTCACCCTGCCCTGTCAGGGCCAGGAATTCATTCTGTCATTCACTTATTCATTCACTCACATATCTACTCACTTATGGATTTACTGAATCATACATTCACTTACTCCTTCAGTAACTCCCCAAGCTCCTTGCTTTATACCAGCCTCTCTTCTGGGCTCTGAGGAGTCAGAAATAGACCAGACGTGGTTCCTGCTCTCAGGAGGCTTCTAGTCTCAGGAGAGGACGGTAGAAGAACCATCTGCTGCACACAGAAGGCGACCAAGACCCCACCCCTTTATGCCATCCTGACATTCTTGGTACCTTGTGGGGTAGGCATGGTGGGGTGTCATGGCTAGCACCAGGTAGGTGGGACACAGAGAGGCAGGACTGAGGTCACCCAGAGTGGACTCTGGTCTTTCCTACAGGTGTTGGACCCTGAGGCCTCAGGTGGCAGGCCCCCATCTGCCCGGCCCCCACCCTGGGCACCCCCATGCAGCCCTGGCTCTGCCAAGTGCCCAAGAGAGAGGTGGGTCTCTCCTGGGGCACTGAGGTCAGAGAGGGGTGGTCTGGGGAACTCAAAGGCTCACCTCCCATCTCCCAACTCACCCTGGCCCAGGAGTCACAGTGACTGGACTCAGACCCGAGTCCTGGCAGAGATGTTGACGGAGGAGGAGGTGGTACCTTCTGCACCTCCCCTGCCTGTGAGGCCCCCGAAGACATCACCAGGGCTCAGAGGTGAAGAAGGGAGAGAGGGAGGGGCCCCTAATGTTCTCTGTGATCTTGGGGTAGAACCCACCCTCTCCAGGCCTCAGTCTTATCTCTGAAATGGGGTGGGTGTTGAGAGGTGGCTTCTAAGATCTTTCTACTTCCCAAACTTGGAATTCTCTTTTTAGGAGCATCTGCGTGCCCAGATGTATGTTGGAGCCCATGGTGTATGGGGGTGGGGTGGGGGGAAGGGTGGAGGGTACCTACCCCCTGAGGCTTCTCCAGAGGGTGTTGGGACCCAGATGGACCTGGGTGAGGAAGGGCCCTGGAGAGGGCAGGCCTCGAGTCTCACTGCTCCTTAGGTGGGGCCGGGGTTCCAAACCTGGCCCAGAGACTGGAGGCCCTCAGAGACCAGATTGGCAGCTCCCTGCGACGTGGCCGCAGCCAGCCACCCTGCAGTGAGGGCGCACGGAGCCCAGGCCAAGTCCTCCCTCCCCATTGAAGGCCAAGTGGGAACCCAGGAGACTGCTGTGTGACCTCAGACTGGGCTCCACACTCTTGGGCTTCAGTCTGCCCATCTGCTGAATGGAGACAGCAGCTGCTACTCCACCTGCAGCTGGGCTAGGGGCGGGGACTGGGGGTGCTATTTAGGGGAACAAGGGGATTCAGGAGAAACCAGGCAGCAGGGGATGAAATACATGAATAAAGAGAGGCATCAGCTCCAAGTCTGGTTGGTTCTATCCTCTGGGGTTATCAGTTATTTCCCCGTGGGAAATTAGAGGGAGGAAGGGCTAGGACTCTTGGCACAGATGTGTGTCCCCTTCCAGTCTGGAATATCCCAAGCTTCCATCTCCCATCTCCTTTCATGGTTTTTTGTTTTGTTTTGTTTTGTTTTTTTGAGACGGAGTCTAGCTTTGTCACCAGGCTGGAGTGCAGTGATGCAATCTCAGCTCACTGCAACCTCCGCCTCCTGGGTTCAAGCGATTCTCCTGCCTCAGCCGCCCAAGTAGCTGGGATTACAGGCACACGCCACCACGCCCAGCTAATTTTTGTATTTTTTTTTTTTTTTTTAGTAGAGATGGGGTTTCACTATGTTACCCAGGATGGTCTCGATCTCCTGACCTTGTGATCCACCTGCCTCGGCCTCCCAAAGTGCTGGGATTCTAGGCGTGAGCCAGCCTCCTTTCACATATTATACAAGTTTTGATTAAGCAACTGCTATATGCCATTGGGTAGGCGGTGGGGGAGTTGAATGGCAAGCATCTCCATGAAGGAGGCATGAGGGAAACTGATTTGGCCTGGAGCACAGGGAGATGGGTGGTCAAGGGGCTCACTCTGTGTCACTATGGGTCCTGGCGCTGGTGGGGATCAGGAGGCCTGGCTTCTTGTGCCACAGATCTACGCTAGGACTCTGGGCAAGTCCTGTTCCCTCTCTGGACCACTCTGGTTTTCAGTCAATTAAGTGGGGGACACAGTTTCCTTCCCACTGAGTTCTAGTGAGGGTCAAGGCTGTGAGCAATATCTGATTCATGGCATAAGTGCCCAGTAAAATGCTGTATTAGTCTGTTCTCAGCACTGCTGTAAAGAACTACCTGAGACTGGGGCATTTATGAAGAAAAGTGGTTTGACTCACAGCCCTGCAGTCTGTATAGGAAGCATGACTGGGAGGCCTCAGGAAACTTACAATCATGGCAGAAGGGCGAAGGGGAAGCAAGCACATCTTACCATGGCGGAGCAGGAGAGAGAGAGAATGAAGGGGGAAGTGCTACACACTTTCAAACAACCAGATCTCGTGAAAACTCACTACCATAAGAACAGTAAGGGGGAAATCTTCCCCCATGATCCAATCACCTCCCACCAGGTCCCTCCCCCAATATTAGAGATTATAATTCAACATGAGATTTGGGTGGGGACACAGAGCCAAACCATATCAGATACAGTGGGTCTGTGGTTATGGAGAAGTCCAGTATGACATGAGGAATTACGGGAAGCAGAGAGAGGACCCATTATAGAAAGAGCTATGAGGCTAACCTAACTCTTCACTTATAGTTAGGGAAACAGACCCACATCATTTATTCATTTGTTCATTCATTCATTCAACAAACAACACTGATGGCTGGGTGCCTGTAATCCCAACACTTTGGGAGGCCAAGGTAGGAGGATTGCTTGAGCCCAGGAGTTCAGGACCAGGCTGGGAAACAGTAAGATCCTGTCTCTACAAAAAATAAAAAATTAGCTGGGCATGGCGGCACACACCTATAGTCCCAGCTACTCAGGGGGCTGAGGCAGATCACTTGAAAACAAGTGGCTGAGGCTGCAGTGAGCCATGATCACACCACTGCACTCCAGCCTTGAAAAACAACAAAGCAAAAACACTGGCATCAACTGCAAATCAAGCTAAAAGGTGACAATGGAGACAAGGGCCAAGGTGGCTTTTCCAGGGAGCTCAGAGTCTGGTGGGGGACAGACAGGCATTTACAACCTCACAGGGGCTGGGGGAAGCCCAAGGGACTGTGGAGGCACAAAGGAAGGTCACTTGATCAGTGATCATTGAGGGGGTCAGAGAAGGTTTCCCAAGGAGGCCATGACTAAGGCTTGTAGGAAGGTAGACAGCATTGGGTTCAAGGGAAGGTGGAGGGGCTGTGGACACAAAGGCTACAGACCCCTGAGGTTCCAGAGCTTGTCGGGGCCAGGAAGTGCAGGGCCTTCCAGGTCACAGCCAGAGTTTGGGCTTGTGCCAAGGGCAGAGGGGAGCCATGGAAGGGTCTTAAGGCATCACCAGCCTAGATTCGTATTTAGGTCACGCTGGCCACCTGTGGGAGGTGGCCTGACTGGCAAGGATGAGCTGGAGTTGGGGGACTATAAAGAGACCAGCACAGAGGAGATGAGACACCTCAGCCAGTAGTACCTGAGCTGGGCCTTGGGCTGGGCATCCCCTCAGACCCATGCCCTGGACTTAGGCAAGGTCCGGGCAGGCCAGCCTTAGCCACAGGCTTGGGGAGCCCTTGGGAGGCAGCAGACTGAGGCCAGAGGACCAGTCAGGGAGCAGCTGGGGTTGCTGGAGGGAGGTCACAGCCATCATCTGGAACAGAACTCAGACTGGCCACTGTGCTCCTCAGACCTGGCCTGAGGAAATCAGGATCCCTTTACCCCACCACACTCCCCGGCGCAGGACCAAGCAAGGAAAGACTCAGTGCTCTCCTTCCCATCATTCTGGAAACTAGCTTTGGGAATGTGCCCCCTTTTTCCCAGTGGCATGAGGACCCAAAGATAAGAGCAAGGTGTCTCAAGGATGCTTGAGTGTGCTGTGTGACTTGGGGCAGGCTGCTGGGCCTCTCTGGGTCTCCCCCACTGCAGGTCCTTGGCTCCTGAGTCTATGCAGGGCTGGTTCCTGAAGCTGGGACTGGTGGGGTCCATTGCGGTTGGAGCCCCCGTGGGCAGGAATTGTTAGACCACACTTGTGACTGGACATTAGAGGTTTTCAACAGTGGTGGCTTCCTGGAAGGCCAGAATCTGTGGAGGCAGAGCCCAGGGACAGAAGGTGACAGCCAGATACCACAGGCAACTGGACCAGGCAGAGCAGGCTGTGGTTAAGCCACAGACGGAGCCACCCAAGCTCAAACCCATGAGTGATCCTGGGCTAGTGACTCAACTGCTCTGAGCCCAAGTCACTTATACCCAGAATGAACGCAATAAGAGTACCCCCTTACAAAACTGTCTTGCGAATGAAATTCCCTGACACGTGGAAAGAGTGGAGCATGTAGCTTTGCCAGTTGCAGACAGTTTCGCCAAAAGCAACCTTTAGTCAACATGACGATTTGATGGAATTGACAATCAGGTTAAAAAAAATTCATTCAATATATATTGATCAGAATTATTTAGAACAGAGCCTGGCACGTGGTTAGTGCTAAATACATGCTAGTTGTCGTTGCTGTTATTATTATTCATGGATGCTTTCAGTGCAAACATTCTATGAGAACCTGCTTTCTATGGGCTAGCACTGAATAAAGCATAGGACTTTTACCCTCATGGAACACAGACAATAAACGAGAAAGAGGGCAAAATACGTGGCATGTCAGATGGTGATAATGCTATGGAGTAAAATAGAGCAGGAGAGTAGAGCTCTGTCAGGGCAGGGGTGCAGTCCTAAGCAGGGAGTTCCGTCGGAGGTGATGTTTGTACAGAGACCTGAACAGGGAGGTTGAGCCTGATGAGTGCCCTAAAGCCTTTATTTTCTAATATTGGTAATTTCAATGCCACGTTAGCTTGGGTGGCTCTGCAGGTTCCTGCCTGGGCTCCTCCCCACTCCCCAGAACCCTTATTTCACTGCATTGTGGGCTTGCTTGCTGGGAGGTCCTCAGCCCCAGGCAGGGGAGGCCCTGGCACCAAGCATGAGAGTGTGAGAGCTTTCCTTAATCGCCTTGGGAGGATGGAGGGGGACCACCCAGGGGGACCCTGGCCTCACTGGTTCATTCATGTTTGGATGATTCCCGCTGGAGCCAGCCACGATTTTCCAGTTTCCTGGTTCCAGTTCACACTCCAGCTCGGCAAAACCCCACATCCTTTTCCAGAGAGAGTCGTAGGACTCGAGGAGACTGGCCTTCACTACCCTTGTCTCATAAGTCATGCATCCATCTCTCAGTCAGTGACATAGTTTGGCTGTGTCCCCACCCAAATCTCATCTTGAATTGTAGCTCCTATAATTCCTTTGTATTGTGGGAGGGACCTGGTGGGAGGTAATTGAATCATGGGGCTGGGGTTTTTCCCGTGTTGTTCTCGTGATAGTGAATAAGTCTCACAAGATCTGATGGTTTTATAAAGGGCAGTTTCCCTGCACATGCTCTCTTGCCTGTCACCACGTAAGACGGGCCTTTGCTTCTTATTCACCTTTTGCCATGATTGTGAGACCTCCCCAGCCATGTGGAACTGTGAGTCCATTAAACCTCTTTTTCTTTATAAATCACTCAGTCCTGGGTATGTCTTTATTAGCAGCATGAGAACAGACTAATACAGTCAGCATCCTCCCTCTAGAACTGCCATAATTCTAGGATCCCTAAACCCTGAGGGAATTCCAAAGGATCCCAGTAATGTATCAAGACCCTTCAAATTCATTTGGTACTTACCGAGAACTTGTGGACTCAGAAGGACACTTCTGGAGCCCTGCAATCTACAGGCCTTCTGCAGATTGCTGGAACCTGGGGGCAGTTCTCTAGACCCCGAAACATGGTAGTAGTTCTCAAGAACTGTCAAAAGAAAGTCTCTGCTACTTCGGAACATTAGAATTGGGGGAAGCTCTTGGAAATCCTGAGACACTACAGGAATTTTCCAGGATTCCAAACCCCTAGAAGATCTTTCTGAAATTTTAAAACACTGTAGACAAGTCGGGAGGGATTCTCTGGAATCTTTGGCTGGGCAGGGATGTAGTGGGTAAGGGACATTCACCAGAGTTCTGAAGGCCACCCATGGGTTTCTAGAGTGCTGGCTGCCCAGATCCTTGGTTGAGTTTTCCAGATCCTTGGGGATCCCAACTCTCAGCCCCCTCTCATTGCACGATGAGGAGCATGGCAGAAAGCGTTGCAGTTGGATGGCACAAGCTTCTAGAAGAGCACTCCTGTGGACACTTGTACATAAAAGGCTGTGAGGCCTTGTCTGGGGGGCCAACTCCCAGATGGACCCCAAAACTTGGAGTCGTTATGAGAGTTTGTGAAGACCCTCTTGCCAAGAACATCCTGTTGCTTCAGCCATACCAGCCTTCTCTCAGCATCCCAAATGGGCCTGCTTTCCCTCCCACAAGGTCTTTCTTCTCTTTGCCTAATGACACATTTGCTCCAAATTCATATTCATTTCCAGCCCGTTTCTGATAGGATTCAGCCCCTTCATGGCATATTCTGTGTCCTCTTCAATGTCCTTTTTCCATTTCTATCTTCTTGTTTAGCATCCAGCGACTCATCTTCCTTTATTTTAGGCAAACAAGCATGGCAGGGCAGGTCGGGCAAGTAGGCGTGGTCTTGTTATGAACCACAGACTGGAAGCTACTGGAACTTGTAGATGGGTTAGTGCTGGGGTTGGAGACCATGACTGGAATCTGGAGACCTGGGTTCAAAGCCTGCCTTGACACAGACCTCTTGTGTATGTCAGACAAGTCCCTGGCTGTCACTGGCATCTACACGGGCCGGCAAAGAAGACCTTTGAGAGGACTTTTTTGAAAGTTGGGCAGACGTGTCTTTCTCAAGAACCCTCATCCAGTGTGTGGCTCTCCTGATTATCACATGTTCACCAAGCCCCTACTTGGAGGCCAGGCCGCCTCTGCTGGATACAAGTGACAGCAGCCTGACCCTGGGCCACTGCCCTCTTCTCAAGAAGCTTCCAACCAAGTGGGGGAAAGGACAAGCAAAGTGACAATCAGGAGGCAAGGGAACAAATAATAGCAATTAGCAAGTTTCTCTGGTGCCAGGCACTGCTCCCAGCGCTTGCCATGTGTTAGCTCGCTCATTTCTCACAACTCTGAGAAGTAGGTACTGTCAGTATTGTCATGTTGCAGTGAGGAAACCAAGGCAGGAAGGGCCTCAGAACTTGCCCAAGGTCACGCAGCCAGTGGGTGGCAGAAGCGGGATTTGAACCTGGCTGGCCTCAACCACCATGCCAGGTGCCACCCAGTGGGACCACAGAGGAAGGACAGGTAGAGGATCAGCTTCTGTCCAACTTAGGAACCCCTGAGGATAGTTGGGGTGCCTTCCTAGAGACATTGTTCTCCACCAAAGCCCGGCACGATCCAGCAAGGCCAGACCACGCAGAGGCACTTTGACGAGGCAGAGGAAGGGACTTTCTCAACCTCCCCGCCGGTGGTGGATCCTTCACCACCCCAATACCAAAGGGATTCTCTAAAAACTACCCGGTGCCTGAGCTGGAATCTAGACAATTAGAAGTGCAGCCCTGCAGCCCAGTCTTTCTCCATGGGGCAGGGCCCTGGGTGGAGGCAGGACATCTCTGTGGTCTCCAGGCTACAGAACTTTGGGCAAACCCTCTCCCTTTCTCACCCTCTGTCTGCCCAACATACCAGCTGTGGGAGGCTGGGCAAAAGAGTGAATCTCTTTGAACCCCAGTTTCCTCCTCTGTAAAGTGGGGATAAAATTGGTTTACCCTATGAGGAGTTAATACATGCTCACAGGGGATGATGTGAGAACTAGAAGTGAATTCGTATAAACTGTTCAGAACAGAGCCTGGCACATGGTTAGTGCTAAATAAATGCTAGTTGTTATTGCTGTTATTATTACTAACGGATGCTTTCAGCACAAACATTCTATCATTACTTGCGGGGGAGGAATTGTGTCAACTTCTGGACTCTCATTACTACAGACTCATGAACTTGTTGACATCCAGCTCGGCTGGCTCCTTCCTCCAGGGAGACCCTCCTAACACAGATTCTTCCAGGGAAAGGAGTGGAAAGAAGTACTCTGTCGCCCAAGGGCAAGAGCCAGGGAAGAGTTCCCACTGCCCTTCCAAGGCAACTGATTCAGAGAAATCCATTTGTCTTCACTGAAGAAAGGCCGGTGGGAATTTCCAGAGAGCTCAGCTTGCCTCGTGGTTTCAGGAAAGAGCAATTTTAGTCCTTCCAGAGATGCTGGGTTGCATCAACTCGGTCAGCCAGGAGTTGGGGCAGGTTCCTGGAGGTCCTGCTTCAATGGACAATAAGATTGGCCTGCAACAAGCAGGAATATGCCTGCGTCCCCTTCCTGGACACAGACAAGGCCTTTGGAAGTTTATTCTTTGGTAACCCTTTCCTCAGGGGTGCAAAAGGAGCTAGATCCTGGGCCACAAGCTCTGTCCCCAGGGCGCTCTGATCTCAAAGACACTCTGAGCTCCAAAGATTATAAGGGCAGGAGTGCTTCTCCAGGCTAAGCCACCCACTCCTGCAATCAGGAACCTGGATTGACAACATCTAAGGGCACCCCGACCCAGGGCCAACGTTTATTATTGACTAAGCTCTCTCCAAGGAGCAAGGACATGACATGCTTCTCATCATTTAATTCTCATACACCGCTATGAGCTCTTATTAACCCCATTTAACAGAAGAGAAAGAAAGGTGAAGTCACTTAGCTAAGATCAAACAGGCAGGAAAGGGTTGCAGTCATGACTAGAACCCAGGTCTGTCTGGATATAAAGTTCAGCAGCTTAATCATCACAGCATGTTGGACAATGCCTTGGGTGTACTCCAGGCCATAATACACAGACAAACTCAAATTTGATGACTCGAAGACAAGCCACCACAGAGCAAGGGGTCTTTGCTTTATAAATTTTGCCATTGAGAGCCCAGTCATTCCTTCCTTTGCTCATTCATTGGACATAAGGTTAAGGGGTTTTGGATGTGGTGAGTCCAATTTCCCAGTCTCCCTCAGCTGTCTTCTGCGTGGGTGGTCCTTCTTGGGATCCGACCTAAATCTCCCCCATGGTTCTGAGTAAGTCAGTCAGCACTGTTGGCTGAGCGCCTATTATGCACCCAGCACAGTGCTGGGCCCCAAGGAGGGAGAGAAGGTCTGGACTTGATATAGCAGACGCTGAGGTGACCCTTGGCTGGGGAAGGGAGAAATAGGCCTGACTTCGGCTGTGAAGAGTCCAATGAAGGGAGACTCATCAGCTCCAAGTGTCTAAAGAACGTGGCCTAAGATCTAGCCAAGAGACAAGAGATAGGGTCAGCAGAGTGCCTTAAGTGTTAACAGAGACAGATCTTGGTTTGAATTTAATGTCTGGGTGACCTTCAACGCATGATCACCTGATGTCTTAGCTTCAGTTTCCCTACCTGCAAAATAGGGCTACCAGCATAATAAGATTATTTTTTTCTTCAACTTTTTTTTTAAGTTCTGAGGTACATGTGCAGATCTGCAGGTTTGCCACATAGGTAAACAGGCACAATGATTGTTTGCTGCACAGATATACCCATCACCTAGGTATTAAGCCCAGCATCCATTAGCTCTTCTTCCTGATCCTCTCCCTCCCCACCACCCCACAAAAAGATCCTTTTTTTTTTTTTTTGAGATGGAGTTTCACTCTTGTTGCCCAGACTGGAGTGCAATGGAGTGATCTTGGCTCACTGCAACCTCCGCCTCCTGGGTTGAAATGATTCTTCTGCCTCAGGCTCCCGAGTAGCTGGGATTACAGTCGTGCGCGACCACGCCCAGCTAATTTTGTATTTTTAGTAGAGATGGGAGTTTCACTATGTTGGCCAGGCTGGTCTCCAACTCCTGACCTCAGGTGATCCGCCCCCTTCAGCCTCCCAAAGTGCTGGGATTACAGGCCTGAGCCACTCCACTCCAAAAAGATTCTTAATAGAGGATTTAGAACGACATGCTCTTGTAGTGCTCTGCGTGGACTTGGCAGACAGTAAGAACTTAGTACAGTTATAGTAGCCTTCGTGGTCTGCAACAACTGCACCCAATTCTGGTTCCCCAGCAAAACTATTTTTTTTAAGGGCCCCAACCAAGCATCAAGCTCTCTAGCAGGGTAGGGATGGGCAAGGTAGACGCTAAATGTTTTACACTCACCAGGGGATTTTAAGTAGGCTTGGGGCAAGGAAGCCTGGACACGAGCCCGCATTGTAGCTCTTTGAGCCTTTGCTCCTGGCCTCTGTCTCCATCTGTACAGAACAATCTGTGAGCAAACTCCGGTGGTTCTTTCGGGAAGTTCTCTGCTGCCCCCTGGTGGACAAGGGAAGTTCACACCTTAGTGCAGTTGCAGCTATGTATGGAGTCCTTAGCTGGAGCACATGCGGTACCAAGCGCCCATGATGACAGGGGTCCTACGTATCTACACACTTGGGGTGCATTTTCACAAGTGACCCTCATTCAGTTATTATGTCAGCTCTGAAGCCATGGAGGGAAATGACTGCCCCATTGTCCCGCAGCAAGCCACAAGGACTAGGACTCAAGTCTCTGGGTGGACTTGCTCTTTGGGTTGGAGGTGTAGGGATGAGTAACAATGCCTAGAAATCACAGGGCAGTGAGAACACCCCTCCACATCACCAGTCATGGAGTTATGGGTGCTGTGCACCTCCAGCTATGCCATGAGGACCCTGAGTGGACAGGCTGTGGCACGAGGCCATGGAAATTGAGCAAGGTCAGACATTGGAGGCAAGGCCTCCTGTCACGGAGAAAGTCACCTTATCATTCCACCATTGGCAGAGGAGGACTCAAAGGTTGACCACACCCTCTGGTCTGACTCCCAGTCAATGTCCCTGATGTCCCTGTGGGTCCAGTCACTGGGTCCTAGTGCCCTGGCCCGGCCCCTTCCTTCTTCCTGGAAAATCTCCTAAGGAGTTGCTTTCCTGGGTCTCCAGCTTACGTTACCTCCTGATTGATCTCTCCCGATTACTAATCTGGTTGACCTTGACTTCTGAAAACCCACCAGTGCCCCTGTGCACTCCCAAGCAACACCCCTTGGGACGGCAACACGATCCCACCTACTGGACCTCAGCCACCTCCCCAGCCTCACTCTCACCACTCCCTTCTGTCCCCAAGCTCCAGACCTGTGGATTTATTTGTATTTTTTGGATAAAAATAAAAATAATTTTCTATTTTCTTCCCTAAGCCTTTGCAATTGCTGTTCCCTGTGCATGGAACCCACTCCCCTCCCCCATGCACCCATCCCACTGCACTGTTGTCTAGCTCACTCCTACTCTTGGAGTCTGACTCCCCTGTCCCGGCCTCTGCTTCCCTGATCACTGCAGCAACCATCCTGTCTTATCACCTTCTCACCTCGTCTGTTCCCCAACCCCAGGCCTCAAGGGAGCTCTGGGAGGCCTGTCATATGCCCATCCTGTCCTCAGCACCAAGCATGGAGTGTGTATTTGGCAAAAGAACAAGTAGACACAAGAATAAATGATGAGGGGAGAGCCTGGGTGCCACAGTCAGGCCTATCTGGCCCCGACTCGGCCACACACTGGGTGACCTTGACCAAGTCCCATCCCCTCCCTGAGCCCCAGTATGTGCATCTGAAAATCGAGGCCTCTATTCCACATTGCACTGGGTACCCCTGAGGCTCTGAGGCCTCCTGTGAGGGGCAAGACCCTCCCCCACAACCAAATGGTTTCAGAACCTAGCAATTCCCATGGACTCTTAGACCCCTGGGCCCCCTAGGAGGGCAGGGACCCCAGAGCCTCCATCCTCCCACCCCAGCAGCCAGAAGGGGAGGAGGGGGCAGCAGCTGTCTGACCACTGTTGGTCTTGCAACTTGTGTCCCCAGGTTAATTTTTAAAAAGCAGTCAAAAGTCCAAGTGGCCCTTGGCAGCATTTACTCTCTCTGTTTGCTCTGGTTAATAATCTCAGGAGCACAAACATTCCTGGAGGCAGGAGAAGAAATCAACATCCTGGACTTATCCTCTGGGCCTCTCCCCACCCCCAGGAGAGGCTGTGCAACTGAATGAACAGCCCTGTCCAAGAGAGGCTAGGACTGGGGCTTCTCCACCCCTGCGCGTCTCAGGCTTCCCATCTGGACCATGGGGTTGATAACTGTAGTCACGCAGGCCCAACATGAAGGTCAGCGAGCCATCTTGGTGCACTGTAAGCGGGCTTAGTAGGATGATTTTATTCCTATTAATGATTCATTGTTATTTATTTATTCTTATACCAGGCCTGCCTCCTCCAATGGCAGACACCCCTGAGCCACCACACAGGTAAGGCAGTGGACAGTTTACAGTTCACTTCCTCACACATTGTCTCTCTTGGCCTCTTGACAGACAGAACAAGAACTGTTTTCTTCCGTTCACAGATACGGAAAGTGGTCTTTAGCGAGGGAAAGCCACCTCCAATATCATGCAGAACAAGGAGAAGTTGGGGGCTACCACCTCCTCATTACCATCATTAACTAAAACATCAAAGATTGAGAAACTTTGTGAACACAAGGAACACGAAGATAACTGTCCCAGAAAGCTAAACCAAGACAGTAACTGTGCTTAAACTTACATCATGGCTTTGAGCTTCCTAGCAGCCAAAGCAAGAAGGGAATATAATCACTGGCCAAGGTTAGGGTGACGGAGCAAAGGAAACACATTTATGAATAGAAGCACACTTGTTCTGGATACCAGTGAAAGAGGGATGTACTGACTGAATCTTACAGAAGGGACATGATACACCATTTGTTTCTGCACTGACTACATGGGGGAATCCTTTGATTCTCACATAAGCAGGGGTCTTAATCTTGGGACTGCCTGCCCGAAGGGGTCATTCCCAGCTCTAACAGAGAGGTGGCTGAGAGTATGGAATGTTCCATGCCAAGAGCAGGGAGGAAGTAAGGACAGTAGATTTAACCACTGGAGAAGGGAAATTCATAGAGAGGCCTTTGGTATTGCTGGCAAGAGTGTGAGCTCACAGACAACGGACCTGGGTTTTAAAAAATTCTCATTTAAAATCTTAAATTTAGGCTGAGCGCAGTGGCTTACGCCTGTAATCCCAGCACTTTGGGAGGCTGAGGTGAGAGGATCACCTGAGGTCAGGAGTTAGAGACCAGTCTGGCCAATATGGTGAAACGCTGTCTCTACTAAAAATACAAAAATTAGCCAGGCATGGTGGTGGGCACCTGTAATCTCAGCTACTCGGGAGGCTGAGGCACAAGAATCACTTCAGCCCAGAATGTGGAGGTTGCAGTGAGCCGAGATCGCACCACTGCACTCCAGCCTGGGCGACAAGAGTGAAACTCCGTCTCAAAATAATAAATAAATAAATAAAACCTTAAGTTTAATAACTACTGTATTAGTTTCCTAGGGCTGCTAGGAAATGTGTCTTCTCTCAGCACTGGAGGTCAGACACCTGAGACCAAATTTTCAGCAGAGCCATGTTCCCTTTGAAGATTCTGGGGAAAAGTCCTTCCTTGCCTTTTGCTAGCTTTTGGTGGCTGCCATCAATCCTTGGTGATTTTTGACGTGTCACTGCATCCCTCCCATCTCTGCCTTCGGCGTCACGCCACATCTTCCCCGTGCTTCTCTCTGTGTCCCTGTGTCTGAGTCTCCCTCACCATTCTCTTATAAAGATACCGGTCATTGGATTTAAAACCCCTGTCATCCAGTTCAACCTCATCTAACTAATCACATCTGCAAATCAGGTTCATTCTGCGGTTCGGGGTGCACATGGATTCTGGAGGGGGCACTGTTCAACCCACCACAAACACTCAGCTCTTACTCTATGCTGGGTACTGTCCTAGCGCATTGCAGGTGCTCACTCAACAATGCTAGGAGCTAGGAACTATTATTATCCCCATTTACAGATGAGGAAACCAAGGCACTGAAAGGTAAAGTGACTTGCCCAAGGTCACACAGCAGTGAGTGCCACTGTAGGCTGCCTGGCTCCCACGTCCATGGTCTCTACCACGCCTTTCCCAGCTACTCCACTCCCGGCTGAGGGATTCTGGGCAAGTCACTTCACTTCTTGGAGACTCAACTCCTCTGCCTGTAAAGGGGACAAATAGCACCTACTTCGTAAGCTTGTTGTGGGGATTTACTGGACACCTGTGGCACGTGTAAAGTGCCTGGTACACAGCCAGCACATAGCAGGTGCTCAGTGAACGGAAGCTCGTAACAGTCATCATTGTTAATGTCTCTATTATTTGCAAAGGCTAGGGCAAGCCTGGGGGCTGGAGAAGGAACTCTGGAGACAGGATACCTGGGTTCTGGTCTTGGCTCTGCCCATAGACTTCCCTGAGGTCTCTGGCAAGTCACTTCCTCTCCTTGGGCCTCAGTTTTTTCCTGTGAGAAATGGGCCCAATCAGGCTTGACCTGCTGGCTCACAGAGCTGTGAGGTCCAGATGGCATGACTCAGCAGAAAGGCCAGGTCGCTCCCCATCCTCGCATGCCCTCTGTGGGGGACTTTTGGGGGGCGGAGCCCAATCCTGGTGCTCCAGGGCCCTATTGTGCTTGGCCAATGCCTCTTCTGAAGCAGCCATCCCGGCCTCTTGGTACTGCTGACCCCAGCCAGGCTACAGGGATCGATTGGAGCTGTCCTTGGGGCTGTAATTGGCCCCAGCTGAGCAGGGCAAACACTGAGGTCAACTACAAGCCACAGGCCCCTTCCCCAGCCTCAGTTCACAGCTGCCCTGTTGCAGGGAGGCGGTGGCCCTTCTGTTGCTAGACCGAGCCTGTGGGATATACCAAGGCAGAGGAGCCCATAGCCATGAGGAGCCTCGGGGCCCTGCTCTTGCTGCTGAGCGCCTGCCTGGCGGTGAGCGCTGGCCCTGTGCCAACGCCGCCCGACAACATCCAAGTGCAGGAAAACTTCAATATCTCTCGGGTAAGGCTGCCGCTCTCTGTGGTAGGGTGGATGTGGTGATGGGGAGTCCAGGCAGATGGGCCCTGCTGGGCAAGTGCGGCCTGTCTCGGGGTCTCAGGCTTCCACTCAGATCATCTGGGATTATGGGATCCTTTGAAGGTACAGCTCTATCCCCTGCCATTCCGTGGGTCTCTTGGCTGACATTCTATGAGTCAAACATCCTCACCTTCTGCACTGTCCTCGTGGGCTCCAAGGGGAACCCTTGTGTTAATGGGAACCTGCTCCAGAGAAGGCTTTGTCCTGCCTGCCACTGCCCTGCAGCCCCCGTGCAGACACCTAGCTTTGCCCAGACCTCCCAGCCCTTCCTTCTCTAATGACTCCCCTCTCTCTGTGGCATCTTTCCCTTAGCTCTTCCTGTGTCCCCTGCCCACATCCTGGCCTGACTGTGGACAGACACCTGGGGTGGCACAGCGTGGGCATGTGGCCAGCAGCTTTTGGGTTGGGCATGTGGGGCTTATGGGAAGAGGTGAAGCAGGACAGAGATTAGGGTTGGGAGACATTCAGAGGCTTGGGCACAAGGAGAGACCTGGACTGGGGCAGGACACTCTCCTGTGAGTGTGGAGTGCCAGAGCTGCCTTCCAGCCCCCACTCTGCCCTAAATCCCGGGGTGGCTTTGAGAATACCCTTGCCCACCTGGGGCTGTCTCCATGTCTGTATGAAGGGTCTCAGAACCTTCTAGCTGTGGTGTCATGTGGGTTTTGTTTACTTTTAGGGACAAGGAAAGGTCGTGGCAGAGGGGCAATGAGGAGCAGGTCCCTGTGGCAGTCTGGGACGCAAAGGGTGTGGGGCACATTGGCCTGTTCCGTAGGAGCCTGAGGGCTCCTTCAGCTGTCCCGTGCACTTTCAGGAGGAAGAGGAAGCAGGCCTATCCTGAATGACCCCATCATGTTCATTATACTTTTGAAATAATTCCTAACATGGGGCTGTGGGCTGCCTTGCAAGGTGGGGAGCACCCCATCATTGGAGGAGTAAAAGACAGGACTCCAGCTCTTGGGGAGCAGTGGTTGATGGAGCTATGGACAGATCCCACATCTTGAGAGAGTTAGCCCTTCTGCAGGGCAGGTTGGGACCCCAGCCGCACACCTGCTTCCTGGGTTCGCTGTGATGCCTGAAACGCCACTCTTAGGGATCTGGCCTCCCTTGAAGGTGTGTGGCCTCTGATTAGTTGTAAGACATTATCCCTTAAAAGGATAAGTCATTTTGAGGAGAAGGAGGAGGAAGAGGAGGAGGTGGAGGGTGGGGAGCAGATGTCAGCCAGGTCTGCTTTGAGGTCTGAGACTGATGCAGACCCCCAGAGCTCACCTGCCTCCTAGATCTATGGGAAGTGGTACAACCTGGCCATCGGTTCCACCTGCCCCTGGCTGAAGAAGATCATGGACAGGATGACAGTGAGCACGCTGGTGCTGGGAGAGGGCGCTACAGAGGCGGAGATCAGCATGACCAGCACTCGTTGGCGGTGAGCACTAGGGTGGGGCTGGAAAGCTGAGAGAGACCCAGAGACCCACAACCTTCCCAGCCCCGTCCATCCTGGGAAGTTGCAGATCTCTGCTTCCAGTCAGGACCTTCCCGCTGAACCCCAGATCCCTCTACGCTCCTCCACCAGGACGGCCCTTTTCAGGTGTCCTATCTATTCCTCGAGGGCAGTGTCCCAGCACTGTGCCTGTTCTGCAAACTGCTCCTCCCCCTTGGGCATTCCTTAGCCCAGTGTGGGTACTTCAGCCCCCCAGGGACCCAACCTGGGAACTGGGCTCCTCTCTCCCCTGTCACCCATCATCAAGTCCTGCCCATTCTCCTCCTAAATCCCCCCCAACCTGTTCACTTCTCCCCTCTCCACTGCCACCATCCTGGTCCAAGCCACCTCCCTTTCTTTCCTGGTTGTCTGCCACAACCTCTCTACTCTTTCCTCACCTCTGACCTCCACCCTTCCACCCCATCCCCTCTTCACCCAGTAACCAGAAAGACCTTTTGAAAACTCACATCTGCTCGAGACCCTTCCATGACTCCCCAATGCCCTGGGAGTAAGATTCAAACTCTTGATGTGGCTTTCCAGGACCCTCCCAGCACCCAGAACTCCTGCCACACACTCTGCTATGTACTCTGAGTCCTACTCACGTGAACCTGCTTTCAGTTCTGGAACTCTCACGCCTCCAGGTCCTTGCACCTGATGTCCCTTTTACTGGGAGCACCTCTCCTCATTTCCCTGGGCTAATTAGTTCCTGTGGATTCTTCAGAACTCAGGTTTCATGTCACCTCCTCCAGGAAGCCCTCCCAGACACCCAGGTTCAGGTTACATGCCCTTCTTTGTGCCCGAAGAGGACCTCACACTTACCCCCATGTGGTACTTCTCACACTGATTGCATCTGCCTCTCACCTGCCTGCCTGACCCACGCAATTGCAAGCTCCAGGAACCCCAGGGAATGGGGTCTGTCTTGCTCTCTCATGTATCCCTGCCATGTAGCACAGGGCTTGCCACATAGGTGCTGCCCAATAAATATCCATTGGATAAATAGTGCTCATTGTAACAATAATAGCTAATTCGTATATAGTGCTTCCTCCAAGTTCTTTACATATGTGTCAGTTGACCCTCACACTAACCATGTGAGGTAGAAACTATCATGATCCCCATTTTATAAATGAGAAAACTGGGGCAAGAGAGACACAGAACAATACATGGATGACTGTAGGAATTCATCACTCCAGCTCCTCCTGCCTCAGTATAATGTGTAGATTTGATTAAGGAAGGCGGCATTAGTGCTGGCTTTGCCAGGAGGATGGCATGGATTTGTCTCTTCTTCTTTGTCCCTCCAT
This sequence comes from Homo sapiens, assembly GCF_000001405.40. Classification (NCBI taxonomy): domain Eukaryota; kingdom Metazoa; phylum Chordata; class Mammalia; order Primates; family Hominidae; genus Homo; species Homo sapiens. Next base: position 114,075,245 of record NC_000009.12, on the reverse strand, counting down.
CATATGGAAAATGGGGGTCTCTCAGGGCTAGTGTGAGGATTAAACAAGACATTTGGAAATGTTCATTTCCGAATTAAAAAGCAAACAAAAACACACAAACAAAAAAACCCCAAAACCAAGGCATTTGGAAAGAGCCCTGCAGGAGGGTTGAGTGTCAGGACCATGATCTCTACCAGGAGTGACCTTCCTTTTGATTTGTTCATTTCTAGGAAAGGTGTCTGTGAGGAGACGTCTGGAGCTTATGAGAAAACAGATACTGATGGGAAGTTTCTCTATCACAAATCCAGTAAGTGGAGTGGAAAGAGACACATGCATTCTCTCCTTTGCTTGAAAATACCTTGATGTCCTCAGCTCCCTCTGCCTCTGTAACCTTTCCTCCCATTTAGCTGAGATGTCATCTAGCCTTCCCCCAAACAACTCCTCCTCTTCCTCCTCCTCCTTCTCCTCCTCTCCTCCTCCCCTTCCCTCTCTCCTTCCCTGCCCCCACCCAGTGCCCATGCCCAGAGTAGGGTGATGGTGCTGATTTCGCCAGTCTTCATGTCTTCTTAGGCACCTGCTATCAGCTGATAAAAATTTACTAAGCATCTACCACGTACAGTGTGCATGATGCTAAGTGAGAGAGGGATTTGGACATTAATTTATTTGTTAGTTCAGAAAATGTTTATTGAATATGCTCTATGTGCCAAACAATTGTGTTACGGCTGAATATATGAATGTTTGGCTAGATAGATGGATGAATGAACAAATGATTGGTGACTGAATATATGTAAGGATAAATGAGTCAAAGAGTCAGTTACCTAATAGGTAAATTGATGGAGTGATAGGGGAAAGAAGGAAGGAAGGGAGAATTGATGTATGGAGAGGATAGATGGATTGAGTGATGGTGGATGAATTAATGTGAGTACATGGAGGAGATAGATGGGTGGATAGGGAGAGATTGAATATGGATGAATTGATAAATGGAGATATGGAAGGCATGGGTGGATAGATGGATGGATGAGGAGATGATGTGTGAGTAAACAGGTGACGGACCTCCAGCTAGAAGAGTCTACTGACCACTGATCCCTTTGGTCTGCCTGCACCTCCCATGCAGAATGGAACATAACCATGGAGTCCTATGTGGTCCACACCAACTATGATGAGTATGCCATTTTCCTGACCAAGAAATTCAGCCGCCATCATGGACCCACCATTACTGCCAAGCTCTACGGTAAAGGCTCATTACTAGATGTGCCCATTGGAGTTAAGGGTGGGAGGACATTGATTTATGGACAGTGGAGTGGGTAAGCACAGGGAGTTTTGCTTTTTCCTTCTGACAAAACTCCAATTTGGAGAAAGGTACAATCACTGAGTCTCCCTGGAGGAGGTGAAATTCTCTCTTTTTGATCTCTAAAATTCCAGGCCCAGAGAATTACAGAGCCTCCAGGCCCTTAAAAGAACCAGTGGGGACTGGGGGCTGTGGCTCACACCTGTAATCCCAACACTTTGAGAGGCCAAGGCAAGAGGATTGCTTGAGGCCAGGAGTTTGAGACCACCTTGGGCAATATACTGAGACAGCATCTCTACAAAAAATTAAAGAATTAGCTGGGCATAGTGCATGTGTGCTTGCAGTCCCAGCTACTCAGGAAGCTTAGGCAGGAGGGTCACTTGAGCCCAGGAGTATGAGGCTACAATGAGCCATGATTGTGCCACTGCATTTCAGCCTGGGCAACAGAGCAAGACCCTGTCTCAAAAAAAAAAAAAAAAAAAAAACAGGGATTGAGACCATCCTGGCTATTGAGACCATCCTGGCTAACATGGTGAAACCCCGTCTCTACTGAAAATACAAAACATTAGCTGGGCGTGGTGGCAGGTGCCTGAAGTCCCAGCTACTCAGGAGGCTGAGGCAGGAGAATGGCGGGAACCCGGGAGGCAGAGCTTGCAGTGAGCTGAGATCACGCCACTGCACTCCAGCCTAGGCGACAGAGTGAGACTCCGTCTCAAAAAAAAAAAAAAGGGGAAGAGTCCTTTGTGGGGACTCAGGAGACCTGGGTGGGAACCTGGGAGAGACCCCTCTTCCTCTTGGGAGCCTGTCTTTCCTTCAGTGTATCAAATAGATTAAACTGCATCAATAGTTTTCAAATTTTCCCTAAGTGAAAATCACTGGGCAAAATCATTTCAGGCCCTTCCACTCCAAGCACCTGGTGGTTCTAGGCGTCTCCTCTGCTTCCTCCTTGCAGGGCGGGCGCCGCAGCTGAGGGAAACTCTCCTGCAGGACTTCAGAGTGGTTGCCCAGGGTGTGGGCATCCCTGAGGACTCCATCTTCACCATGGCTGACCGAGGTACATAGCACCCCTCCGCCTCAAATTCCTGTCCCCTCTTCGTCCCTTGTGGGCGCCAGAGACCATCCCAGCCCCTGGGTCCTTACTATAACCCTCTGAGATAAAAAGGCGCCACAGCCTCCCCTCCATAGTGAATCAGGAAGCCAGTGGATTTGCTCCAAGTCTCACAGCTTATTCCTAGCAGAGCTTAGACTAGAACCCATTCAGTGTTCATTCTACTGCCATGTGTCTCAGGGAGGTTGTAGCCAGAATCCACAGATACCTCTTAGGAGGCAAAAGAGTTTTGGGATTAAGAAAGTGGGCTCAGGAATCAGAGTGTTACGGGATCTTTGGGGCATTGCTTTTCTGGCTGGAAACCTCTGTGGCCAGTGGTGCCTTTGCCTGAGTTTTGCTTGGGCCTGCTGGGCTTGTTCCACCCACTTGGCCTGGTAGACCGTGCTTGGCTCATGCTACTGGCCTGGATCCCACACCTCCAAGGGAGACTGCAACTCAGGCATGAAGCGGCAAGGGATGTGTGAGTGAGGGTGGGGTCCAGCCACTGCAGTCAAACATACTGGCTGCTGCCATGGGGTGGGCAGCTCCAGGTGCTGGCATGGTGCCAGCACTCTGTAAGGGTATGGCTGGACCAGGTGCACCACAAGCAGATTTCCCAGCTGGCGCCAGGGAATGGAGTGGTGCTTGGAAGCTCGGAGATGCCAAGAACTGCAGGGCCCCAAAGAGGGAGTTACAGTCCTGGCTGGTGGAGCTCCCAGGTCTGGGCTCCCCAAAGGGCTGCAGCTTTTCTCTCCTTCTCTTCACCTGCAATGTGGTGAGCAAAGGGCATGTTTCAGCCCTGTTTGTGTTACAGTTAGCCTTGCCATTTTGTGGGTCCCAAGTTCTTGTCCTGTGACCAGAAAGAATGAGGTACACAGACAAATGTAGGGTGAGCGAGATGAAGGGGAGCTTTACTGAGCAATAGAACAGCTTGGAGGGGACCTGCAGTGGGCAGCTCCTTTCTGCAGCCAGGGTGTTCTGATGAGTGTTCAGCTCCTAGCAGAGAGGAGACCCTGGAATGGGAAGCTCCTTTCTGCAGGCAGGTCATCTGCTGAGGCTGCAGCTCTCAGCAGAGAGGAGGCCCTAGAGTGTGTGTCTCCTCTCTGCAGGCAAGTCATCCCATTGTCTCCCCTTGTCTCTCTGTCCTCTGTTCGAATCTGGCTGAGTCTGGGGTTTTTATGGGTGCTCTGTACGCAAGTTTGTACTGACTGGCCCATGGGCGGCCATGGGTAGGCCCAGGGAAAAGCACCCCAACTTCCCCATCTGGTTCACAGGACTGGTGGCCCAGGCCCCAGGCTTCAGGCCCTCCCCAGCTTGAAAGTGGGGCTTCACTGGGGACCAGCCTCCTTCCACTCAGGAGCCTGTCAGCCTCCTGCTGCTATTCATGGCACCCAGGCTGTTCATGCCAAGGGGCGCCTGCAGGCCAGTGTCAGGCTGCCATCAGCCCCCACTCGGCCTCCCTTCCACGCTTGTTGGCACCCAAAGTCTGGAGGGGGCTGAGGCAGCTGGGAGCTGGCACGTCAGCACTGCCCTGAGCATGTGCATACCTGTCCAGGCTGCAACAGCACCCTGGCTCAGCCCTGATCTTGCTCCAAAATAAAGCAGGCACCAACAGCAGAGAGAAGCCAGGCAGTGGGAGCAGGCATCCTAGAGTCTGTGGTGGGCAGGGGACCTTCCTGGGCCCTGAGAGTGCAGAAATGCCTGGGTCCACAGCCACAGCAGGGCGGCTGCTGCTGCACCTGGGGAGCTCCTATCCCACCAATTCAGAAGGGGCAGGGCTCCCACTTGTGCCCAGCTCCCACCAGCTCAATGGGGTGTGCAGCCCCAGCCACACCCCTTTGCAGCCTGAGGCAGGGGCTGTGGGCCCTTGCTGGGCCCAGGCTGGTGTCTGGGGCTGGGGTGACATCGTGGCAAGCTCCCTCCATGGCCCCAGCACTCAGGGGTGGCCTGAGGCTCCCCTTGCCTGGCTCGCAGCCCTGCCCAAGGGGTGCTTCCAGGAATGGATTGCAGGCCCCAGGCCCAGCCATCCAGAGTATCAGGCTTGACAGTCACCCCAATGTGGGGTGGACCCTGGGGACATGGCCCCTGGTGGCTTCACACACAGCCTCCTCCCAAGGCACAGGAACCTGGTGCCCTTAGTGGGGTGGGCCTGGTGGCCATGCCACTGGCTGGGTCCCTGAAGCGGACGCCACTCCCATTTCCCACCCCAGGGTCCCAAGGCTACGCCCCAGCTCCACGCCCCAGGCCCAGCCCCATGCTCTGTGTGCAAGTGCAGCACTGCCCTGGGCCCAGCTCTGCCTCAGGGGCCCTCTCTGCCCAACTGTATTGCTCCCCTGCTGGCAGGTGACTCAGCCCAGCCCCATCGTGACGGCCGCCAGGGTGGCAGGCTCCAGGGGCTCCCAGAGGTGGGCTCCGGGGGCTGTCAGCCTCCTCCCCATGACCTCTCCGCAGTGATGGTGGGCGAGGATGGCAAGGTGGAGCCAGAGTGTGGAGCAACAGAGGCTCTGGGCCTGGGAGTGGGGTCTACCTGGCTGCATAAGGATGGGGGTGGCACAGTTGCCTGCCTCAGGGGTGGGAGCCACAGGGGTCCCAGCTCCACCACTGCCACTTCCGCAGTCACTGCTACCACCAGTGCTCGTGCCTCCCCACTGCAGCCAGTGTGATGGCCGCGGCCACTCCGGATGGCCCACTGCTGCCATCAAGAGCACCTGGGTTCGAACTGAGCTGTGTGGCCTCTGGCTAGTCAACTTCTCAGAGCCTCATTTCCCTCCTCTGTAAATTGGGCATAATAACACCTTCCTTAGAAGTTGCTGTAAAAGGCAATGCAATAAAACCATTAAGTACAATAGCACTGTGCTCATAAATGCTCAGTCAGTGTTAGCTATTGCTATTCTTTCCATGATGCTGATAAAATGATGCTAGTGGGGTGGGGTGGAGTGGATAGATGGTAATGATGGTGCAGCCACCAGTCTCTTGCTTTTCCAGTGAATGGCCTTGAGCAAGCCACACAGGCAGGACCATTCATGAAGTGGACTAAGGCACGACAAGTTCCCAGCACGATGCTCACCAAAGATACAAATCCGGGTCTAGGATGGCCCCTGGGCCTGGTCCTGTTATTCACTCCTCTCTCCTGCTCTGTGACCTAGGTGAATGTGTCCCTGGGGAGCAGGAACCAGAGCCCATCTTAATCCCGGTGAGTGCCTCATCCCCCGACCCCATCCCACCCCATCCCACCCCACTCTGCCCCAGGCACGCTGCACACTTGATCCTGCTGCGGGGGGAGGCAGAGTCATGGGGAGGGGGTGAGAGAAGGCAGCGATGGCCATGAGTGTTGAAGTCAGACTCACTGGGGCTCCATCTTGATTCTGCCACCTGGACTAGTTGCCAATCCATCTGGACCTCACTTGTCTCATCTTCAAAACAGGATAATCACAATTACCTTCTGGGCTTGTGGCAGAATTTAATGACATATAGAAAAGTTCTTAGCACAGTGCCTAAAAGCATCTAAAAGAAGTAAAACACTCAATAATGAAATAACAATCCTCAATAATGAAATAATGATATTCAGCATGAAAAGAAATCAATTGATTTCCCTAAAAATCAGCAAACCTGAGAACAAGCAGCTTCTCAAGCCTTCTCTTTTCCTATGTTGCCTTCTGATTTTGGGGCTTTCCTATGCTTCTCTTTTATTTTCTTGCATTTTGCCACATCAGTTACACTTTCTTCATTCTCTTGTCTCTGATTATTTGGAAAATTATATATCCTATTCTACTAATGTATGTATGTATGTACATGGGTATATATCTGTGTGTGTATATATATATGTGTATATATATAAATATATGTGATATTTATTTGGAAAAATATTCTTGAAAATTGCGAAACTATAAACCCCCCACAAAAGACAAAATGTCCTTGTTCCTATGTAGAATTAACAGTTAACACATTAGATATTTGCTCCTATATTTTAAAAGAAAATGACCATTGATCTTACAAAACTAATAAATGGTCATTATAAAGAATTAGAGGAACACAGAAAAGTATAAAGGTAAGTAAAGGTTTTTTTTTTTTTTTTTTTTTTTTAATCTCACCACCTCAAAACTATCAGCAGTCACACAGTTTCTGGAATCTTGCCACACATATGGATAAAAGGACTTATAGAAAAAAGGACAAATGGATGATCAAATTTAGATATACTGTTATTAAATGGGATTATATTACAAGTGCTATTTCTAATTTTTAAAAGCATTAATTGTGGTTTTACTTGAATTTTTTTTTTTTTAATTGAGACAGAGTCCCACTCTGTCACCCAGGCTGGAGTGCAGCTGCATGATCTTGGCTCACTTCAACCTCCGCCTCCCGGGTTCAAGTGATTCTCTTGCCTCAGCCTCCTGAGTAGCTGGGATTACAGGTGCCCACTACCACGCTTGGCTAATTTTTGTATTTTTTTTTTCAGTAGAGACAGAGTTTTGCCATGTTGGCCAGGCTGGTCTTGAACTCCTGACCTCAGAAGATCTACCCGCTTTGGTCTCCCAAAGTGCTGGGATTACAGGCGTGAGTCACTGTGCCTGGACTTTTGATTTTTTTTTTGTTTAAAGAAACTGAAGTGGACTTCTTGATCTTCAAATGAATATTTAGTCATGAGAGGATTTATGTCCTAAAGATTCTTCTAAAGTCAAGGTTGTGAAAAGACATTTAAGAGGCTGCCATCACTGTATATTTTTAAAGAGTATATTTATTATCTCCGTGACTTGAAAGACAGACAGGAGCACTCCCTTTGAGAGTGAAACTCTGTGGCAACTCTTCGAAAATTTCTTTTGTCTTTTAAATTGTCTAGATCGATACCATTCCCGTCTTCTCTGTCTCCATAATCCCATCTTTTAGAAGTAGTTCTATACTTTAGTGGATTCTGTTCTTACCTGTAGTGAATATAACCACAGCTTCTCCGTTCCCGAGTTATTTATTTCTATTATTCTCTTAATTAGTGCCATTTCTTTGCCAGGTGGTGTTTTTGAGGAGGGTTCATGGGTGTTTCAGTCCATGAATTCTCCCATGTTTGAGAAGGTCAGTCAGTTTCCTTCATATTTGATGCCATTTTGCTTGGGTGCAACAGTCTTGGGTCGCGTGTTCCTTCCCTTAGAACTTTGTATATGTTACTCCATTGTTCTCAAGCGCCGATTATTGCTATGAAAAAGCCCGAGACCCGTGTGATATTTCTTCTCTTTGTAGGCAATTTATTTCTTCTGTTCAGATGCCTGGGAAAACTTTATCATTAAAATCAACATCTTAACAAAACCTGTCTTGATGTTGAAAATTCTATTTAAAAATTTATTGGGGGTTGGGTGCAGTGGCTCATTCCTGTAATCTCAGCACTTTGGGAAGGTGAGGCAGAAGGATCACGTGAGGCCAGGAGTTTGAGACCAGTCTGGGCCACATAGTGAGATTCCATCTCTACAAAAAGTGTGTTTGTTTGTTTGTTTGTTTTAAATTAGCCAGCTCAGTGGGTGGCACTTGTAGTCCCAGCAAATCGGGAGGCTGAGGAGGAAGTATTGCTTGAGCCCAGGAGTTCTAGGTTACAGTGAGCTATGATTGTGCCACTGCACTCTAGCCTGGGCAACAGTGAGACCTTGTCTCTATTTAAAATATACATCCTGAGCCAGGCATAGTGGCTCACACCTGTAATCCCAGCACTTTGGGAGGTGAGGCGGGCAGATCAAGAGGTCAGGAGATCGAGACCATCCTGGCCAACATGGTGAAACCCCATCTCTACTAAAAATGCAAAAATTAGCTGGGTGTGGTGGCTGAGGCCTGTAGTCCCAGCTACTTGGAAGGCTGAGGCAGTAGAATCACTTGAACCCGGGAGGCAGAGGTTGCAGTGAGCCGTGATCGCGCCATTGCACTCCAGCCTGGGTGACAGGGCAAGACTCTGTCTCAAAATAATAATAATAATAATAACAACACATCCTGGAATTCAATGTTCTCTTTTCATATACAGATTACATTTCTTCTGTGTTTGAGGGAAATCTCTCTTGATATCATTGAGTTTATCTTCCTTCCTTTTGTTGGGTTTTGCTACCTCGGGAACACTTGTTCTCTCATCCAGGAGCATCTTTGCCTTCCACATCTATTAGTTTCTTCCCAGTCGCTTTCATCTCTTTGTCGTTTCCATCTGCATTCACTGGGATTATCACTAGTCTCTCTCCTATGACATTCATTGCATTTTTAGCAGTCATTCCTTTGTGCAGACCGTCATTTCATTCTGTTCCTTGCTATTTCTATTTCTAATTTATTTGCTGGTTCTGAATTATGTTGTTTTGGTTCTCAATTTGTTTCTGTAGGCTTGGATTTTCTCTTTTCATCTTATTCTGTTGTTTTTGCTCATGCGTATAATCCCAGCATTCTGCGGGGCTGAGGCAGTAAGACTGCTTGAGGCCAGGAGTTCAAGACCAGCCTGGGCAACATAGCAAGACCCCATCTCTACACACACACACACACACACACACACACACACACACGTGCACATAAATGCATGTTCTGATTAAGTAATTCTATAGCTTGAAGGCATTGAGGAATTTCCTTCTGTTTCTTGAGTTCTGTTTTCTTCTGGTATCACAGGTTGGGTTCCCCAGGACCAACACCTGTAGGGGAGAAGACATGAAGGCAGGATAGGGCAGAGGAAGCAGTCCAGCTGTGATGCAGTTACAATGCCTCAGCCAACACTACAGGGACCTCTGACATTTCAGAGACGTCCCAAGATGCTGCAAAGGGGCTGAGCCCTAATACCCCTGTGTTGATCAGTCTGGGAGGTGCGCATGACCTTGGGTAAGATGGCTCCTTTAGCTGCCACAGTCCCCAAAAGGGGCTGACCCCTGGGGGCTGTCTGACAGTAGCACTGCCAGCGACTGAGAAAGTACATCCATTGCTGAGGGAAATCCAGGTAGTTTATTAAGGTGTCCACCACAGCTGGGCTCTTTCTCTTATTCAGGTTATTTATTTTTTTATTCACTTCTGAGGTGGGTTTGGGTAGTTTCTGTACCATTTATCTTCATCTTGCTTCTTCTTCGTCAGCTTTATCCAGACTTTCTGTTTGTTCTGGTACAATGGGAGGTGTCATTTACTCCTTGGTCCTCTTCCCATCAAATTTGAGCCCAATCCCACCTCCCCCTAGCCCCATCCTACTTTAGTGTAAGATCTGGGTGTTTTATGTTCATCAACTTTTGTAAAGTCCAAGGGAATGGTGAGGGTGGGGGTGGGGGTGGGGTAATGAACTGCCCCGAGGTGCACATGCGGGTCTGAATACTGTCTGTGTGTTTCCGGGGGCTGCCGTAACAGAGAACCACAAGCTGGGGATTTAAACAACACAGATTTGCTGTCTCACAGTTCTGGAAGCCAGAAGTCCAAGATCAAGTTGTTGGTAGGGTTGGTTCCTTCTGTGGGCTTCGAGAAAGAATCTGTGCCGTGTCTCTCCCATGGCCTCTGGTGGTTTGCTGGCAGTCTCTGGTGTTCCTTGGCTTGTTAAAAACATCATCCCAATTCCCACCTTTATCTTCACAGGGAGTTCTCTATGTGTGCGAATCACCCGTTTATAAGGACACCACTCATATTGGATTAGGGTCCACCCTAATAACCTCATCTTAATTAATTGCATCTGAACAATCTGATTTCCAAATAAGGTCACATTCTGAGGTTCTGGGGGGTTAGGACCCCAGTATATGAATTTTGGGGGTCACAGTTCAATCCATAACATCCTTCCTCTGCTTCTGTTTGGAAGGACTGCTGAATGTTCTGGATGGGGCTCATTATCCCTAGGTGGGCTGGTGTGATATAATCCATCCTACGACAACATGTCCTGGAGCACTCAATTGTATAGCCCTGGAACTTTTACTACCATTCCTCCCATTCTGTGAACTCCATTTTTGCTTTTTACTCCTTTCTCTCCAAAAGGCATGTTCACTACTCCTCTGTCAGGAAAGGAAAGGGATGGGGTGCCCCTCAGTTTTCTCCTTCTGGATTTAGAAGTATTAGGAAGAATAATAAATCTGATGACATACCAGGCCTGGAGGTTGCAGGGCACAGCTGAGCCATTCTATTCGGTTCCAAAATGTCTTGTGTTTTTTTCCTTGGTTGCCAGTTTTAAAGTTTTTGGCTTTAAGTTGGGATCCTTTCCTTGAGTGACACTGATGACAATTTGGGGGCTGGGGCTATGCTTTTAAACTCATTTTTTTTTTTGCTAAATGTTAGGTATTGGGGGGAGAACTCTAGAGGAGAGTTTCAATCTGCTCTTTTAATCCAGATGTCAACTAAATCTGTATTTCTTTATCAATGTCAAGAATAAAACCAAAGCTAATGACTCCCCTTGCAAAAGAGTGAAATACAGCACACTTCTATTTCCCGTTTCTCACCATGTTCATCCTTTCAGATTTTTCCCCATACCTGTTTTTGTGGATATGATCTGAAATTGTTTACATTTTCTACCTTTATTTTTTTTAAAAAAAATTGTTTCTAAATATTCCCAGTAAATCACATAACCATGTTAGCAATTATTTATTGTAAAACTCTATATTTTATTGGCTTTATACCTTATCATTATTTCTTTGACATTACATCTTTAATTTCTGGCATTTAGATTCCCTTCTTAATTGGTGGGACTATTTCTACAAATAATTTTTTCAGGAAAGATACATGGGTGGCAAATGTCTGAATCCTTGCAAGGCTGAGAATGTCTTTCTGTGGTTATATCATACGGCCAGTGGCTTGGATGAGTGAAGGATCCCTGGGTTACAACCTTTTCCCTCTTAAAACCTTCAGATATTGCTCTGGGACTTCTGTCGTTAAATGCTGTCACTTACTCTGAGGGCCACCAGGCTCTTTATTCTTTGTCCCTAGGAATGTCCAAGAAGGAGCTCTTCCCTAATTTTGCCTGATTCCCTTTTTCCCTATAATTGGGCAACTCAAATCTTTCTTTAACTCAAAAAGTTTTCTTCTATTATTTCTGTATTGATTTTCTCTCCTGGAAATCCTATTATGTGGATTTATTTCCTGTAGCATGGAAACTGCACTTTATCATCTCTATGGTGTGGTTAAATTCAACATCATTTTAATGTTCAACAATTTTCTACTTTCACATATTCATTTCCATCACTGTTGGCTCCTGTTATATGGATGTATGTCATCTTTTTTTTGTTGTTTTTTTGGATGCATGTCATCTTGAATTTCAGGGAAGGTTTAAGTGTTCTTCTGTTTCTTACTGCCATCAACCTGAATTCCAGAAGATCCAGAATATCTCCCATTTAGTAAGGGTATTTCTTCATCCCAACCCAATTCTGGCAGCTGCAGTATTTAACTTGTCCCACGATTTTTCTCCATTTCTCTATCCTCATCAAGGAAAGCCTATATGCCACCAGCTTAAGACTGGTCTGGAAGACAGTGAAAGTCCCTGACAGTTTTCACAGTGTTTTGTTGCCCCTGAAAAGGAGATGGGAAATTTTGAGATTACTACAGCTACCTTCTCAAGTTCCAGGTCTCACCTGTGGGCAGGGCTGCTCATCTCTTCTATAATTGCCCTGGGATCCTGCCTCAAGGACTCTACACCCAGAGGCCCTCTTGGCAGCTTTGGCAGCCTGCCCTGCTCTGCAGTCCCCACCACCACAGCAAGGAGTTAGGATCAGTTTCAGGGTCCCTTCTTTCTCTCTGGATTTTTTTTTTTTTCTGCAAGCAGCTAATGATGATCTGGTCAGCCCTTCCTGTAAACCAGTTGCACCTGTGCTCTGTTGTGCAACAATGCCTTCACATCTTTAGTGTGAGGGTGCTGCTCTCCCCTGGTTTCCAACTCTGGGAGGTACCTTTTCATTACTATATTCCTTTAGGCACTTCAACTGGGAGTTGGATATGGGGCTATTGTCATACCTCATGGTTTTAAATTTCATTTCAGACCAGAAATCTGTCCTCTGATGCCTGTTCAGGAATTCAGGTTGACACTTTTGGGAAAACAGTCTCCTTTAACCAGTCTAAGAGCTGTGTTCCTACCTACCCTGATTCCCAAAGCAAGTTGTTCATTTATATATTCCAGGGGTACAGGAAAGCAATAGCGGCAAGGAGTCTGCAACTGCTTCTTCTCTTTCTCTCCCCCGCAGAGAGTCCGGAGGGCTGTGCTACCCCAAGAAGAGGAAGGATCAGGGGGTGGGCAACTGGTAACTGAAGTCACCAAGAAAGAAGGTAATGAACACCTGCCTTTTCACCCCCTCTGCCATACTCCAGAAAGGAAGGGCCCACAGTTGGCTCACCCTGGCTACTCTTATCAGTGCAGTCTCTTTATCTGTTAGAGACTCAAGGGCTGGACTGAGAAAAGGCAAATCAAGTACTCTGCACTCTGCCAGGGGTTGTGGGGGCAGAGAGAAGAGCATGAGGCATCGTCCTGGGCTTGAGAACTGTCAACTCCATGATGAGAAGCTGGTTCTTGCCCTGTCTGTATGACTGTGTGGCCTCCTAGCCTTGGTTTCCTCATCCATATTATGGGATAATAGCCTGTGGGGCTAAACATCAGGGCTCTTGTAGGAGGAAGTCGGGGAGGGACATGTGAATGCTTTGTGTAGTTGACAGTGTCCATGACATAACAACTTCCTCTCCAACTCGATCAGCAAACAAACACTGAACCCTGCTCCGCCCCAGGCCCTGTGCTGGGCACTAGGGTCACACAGACCACTTGTGTCATTTTGGAACTTCTGGTCTAGTGGGGAAGGCATCCAAGGGAGTAGGTGATGGGCCCAAAAGGAAGGGTCAGCTAAAGGGCAGGGGGAGCTGAGACGTTGGAGGGGTGAGGGGATCAGGAGGACTTCATGGATAAAGGGGAATTCACACTGTGTCCAGGCATCCAGGTAAAGTTTTATGGAGGGTGGCATTCCAGGGAGCAAGGAACAGTGGGAGCAAAGGCAGGGTGGGTGGGACTTGGTGAAAAGGTCAGGCTGGCCAGTGTGGGTGCTGGTACATATGTCATCAACTACTATTACAGAGTTTTGGGGCAGGCAAGACCAATACAGGGGGACAGTGGGCCTGTGGTTCACTGGTAACTCCCCATGACATGGAGTGGAATGGGCATTGGTTTTGGAGACAGGGTTTTGAATCTTAGCTCTATGTGACCCCGGCCAAGTTACTTCACCTCTCTGAGAGTCAGTTTGCTTATCTAAAAAGAATTGATAATCCTTTTAGTGAAAATTAAATGAGATGGCGCATATCAAGTGCCCAGCCTGATAATGGGTACACAGTCAACACTTGGTCAGTGCTGCTGGTCTGCCCCTCCCTAGATTCCTGCCAGCTGGGCTACTCGGCCGGTCCCTGCATGGGAATGACCAGCAGGTATTTCTATAATGGTACATCCATGGCCTGTGAGACTTTCCAGTACGGCGGCTGCATGGGCAACGGTAACAACTTCGTCACAGAAAAGGAGTGTCTGCAGACCTGCCGAACTGTGGGTGAGTGCGGGTCCCCACCCCTGTGCGCTCTGCACCCTCAAGACCCTGTCCCTCCAGTAAACCACCTGCGAATTGAAAAGGTAGCTAACAGAGGGCATTCCAGTGGTAGAACTCCAGGCGGTTTCCTGAAATCTTAGGAATTCCACCTTTGGATGTGGAGGACCTCGGGCAAATCATTTTCTTCCTGTGGGCCCCAGTTTCCCCATCTGTCAACGAGGGATGAGGTGTTCTAGATGAGCAGGGCCCTCTGGCTCAGCAGTCTCATGTATGTCTGATCAGCAGTCACAAGGGTTTCTCAAGTTCCATGCCTCTCTCCACTCCACAGCGGCCTGCAATCTCCCCATAGTCCGGGGCCCCTGCCGAGCCTTCATCCAGCTCTGGGCATTTGATGCTGTCAAGGGGAAGTGCGTCCTCTTCCCCTACGGGGGCTGCCAGGGCAACGGGAACAAGTTCTACTCAGAGAAGGAGTGCAGAGAGTACTGCGGTGTCCCTGGTGATGGTAGGCAGCCCTGCAGGGTGCCAGGCTGGGCCGAGGGGCTGTTGGAGTCGAGGTGGGAGAGCCCTGGGAGGAGTAGGGGTCTGGAGAGCTGAGTTCTGGACTCTGTACCTGGTAAGCAGCCCATCTACTCTCTGAAATGGGGCTGAGCCTGGGGCCTTACCCCAGCTGGAATTGGGCCTTGGGGAGTTATTAGCCAGGCACTGGCAGAGGGTATGCAGGGCTGACTGAGGAGTGGGGCAGAGCTGGGTTCTAATTTTGCACCTGCAACGTTGAGCAAGTGCCAATCTGAGTGTCAGTATTCTCTTGTAAAATGGGACAAAGCACCTGCCTCCCAGCCTTCCCAGTACCTGACGCGGAGTTAGTACTCAGCTAACAGCAACTGCTCCTAATAATAACGACAACGATACAATGGTAACAGTAATAGCATTCCAGGGAAGAGCAACCATTGAAGATGTCTGTGCCTTGATTTTCCCACTGGAAAATGGCACCTGCGGTAAACCAGAAGAGGAAAAAAAAATCTGATCATTTCATGGAATACCCTTTGGAGATAAATGATTCAGCAAGCAGAGGTTTCTGGCCCCAGGCGACAGCTGCTTTCCCTTCCCTGAGTGTCCCTGCCTACGGACCCCTCCCTGAGTCTCTCTGTGTCCACAGGTGATGAGGAGCTGCTGCGCTTCTCCAACTGACAACTGGCCGGTCTGCAAGTCAGAGGATGGCCAGTGTCTGTCCCGGGGTCCTGTGGCAGGCAGCGCCAAGCAACCTGGGTCCAAATAAAAACTAAATTGTAAACTCCTGAAATTCTGTGTCCTCATTGTTCATTGTCATCACAAGTGTAACTAACAGGGTGGCGGAGGGGAGAAAAAGCCAGGGTGGGGCCATATGCAACCCCAGCTTTCCCCAGAAGTGAAAACTGCGTTGGAAACATAATAGAACTATCTTCAGTACATGACGTTGGCTATGCAAATTTTGAAACAAATCAAAGTTCTATTTACAATAGTGTAAAATGGGATTATTTTGTTTTGTTGTAATAAGGCTAGGAAAGAAAGGAAGACACTCTGGGGACTTGTCTCTGGGAGAGGTTTGGTGGGTCATCAGTGACCCAGGCTCAGAAGAAATGATTGATTGTGCCCTGCTGTGCCCAAGGAGCTCAGGGCAGACAGCCCACAAATGCCTGAAATAATTCCCCTGTCCTTTGCTGTACAAAACATCTCCCCAGGGTTTTACTTCAGCTGCAGCCATATCCCCAGAACCAGCTGACCGGAGCTGGAAAGCCTCAGCTGTTTCTCTGCATGGCCCTGGGGAGCCCATCCCCTGGGACCTTCCCCTGGGCCTTTGTCCTGGAAGGAGAGTGCTCACTGGCCTTCACATTGTGTCCAGTGCAACTGCTGGGCCCTGGCCCAGGGCCAGAAGCCCTTGATTTGGGCTGGCTTCTCCTCACCCTTGGGAAAGGGAGTAGGTGGGCTGTCTAGAGCAGCTCAGGACAAACTTGGCCCAAGAACACAACTCCAGGATACTCCAGTGTAGACACACAGGCTTTACAAACGTCTGATTTATAAATATCTCTTGCTAACTGCATCCACCCACAGCCCCGATGGCTGCTGTGGCTGTGGAGGGATTGGAGGCCCCAGCTTTGTGTGTTCTGAAGTGGAGAGCTGACGCTGGCAGAAGAAACCCAGGCGGGGCCCTACCTCCTCTTCTCTGTGGGTGACCAGCGTCCTAAGGGCCGGTGGCTAGTTCAGTCCTGGGTTCGCCCCTTGTGCCCTTAGCTCATTGGCTTGAGGGACCAGGCAGGCAGGAAGGAGGGATTCCATACTTCTGGTTGAGGGGATGAACCTGGAGACAAGGATTTGAGGATTGAAAGCTTTGCAGTCCCCTGGGTCAGACACATCAAGACCCTCCCTTTGTCTCCCCCAACATCCAAAGTGTGGGGCTTACAGGTTCCAACAGAGAAGACTGCCCTGAGGGACAGCATCTGTGGTCACGGCCTGGACTTTCTGGGCAGAAGCAGGTGGGGTCAGGTGCAGGGAGACAGGCAATTGTCCAGGAGAAGTGAGAGGCCCTCCGGCCTGGGACTAACAAAGGTCCTCCCATCCTGTGTCCACATCCTGTTCCTTCCACACGTGCCTCCCATACCAGGGCCAGCCAGCCACGGCAGTTTGAAGGGGCCATGTTGAAGAGTGATATTTTGAAGTGACTTGAACTGAAAGATAAAATGTTTAAATTGGAGGGTGTGAGCTGCAGGTGTACAGGCCAGCTTCAGCTGGTGGAAGGAAACGTTGCTCACGAGGTATTTTTTTAAATTTTATTTTTTTGAGACAAGGTCTCGCTCTGTCACCCAGGCTGCAGTGCAGTGCCATGATCTTGGCTCCCTGAATCCTTGACTTCCTGGGCTCAAGCGATCCTCCCACCTCGGCCTCCTGAGTAGCTGGGACTACAGGCGCGTGCCACCATGCCTGGCTAATTTTTGTATTTTTGTTGTTGAGACGGGGTTTCACCATGTTGCCTGGGCTGGTCTTGAACTCCTGAGCTTAAGCGATCCTCCCATCTTGGCTTCACAAAGTCTTGGGATTACAGACATGAGCCACCACGCCTGGCCGAGGTATTTTTTCACAGCTCTGAATTCGTCACTCGAAAACTGAGTTTCCACATAAAAATCTGGGTTTCTCAGTTCTCTTAAAAATAATTGGCATCCTGATGCCAACGATGAGCTGGGGCTTAGCAGAGATGCCCCCCCCCTCCCCCCCACCGGAAGGGCCTCACCTTGTGTAACCAGCTCTGCTCACCGACCTGCCTGGTCCAGGGGCATTTGACTCTGTGACACTTGCTATAACTTTTCACTAAAAATAAATTTAAAAATCAATGCACCCTAGCTTTTAAACCCCAGGGGTCGGATGGGGGAGCGGCACCTTGTGACCCCGAGTCTGAGGAATTCACAATGCTCACCTCAGAAGGTGCCAGGAATCTTTCTCCGCACAGTGGACACACTTACCTTGACGATTCACTCCATTCTTAAATAGTCTCACCTCAAATTTCTCTTTCAAAGGTGCTGGGCACACTCATTTATTTCCATTACAAAATAAATGTAGCTGCAGCTGCTTAATAAAGAAACATCTTTCCCCCCCCCCTTTTGAAAGCATTTTTTTTCAATCCAGAGGCTGCTCCTTCAGCTGTGAGGGCTCCCGGGCCATGCCCTGGCCTTATTTGACTGCAATGTTCAAGAGTGTGGAGGAGGATTCCTTCGGCCACAGCAGGACTCCTGACTTCATTGTAGGCTACATAGAAACTCCTCTATTAAACTTCAATCATCGGCTCAGAACATCCACACAGTTCTCTTAGCATGAAACTCCTAAGGCAGGATGGTTTTGAGGGCAGGGCTGGTGCTCCAATGGGCTCTTTGTGCTGTTACACGTGCGGTTTGATGGAATTTTTCCAGGTGATCAAGTAACACATCCTCTACTTTGAAGCAGAGTTGCCCACACCTGGTAAAGATGGTGTCAAGCCAGGGCCTGGGGTGTCTGTCACTCACTCACCTTGATGGCAGGATGGCGGCTTCACCTCTTAAGGGGCTGTTCTAACAGTGGGCCCACTAGGAGGAGTGGTCACCCCCTCCTGCTCAGGCCCCAGCTTGCCTGCTGGTCTCTCTTCTCCCTTGACTGGCCTTTGGTTTGCTTCTATTCCAGAAGAACATTGGTGTCTGCACATCTGAACGGCATCAGGCTTGGTGAGCCCACCAGGGCTGGCCTCTAGCAGCTCATGGTGGAGGGCGCTGATTTCTAATTTGTTCAGAGTCCCTCATGCCATCAGGAATTTGGCAAAAGCCATGGACACTCTTCCCCAGCACATGGATGATACATACAACAGTTATAACACACACACACCATTTAGGGGGCCAAAGCCACTAGGTAAAGGGGCACAGGAGCCTCGCGATGACCGCAGGGCAGGGCCAACCTGCACATACGCCTGAGGCATTAGACCTGGAGGATGGAGACTAAATCCATCCCTTCCTCCATGGGACAATGCTCCACAAGCCCAGGAGGGTCACATCTTCCTCGACCATGTCCCTCCCTCATTTATCAAACACTGGCTGAGCCAGGTCTGGTGCAAGAGATGAGCTGCGAGCTCACAGGTAAGTCACTGATACCACCATCACCACAGTTAAGTCAACGATGCCAGCATCACACAGTGTCCCGCTGGGATGGATGTGTGCTGTCACCCCAGGTGCCCTGTCTCTGGCCCATCTCCACTCACCTGGGCCCTGCAGGTGCTCTGCTCCTAACTGGACAGTATGGCCCATCCTCAAACCCAAGAAAAAAAACACCATACGCTGCATCTTCCTAAAGGTTGTTTTATTGTAAAACCATAAATACAACACTGACATGAAATCATTTAAGCAACTGATCCTCTCTAACTGTTAAAAGTTATCTTTTTGCCTTGGCATCAACCAACTGGGAAATAGTGCTGCAAGAATTCGGGGGGCAGGGGAGGTACTGAATCCCGGGCTGGGGCTTTTGGCGACTTAAAGAACCGAGTGGAACCTTCCTCTTCTCCCTGGGAATGTTCCACTTTTGGACAAGAACAGACAGGTAAAAACAGCAACATTAAACAGCTCAGTTTTAAATTTTATTACTTTGTAAAAATCTTTTTTTCTGTTCCTTTCCTCCATTTGACATCAGTAAATGTTTTGAACATCATGAAACTGATTTGGCTGTAAATGGAGAAACGGCACCAAAACAAAGTGAAACAAAAACCCAAAGGACAAACAGAAAACCCTAAATAAACCCTCAAGTTTGGTCTCGGGGGTTTACATATCACAAGAACCGTCAACTCAACCCCCATGCAATGTGACTCCCTGGAGAGCTGTTGGATCCACACCGATACAGGAGACCGCACACAACATCTTTTGTTAATTAACACAGCAAGTGTGACAATAGGTAACTTTTTTTTTTTTTAAATACAGTACATGGTACACAGGGTCCCCAAGATGGCCCTGCCTAAACCCCTCGTGAAGACTTGAGCCAAGCACCGGCTGTTTATAAAAATATTGTGTTGCTACAAAAGTATAAATTAATGCTACCGGTATTAAGAAATATTAAACACATAAAACTTATAAGGATTAAGAAAAATATTCATTAATACCTGTAGAAAACTCTGGCCTAAAAAAGATATTTTTTTTGTGTTTGTTTTTTTGTAAATTTTTTTTGTATTTTTTTTTTTTTAAGATGACTTGAGTTTCTTGCACTCAAAGAGAGAGACACAGTCAGATGTGTCTATGGTATTGCCTAGAACGTCTTAACTACTGAGAAAGGATGCGGGGGTGCACGCACGTGGTTACTGAGTGGGGGGTGGGGAGGAGGGCACCAAGGCTTTCTCAAGATTTACCTGATGTGAACGACTCACTGGCGTGAAGTTGTGGGGAAAAGAAAAAGGCAGGATCAGAAAACAACTGAAAATAATTTACGCTTCTTAAAAAATATCTCTGCTTCGGGTGGTTGTACAAAATGATTTCCTGATGCTTGGGATCTGAATGGCCCTGGACGAGCTGCCTGGGCCAGCCCTGCCGTGCGGCCCTCGCTCTCTCCTGGCTGGCGAGGCCCAGCCCCGGGTCAGTCCATGAGCTCGTTTCACCGCGTAGGATGCCGCCCACCCTGGCTGGGCGGGAGGGAAGGTCCTAGGCGGAGACCGGCTGGCACCTGGGTTATGGCAGGAGCCCCTCCTTCCGGCTGGTCTCAGACCTCATCATCTGTGCCAACCTGGAATTCAGGAAGCGCCACAGGAATCCCAGGCCCCTGAGGTTGCGGACAAGGCTGGGCTGTGCCCCTTTAAGGAATTTTGGTTTGAAGAGTCAAGGTGCCCCATGGGACGCACGGTTGGGCAGGGCCCTCGTGGGTCGTGATGCTAACACCCAAATGCAAACCTAGCAAATCCTTCTCTGTACAAGAATTGACTCTTTAAAGCGACACCCGTGGTGGGTGGGCGGGGGGGTGGGGGGGGAAGGGACGGGGCATGAATATGTCAAACAGTGACCTGACAATCTTCACCCTCATTAAAGTGGGAGTGGGCGCCTCTTCCACAGAAACCACTGGGCTCCTTTGGTGAAAGCCAGGGCTCCCCCGACCACAATCCTCAAACCCAAATGAGAGAGGAAGAAAAGCAACTACTACAACAAAATCCCCCAGAAAACCCTGAAAAGGCAAAACCAGGAGGGGAACGTTAAGAGGGAAAACACTGTATCATTGGTTCACCATAACTGGCCTAGCAAACATTAGCCACAGTGAAAGGGAGGGGCTTCCTCCTTCCCAGTTCTTCCACTGGCCCAGCTGGACACGGGGGCTGGAGCAGGGCTGGCGGGGACAGGAGCTCCCACCTACTACTGGCTCCACGGGATAGCCGGACCTTACTTAGTCTCTTGTTCTGTCTAAATCATCGGCCTTGTTAGGAGCCCTCCTTAAGATGCATCCCAGAGATAGAGGCATTGCCGCTGTTGCCAAGGCGAGGGCAAAGCTATGAACTTCGGGCGGCTCACTGGGACACCTCCTCTTCCAGCATATCCATCGTGATGACAAGATGAGGGGAGTGTCCCCAATGGAGCCATCTCACAGGCTGTTCCAGCCACATCCCATCTTCATTTCAAACCTTCCCAATGACCCTGTGGCCCCCAGAGAGCATGTGCTATATTCCTAACATCTCTCCAGAAGCCCACTCTTCAAGGAGTCCAGCTCAAGTCCAGGGGAAGCAGGTGGCCTTGCTCAAATATAGGGGACTCCTAAAGGCAGAGGTTCAGCTTCAGTGGAAACACGCCTTGTAGATTTTTTCTCTGGTGTTTCTTTAAAAGTGCAGGAGATAAAGGGTCAAACTGAAAGAGATGTCTCTTCCCAGCCTGCACACCTGGTGGCTTCCTTGAATCCTGGAGACTCACAGCTTCTCATCTGTGTCACTGCACTGCTCTCCTGTCCTTGCCAGGAAACCCTGGTACCCTTTTTCCAGCCAAAAACCAATCCTCAGATGTCAAGTGTGAAGCTGCCAAGCAGGATGGTGGCAAAGCTTCCTCACTGGTGATGCGGCAGGTGGCCTCTGTGCAGCGAACCTCCAGAGATGAAGTGCAGGCAGTTTTGCTCAGGTGGCATGTGTTTTGTTTCCTGGTTACTAAATGCCATTAGAGGGAGGCCTGGCTGGCTGAGCCAGGAATCGGGAAGTGGAGAACTGTGCCAGAACAAAGGCATCCACCCGTGGCCCAGATGGTACCAATGCTCTTGGTGGACCTGAGATTCCTTGGGCTACTCCACTCCGAGGGACAACCCTCAACGCTGCAGTTCTTGGCTTGGGCTTTGTTGGTGAAGCAACTGACCTCAGATGAGGGAGAAAAACTTGCCAGGTGGAGGTGTGTTTTCTTCACCTCCCCTTTTGGGTCCATGTATGTCAAAACAAAGGCCATTTCTGTCCTGGGGACCACATGGCTCAAGGTGAGTAGTCTCCACATCAGCAGGCCACCACCTTAGGCTGCTGAGAATATGGTAGAAACGGCCCAAATTCCTGGTCCCAGATCCCCCAAAGGCTTGTGATGGAAAGACCTACAGTGGACCCAGAACTGGGAGGCAGACGACAAAATCCTTCCAGATGTGAAGGTCAGGCTGGACACCAGGAGATGAACTGGAAGAGCCTGTCTCAATCCTTTGGCTGAACTAGAATTTGGTGAGGTGGATATTGTTGGAGATAAAGGGGCCAGTGGCTGGACCTGTGAGATCTTTGGGTTTTATTAAGCTGTTAGTTGCAGCAGGATTTGCACTCTGAGAACAGCCTGTCTGAGAAGAGGGCACCTTGGTACAGCCTTTCCTGTTGGTGACACCAGTTTCCGGAGGGAACCAGAGGTTGCAAGAAACAATCATCTGCTATCTTGTTATCTAACTGGACAAGGCAGCCCCAGAGGACAGCTTTCTGAGTACCCAGTGGCATTCACATCAAACCTGCAGAGGCAAGCCAACCCCTAAGTATTGAATTGAGGTGGAAAAGAAGTGAAAGGGAGGTAACAACCTAAGATCAAATCTCTTCCTGGAGGACAGACATCCCATGCTTCAAAGAGAAGAATGCTGAGTGCTCTAAATGCACATCTGGGCTTAGTCCGATGGCTTTCCAAGAAAGTGAAATGCCTATTTTCTAATCAACTGGCCCAATAATGGGGCATCACCAGCACAACTTTGCTCCAAGTAGAGGGAGGATGGGCTCCCAGGCTCTGCTCTCACCTACCACACAAAGTAGGCAGCTCCTATCCTTGTGTGGGTCAAAGTGCCGGTCACTGTCCCTTCCCCAGCAGTCAAGCAACGCTAGAGGGACCTTTTGCTGTAGCATCTGTCAATCATCAGTGATGCTGAGGCCACCTTCCAGAATGCCTCCAAAGGCCCAACTGACATCATAAAGTCTGCTGATGTTTCTTCCCATATTCCCTAGGAAGTGACATGAGGTTCCTGTCTGGATTTCTCCCTGTTCCTGCTCCAGTGTGGATGGCGGCTCTTCTCTGATAAGTGGGCTCAGTCCCCCAGTTGGAAATGTTGTGGAGGTAATACCTAGAACTTCTCCAGGAGAGGAAATGGCATGGTAGTTCCTGAGACCACAGTTTGCTGGAGCAAATGTGGAAATGGCCCACTTTGATCCATTTCAGTGTGTCCAAGTTTCAAGGGGAGAGCTGGGTGAGTTCTCATGAGGCAAAGTGTGCAGGCTTGGCCCCCAAACACTATGTTCCAGGTCCATGATCCTAAGCCTTCATGAGGTTTGCAATCAACTTTACTCCCTGCTCCTGTCATGGACCCAGGGGGAGAGGGCTGTGGTACAGTGCTTTTTGTAGTCGAGGTATCTCACAGTTGAGTGATGCTTTATTATTGGGAAGGGGTGGAGTTGACTTAGCCAACCCCAGGATGACAGAAGGTGCCTTTGCAAACAGCCTCCCGCCATGATGGCCATTCTCAGCTTGAAGCCTTAGTGTAACCACCCCATCCCACGGCTAAGGGTCACCAGGGGAGTGAGACCACCAGCACTTCATTCACTGAGAGGTGTGGTGGGGGTGGAGTGCTGATTTGTGACAGAACCGCCTCTTGTGAAGGGAATGGGGTGTCACCCTTGGCATCCGAACTGTGTGTGTAGAACCTAATTTGCTCACAGCTGGGGGAACAGGAGAGAAAAGCCTGAAGACATCTTTCACAGCATCGAGTCGAACATGGCCAAACACCATCCCACCCTCGGAACATCAACTGTTGGGGCCACAAGGCACCATGCTCACTGCCGTCCTGGAAGTCGGAGGTGTGAGTGAGGACCCCGAGGGCTGTGGGCAGCAGAGCTCCTGGAAGCCTCAGGGTCCTGGGAAGTGAGGAGAGGCTGTGGCAGGTCTGAGGTGTGGTGGATGTGACTATGGGCTGACTTCGGAGTCGCTGTGGACTGCCAGGGTCCGGGAGGGGGTGAGTAGTGTGATGCACACTGGGTACCACGCACAGCGGACCAGGAGGGCAGCTCTGGCGCTTACATTCAGAACTCCCAAACCACTGCTTCCCCTACGGCCACCAAACCCCGCAGCTGTGGAACCCGTGAATCCTCCCCAACGCCTGGTCTCCAAATAGCACAGCCAAGAACCTGGTCTTGGCCGTTCGAATATGTGAAAACTGAACTGTACAGGGAAGGCCAAGAAAGACTGTAGGATACTGAGTACACCACAGAGATGAGCTAGTTTACAGTGTGACTTGAGGAACAAAAGGGGCAAGTAAAAAAACAAAACTCCAAAACATAAGTTATAGACATTCAGTGCCTCCTAGCAGAGTCTAAATCAAATCTGAAGAAACAAAATGAACCCCCAAACAAGGTAAAAATTGCTAAAATGTTAGGGAGAGAAATTATTAGGGAGTGGAGACAGTATCTATACTTCTCTGAAAAATGTCTTTTTCTCCTCTCTTATATTAAAAAGCAAAATGTCAGCTTTATACTCTTTAAGTCTCCTTTCCTGATTTGGGGAGATAGATAGGTGTGTTTCTAAGGCGGCTGCCCCGGGACACCCAAGGGGTATCTCAAAGGCAGCAGCTCAATGCCCTGAAGGTGAACAAGAAACAAAGTCCAGTGCAGAAACCGTCCATCTGATGCAGTGTGGAGAGTCCACAGCAGAGCAGCCGAGTGTGTGGGGGGGTGCACAATGGGATCAGGAGGGTAGGAGGGCTGGAAGAGGGTCAAAGAGGGAAAAGGAGGACCGGGGTGAAGGACAGAGAGCGTCAAGTCACTTCAGATCTCAGCTGCCTGAACATTTCACAACATCAGCTTTCTGCCAATCTGCACACCTGAAAGCGGAGTCTTCTAAAGCCCCCTTACTGAGAAAAGGAGGTGAAACATCTCCCTCTTTCCCAATCGCTCAGCTTTCCTGACACGCCCAGTTCAATGCACACCCGTCCAAGCACAGGCGTATGTACACGCACCAGGGTCGTGTGTGTGTGTGTGTGTGTGTGTGTGTGTGTGCGTGTGTGCAAAGTTTCTCTGGCCATGGAGATGAGCACAGAGACCCCCCCACACCCCCACAACCACAGCACGTGTTCAGACACGTGCACACACGTGTGGCTGTGTACATACACGCACACACACACATATAAAAAAAGCACTTAAGTTTCCAGGGGGCATTTATAATGAGGTCCACAGTGTTTAGAACTTAAATTCCTTTTCTTTGTGACAGTGTTGTGTGGTTTTTTTCTAATGTTATCTTCTCTTTTTCTTTTTTTTTCCCCCGAAGTCAAGTCTTAAAGCATGTTGGATTTCAGAAACATGAGTTTATTCATATCTTCTGGACTGAGCAGCCGCCTCCGTTTGATTAGAAGCGCTTGTTCACACATATTTACACACCCGCTTCTGGCGCCCACGGCCGGAACCGCCAGGAGCCAGAAGGCGAGCTTGGCGAGTTTTGTGTGCTTTTGGGTAACGCACGACCAGTACTGGAAGAGATCAGGGGTAGCCTGGAAGAGGGGCTCCTGCAGGTAATCGTACACTTCATTTTTGCCTAGCCGATCATCTTCCTGAGCTGCGGGGTTCTCGACGGCAGCAGAGCGGGGCTTCTTGGCAGCGGGCTCGAAGTCGGCCTCCTCGGCCCAGGACTCCTTCACCTCGTTGATGAGCTCACAGACCTTGCCGATGATCTCCTCGTGCTGGTAGGGTGGCACAGGCCGCAGCTTCTGCTGCGGGTCCAGGATCATGGCCACCTTGTGGGCCGGGTGCACCTTGAAGTTCTCCTTGAGCGCCTCCAGGAAGAGGTGGCAGAGCTTGCTGACAGTGCCTGCGTCGTTGGCCTTGGCCGTGAACAGCTTCTCCAGCCTGACGTAGGTGGGCAGCACCAGCTGCAGGGTGGGCTGGCTCTCGTTGCTCAGCTCGATGACTGCCTGCTTCACCGGCGTCAGGATGGCCGCCAGGTTGCTGAGCAGGTGCTTGTTGAGGCTCTGGATGAGGTTCATCTTCTTGGCCCGGCTGTAGAACTCGCAGATCTGCTCATAGCGCTCATGCACCAGCAACAGTGAGTCCGTCACCGAGTTCCAGCAGGGTGGTGGAGACGTCTCCTCCAGCGACCCGAAGGTCTCCTTGGCCAGGCCCGTGGAGCCCGCCAGGTCCTCGCACACGTTGAGCAGCTCGATGACCTCGTGCATGCTGCGGGCCTGCAGTGTCCGCTTGCTCAGCACGCTCTGCACCACCGAGTTCAAGGCACAGGCTGAGCAGCGAAGGCACATGCCGGCCTTGGAGAAGGCGGACGTGCTCACCCGGCAATCCGTCACGTACACTGTCCTGATCTCCGACATCACGAACTCCGACAGCACGTTCTGCACCCAGTGGTGCACAAGGTCACCGCTGTCGCGAATGTCCGCACCCTTCACACCAAGCACATAGCTCTTGATGTGGTTGCCCTCGGCCTGGTAGGCTGTGAGGATGTAGCAGGAGTCAGGGCCAACACTCTGGGAGTGGCAGGTGACACCGATGCCTAGGCAGGCATTGCTGCCCAAGGCACAGGTCACTTTCACCTTCACCTGGTTGTACATGCGTGGCAGGTGCTTCAGCGCCAGCGTGTTGAAGTTGCCCAGGATTTCAGTGACCGAGAAGGCCCCATAGCGGGCACCACTGTCTACTAAGGTCTGGGCCAACTTCAGGAACTCCTTCCCGCTGACCACGCTCAGTGCACCCAGGTCGGCACACATGACCCTCAACAGCCGCTCTGCGATGTTCTGCCGCTCCTTTTCGGGGATCATGCTGTTGGGTGTTAAACCACTGGTAGTGGCTGGCAGAGGACACAAAGACAGATGGGATTAATTCTGGCATTCAAGGCTGCTTGGAGTGGCAGTAGCCTAACACTCTAAACATCTAGTATTGGGAATGGCAAATATATTTCCTCTTGCACACACATGGGTGGTGCTGGCTGCCTTTAATATATGATGGTCTCACAGGGATAAAGTTCTATGATTGATTAGTAAGGCCTGCCATGAGCATGGGAATAGAATGTAGTGGTATGTATGCAACATAATTGCGGTCTATGTCATTCCCCTAGATCTTTGAAGCCAACTAGTCTAATTTCTTCCTCAATACAGGAATCTCCTCTAATATGGGAATCTTCAGGAAATAAGATACATGGGATCATCATGTCAGGAAAGAGCAACCAGCAGAAATTGTGGAGAGGTGGGTTCTAGTTCTGATTCTGCCACAAATTGGTGCTTTCTGACCACAAAAAAAGTCACCTCCTCTCCCTGGGCCTCCTTCTGCCCATCCCCTGAGTTAAGAACTCCTGCAAATAAGGTCTTAGGTGTAAAAGTGCTTTGGAAACTATCATGCATCATCTTACAACATCACAGGAAGCACAAATGGTGGGAATGGGGGGCAGAGAGGAACAACTGGAGCATAAGGGGACCCTCAGGTCCAGCCCTGCTTGGGGAGACCTACTGTTATTGGCACTGTTCCTCTGGGCCTGAGGTTTCCACTTCTCTTCTACAACAGCAGGTGGCGATCGGGACTGGTTGGAGGCAATGTTGTTTTCATTGTCAGCTGTGGGCACAAAGGGGACAGTGTGTTACCTGGAAGGGTAAGAGGCCTGTTGAGGAACGAGATGAGAACTAGAGTGTGGTGGGTAACAGCAGAATGTGGCCATTGGGACTCAGGCCTGGGTTAAAATCCTGGCTCCTCCTTAGACAACTATCTATGCTTGCAAAGCCTCATTTTCATCATTTAGAAAAACTAAGGTAATCATATGGACATTACACTATTGCTGGTAAGACTAACAAGAGCTAATCCAGGAAGAGCTGAGCACAGTGTGTGGTATGGAGCAAACTCTCTGGAAATGGGAAGCACTGGATCCCAAGCCTGGCTGGGAACCCCACACCTACTCCCTGCACACAACCACAGAGTTCTAGCTGATATGGAGGGAAGGGAGGGAGTACCAGCTACACCCCCCAAGTGGCCAAAAACTCCTCATACTCTCTCACTTTCGCAAAGTTTGCATTTTTTAAGTATATTTACTAGAAATTTTATGAAATGAACAAAACAAAACCAAAGCCATGTGTGACACAAAGTACCAAATTATCAAACCCCTCACTGTAAGACATGGAAACTGAAGCTCGGATATAAGAAAAGATTTGCCCAAGATCACAGAGAAAACAGCAGCAGGGCTGGACATAATCCCAGGTTCCCAGTTCCTGGATGTGTCCTCCACATACTTCTCTAGTTTTTTGTTAATTGCACATATGCAGTGGTATCCAGTTATAAGTAATTGGTATATGCCTATTCTCCTGGATGCATGGTTACTCCTTGACATGTTTATGGGATCATTTCTAAATAGGAAATGGTCTGAGTCACATTCTTGTCACTACCCATGGCCACATGCACTTCTATCATATACGATATATCACAGCTTGCTTAACCACACTCCCAAGTCCTAGGTTTCTGGCTCTGCTGTTTTCAATATTACTGTTCTGCTATGAACCTGGCTGCCTAATTGTGATCCTGTGATGTAATAATCCAGCAACATAGATAAAGGATTCCATACCATGACCAAGTGGGATTTACTCCAGGAATATAGTTGATTAAACATACACAAATAAATGTAATACACCACGCTAATAGAGTAAAAGACAAAAATCACATGGTCATCTCAATAGATGCGGAAAAAGCATTTGACAAAATCTAACACCTTTTTCATGATAAAAACACTCAATAAACTAGGAATCGAAGGGAAGTTTTCCAACCTAATAAAGAGCATCTACCAGAACCCCCACAGCGAACATCATGCTTAATGATGAAACACTGAAAGCTTTCTCCCTAAGATCAGGAACAAGGTAAGAATGTTCACTCTCACTCTCATTTCTTCTATTCAACATGTAGAGTCATGTTGGACATATATTCTGAGAAATGTGTTGTTAGGAGATTTTGTCATTGTGCAAACATCATAAAGTGTACTTACACAAACCTAGATGGTATATCCTATTATACACCTAGGCTATACGGTATAGCCTACTGCTTCTAGGCTACAAACCTGTACAGTGCGTTACTGTACTGAATACTTCAGGCAACTGTACCACAATGGTAAATATTTGTGTATCTGAACATAAAAAAGGTATAGTAAAGATAGGATATTATAGTTTTATGGGACCACTGTCATATATGCAGTCCATCATGTACATCATGTGGTGCATGACTGTATTAGAAGTTCTAGCTAGACGATTAGGTAAAAAAAGAAAAACATCCAGATTGGAATGGAAGAAGTAAAATGATCTCTAACTGCAGATGACATGATTGTGTATATAGAAAATCTTATGGAATCCACATACATACAAAACAATTAGAAGTAATAAATTCAGCGAGGGTGCAGGATACAAGATCAATATATAAAACAAAATGGCATTTTTCCATACTAGTGATAAACATTCCAAAAGTTAAGAAAACAATTCCATTTATAATAGCTTTGAAAATAATTACTTACCATTAAATTTTAAAGTGTAAGAATTAAACACTGAAAACTAAAAACACTGTTGAAAGAACTCAAATAAGACCTAAGTAAATGAAAAGATATTCCATGTTCATGGACTGGAAGACTTACTGTTAAAATATTAAGTCTTTCAGTCCATGAACATGGAATGTCCCAACTCATCTAGATTAAACACAATCCTTATCAAAATCCATATTGTTGTTGTTTTTCTGCAAAAACTGACAAGCTGATCCTGAAATTCATATGGAAATGCAAGAGATACAGAATAGCCAAAACAATTTAGAAAAAGGACAACGTTGGAGGAATATACTTCCTGATTTCCAAACTACTACAAAGCTATAGTAATTAAGACAGTGTAATACTGGCACAGGACGGACATATAGATCAAAGGAATACAACTGGAAATATAGAAATAAGCACCTACATTTATGGTCAACTGAGTTTTGACAAGGTTATCAGGACAATTCAATGGGGGAAAATAATAGTCTTTTCAACAAATGGTGCTGGGACAACTAGATACCCACATGTAAAAGAATGAAATTGGACTCCCGCCTCACACACATATAAAAATAAACTCAAAATGGAATACAGACCTAAACGTAAGAGCTAAAAGTATAAAATTCTTAGAGTTTTATAAGGAAACATATGAACTGATTAAGTCTTTGTGAACTTGGGTTAGGCAGTGGTTTCCTGACACCACTGCCTGGATATGACACCAAAAGCACAGAAAAAAATAGATGAATGGACTTCAAAATTAAAAACTTTCATACTTTGAAGGACATCAAGAAAGTAAAAAGACAACCGACAGAATGGGAAAGATATTTGCAAATAATCTATCTATAGGGATCTTGTATCTAGAGTATATA
The DNA here is from genome assembly GCF_000001405.40 of Homo sapiens. Classification (NCBI taxonomy): domain Eukaryota; kingdom Metazoa; phylum Chordata; class Mammalia; order Primates; family Hominidae; genus Homo; species Homo sapiens. Next base: position 114,045,090 of record NC_000009.12, on the reverse strand, counting down.
AAGAACTCTCACAACTCAATCATAAAAGGATCCAAAAAAAACCAATTAAAAATGGGCAAAGGCTGTTCACTGATGATATGATTATATACCTAGAAAACCCTAAAGACTTGTCCAAAAAGCTCCTAGAACTGATTAATGAATTCAGTAAAGTTTCAGGATACAAAATCAATGTACACAAATCAGTAGCACTGCTATACATCAACAGTGACCAAGCTGAGAACTAAATCAAGAATTCAACCCCTTTTACAAAAGTTGCCAAAAAACTGCCCCACCAAAAAAACAAAAACAAAAAAACAAACAAAAAAAACAACTTAGGAATATGCTTAATTAAGGAGGTGAAAGACCTCTACAGGGAAAACTGCAAAACGCTGCTGAAAGAAATCATAGATGACACAAACAAATGGAAACACATCCCGTGCTCATGGATGGGTAGAATCAATATTGTGAAAATGACCATACTGCCAACAGCATCTACAAATTCAATGCGATTCCCATCAAAACAACATCATTATTCTTCACAGAACTAGAAAAAACAATCCTAAAATTTATATGGTACCAAAAAAGAGCTTGCATAGCCAAAGCAAAGCTAAGAAAAAAGAACAAATCTGGGGGCAACACATTACCGGACTTCGAACTATACTACAAGGCTATATTCACCAAAATAGCATAGTACTGGCATAAAAATAGGCACATAGACCAATAGAACAGACTAGAGAATCCAGAAATAAACCCAAATACAGCCAAATGATCTTCAACAAAGCAAACAAAAACATAAAGTGGGGAAAGGACACCCTATTCAACAAATGGTGCGGGATAATTGGCTAGCCACATGTGGAAGAATAAAACTGGATCCTCATCTCTCACCTTACACAAAAAATCAACTCAAGATGGATCAAAGACTTAAATCTAAGGCCTGAAACCATAAAAATTCTAGAAGATAACATCAGAAAAACACTTCTAGACATTAGCTTAGGCAAAGAACTCATGACCAAGAACACCAAAGCAAATGCACCAAAAACAAAGAGATAGATGGGACTTAAACACAAAAGCTTCAGCACAGCAAAAGAAATAATCAGCAGAGTAAACAGATAACCCATAGAGTGGGATAAAATCTTTGCAAACTATGCATCTGACAAAGGACTAATATCCAGAATCTATGAAGAACTCAAACAAATCAGCAAGAACAAAATAAACAATCCCATCAAAAAGTGGCCTAAGGACATGAATAGACAAATCTCAAAAGAAGATATACAAATGACCAACAAACATATGAAAAAATGCTCAACATCACTAATGATCAGGGAAATGCAAATCAAAGCCACAGTGCCATACCACCTTACTCCTGCAAGAATGGCCATAATTTAAAAATCAAAAAATAATAGATGTTGGCATGGATGTGGTGGAAAGGGAATACTTTTACACTGCTGGTGGGAATGTGAACTAGCACAACCACTATGGAAAACAGCGTGGAGGTTCCTTAAAGACCTAAAAGTAGATCTACCACTTGATCCAGCAATCCCATTACTAGGTATATCTTTCTTTGGAGAAATGTCTATTCAGATCCTTTGCCAATGTGGTCAATGAGCACATGAACAGATGCTCAACATTATTAGCTGTCAGAAAAATGTAAATCAAAACCACAATGAAATGCCATTTCACATGCACTAGGATGGCTATTACCAAGAAGGAAGATGATAAAAGGTGTAGACAGGGATATGGAGAAATTAGAATCCTCATACACTGTTGGTAGAAATGTAAAAATGATGCAGCCACTTTAGGAAACAATCTGGCAATTCCTCACAGGATTAAACAGAATTACCTTACAGCTCAGAATCTCCACTTCCAGGTATATACCCAAAAGAGTTAAAAACATGTGTCTACACATATACATGACTTGTACATGAATGTTCATAGCAGCGTTATTCATAATAGCCCCGAACTGGAGATCTAAATGACCATCAGTTGGTGAATGGATAAACAAATTGTGATATATCTAGATAATGAAATACAACTCAGCAAAATAAAGGAATTATTGATAACACAGAACATGGACAAACCTCAAAAGTATGTTAAGTGAAAGAAGTTAGACACAAGAGGCTAAATACCGTAGAACTCCATATATAATAAAATCCACTAAAGGCAAAACTACAATGAAAGAAAGCAGGTGTTACCTGCCAGTGGCTAGGGTAGGAGAAAGGGAATGACTGCAAAGGGGCATGAAGGAACTTTCTGGGTTGATGGTAATATTATTTTTATATTTTAGAGATAGGGTCTTGCTCTGTCGCCCAGGCTGGAGTGCAGTGGCACCATCATAGCTCACTGCAGCCTCAACCTCCCAGGCTCAAGTGATCCTCCACCTGAGCCTCCTAAGTAGCTGGGACTACAGGGGCGTGCTACCATGCATGGCTTATTTTTAATTTTTTTGTAGAGACAGAGTATTGCTGTGGTGACCAGGGCTGGTCTCAAACTCCTGGCCTCAAACAATCCTCCTGCCTCAGCTTCCCAAAGTGTTGGGATTACAGGTGTGAACCACTGCACCTGCTCTAAATTTTTTTAATTTTAATTTTATTTTTTTAGACACAGGGTCATGCTATGTTGTCCCTGTCCAGGGACTGGTCTCAAATTCCTGGCCTCAAGCAATCCTCCCTCCTTAGCTTCCCAAAGTGTTGGGATTACAGGCATGAGCCACCAAGCCCAGCCACTGTTATGTATTTTTATTGTGATGGTAGTTAAACAACAGCACACATTTGTCCAAACCAATCAAACTGTACTCTTCAAATTGGTAAATTTTATTTGTCTAGTAAATTATATCTCTGTAAGTCATATTTTAAAATAAACTGTAAAGAAACCTATTAAGTTGGTAACAGCGATTAGCTTTGAATAGTGAAATTATGGTCGATTCTTTACTTTCTAACCTCTCTGCATTTTCCCAATGCAGAGAATGCATTTATTTTCATAGACAGACTTTACATTCACAAAGGGGAAACACAATTTCCAATGAAAACAAATAGCCTTGGTATTTCTAGGAATCCAACTTACAAGGGATGTGAAGGACCTCTTCAAGGAGAACTACAAATCACTGCTCAAGGAAATAAAAGAGGATACAAACAAATGGAAGAACATTCCATGCTCATGGATAGGAAGAATCAATATTGTGAAAATGGCCATACTGCCCAAAGTAATTTATAGATTCAATGCCATCCCCATCAAGCTACCGATGACTTTCTTCACAGAATTGGAAAAAACTACTTTAAAGTTTATATAGAACCAAAAAAGAGCCCGCATTGCCAAGACAATCCTAAGGCAAAAGAACAAAGCTGGAGGCCTCACACTACCTGACTTCAAACTATACTACAAGGCTACAGTAACCAAAACAGCATGGTACTGGCACCAAAACAGAGATATAGACCAATGGAACAGAACAGAGCCCTCAGAAATAATACCACACATCTACAACCATCCGATCTTTGACAAACCTGACAAAAACAAGAAATGGGGAAAGGATTCCCTATTTAATAAATGGTGCTGGGAAAACTGGCTAGCCATATGTAGAAAGCTGAAACTGGATCCCTTCCTTACACCTTATACAAAAATTAATTCAAGATGGGTTAAAGACTTAAATGTTAGACCTAAAACTATAAAAACCCTAGAAGGAAACCTAGGCAATACCATTCAGGACATAGGCATGGGCAAGGACTTCATGTCTAAAACACCAAAAGCAATGGCAACAAAAGCCAAAATTGACAAATGGCATCTAATTAAACTAAAGAGCTTCTGCACAGCAAAAGAAACTACCATCAGAGTGAATAGGCAACCTACAGAATGGGAGAAAATTTTTGCAATCTACTCATCTGACGAAGGGCTAATATCCAGAATCTACAAAGAACTCAAACAAACTTACAAGAAAAAAAACAACCCCATCAAAAAGGGGGCGAAGGATATGAACAGACACTTCTCAAAAGAAGACATTTATGCAACCAACAGACACATGAAAAAATGCTCATCATCACTGGCCATCAGAGAAATGCAAATCAAAACCACAATGAGATACCATCTCACACCAGTTAGAATGGCAATTATTAAAAAGTCAGGAAACAACAGGTGCTGGAGAGGATGTGGAGAAATAGGAACACTTTTACACTGTTGGTGGGACTGTAAACTAGTTCAACCATTGTGGAAGACAGTGTGGCGATTCCTCAAGGATCTAGAACTAGAAACACCATTTGACCCAGCCATCCCATTACTGGGTATATACCCAAAGGATTATAAATCATGCTGCTATAAAGACACATGCACACGTATGTTTATTGCGGCACTATTCACAATAGCAAAGACTTGGAACCAACCCAAATGTCCATCAATGATAGACTGGATTAAGAAAATGTGGCACATATACACCATGGAATACTATGCAGCCATAAAAAAGGATGAGTTCATGTCCTTTGTAGGGACATGGATGAAGCTGGAAACCATCATTCTCAGCAAACTATCACAAAGACAAAAAACCAAACACCGCATGTTCTCACTCATAGGTGGGAATTGAACAATGAGAACACTTGGACACAGGAAGGGGAACATCACACACCGGGGCCGGTTGTGGGGTGGGGGGAGGATAGCATTAGGAGATATACCTAATGTAAATGACGAGTTAATGGGTGCAGCACACCAACCTGGCACATGTATACATATGTAACAAACCTGCATGTTGTGCACGTGTACCCTAGAACTTAAAGTACAATAAAAAAAAAAAAAAGAAAGAAAACAAGTAGCCTTTCTTACTTTCTCTACTACAGTACAGAGATGTGAAAACCCTGGATATGAACCCAGTTCTGCGATGGTGTGACACTGAATTGGCTACTTCAACTCTCTGGGTCTCAGTTTTCTCTCTTCCATCCAAAGTGCTAGGGCAGGGTAAGCTGCAGGAATGATTCTTATTCTCTGCCCTTCCATAGGACTTAGAATTGAGATTCTTCAACTTGTATTAAATAACAATGTATAATATTGGTTGATTTAAGACTTTTTCTTCTCCATATGCCACAGGTACCACTCCCAATACAAATGAGTTAAAAGCTCTGTGAAAGGCTTGATTTATAGCTTGAGATGAAAATAAGGTTTCCTCGGTGTGGCTATCCTGTGTGTCCTCCCCCCTCCCCCACATGTACATTTGTAAAGGGCTGGATGCGAAGCTGGAATAAAGGTTGCTTCCCAGAGAGAGACCACTGCAGGCAGGAGAAAGCAGGTATTTCTGACAGGGATGGAAAAAGAGGCATCTGCTGTTGTTGGGTCTTAGAATGTGCCATGGCCCTTGATACTCTACATCCGTCATCTCTGGAACCCTCAACCCAGCCCTGCTGAGAATACCAATAAACCCACTTCACAGACAGAAAAACTGAGGTCCAGGGAGGTAAAGTGGCTCAAAGGGGTTAGAAACCAGGTGTGGTGCTAGGCATGGTGGCTCACGCCTGTAATCCCAGCACTTTGCGGGGCTGAGGTGGGCGGATCACTTGAGGCCAGGAGTTCAAGGCCAGCCTGGCCAACGTGGTGAAACCCTGTCTCTACTAAAAGTACAAAACTTAGCTGAGCATGGTGGTGTATGCCTGTAATCCCAGCTACTAGGGAGGCTGAGGCACAAGAATCGCTTGAGCCCAGAAGGTGGAAGTTGCAGGTATACAGCTGAGATTGTGCCACTGCACTCCAGCCTGGGCGACAGATCGAGACTCTGTCTCAAAGGAAAAAAAAAAAAAAAAAAACAAACAAGAAAGAAAGAAAGAAACCAGGTGTGGTCACCTCCAAAATCCTAAACCCATGAGCTGCCAGCTTGCTTGCTGTCTGGAAAGTCTCCCAATCCCTCTTAGCTGCGGTCCTCCTGGCTGTACTTTAACGCGGAGGCTGAAAGAGATGACCTCTGAGAGGGCTTCCATCTCTGCTAACCTTCCATCAGGGTCTACCTGAGGCTGCACAGGGTGGATGTTGAGAGCATGGGCTCTGGAGTTCACTGCGAGAACTGGAATCCTATCTATAGCCTGCCACAGTGACTGCATAGCCTTGGACAAGTTACTTAACCAGTTTGTGCCTCCGTTTCGTTAGCTATGAAGTGGAACTGTTATGGGCACTTAACTCTGAGGGTTGTTCCGAGAATTAAATAAGTGAATATATGTAAAAGTCTTAGAACAAGGCCTGGCGCCACGTAAAAGCTCAAATGCTATTGGATACTTTTTTTAGGAGCTGTGCAACTTTGGGCCAGTGATTATGTTCTCTGAGCCTCGGTTTCATCATCTGCATAATGGGGATGAAAACGTCAACTACCTAATCAGGAAGATCTGATGAAATAACCTGCGTAAAGCTCTCAGTGCCACAAGTGACGCATAGAAAGCACTCACAAAATTGTAGCTATCTTTGGTATTATTACTGCCAAAGCATGCTTCTCCAACGTCACCAAGGCACGCCAGGTTTTCCTACAGCACAGAAAGGAAGTTTATTAGCGGGAATTACCCTGTGCCATTCAGCAGCTCCATAATGAGATTGGTGTTATTCAAGGCTGATCCTCCTTATCGTCGGCGCTGTGAACTGCGCAGCTCATGATGCTTAATTTCTCTCTATGGAGCCAAGCCTTTAATCCCGATTCAGTGTGGCTGGGATTCAGCCTGGCTTTGCGCTGGATGGCCGGCCAGGCATTCTCTGGCTGCGCTGAACCAGAACAAAGCAGCCCACGGCTCCACTCCGAAAACAAGTCAAGATGCTTGGGAGAGGTGGGGCCACCTCAAAGCTCAGACCTGATTTGCATTTTAATGGCCTCCAGGGATGGGAAAGCACTGGCACCCAGGCTCTTCCCTAATCACAGCTCAGCTTCCAGAAGCTGGCAGGGCGCAGGCAGAGTGCCGAGGATTCAGAGGAGGAGTGCAGAAGGCTGTGCTGTGGGAGTCTCAGGACCAAGCGATATGTTCAGGCAGTGGTTCCCAAGCAGCCTGCCAACTGCTGTCCCTAGCCCGAGGATCCTGCTTCCCCATGGGGTCTAAACACCTTGAGCTGGCATTCAAGGCCTTCCCTGGTGAGGCACAGCTGACAGCAAAGGAAAGCAGGGGGCGGGAAGCGTGGTGTGGGGAAGGGGATTTTCAGGCCCTTGCTTTAGAGATGGAGACACAGCTTCCTGCAGGAGGTCACACAGCACCCAGACACACCAGTTAGAGCAGGTCTCCGAGGCAAGTGCCTTGGCTGCCACTCCAGAGCTCTGTCCTGATTTTAAGTTCATTAGAAATAAATAATAGGCTCCCCAAAAAGATCATCTGATTTCATGCCTAATATACAGCAGATACCCAATTAATATATGCTGGATGGATGAATGAATGATAGAGACTACGCTAACAGAACAGTACTTAGCCTAAAAGAGATTCTAGTCCTGTAATACTCTATGCCAGTCAGGCCAGACCTGGGAGATGATGTGAAAGATTTGTACAATAACAATAACAGGTGAAATAACAGCAGCTACCAATTACTGAGCACCATTATGTCAGGCACGTCTCACCCATTATTTCTAATGCCTCTAGAGAATTCCTCTGGGGAAAGGGGTGGAGGGACAGCTAACTGCCTCCCCAGACTCACGTTTCCCTTTGCAGAGTGGCCAACTGTCCCGGGACAGTGGCTCTGGACACGCTTCCACCCATGGGTTCAGGCTGGTCATGTGGCTAATTCTCCACACTGGAATTTGAGCATTTACAGGTGTCACTTGTGGTCTGAAATGGTAAAGAAGTGTGCTTGCCCCATAGTCTCTCTCCCCATCCACAAAGAGAGAGGATGCTGAAGATCTAGAGGAGGACGGAGCCAATAGAAAAAAGAGCCTTGATCCCTGAATCACCATGTGGAAGCCACCCAACTAGATCATGTGCATTGGGCTATAATGTGGGTGAGAAGTAAATGGTCTGTATGTTTAACCACTGAGAATTTGGAATTATTTACTTATTCCAGCACATACTGTCTCCCTGAGACTTGTGTTATGCCGTGGTGAAATGTAATAAAAAGGCTGCCTAGAGAGCAGATGACTGCACCTGTAGCTCTAGAGCAGTGGTTCTCAAAGGGCGGTCCCTGAACCAGTAGCATCAGCACTGTCTTAAGACTTACCAGAAATGCAAATCCTAGTCCCCACCTCTGCAGACCTACAGAATCAGAAATTCACAATGGAGCCTAGAAATCTGTGCTCAAGCAAGCCCTCCTGGTAATTCTGATGTGTCCTCAGGTTTGGGCGCAACTGCATTCTGGGACATAGGGTGTTAGTGAATGAGACTCTGCTCTGAGGTGGGCCTTAGCCCAGCTTGCCTTGGGCTGCATGTCTCTCCATCCCCACCTTCTGTCTCTGCTCACCTTGATCTCAAACCATGTTCCATTTCCACCTGCACATTTCGCTTCCAGGCTAGCTCCTACTTGGCCTTTAGGACCAGCCAAGAGGCCACCACCTCCAGGAAGTCTCTTCAACTCTGTCCCACCTCTCCGTGTTCCCACAGAGCCTGTGCTGCCTCCCCACCGCCCCCACCTGCAGAGCACAGACCAGCCTGTGTTAATAACTGACTGACTGGGGCTCCCTGCAAGCAGGTTCCATGTCCTGTGACCATTTTCCAGGAAAGAGCGGCCTTCTCCAGGGGCCTCAGGTCAGGCCCTAACCATCTCTTCAATTTGCAGGAACTGAGGAAGGAGAGGGGGAGAGAAGCCGTATCCTACTTACCTGCATGGGACTGCATGTGCTCCAACAGGTTGTTGTAGAACTGGAACTGGATCCCACAGGCGCCGCAGGTGTAGGGTTCTGGAGGGAGAAATGCGGCAGCCACGTGAGGGGTGGAACCGACGCAGACACCTTCTGCTGGGCTGCAGGCAGCTTTGCAAGTGGGAACCCAAACACACACCGGGTCTCTGTGCTCAGGGCTCCGGGCCCAGCCTGCCTGCCTCCCCCGTCACTAGACCCATGAGGGAGAAGCTGGGTGAAGGAATGATGGAGAGAGGAAGCCATGCAGAGAGAGACCATTAGCTCAATTGAGCAGCTATTTATTGAGTGCTTACTGCGTGCCAGCCACTGTTCGGCGCACTTGAGATGGGGGTAGGGAGGACAACATCAACATCAACAGACCAACGGCCCTCTTGGGGCAGAGACTGAGTCTCAGGGTGTCACAGCCCCAGCTCTCTCTCTGGAACCACATGAGGTCACTATTTGCCAAGTGAACAAATGAATGAATGTATGAATGAATAAAAACCAAGGTAACAGACATAAGGAAAACAAGAAGGAAAAGGGTAAGAAGTGGAAAAAGCCACAGAGAAGCAGGAGGAAGTGGGGATCTGATGCGGAAAGGGAGGAGAGGGAGGGAGGAGTGAGGGAGGGCACGCGTAGGAACAGGCACAAGGGGTGCAGGGGCCTGGATCACTCAGCTCTCTACTCTTAGCACTCACGTCAGTGCCTGGCAGAGAAGAGGGAGGAGGAGAGAAGGAAGAGGGAGAAGGACAGAAGGAAGAGGAAAAAGAAAGAGGGGTGGGAAGAAGAGCAAGGAAAAGAAGAAAAAGACGGCTGCGATGGGGCTCGGAAGAGGTGTCCTGAGGCTGCCCGACGACCGTGAATGGGAAGGCCTGAGCTCCTGCCAGGGCTGGGGCAGCAGAGCCAAGGCTGCTGCTGGTCAGGGCTCTGCCCCACCCCGTCCAAACTGCTCCACCCGCCCAGGGCTGGACCTCGGCCTGCCTCCACCAGCTGCCGGGTCTGCCCGGGAGGGCAGCCCAAGGCCCATCTCACACAGCCTGGAGGCTCCAGGAGCACGTGGCTGGCTGAGTTCCTTCCCTGCCCTGCCTTGCCCTCTCCAGCCCCCCAACGGGACCATCACTTACTCTGTAGGAGAGGGAAAGGGTTGGAAATCAGGGGACTTGCAGTTTCTGCAAAAGAGAAACAGTTTAGCCATCTCTTCTAGTTCTGCTGTTCTGTGCTGATAGTCATAATTTTTATTCTTAATAACCAGTGAGCCAGATGGGGCTTTCAGAGGAGTGGGGAGCATCCGAGAGGAAGGCTCACAATCTGGGGTGGGGTTGCAGGGAGGCTTGACACAGAGGCCATGCCTTTCAGAGGATCAAGGTTTACTGTGGGTGCTGGGGCCACCAGGCAGGGCAAGACAAGTCACTGCCATCCCTCCGGGACACCCTACACTCTGAAAGAGTGAGGACACATGAGTACTGGTGAGAAGACATCCTTGCATGGCAGCTCACTTCAGGACAGGGAGCTGGCAGCTACTTCTAGGTTCTGGCACCAGGGTGGGGATGTTTGGTACCAAACACCAGAGCAGCCACCAAGAGCGGCTGTGCTTTGGAGGGCTCCTGCTGGCTGGCATCTCTCCCTCACTTCCTGGCACTGCCAGAGGTTGGCAAGCCTCAAACGCAGCAGGCAGCACAGCGGGGCCAGATGGTCTAGATGGGGAATCCTGGCTCCACCACTTATAATCTGGGGGACCTAGGGCAGCAATCCACCTCTCCTGAGCCTCAGTTTCCCACTCCAAAAAGTGGGGATAACAATAACATTGACCCCCATGGGGCTGTGGAAAGGAGGAAGACAGATAAGACATATAAAGCTCTGAACACATGCCAGGCACACAGTAAGCGCTCAATCAATGGTGGCTGCCAACAGCAGCAGCAGCAGCAGCAGTGCTTGCGCTATCGTTCCCGATTGTGAATATTAGCTCTGGGGGCAGGGGACGCATGGGGGTGCAGCATGGCTTGGCTGGGAGCACAGGGCACATCTGGAGACCTCGGTTCCAGCCCGGCGCTACTACTTATTCCTGTGTGGCCTTGGGCAAGTCACTCCATCCCTTTCAGGCCCACCTCTTGGAGAGGTTGGGTGGATTACGTTGTTCAAAACCTCATTCCCTTCCGCAAAGCAGTCATCAAATCACTTGGTTTACTTAAAAAATAAAAATGACCAACTATCACCACCAAAAAACCCTAACACCTGAGTATGTAATCTGTGCCAGGGACTCACTGAATGTTCACAACCACCACGGGGCTGTGTGTGTTCATCAAGCCACTTTACAGCAGAGGAGGAATTCAGAGACTAGCCTAAGTCACCAGCTAGTAAGTGGTGGAGCTGGGGTTCATATGTGAGTAACAGCCCGAAGTGGAGCTCCTGTTACTAGGCAGATGCCTCCACACTCAAGTCTGCGCTCCTGGCTGTCTCAGAGGGTCCCCGACAGTTGTGATGTGTTCGTCACCTGTCCACACCCAGGCAGTAGTGCCCAGCCCAGTGCCTGGCACAGGCTGACACCTAATATGTAGTGAATTAAATTTCAACCATGCAAGAAAGTGAGTGGGTGCCTTCCCCTAATGTAACCACAATGTGAGAATTCCTCTCCCCTCCTGCCCTGCCTCTCAGGGTACAGAACAGCTTGCTGTGCCCTGCTCGGACAGAGGCTGCTGGTGACCAGCCAGGCACCCCCCAGGCTGACCCCGGGTCTGGTGGGAGAGGCCCCTTGGCTGCTGCTCTGGACATTCTAGGGCTCTGCCGCGGTCCTGGAAGAGGCAGGCGTCAGGGGGCGCCAGAGACCACCTAGAGCCTCAGTTTAAACCCACTTGAGCAGGTAGGGGCTGGAAGGGAATCTTCGTTCCAGTGGCTCCAGGGCCAAAATGAGACCAGAACTTGGAGCCTCTGGCTCTCACAGCTCTCTCTCTCTCTCTCTCTCTCTCTCTCTCTTTTTGAGACAGAGTCTCGCTCTGTCACCCAGGCTGGAGTGCAGTGGTGCAATCTTGGCTCATTCCAACCTCTGCCTCCTGGGTTCAAGTGATTCTCCTGCCTCAGCCTCCTGAGTAACTGGGACTACAGCTACTGTATTTTTAGTAGAGATGGGATTTCACCATGTTGGCCAGGTTGGTCTCGAACTCCTGACCTCAAGTGACCCACCCACCTTGGCCTCCCAAAGTGCTGGGATTACAGGTGTGAGCCACGGCGCCCGGCCTCTTAGAGCTCTCTCAACTGCACTTCCTTTGCTTCTCCTGTAAAGAAACTGGCTGAGACATCTACCCTAAAAACATAGCAGTGGCTCTCTCAGGCCCAATCATCTGGGGTCAGCTGAGTTGATGCCGCAGGCTATGGGGAGGGGTGTTGCTCTCTCCATGGGGGAGACAGAGAGGAGGCATTGTCCACTGATGCCCAAGGCTCAGAGGAATGTCCCTGGAAGAAAAGGCCCCTCCTGCCTCTGTGGTCTCCCTCTAATTCCCTGCTCCCAGCCTCCTCCCAACAAGATCCATAATGCACCACAAAGACCCCAGCCCACAGGATGCTGCCGCGGCTGCCAGGGGGGAGCGGGCGAAGCTGGCAGCTACCGCACAGGATGGCTGTCAAGGGGCACACTCACCGCTGGAGTTCTGCGAACTGCTGTTCGTCTCTTCAAAGTGGTTTTGTGCTTTGCCTTCTACTCTCCGACTGAAAGCGCTTTCTGCTGGGTGGGGGACAGGAGAGAGAAAGAAAACAATGGTGATTGGTCAGCACTAGGTCTCAAGGGAGGGGTAGGCTGGGTGAAGGCCAAGGACTCTGCTGGGCCAACTAGCTCTCGTGAGGGCTCCAGGACCTCAAGCCAGATCTCCCCAGGACCCTCTGAGTGGCCTAGTCCCTTGGCAGGGCCCCAAGAGACCCTCCTGGCAGGGCCCAGGAGGCCCAGGCACGGGGGCCGGGGGAGTGACATGCCCAAAAACACAAAGATGAAATCCAGCAGGAGAGCAGATGGCAAATGGGCCTGAGTCTCCCATCTTTGGCTCCTGGAGAGCCACAACCGTGACAGCAAATCATTGGATCTACCGCCCACCACTCCCTGTCAGATTCTGCTGCCACGGGCCCCACCGAAGTGCATAGATGATGACAGCATGTTTTCTGGTGATTCCAGCTCCATCAGCTAGGTGGTCCCTGGTGACAGGGAGGGTATCCTGCAACAGATGGCGTGACAGGGAGAGCAGGGGTAGCCCCACACCCCCAGAGGCCAAACCCAGGCAAAGTCTGGTCAGTTGTTCCCCCAGCGGAAGGGATGGGTTCCCCCTGAGTGACTACTGGGGTGTCTCTGCTTACAGGCTGCCATCTACCTGAGGGGCCCACCCTCTTCCAAGTGCTCTCTGGAAACCCTGCAATGCAGAGATAGGGTCCAACCAGGTGGAAAACCATGAATTTTTATCCCCCACCCCCACCTGCAGAAGGTATTGAAACAGATGATCCGAGCTGGAAGACAGCCCAGCTTTTCCAAGGTGCTCTAGGCATGAGGGGGATGCCGGACGATCCCAGAGATAAAGACCTCAGGGAACCAGTCAATTTGGGATGTGCAGCTGACCCAGTGCATTTCTTAAGGAGAAACAATTTGCCCAAAGATATCAAAGGCTCCGCAAAGTCTGCCCGCAAACAGACCCATTTAGATTTACTTAACCTGGCCTTCCCCAAACATAAGAGGGGTTCCCACAGAACCCCATTTTTAAAACATTAGATTCTGAAATATCTCACAAAATTGGTGATCTTGAGAATGCACTTTGGGAAATGCCACTCTCACCTGGTCCACCCTGCTCCGGAAGAGCAAGTGCTTAGTTTGTGGGTGCCAGGGTTGCGGATGGTCATGGGGACAATGGGAAAGGAAGCCAGAGGCAGTGCCTGCAGACCCTGCCCAATTCCCACCTCCCCCCGACCCCTGTCATCCCACTGTAACAACGTCTCCTGACACAGGCTCCTTCCTGCAGAGGCTGCAGCTAACATTACAAGGACAACCCTCCCTTCAAAATGTGCCTGTGAAATGCCTGGGCTGAGAGTCCCAGGGAGCATCTACAAATTGGCACAGAAGGCCCCTCTGTTCTCGGTCTAGGGAAAGGGGTGGGGGTGGGGGGCTCTCATTCGCTGAGCACCTCCTATGTACCAGGCACTGGACCAGATACTTTACATCCAAGTTCCCTCTAATTCTCCCAAAAGCCCTGTGAGGGCTGCACTGTCATTCCCATTTCACAGGTGAAAAAACAGAGGAAAGAGTGAGATTGTCAAGTTACTGGGGTTGGATGTACTCCTAACCCTCCAAGACGGCAGAATCAGACTTCACTTTAGGGGGAGGTGCTTCCTTTTGAAAAAGGCCTTGTGTGGAGAAGTGACTGCCTACTCCATCTTCATCCTTGTGTACGTTGGGTGACTGGTACTCATCTATGGAGGACTTCTGACCAGCATGCTGGTAAACTTACCACAATTGAGGCTGCAAACTCTTACACTGCTCAGCTGATAATGCACATTTTGAATAGCTTTCCTTGCCACAAGTACCTCTGGCTGAAAAATCAACATGCAGCACCAGAGGTGAAATCCCATACAGGGACGTGCCCATACACACATGAAGGGCCACTTATTCCAGGACCAGGAGGTGACTGACAGTTTCTTCCTCAACCACATACTATCTTATCTCCCATGCAGGCTCCTGCTCCCAACCGGATGCCCTCTGACCTGCTCAGCTGGTGAATCCAGAGGTGACCCCTACCCACAAGTCTTCCAAGGCACATGAAGGCAGCCTGAGGCCTGTCCCATAGCTTGCTGAATGCCTACTCAGAGACACTGAAGCTGGAGACCGGCCACGTACCACACCCTGTGGGCCGCCCTCTGCAGAAACCGCAGGCATAAAAACTCCCAGCCACAAAGTGCAAGAGAGAAAGCAAGATTTGAAAGCCACGATTCCATGATTTAGTGGAGCCGATATCTATCACCAATGAGACCGTGATGACCAATTTGCTTCTAACTAATTTATGCTACTGTTGAAAAACACAACGGCTACTGGCTTTTCTCAACACGGTACCTGAAAAACCATGACCTTCAAACCTTCAAGGCTGACTGACTACTCTCCTTTTGGGAGATCTAAGCACAATAAACATATCTTCGAAGAATCACGCCCTTGCCCAAAATTAGCCTCCTGAACTGAGGAGTAAAGGAAAGCACGGCTTAATCACTCGGCTGGGTTGTCAGTCACCGAATGAACCAAGTGGATCCTTTACCTGAGTTCTCACCTTGATCATCTATTTATTTAAGAAATGGCTTTGGTCTCCTGAGGACAACTGAAGGGCCCGCGGTCCCAGAGGCACCACATCATCACTCTGCCCTACAACCCACAAGTCCCGGCAGGTGGCCCAGGGCTGGTTCCATCCAAACGTGAATCTAAGAATTCCTGACTGCTGGTCCTCAGCACACAGTGTGTCTGGCCAGTTTTTCTGGAGGAAATAACTTCTCGGAACTTTTTATTGTCTGTTTACCCCTCTGGAGCCAGAGTCCTTTGCAGTGTGAACTGAGGAAATGGTGGCATCCACTGATTTCCTGCTGGGCCTGTATCTCATGGAGGAGTTTCACGGGTAGTGCTACAGAGGGGGAGGGCAAGAGACCAGAGATCTAGGTCAACCATCCGGCTTATCCTGCTTTGTTCAGAGCAGATCCTTGTTGAAATGACTTTTTTTTTTAAATTAAGTTTTCTGAAAGGTGGGAGATGCAAACTCATGCCAACAGGGTCCAGGCAGGCAACAGAAACAGATGAACTGGGTTGGATGTAAGACAGACAACAGTGTGATCACAATGAGAAATGACACCTGCCACATGGCCATTGTGTTGGGGAGGCAGTAAGGCGTGGTGAGGATGTGGAAAAGTGGAGAGCACACACTCTACTCAAGGAGGCAGCCAATCGTTGTCCTGTAGGAAAGTGGGTCCAGGACTGCCAGGTTTGACTTTTCAATGTCAGGTAGAAATCAAAAGTTTTACATAAAATTTGATGTTCAGAAGCTGGCAATTAACTAAAAAATTTTTTAAACCTTGTGAAGAATGTCAAAACAGGCCCCTCAGGCCATGATTTGGGAAAAAATATTCTACTACTTAAAAAAAAAAGTTTGCAAACCTCCTTGTACAACCCTCTGATTTAAGGTGAGAAGACTTGGCTCAGAAATGTGAGGTGGCTTGTCATGGTCACAGAGCCAGCCAGAGGCAGAGCTGGGACTCAGATTTGTCCCAGATCACTACGGGACTGCCACTCTTGCTCTTGCAAGGCAACAACAACCCCAGGCACAGCTGTGGCAGGTGGTGAGAAGGGCAGTGGGGGAGAAAGTGTGGGGGTCACATAGGCCATTGGTACCTGCGGTTGCCTTGCTCGCCGGAGATCCCGAATTTGGAGTGCGGAACGTCTGGGTTTGGGTGGCTGGAGGGGTGCGGTGTAAGAGGGTGGCACATCGGACCACGGAGGCCGGAGCTTTTTTCCCCGACTGGTTCGTCTGGGTCTTCGCTGCCACGAAGCGTGGAGATGGGGAGACCTCTGGATGTGAACACTCAGAGCCCGTGTCTGGATCATCCGGTGGCTCCCACCCGGGGGCAGTACCTGAGAGGGTCACGCTCTCAGTCCCCGAGGGCCCTCCCAGCCGGCAGAGTGAGTGGCCTCTCGGGCCACCAGCCCCACATTCCAGGGTTGGGACTGTCTCTGTCCAACCTCTTCTTGTGCCACAGAGAACAAGGATTCTCACTTAACTCAGAGCCAGAGAAAGTCCAGGAGTCTGGAACCTTCTGTCAGCTCACGCTTAGTTATCTGGAGGCCACCAACCAGCCCACTGTGTAGGTCACCCATAACCCTTGACCAGCCCAGTCTCTGGACTGACTGGCTCTTAGGGCATCTGAATTGGTTAACCCAGGCCCAAGTGCATCTTCTAGAATGTTGGTTTCTAAGCTCCTTTTCCTTTAAAGGAAGGCTGGCTTGGAAGTTACAATAGGAAGTAGACAGGCAGGGACATGCCGGGGCTGGGGGTGAGGCAGAGGGGCCTGATAGTCCCTCCAAGGTTTTAGGGCAAGGGGCTCTGTGGTGCCTTGTGGGCACTGACTGGGAACTGTTGCTCTCATGGGACACCTGACGCTTTAATTGAAATAAGTGTAGCAGTTCCTGGATGCTGTCTGGGGAACCCTGCATCACCATTACCCAGGCCCCCTGCCTCCCTCACCTGAAAAGTCCGTAGAAGCTGGAGTCACTGAGAACCGGGGGCTGGCTCTCCAGCAGTTTCCACCTCTGGTGGTCTTGGGAGAGCATCAGTTGGCCTCCTTCACCCTCCCCTGAACCCTTAGCAGTGGTGGCCAGCCCCTGAACCTGGCCACACTTCCACACTTCAACCTGGCCTCATTCTCATGAATGAGACTCAGAGATCATGCAAAATCCACAACTCTCCCTGAGGGCAGGAAGGGGGCTAGGCAGCAAGAGGAAGCAGGGGCCCTTTGGTACCGACCAGAGGCTCACAGAACCCCCGAGAATTAGTAACACCAGAGGGTACTGTCTTGACTCAGTGCCTGGCCACAGCCCTGACCTGCCTAGCGAAGGACCTGGCTGTTGCTCCCCTGGCCCAGGCAGGTGGAGGCAGGCCCCATTATCTCCCTGCTCCTAAGACAGCGTCCGTCCTGGGCACTGTATGCAGAGCCTAAATGAAAGGGCCCCCTGGCCCGCCACCTCTGCTCATTCCTGGCACAGAAGGCGAAGCTCAGCCCAAAGAAGCAGGATGCAGGGCCTTGTCCAAGGTCACAGAGGAACTGAGTGGCAAAAAGAAAAAGCCACTCTATGGTCCTTCATTTACCACACTGGTGCATGGGGTGAGCTGTGAGGACTGGGGCTGCCCATTCTCCCCCGTGGAGGGTCACCCACTCCTCGCCTACAGTGGTGGCCACGTGCTGGGAGCAGGGAGTTCTTTAGTCATGCCCCACTTAAACAAGCCCTCATCTGTCCGCCCCAGCCCCAGAAACAAATCCCAAGGCCTCAGTCTGCGGAAAACACTTGTGTCCCTTGTGACCTGAGCTGCCACTCTTGGGACTCTCCCTTCCTGAATCAGGAACTGAGAAGTCTTGGGTGGCAAAGGACACTTGTATACCTACTCTCCTGCTCTCTGTCTCTCTTTCTGAGCCGAGGGCCTCAGAGGCCCCTGAGTCCCACCAGGTGATTGCTTGTCTCATAATTTCCAATTTTTTTTTTTAACCCACAGAATGAACCGACACATTCAATGTTGCAATAGGCACCCAGAGTCCATTTCTAATATCACTGCTGGCTTCCTGTGTGAGGCAGAGTTTGGGGACCACAGCTGGTTATTCACTGTAATGGAACCAGCCTTGAGTCTGGAGTGAGGCAAATCCACCTCTGAAGCCCAGCTCTGTAACCCTCGGCCTCCACAATCTTGGAGACTATACCTCCCCTCTCTCGGCCTTTGTTTTCCCCCCTCGACTCCACCAACACTGGGATGACCCTCTCCACATAGCAAGTCTCACGGGGACTTTATGGGAATCCAAGAAAGTCTCAGAAGCATCCTGAATGATAAACTGCTCTTCAAATGTAAGTATCTATTACTGGTATTTTTCAGAGATTAAAAAAACCCAAGGCCCAAAGGCTTATTCTGGCCACAGACATAATAAGTTTGTTGATGGCAACACACAAAGTTAGTGCTGAGATGAGACAGGGCTCAAGTCTGCCGGCTGTGCAAGGAGGCCTTTGGCACAAGGCCGTGCACTCCTCTGCTCTCCATGGCAGTGACCCACACAGGAACAGAGTTTCTGAGCAACAGCCTGATCAAGCTGCTTTCCCTCTGAGGCTTCAGGCTCCATCCTTGCAGAATGACTCTAGGAGCCCCGTTGGATCAGCCCGTTACAGAGTCTACAATTCCTGCTGTAAAGATCCTGGCATTCTGAGGCACACAGCCCCCTCTTTCCCTGTGGCAGGGAGCTCAGGAACATGCATAAAGCACATGGTATCATAGGCCTGAGGGCATCACCTGTGTGCTCTGACCACCCCGCTTGGGACCGCTCCCCTCTCCAGCTTCCTCACAGGCCATTGAGCTCCTTGCCTTCTCATATCCTACAATATCCTTTCTCTTTCAAGCTCATAGCCTTTGTGCATGCTATTCCCTCTGCCTCGAACATTCTTCCCTCAAACTTTTGACTGTTGGTCCTACACACTGTACTTAAAAATCTCTTCCTTAGGGAGTCTGCCTCCCCCAAAACTCCCCATCTGGGACCATTTATTTGTCAGTCCCCTCTTGCCTTCCCTTTCAAGGACTGATCACCATCAGTAATGATACACAGTATGACCTTTGAACAATGGCTCTCTCCCCATTAGCGTGTATGCTCCAAGAGAGCAGGAACTCTGCCAGCCTTGCCCGCCATGCACAGAGTGTTTGGCACGTTCCCTGAAACACAGTGCTCAAGAGACATTGTGGAATCCATGTATCAATGCGTGAGCGGCCAGGAAATTTAAAGTCAGAACTGCTGAAGAAGAGCACATCAAAGATGGGATCCCAATGAGGGCACATAATGGTACCATGAAGCTATCTGACATGTTATCCTCCCAGTGGTCCCAAAGGTATAAGGCAGATGGGGCTACTCAAGCTCAGAGAGGTATGGCTATCAATTCTGGGTCACAGGGTGGGTTGGGCTGGGCCAGGATCAATGTCCCAGGCTCCTGACTCATTCTACTTAACAGTGTGCTCCCTCTGTTGACCTCACAGGGAACACTGTCATGCTGGAATTCCTACCTGAGCTCTTCCTGAGAAAGCATGAAAGAGTCTCAGACAGACTGGCTGACTTCCCCTGTAGGAAACACACATGCAGTATCTACACACAAGAGATATCTAAAAAATAACAGAGCACTGTGGTCTCCTTTCCAGAAAGCTGAAAATTTAACTGGACCAAAAAAATTTAGAGAATGCATGGAGCAAAGAAATTTAGAGAATGCAAGGATTCAAGAAAAGCAACCACACAATCAAGGGAGTGGAGAGGCCAGGGGGTTTCCCCGAAACTTCCACGAGGTAGAGGAGGATGAAACTGCATTGGAGGCAAATGGAATCACGTGCTCAAGGGCTGGAGGTGGAGATGAATGGGAGATGGGATGCAAGAGGAGTCAACCTGGGAACCCCTCCTCGTGAATCTTCATCTTAGAAAGAGAACTGGGGAACTCACACTTCTGGCCATGACGGAGTAACTGATACAAGACTAGCTTCCTGCCATATTCAACTATAAAGCTGGACAAAGGTGGTGCAGAACTGTGATTCAGGAGAGAAAACATGATGTGAGCCCCATGGTCACTCTAGCTCTCTGCTTGGGGAGCCCCTCTGGACCAGGGCAGAGAGAGGTGGAGCCCAAACATCTCAGTGAACAAAGGAGACAGTGATCTGAGTTCAGGGCTTTTGAGGTGGCTAGAATTTGCACGGCAAATTAACAAAGAAGAGAGAATTCTGCAACAAAAAGAACTCCAGAAATGTGCATATGGGCCCCCTTGAAATCTGGCTGAATACCAAACTATATTTGTGCAGATGAGTCTCCGCAAAGCCTAGCAAAAAAACAGCTAATGGGGGATGGGGGTGGGGGGGCTGTGTAGTGAGTGAAGATTCAAAAGTCACACAAGAGTAGGAGATATTTTGGAGTTCCCCCTAGCCAGAGAGGCGAGACCTTGCTCAATACTTCAGGCATTCAGCTAAGAAACGGCCAGAAAGGCCATGCCTTAGAAGAGCTGTTCTAACCCCAGAATAAGAACTATTCTAGACCTGTCCTAACACAGCTTAAAAACCAGCTTTTGAAGTATTGAGTTGATTTGGAAGTAATTAACTACCTGCCAGAACAAAACTCTTTTCAAAGGAAGACAAAATCAAGTCAACAACACAGCATTCCCAGGATGCAGCACGGAAGAAACAATTATTTTCCAGGCAACACAGGAAAATGTGACCAGTAATCAAGAGAAAAACCAATTAACAGAAACATACAGAAATGACAAGGAAAGATGAAAAATAATGAAGAGAAATAAAAATTATAAAAAGAAACCAAATGAAACTTAGATGAAAAATATGATAGCTGAAATAAAAAGTTCACTTAATGGATTTTTCTAATAAAGCAGATTAGACACCACAGAAGAGAAGATCAGTGAACTTGAAGACAGGGCAATAGAATCTATTCAAACCGAAGCACAGAAGGAAAACAAGGCTGAAAAAATGAACAGAGCTTCAGTTATCTGTAAACATTATTGATTATCAAATATCTATGTAATTAAAGTCTCAACAAGAGAGAAAAGAGAGATTAGGAAAGAAAAATATTTGAAGAAATACTGGCTGAGAATTTTCCAAATTTGATGAAAAATGTACACTCATGATCCAAGAAGCTCAATGAATCTCAAACAGGATAAACACAAATAATGAAATTGCTAAAAACTATTAACCCAAGAAATACTTAAAAGCATCCAGAGAAAAAATATACACTAAATATAGATGAATAACAATCAGAATGATCTCTGACTTTTCATCAGAAACAACTTAAGCCAGAAGACAAAGGAATGACATTTTTAAACATAAAAAAATTTATCAGCCTAGAATTCTATATCCAGAAAAAAAATCCTTCAAAAAAATATGTGAAATAAAAACATCTTCAGCTTAGAGAATCTTTCACCAATAGACCTACAATATAAGAAATGTTAAAGGAAGTTCTTCAAGAATTAAAGAAAATGATAATTGATGGAATTCAGATGTATACGAAGGAAAGAAAAGCAAACAAAATGGAAAATAAGTAAATATAAAAGGCATTTTCTAATTTCTCAGTTACTTTAACAAATTACTGTTTAAAGCTAAAAGAGTAATTGTTGGGTTTATAACACACATAGGCATAAATGTATGATAAAAATAGCACAAAGAACAGGAGGGCAGTAAATGGGAAGTATGCCATTGTAAAGCTTTTATATTATATGTAATGTGTTATGATATAAATTCGTGGTGGACTGTAACATATGAAACATGTATATTATAAATCATAGAGAAACCACTAAAGAAAAAGAGTTATGGCTAGAAAGCTAAGAGGCATTTTTAAAAAATACTTGATTAATACTAAAGAAGGCACGAAAATAAGAAAAAGATGAACAAGAACAAATGGGACAAATAGAAAAAATGCAAGATAGTAAACTTAAATCTAACCATATTAATATAGTATATTAAATGTAAATGAATTAAACATTTCAATTAAAAGGCAGGGATTACCAGACTGGATAAAGAAAGGCATAAGAACCAACTATATATACATACTTCAAATACAAAGATAAAGGTAGATTAAAATAAAATGATGAAAAGAGATATACTATGCAAATACTAATCCTAAGAAAGCTGTCATGGCTTACAGTAACAGACAAAGGAAATTTCGGGACAACAGGCATTACCAGAGATATAGAATGGCATTGCACTACTTTATAAAGGGTCAATTCATCAAGGCATAATGATGCTAACTGTGTGTACCTAATAACAAAGGTTCGAATTACATAAATTGAAGACTGACAAACCTAAAAGGGGAAATAGACAAATCCACCATTAGAGTTGAGAATTTTGATGCTTCTCTCTCAGAACTTGGTAAGACAAACTAATTAAAAAAGAAAGTGGGAAAGAGTATAGAGATTTGAACAGCATTATCAACCAACTTGGCCTAACTGACAATACGAGATGCCTTTTTTTTTTTTTTTTTTTTGGTCAAGTGGACATGAAACCGCAGCAGAAGAGACCATAAGGTAGGTCATAAAACTTATCTCAATGAATTTTGAAGACTGGAAAATACAGAATATGTTCTCTGACCACAATGGAATTAAGTTAGAAGTCAATAGCAACAAAAAATCTGGATAATTCCCAAATATTTGGAAATGGAATATATTTCTAAATAATCCTTCCTACAAAGAAAACTTCAGGCTCAAAAGCTTAACTGTTGAATTGTATAGAATACTTACATAAAATAATACCAATTCTATATAAACTCTTCAGAAAATTGAAGAGGAGGGAGTACTCTTCCCAATTCTATGAGGCCTGCAATACTCTGATACCCAACGAGACGAGAACATTACAAGAAAAGAAAATTGTACTGCTGGTTGGAATGTAAAATGGCACAACTACTTTGGAAAACAACATGGCTGTTGTTAAAAGTTAAACAACCATCTACCATATGATCCAGTCATTCCATTCTTAGGTAATTACCCAAGAGAAATAAAAGCATTTTTCCTTACAAAGGCTTGTACACAAATGTTCATAACTGCTTTATTTGTATTAGCTCCAGAACTCTAGCCAGAAATACTCTAAATATCCACCCATAAATGAACAAAGTAATTGTGGCATGTATATCTGGAAATGGAATACTACTCATCATCAGTTAAAAGAGAATGAACTACTGATACATGTAAGCATAGATGAATCTCAAAATAATTATGCAGAGTGAAAGAAGCCAGACCTCTCCCTTCAAAAATATATACTTACATACTGTAAGATTCCATATATGTAAAATTCTAGGAAACGCAAACTAATTTACAGTAATAGGAAGCAGATTAGTGTTTGCCTCGGGATGGGGAAGTGGTAAGCAAATTACAAAAGGGCATGAGAAAACTGTTGGGGGTGATGGGTATGTTAATTAGATTGTGGTGACCGTTTCATGGGTGCATGCATAGGTCAAAACTTATCAAACTGTACACTTTAAATAACAGGCACTTTATTATATGACAATATACTTCAATCAATATTTAAAAACTTCACCAGAAATATTCATTTTCTTAATTATGACCTTCATTAACACACCACTGATTAAATATAGGCATTCTGCTAATCCTAGGACTGTATTTCCCTGCCCTTGAGGAGACAGTTTTGGGAGTGATATCAAAAGGAAGTAAAATCCTGAAGAATTTTAGATAGAAGTGAGAGGAAAACATGTTCTTAAAAACAAATTACTCTATAAACTAACCTTGGATCGTTAAGTAATTTAGATGCCTAAGCAAGAACTTGATTGTGGGGTTATTCCACAATGTATACATATGAAATAATCAAGTTATACAACTTAAATATACCCTATTAAGAAAAAACAGAAGCTTCAAAGAAGGAAGTCATTTTATCTGGCAAAGAATAATCATCCCCAGGTTGTAACTTTCTTCAGTTCATTTTACAGTTTGACTTTCTGATATTCTTAACGTGTTTTAATAAAGTATAGGAATGGTGAATTTTTTTTAAGTCTATGTAATTCACCAGTACTAACAAAAGAGAATATAAGAATCCACAGAATCACCTCAAAAGATGGAGGAAAAAAACATGCAACATCAATTTATAAGAAAAACTTTTAATAAACTATAAATAAGAGGTAACTTATTCAACTGATAATGGGCATCTATAAAAACCTACTTTAGCTAACACAATGCTTAACAATAAAAAACTGAACTCTATGATTGGGAACATGGCAAAAAATATTCACTAATTTCTTCTATTCAACATTGTACTGGAGGGACCTAACCAGAATAGTGAGGAAGAAAAAAAATAAAAAGAATACAGATTGGAAGGAAAGAAATAAAGCTGTCTTTATTTGTGGATGACATCAATATGCAAAAGAAAATCCAAAAAAATCTAAAAAAATCTATTAGAACTAATAAGTAAATTTAGCTAATTTGCAATACACAAATTCAATACACAAAGATTGATTTTTTTATAGGCAATAGCAACAGACAATTGGAAAATTAAATTTAAAAGTCATGGTAGTGTCACAAACCATAAAATACTTGGAGATATGGAATGAAATATGTGCAAGACTTCTCTGAAAAGTACAAACTGCTCCTGAGAGAAACTAAACAAGCCCTAAATACTTGGGGAAATATACCATGTTCATGGATTGGGAGACCCAATATTATTGTAATGATGATTCTCCCCAAATTGATCTACAGATTCAATAGAATCCCAAACAAACTCCAAGTTGCATTTTTTTGGTAGAAATTAGAGAAGACTCTAACATGAATATGGAAGAATAAAGTTTCTAGAATAGCCAAATAGTCTTAAAAAATAACAATGCTGAAAAACTAAGAGCAGCTGATTTGAGACTTACTAGAGAGCTATAAGTAAAATCATGTGGAATAGGCATAAAGATAAACAAACAGGCCAACGGAAGAGAAAAATACTTACACATTCAAATAACTTTCCACAAAAGTACCAGTGCAATGCAATAGGGAAAGATAATCTTTTCAACACATGATGTTGTAACAACCAGGTATCTGTATGGAATAAAATGAGTCTCAACTCATACCTCACATCATTTGAAAAGTTAAGTTGAAATATATCACAGACATAAATGAAAAAGCTAAAATTACAAGGCTTCTAAAAGATAATAAAACAGGGTATCTTTACCATTTTGAGGTAGGCAAGGATATCCTTGAGGTAGAACCCAAAAAGCACTAACAATAGAAAAAAATGATAAACTGGACTTCATCAAAATGAAAGACATCTGTTCATCAAATGATGCTGTATGAAAATCAACTGGCATGCCAGAGACTAGGAGAAAAATCCACAGTACATGTATCTGGCAAAGAACCCAGGCCTACTGGAATATAGAAAGAACTCCTACAACTTAATAATAAAAAAGACAAACAGCCCAACCAAATAAATGGGCAGAAGACCTAAAGAGACAATTTCCAAAGTAAAATATGTAAGTGGCCAATAAGTAAATATAAAGATGTTCAACGTCATTAGTTATCAGGAAAATACAAATTAACACCACAGTGAGACTCCACTATCCCCTCACTAGAATAGCTGAATTAAACAGACCAATACCATCGAATGTTGGCAAGAACATGGAGCAAGTGGAACTCACAGGCACAGCTGGCAGGAGTGAAAGATGCTATGGTCATTTTGGAAAATGGTTTGTCACTTATTAAAAAGTTAAACATACTATTCCCCATGACCCAGTCATTCTACTCCTTGGTATTTATCCAAAGAAATGAACACATATGCCCACAAAATCCTCATATAAGCATTTTCATAGCAGCTTTATTTATAATAGCCTAAAGCTGGAAACAACCCAAATTAACAGGTAAATGGCTAACAAACGGTATTTTCATACAATAGAACATTGCTCAGAAGTAAAAAAGAATGAACAACTGATACATATGAGAATATGATAAAATATGAATCTTAAAAACATTCTGCTGAGCAAAAGAAGTCAGACATAAAAGAATATAGATTCTATGACACTAATTCTAAGAAATTCTTCCACAGTCAGTCTATGTCCTTATGGACACTCACCAGACCCAGAGTCTCAAGTCCCAGCCATGGATACCACCTGATGAAGCCCTCAAGTCCAGCCCCTGCCTCCACAAGAAGTCCATTGGCACACAAATCTCTAACACCAGAGGCCACTGCAGGAGCTATCTCTTGGACAGCCTTGGATAAATAATTCTCTCTTGAATCTAGGCTAAATCTCTCATGCTGTATTTTAAACACAGATGATCCCTGAGTCCCCAGACTTCAGTAGGTAACAGAGAGATTAATTCAACAAGCAGATACAGGAAGAAAGAAAGAGAGTTCATAATAGAAAGCAAAAGAAAGTGAGGAACACAGAAAGAAAAGTAGACAGCCCTTCAGGAGAGATGCACCAGGCTGTCAGGGAAAAACTTAGGGTGGAAGAGACACACCCCTTTCTGCTTTACCATCTGACATGGGATGTAGGATAGCTTCATGGTTGAGTGTGGGCCTGGAGCCTGCCTGCCGGAATTCAAAGCCAAGCTCCCCATCTTACTAACTCCATGGCCTTACTCAACTTGTCCCAGGAAGCACTGAAGATAGTCTCCAAAGGCTGAACTCAAGGTTATAGTCTGGCCTTGTAGCTAACACCTCACTGAAAGTGCATTCTGGGTAGCATCCAGCCTGGGCACCAGGGAGCAGGGCAGTTGCTGCTTCACTGGAGAACAAACATGGCTGCCCTGTACCTGCTTATGGAAAGCTGGATCTCCAGAGGGGCACAGGCCATGGTGTTCAAGCCCGACCACAGCCCTGCTGCCTGGGCATCAGCACCACAAGTGGGTCAACTGGACAGTCGGTGCCTACCCAGTGGAATCCTGCATCCTCTCTCTCCACACAAGATCTGGCTCTATGGCGGGTACTGAATGACCTATATAGCCCAGGCTGGGAAGTGGAATGGATTCTTCTAGTGGGGCCATAGCAGGTACCTCATGTCAGAGATGTCTATAATCCAGATCCTGGGCTGAAAAGACCTTAAACAGCTTTCACAGATGGGAAAAGAGCCCAGAGAAGGAAAGCAACAGGCACAAGGTCACAGAGCAGTGAGGGGCAAGCAGGGATGAGAATCTCAGCCCAGTGCTCGACCTCAGGACTGGAGTTCTCACCCACGGGAAGACCCCTCAGCCCCTGCCACTCTGCCCAGAGGGGAGGAATTCCTGGGGAAGCTACCTACACCACCCTCCAGGCTCTGAATACTTCTCCCTCCCTATCCAATACCCTTGGTATCCCAACAGCAGGGCTCTAGGAGGGACCTGGGCCTTCCCAGACTATAAGGGGCTTCAGCCCCCAGTGACCTTCTGTAAACCCTCCCTCTCTGTTTGGACCAAAGTCTTCCCATCCACAGAATGGGGAGAGGGATCCCCACAGCTCTGCTGTGAGAAACAAAACCAGCAACACTTCCAAAAACGCTGCTAAACATCCAGCCCTACTGCCCTGAGACTGCACAAGCCCCACCCCTGTCAGACTTTGGTTTCTGCACCTGCACATGAAAGAGAGGGAGGCTGATGGGCCCCCTAGCTCATATACTCGGGGATCTGAGGATGGAGACCCCTCAAATATCCAGAAAAGGAGCTGGGAAATCAGTAAGGTAGGCTCACGGGCACCAGGAGGATGGAAGGTGAGGATGTCACTGTGGGAAGGGCCCTTAGAGCCCCTTCCTTTCCCAGTCAGAGTGGGAGATGGTGGTCCAGGGTCAGGACGCAGCCTGCCCCAGGTCACAAGCAGGCCTGGGACTCAGCTGGGATTAACAGCCAGGGCTTGACTCCCAGCTCAGGGTTCCTGCCACCTCCTTAGCTTCCCACCATCAAGGACCAAGAGGGAGCTTTCCTGTCCAGTTAACCACGCCCCTAGCCCGGGCTCCTTCATGCATCTGTTCAGACTGAAGCTGCATCATGCGGAACTGGCTTTGGGGGTGGAGATTCATAAACCTTGTGATGTAGCGGTACCTAGAAGAGGGCCACAGCAGGACTTGGACAAGTGATGTCCACCCTCCTCACCCCAATCATGTGGGCACAGGACTCTGAGTCCACTAAGGGAGGGCTCGGACTCTGCTCTGGCTTAAGAGGGGGACTTCTCAGCTATGCCGGCCACTGTAGACAGGTGGCCCTGGGTCAGACATAATACCTAAAGACTGACCCAGAACTGAGCTCACCTTGCTTTCACCATTTCCTGGCCAAATTCCAGAGGCCTGGCCAACGGCTGGCCCACCCTGTCCCGGGTCCCCCAACCCCCATCCCTACCGGGAGGAGGTACTCACTGATGGGGGCGTGTAAGGCCACATGCTCCTGGTAGGGAGTGTAGTACTTGTACTGTTTGCCGCAGAATTCACAGGTGTAATTGCCAGTTTCTGTCCAGGAAGGAAACGAAGGTGTAAGAATGTGCAACTGGCCTCCACCAAGAAGCATCAGCGTGCTCCCACCCCCCAAAAAACTCCTCCCCATTCTGGGACCATCAACTAGAATCAATTCTGACTCTGGAGTTAGAAGACCCCTATTCAAATCCCAGCTCAGACATTTCGAGCTGGGTAACCTCGGGCAAGTCTCTTAACCTCTCTGTGCCTCAGTTTTCCTATCTATAAAACGGAGGTCATAATAGGACCACCTTGTAGGATTGCTGTGAGGATTAAATTTAGATGGCAAGTGCTTAGAACAGTACCTGGCACATCGCTCCACCCCAGACCCGGTGCTCAAGAAGTGTGCTGACCTCCAACACCAACCTCTTCGTCAGCCCCTTTGCAAGCCCTGCCCTCTGCAGTGGCCACACCCGGGGTCCCCTCATCTCCAGGACCTTCCCTGCCCCCAAGCACCCCCCACCCACTAGCAGCAGGGGTCACTTCTTCCTCTCAAGTCCCACCCGACTTTATCTTTACCTCTCTTTTGGCACTGCCTAACTTCTTTCTTCTTAAAAATGTCTGATGTAATATTGTTCACTGGGGGAAAATTATAAAATACTGATAAATACAAATACAGAATAAAAACTAAAGAGAAATTTCAATCATCTGTAACCCCCAAACAAAGAGCAGCATCTACCCCCTTGGGGGAGGGTGCCCTGGTCCCCACTCTTCATTCTGTCTCATCTGGGGTGCGCTTCTCTCACTGATAACACCTGTCTGGCTCCTGTGAGCCCTGAATTAGCCAGTCCTGATCAATATCCTCTTTGTAATCTGGTGTATTCAACCGACATTACTTTGTGGACATCTTGCCCAATCAATAAATATTGATCTCTACTGCATCTATTGGCTGCATGGTTCCCACTGGACTTTGGAATTTGCTGAGCCAGTCCCCTACACCAAGGGACATTGAAATTGTTTCAAAATTTTTTCCCTATTAAGAAAAATGCTGTGACTCATGTTTTTATAGAAATTTTTGCACATTCACCCATTAATTTTACACATTATCACAAAATAAAGGCTATTCCATATAATCTTTGCACATTATTTCCTGTGGAAAAATTCAAGAGAGGGAAAGGGTATGTATTTTTAAGGCCTTTGATAATCATAGCACCATCATCCCAACCAGAAAGGTATGAAAATGACTGTTTATGCATACTACAGCCAGCATTAAGTATTATCATCTTCTTACATTCTGCCTATCTGATGAGAAGAACTATATTACACTGATTTTACTTTCCATTTCTTTGATTTCTAAGGAAATTGATTATTTTTCATGTTTAATTAACTATTGTTTTTCTTTTGTGACTTTCCTTTTGTGTTTACAGCCAGCATTTCTACAGGCATATTGACATTTATGAAATGGCTAAACTCTTTGTAGATTAAGGATATCAACATTTTGTTATATGTGTTAAAATTAATTTGTTCTTAATTGGTTTATTAGTCTGTTTATGGTTTTTCTCTCCTGCTATAGAATTTTTAGTAGTTAAATAATTTTTGTAACTGATTCATAAACATTGGAAATGGTAAGTTACTTGCTCTCGGTAGGATTCAGTTATTACATCAACTGTATTAAATATATTATTTAAATTCTATACAACCTTGTTTGTCTACTTGCTCTGTCAAAGACTAAATATTGTGATAAATCTTTCCACTTCACTGTATTTCTAAATTTATTTTGTATATTTGGAAACAATGTTGTTTGATACCTAAAAGCTCATGGGATCAAAATCTTCACTGTGAACTATATTTAGTAACATAAAACTATTTTCCAACACAGTGCTTCTCAAAGTGCGGTCCCTGGACCAGCAACATCAGTATCACCTGGGAACCTGTTAGAAATCCAAATTCTTAGGACTCACCTAAGACCTACTGAAAAAAAAATTCTAGGTGTTGTGTCCTGCAATCCATGTTTTAACAAGCCCTCCAGAAAATTCTGATGTGTGGGAAAGCTTGCTGTAACATTTAATTATTCCGTTTTATTAGTTTGTCTGGCATAAATAATTTGATAATTTGTCAGACCCTGATCTATTTGTTTACATGTACCTGAAGACATGTCCCTATATTTTCTCGTACTGTCATTCATTAAACAGGTACTGTGCTAAGTGCTGGCACAAAATGCTAAGCAAAAACAGGCAAAGTTCTTGCCTTCAAGGAGTTTACAGTCTAACAAAAGGAGATCAAAAAATCAAAGAAACACTCAGACAAATTTAAAACTCCATCCACAGTAAGTGCTCTCAAGGAGACATATGCAGTGCTATAAAAACCCATGATAGGGAATTTAATCTAGTTCTGGAAGTAGGAAAGAGAAGCTCAAGTGCAGAGTAAAGATAAGGAATTAACCTTGTCTCTAATACACCATTAATAACTGGATTATTTTAAATCAACCTCACAAGCTTTGCCTTCTAATAAAGGAGATTATGCCATTTGCTTTTATTGCTATAATTGATTTGGTTTTACAAGTCTTGTTCATGCTCCACCTTTTCTGATTGCTGCCTTAATTCCCACTTGTTTGATATATGAACTCTATATTTTTCCATTATTCTCTGATATTCCATTATTTTCCAATTTTCTCTATTGTTTTAGACAATTAGACAGTATATAAGATATATTTCTCTAATTGTTAATAGTCAAGTGGGAAATAGCATTTTTCTGTCTATCACCATGGAGAAAGATAGTTTAAACCAGTGTTTCTCAAACTTTAGCATGTCAAAGAATCATCTGGAAAGACTGTTACAACATAGCTTGCTGGAGAAATTCTCATCCTGTAGGTCTGGAGTAGGGCCTAAGAATATACATTTCTAATAAGCTTCCAGGAATGCTGCTCTGCTGGTCTGGAGCCACACTATGAATAGGAAGGCTTAACCTACTTTACTGTAAGCCCTCCCCAATTCCTCCTTCCTTTTAAAAAAATAAAACCCTGGCTGGGTGTGGTGGCTCACGCCTGTAATCCCAGCACTTTGGGAGGCCGAGGCAGGTGGATCACAAGGTCAGGAGATCAAGACCATCCTGGCTAACACGGTGAAACCCCGTCTCTACTAAAAATATAAAAAAATTAGCCAGGCGTGGTGGCGGGCGCCTGTAGTCCCAGCTACTTGGGAGGCTGAGGCAGGAGAATGGTGTGAACCCAGGAGGCGGAGCTTGCAGTGAGCCGAGACTGCGCCACTGCACTCCAGCCTGGGCGACAGAGTGAGACTCTGTCTCAAAAAATAAAAAATAAAAAATAAATAAAACCCTCATTTTTAATATTTTAGAATAATCTGCCTTCTGCAATTTTATAATCAGATTTGGAACATTTTAAACTAACTTCTAGTTTATCTTGTTTTACTACTCACAGTTCCTCTTATACTATGAATTTCTCACAATTGAGTCTTTACATGTACTCTACAACTTAGTTCATCAGAGTATATCTTCAAATAATTTTGTGAAGATGGGTACACAGAAAAAAAATACGTTTTTAAGTCCTTGCTTTTCTCTTTACACACAAACCACAATTTGTCTAGATATAAAATTCTTAGATTACAACTTTTTCCCTTCAACACTTATCCATTATCTTCTAAGATTTAGTATTGCAGAGAAGTCTGAGGCAAGTCCACCTTGAATTCATGTATAGGTAACCTACTTTTTTATGCCTGAATGCTTATATAGGTTTTTTTTTTTTCCTATAGTTTTAAAAAGTCACTGAGATCTATGTAGGTACAGGTCTCTTTATATCGAATCTATCTGATACATGATGATTATGCAGATATTAAATCTGCATATACAGGTCTTCCTTTAGCTAAGCAAATTTTTCTTCTATTAGATCTTAGGAGCACTGTTTCTGGCCACTGGTACTATAACATCAATTATCTGAAACCGGCTCCCTGTTCTCCCCATTTATCATATTTTCCTCTCATTATCTTCATCTGTTCAAGTTCATCCTTCACATCACTAATTCCAATTTTGCAGATAAACTCGGCTCTTTACTACATAGAATGTAGGTTTTAATTCTGTTCTTACGTTTTCTGCTTCCCTGAAATCCTTCCTCGTCTCACTCCTCTCTCTTTGCTTTCTTATTCTGTTGCTTTTTCACCATACAACTTCTGGCTCCCTTTTCACAGGGGTCATGCTATGGACTGAACTGTGTCCCCATCCTCAAATTCATATGTTGAAACTCTAACTCCTAATGTGATAGCATGTGGAGATGGGGCCTTTGGGAGGTAGGCAGGGTTAGATGAGGTCATAAGGGTAGGGTCCCCACCATGGGATTAGTGCCCTTATTAGAAGAGAGGCCAGAAAGCTTGCTCTCTCTCTCTTTCACCATCATGTCCAGACATATGGTGACCATCTGCAAGCCAGGAGGAGAGCCCTCAACAGAAACCCGCCATGCTGGCACCCTGATCTCAGGCTTTCCAGCTTCCAGAACTGTAAGAGATAAATTGTTCAGACCACCCCGTCTGTAATATTTTGTTGTGGCAGCCTAAGTGGATGTGTAAGGTCATATTTTCTTACATGAGATGGAGGTTGTCAAACAGAATGGTCTTCTAGATTTTGTGGTAGATCATTTTCAGGTGTTCTCTTCTCTGAGTCTCTTAAATTCTCTTTTTCTTGTTATGTGGAATTTACATAGTTCTCTCTTTTTTTTTTTTTTAACTATTCAAGTGACTCTTCCTTATTCAGGCATAAAAATCAAGTAACCCATACATGACTCCAGACTTACTCTGTTTCAACAGACCACACAAATGAGTTTTCCTTGATTCTCCCTCTGCCCATTATCATGGAAGTAATTCTTGGATATGCAGATGAAGAGCGAGTTAACCCACAAGGCTTCTTGGACCAACTCTCTCTTTTCTAGCAGGATTCTCTGCTCTGTCATTGCCTGGGCTTCTTCCAACCTAAGTACCTAATTCTCTAATGTGCTCAGCTGATGCTGATGTGAAAGGTGTACTTCCCAGCACTCACTCCTGCCAGGGTGTTTCTTCTTCCTCTGACTACAGAGCTTTACTTGGGCAATCAGTCCCTTCAGAACACGTGTGCCTCTACTGGCTAATCGTTTTTCGCGTTCTGTGGCATTGGCCTGCTTATACGTAGCAGGAGCCGAAGAAGCAACGTTTTTGTCTCACAAGGCAGCTCCTGAGTGGCAGCAAGGGATGGTCTCACACCACACCAGCAATCTCAGCTCCATTCAGTCCAGCTGGGAGCACGCTGGCAGCCAGACCCAGTCTGATATTCTCAATGCAATTCTACACTCCTAATAATTTGATTAATTCCTCCCAGGTCCTGGCGTTGGCTGTCTGTCAGACTTAGTTACAGATACAGAGAACACACTTCATCTTGTTCTGCATCTTCCTGGGTAATTAAAGGTACCACTTATTTAATGCTTTGCATGCATGTGTAAGGACTATGCTAATTCTTTTACAAATATAATCTCATCTAAGCCCCATGACAATCCTGAAAGGTGAGTTTTATTGTCATCAGCCCATTTAGAGGTAGAGAAACTATGGATTAGACAGATTAGAAAACTGGTAGGACATCATGCAGCTATTAAGTGTCGAGCTGGGAGTCCTATTTCGGTTGGCTCTAAAACTCTTGCCCTTGACTCTTTCTCAGTAACAGGTCTCCCTACACCTTGGATATGAGCCAGGTGCTTGGTGAGACATTTTGTGTGTGTGTGCTCCAACAGCACTGGAAAATTCAGAGATGTGCTTGTCCGCAACTTATGGGATACTCACAAGGGGTAGGGAGCTAGTAAGCTGGTGACAACAGCATTCAAACCTAAGCCTGTCTGATTTCAAAGCCCATCTTCCTAAGGAAAATGACACGGTTGGAAGAGCAGCAGTACACTGGGACCACTGCCAGATCCTAGATAGATACTCAACGGGGAGGTCACAGATCCTCTGTTCCTGTCCTATATCTGCCTATGAATGTCTGTCATAGTCACCAAACTATGAATTCTTTGGAATTATTTTTTGAGATGGAGTCTTGCTCTGTCACCAGGCTGGAGTGCAGTGGTGCAATCTCGGCTCACTGCAAGCTCTACCTCCTGGGTTCAAGCGATTCTCCTGCCTCAGCCTCCCAAGTAGCTGGGACTACAGGCACATGCCACCACGCCCGGCTAATTTTTGTATTTTAGTGGAGATGGGGTTTCACCATGTTGGCCAGGATGGTCTCAATCTCCTGACCTTGTGATCCACCCGTCTCGGCCTCCCAAAGTGCTAGGATTACAGGCGAGAGCCACCACGCCCAGCCTGAATTCTTTGAATGCTGCAAATATGCCTGATTCACATCTGTGTTTCCCCTGTACCGTCTAACTTCTCGTATTTGAGCACTGAGGGTTTCATCATATTCTTCATCTTTTTTTTTTTTTTTTTTGAGACAGAGTCTCACTCTTGTCACCCAGGCTGGAGTGCAGTGGCACAATCTCAGCTCAATGCAACCTCCACCTCCCGGGTTCAAGTGATTCTCCTGCCTCAGCATCCCAAGTAGCTGGGGCTATAGGTGTGCGTCACCACACCTGGCTAATTTTAGTAGTGACGGGGTTTCGCCATATTGGCCAGGCTGGTCTTGAACTCCTGACCTCAGGTGATCCGCCCATCTTGGCCTCCCAAAGTGCTGGGATTACAGGTGTGAGCCACCGTGCCCGGCCATATTCTTCATCTTTAAGATGATTTTTATGCTCCTGCTTATCGAGTGTTTACTATGCATGTGACAGCACTGTGCTGACCACTTTATAGACATTATCTCATCTTCAGTTTCCTGAATGCTTTCAGAAGAGTTAAGAAGAAAGCAAAGAATCATCCCATGACCACAGACAAGGGATGAGGAAGAAAAAGCATTTGGGGGAGGGGGAGGGAACCCACCCAACCCCTTCCAAGAGCTGGGATCGAGCTCTGCCCTGAGGAACGTATCCAACTTAGTGTTTCAGCTCCTCTGATTTTCCTTCACTCAGATATCCTCATCTGCTTGTTCTGTTTTTGTGTATATTTTTACAAGCTGCCTTAGATCCTTATTGGAAGGAAGCAGAGACCATAAAGGTCTCTTCTTGCTGGGTAGTAAGTGAGGTACAGAAAACAGAGAGATAAATAGCAGGTATGGCAATTCCTGAACAGCTGGAAAGGACAAGTCTCACTCACTTGTGGTCCCACGGCACCTGCCCTGGGCTGGCCACCCAGCCCCTCCCAATCTATCTTCCTCCCAGCAGCAAAATGGGGCTTCCTAAAATGCAAATTGGATCAAGTCCCTTCTCCACTTAGTAAAAACTCTCTGGCTCATTCTCCTGAGGATGCTGCCTGCTGGCATTCAAGGCTCTGTAAGACCTGAAGCCATCATCGATTTTCGGGACCAGCAGGGCTCTCCAGCCTTGGCATGGGATGCTGGGGCTCATCCCCTACCCTCGTCCCCATCTGAAAGCTTCCAGCATTCCCTCAGGCCTCCCACAGCTCCCTGCAAGCTATGTTGGAACTATCTGTTCAATGATCTGCTGTCCCCACCCCCAAGCCCCATCTGAATTACCCAAGGGCAGGACCACATGTGTCCTGTTCTCAGCTGTGTGCCCACAACACTCAATACAAGTTTATCAAAAACAGGCCAGACGTGTGTGGCTCCTGCCCTCAAGGGGTGTCCTGGGACAGAGACAGAGAGTCTGCCTGTGGCTGCCCTGGACAGCTCATTCACTGATAGGCCCCTTCAGGTGACTACGACGTGTTATTTTCCGAGCACCTACTATGTACCAGGCACTGTGCTAACAAGTGGTTCACATCCAGGATCTCATTTAATCCCCCAACAAACCTGTGGGGAAATGTCATCCTCACTCCACAGGTGGGGAGGCTGAGGTTCAGGATGGCTAACAGACCATGAGGACACCAAGCCTGTAAGCAGTAGCGCCAGGACTCAGCCCCAGCCTGGCTGCCTTCACTGTCCTGACCTTGACCCTGTGCTGCCCTGCTGCTCCTCGAAAGCTCCAGTCCTAACACTGACTGGCCCAACTGACAGGTTGGGCACCATTGCTGCAGTTAAGTGATGCCACCCACTGCTACCCCTGCCCTAGCAGTGAGACTGAGCCCTGCCTCCCTTGGCCAGCCCCCACCCAGCCCTTGGCCCCAGAGGGAATCCCGCATACTTGGCCCGATTTTCTGGAATGGCTCCGGGGGCTCCTCCTTCACCTCGTCCGTGGCCACGACACCTTGGTCGAAGGGGTCTGTGGGAGAACACACGGCCCTTAGCACCCTGGTCCCCCAGGTCTCAGGAGCCCAGCCGGGGACAGGGGAGGTGACAAGCAGACACCAAGGACTTACCTGCCCGGTTCTCAGGGGCCCCTTCCACACTAAACACTGCGCCCGGGCAGGAGGCGGCAGCCGCAGAAGGAAAGAAACAAACAGGAGCCCTGTTAGTCCCTGCCCAGAGCTGCCTCTGCCACTGCTCCCAGCCCCTATCCCCATGGGTTTGCCTTGGGGCCCAGGAGGGCTGCCGTGGCCACTGTGGAAGCCCCCCAAAACCAGGACAACACGAGGATACATCCCAACCAGGACACAGCCTGGGCCTCAATCCCTCGTCCTCACTAGGATGGGCACCCATCCATGGTACAGGCAGACAGTTTGCCTGGATCTGTTTCTGATTGCCATCATGGGTTCAAGGGGCCAGGGCAGGAGAAAAGAGGAAGAGATTGGGAGGAGAGAGAAAGACGAGGTGAGAAAAGAGATGGGCCAGTGGTAACAGGTGGTGGGCCTGGTTGTCACAGCTCAAGATGGGCTGAAGGTGTGGGGCTAGACGGGGAACCCCTAAGGCCCTTCCAAGGTCTAAGACCCTCTTTCTAGGATTTTTGAGACTCAAATATGTGTTGGCTAAATGTATTATTCTAATTTCTAATTGTATAATCTAAGATGCTAAAAGGCCATCATTCGTTTTTTAAAACCGGTTTAATTTAATCAGAACATGCAAATGCTCAATATGAAACTACAAAATGACTCGATACGAAATTCCAATATTCTACTGATTTTGACCTATAAAAATGGCAATTTCACTTGGGTTAACCTAAATAGAAGTGTATGTGGAGTATGATGGTGACGTTCCCGCCCCCAGAATCCTCCAGGGCTGGTCATTCCCCTCATGGTTCCAGCTACTGCCTGGCCTTTTTCTGGGTAAGAGGGAGGAGGGAGGCGGGGAGGGCTGGGGGCTGGTGTCTCCAAGGAAGGGCGCCTCTTGGCATGACTCCAGGGAGTGAGGGGCCTGACTCACCATCCACTGCGTGCAGGTCTCGGTGCTCTTGGAAACAGCTGTAGTATTTGTACTTCTTCCCGCAGATATCACATGTGTACCTGAAATTGTCTGCATGGGATGAAAACACACACCTGGTTACCAGGGCTTCAGTCTTGTGGGGTGGGGTTTTTCTGGCCAGATCATCTCAGAAACCAAAGATGAAACTAGCCCAGTCTGGCTAGCGGAGGGAGGAAGCAGTCTCTCATTTTACACATGAGGAAACTGAGGATCAGAAGGGATTTGCCCCAAGGGCACAGCCGGGAGGGCCGGTGATGAGCAGCCTTGGGGACAGCACCCAGGGCTCCTTGCCTCTTGATGCTCATGCCCTACATCACCCCTTCCCTGTGAGTCTGGACTAGACCTGGTAACTGACTTCTAATGAACAGAATGCAGTAAAAGTGACAGAATATCACTTCTGAGGGTAGCTTACAAAAGACTGGGACTTCTGTCTCAAGCATACCTTCTCTGTCCAGGTCACACCTGCTGGCTGCTGGGTTGTGAGCTGCCCCATGAGAGACACAGGTGACCAGGAGCTGAGGGTGGCCTCTGGTGAACAGCCAGTGAGGCCTTCAGTCTAAGAGTGTGGGAAGGACAGAACCCTAGCAGGGTTGTTAAACCTGCTAGCAACCACATGAGTGAGTTTAAAAGCAGTTCTTTCCCCAGTTGAGCCTTGAGATGAGACCACAGCCCTGGCCAAGTCCATGCCTGCAGCCAGGGAAAGACCCAGCGCCAAAGGACCCAGCAAAGCCATATCCAAATTCTTGACCCTAGAAACTGAGGGATAATCAATGCTTGTTGCTTCCAGTCATTAAGTTTTAGGGACATCTGTTACACAGCAATAGGTAACTAACATGAGGTTGGAGTTTGGATGATCCCCTGGGTCTACCCAACATCTGAGGCTGAGGCTGGACACAGGACATTACCCCCTCCACAATGGCACACTCTAACGTTTGCACTGGCACGAACCTCATGTGTGTGTTCCTTGGGCTGATGTAGGGAGGGCCTATCAATCCCATCACCCCAGGCACAGGGAGGCTTGGTGATATGCTCAAGGCTGCCCGGTGTGGGGAGGGGAAGGGAGAGCTAGGATTCAAACATTCACTAACTCCAAGCTAAGGCTGAGTCAGGGCATGTGGCCCTTCTCTGTCTGAATAAGCTGCAAATCAGTACTGGGTTGGGGTACCTCTCTCCTGGTCCCCCTCCTGTCCCTCAGAACCCAAATACAGGATCTGATGCAATCCTCTACCACAAGGTTACGCTGCCAGGTAATTCCGTGGGAAGGTTTCTGGCCCCACCTTCTGAACTTAGGGACACAAATGGCATTAGCCACCTCTCCCTCCCACCACCAGCTTCACCTCTTCGTATTCTCTGAAAATGCCTTAGCAGGTGCCAGAGCCCCAGACACAAACTGGTCCCTGAGCAAGGAGCCACAGGTTCCTTGGAGACATTCTGAGGATGCTGGATACCAGAATCATCCAAGAAAGAGGTGGCAAGGTGTGGGGCAGGAGAGGCTGGTCCTGCTTCCTTGTTTTCCCCCATAATTTGGGGAGCTGGGAAAGGGATGTAGATGAGCTGATTCCTGGGGCCTCTCCCAGGATGGTGGTTCTAGGATTCTGTGCCTGGCCCAGGCTTTAATCCTTTCATGTAGCCAGCAATCAACTTAGACAACTTCCCCATCAGGTCCCGTCCAGACCATGGTCCCCAGTGTCTCTTTTGCAACCCTGCCTTCTGTGCAGGACACCTGCCCAGGAACAGAGACAGAGAAGTCAAGGCCACCTGGGGTCTGGTTCCAGACTGGGCTCTGCCTTGACATTCCTCTCCTAAGCTGACCACTGCTACCCGCCATCTGCCGCCACCTGCCCACTTGCTTGTCTCTACCCAGCCTCCCTGGCCAGCTGGGCCTGACCCCTCACTTCAGGGCCACATCTGTTACCTCCAATAAAACGTGAGCCCCCAGGTTTCTGCTGCTGAGAATACCCCCACCCTGCTCTGACACCGTGACATCTCTTTGACATGGATGGGGAGCCCGCTCCCAGGTCTTCGTCAGTCAGGAAATGATTAGGCCAAGAGGGTTATCCCCAAAAAGGAGAGCAGAATCATTTTTTTGTCAGTGAAAGCACGTTTTCAGAACCGCTGCATTTTCAGACACGAGAGCTCGGTGTCTCTTAGATGCCACTGTGAATCCGTTCAGGGAGGCAGGCTCTGGATTCATGCTGCCTAATCAAACCCAACTCTACCAGGTATAAGTGCGGCAGACCTCAGACATGCTGCCTAACCTCTGCACCTCGGTTTCCTCATCTGTAAAATGGGAATGAGAGGTTCTTCATTTCCTATAGTTATAAT
Source organism: Homo sapiens (assembly GCF_000001405.40). Lineage (NCBI taxonomy): Eukaryota > Metazoa > Chordata > Mammalia > Primates > Hominidae > Homo > Homo sapiens. The sequence goes on along the minus strand of NC_000009.12, from coordinate 114,005,075 downwards.
AAAGAATAAAGGAACACAAGGGACATCCAATAAATACTTGCCAAATGTAACCTAATACTGTCACAAATATCAATGTGACAGTAGCATGAGGGGCTAATCTTTTATTCCTTAGTGGACAGATGGATGAGTGAATATGTCTGTCTGCTTCTATGTATGACTGTACTATTTTCCTAATAAATAAATGAAAAGTCCTAGAACTGTTAATAGAATGTGTGAGACCTCATTTCATTTCTAGGCCCGCCTCCACTACTCACAACCTGTATGACTCCCTGTCCTCATCTGCAAAATGGGTGGGCTGGACTCAGTCTTCTCAGTTGGGCCCTTTTGGCTCCATGACTCCATGGCCAGGCTTCTGTAAGTGGAGGCCAGGCGTTCTAAGCAGGTGCTGCCAGTCTGGGTCAGGGCAGGGCTGCAGGACTGAGAATAAAATAGCGCGCAATGGCCGCAGGGAGGAAACTCCACAGGGAGGAAGGGAAAAGTGACGGAAGGACTAAAAATACCCCCGCTACAGAGCCGTCAGCAACCAGCAAGCCCGCGGACAACGGAAGCCAGACGGAACACAACAGATCATTGAGGGGCTGCTGGAGAGGCCAGGGGCCCAGAATAGCTGAGGAAGGAAAGATAAATAGGGAAGTTCTTTAAATGTGTGGCTGACCGCAGCCAGTCCATGGGAGCCGGAAAAGAATGGAACTATTGAAGGAGATGGGAGCCAAGGACCAGGCTGAGGCTGGGGCTGGGGCAGGAAAGGCGGGGCTGGAGGGGGAGGGCCCAGCTCCCACCTCCTCCCAGCTGGGGTCCTGTGGCAGGTGTCTAGCTGACCTGGGCCTCAGATTTCTCTCTGGAACATGCCGGCCTCTCCTTTGGCATAAGAATCCAAACGGAGTGGATGAGAAAGTGTCTTAGAAGAAATGCTACTGGGACCCAGGCCAGTTACAATCCTTTTTCAGCCATCGCCATCTCTTCAAACTGCTCTGGTTTGGGGTTTTGTTGGGCAGGGGGTGGTAATGTTTATTTATTATGTTAAGAATCTTTTTTTGTGATGGTGTGGTGTAACAAACCCATAGAACGGGGATTGGCAAGCAACAGTCTGTGGGCCAAATCCTGCCCACCATCTGTTTTGGTAAGGAATTCATTTACATATTATCTCTGTTCCTGGCATGTTCCCACTACAAGGGCAGGGCTGAATACTTGCGACGGAGACGTCTGGGCTATAAAGTCTAAAATACTTACCATCTGGCCCTCTGCAGAAAAATGTTGCTAACCCCTGGTGTAGAACAGTGTACAAATCCTAAGTGCACAGCTTGTTCAACTTCCACAAACTGAAACCACCCAGGTAACCAGCACCCAGCTCAAGAAACAGAACCCTGAAGCCCCTTCCCCAGGGGAACCGCTCTTCTGACTTCTACCGGCAATAATTAGTTTTAGCTGCTTTTGCCCTTTCTCTATGCAGAATCTTAGAGGCTGAACTCTGTTTACGCCTGGCCTCTTTTGCTCACCATTGTTTGTGAGTCATCCATGTTGCTGTGTGTAGCTATAAATTGTTCGTTCTCACTACTTTACAGTAGTCTTTTGTGTCACTAGACTTACTTCTCCATTCAATGAGCTCTGGGCATTTGGGGGCTTCTAGTTTGTTAGGAATGGTGTGCTAAGGACATTCTAGTTTGCATCTTGCAGCAGATATACACCCGTTTCTGTTGGCGACATACCTACACGTGGAACTGTGACTTCTGAAGCTTCAGATTATTGGGTGGGGAGATTCCATCCTAGTCTACACCAGCTTGGCTGCTCACTTACCAGGCGCTTGGGGCCTAGAACTGGAGGGATGGCAAGCAGGGCCTGTGAGCAGCAGTGCTGTCGCAGATGTCAAGGCCCTGTGCCGCCCCAGGTGCTGGGATATGGCACCTCAGGGCAAATCACCAATAAGCAATTAGTGCCCCTGGCTGTGGGGGCTCAGGAGAAAACTCTCCAAAGCAGCATTTCCCAAAAGTCAACTACGGAGCCCCAGAGTCATGAGTCAGAGTCAAAAGAACACAAGGACCCGCATATCCAGGGCACCCATGGGAGATGCACAGCTGTGTCTGTCAATGAAGGGCTGGAAATGTCCACAAGAAACCTGCTCCCCTTAGTGAAACTCAAGGTCTCCCAAAGTTACTTGGCCAGAGAAGTCGTCATGGACAGAACACCCACTAACCTTCCCAGAATGAGCCTGCCATGGAGCACGCTTTGGGAAGGGCTGCTCTGAGGTACCGCATTGCGGTTTTGTAAGGATGGTCTGGCCCCCAAGCTTGGACCCCAGCACTGTGTCTCTCAGAGGCCACCTGGAGCAGTTCTGGGGGAGGGGACAAGCAGCTCCTCTTCATCCCACCCCAAGCCCTCGCCCCTCAGCAGCCCACGAGGAGGAAAAAGTACTCACTGCTTTGGGAGGCTCCCTCCCCTGAGGTGGCTTCGGTGTCTGCAAAGAGAGAGAGAGAGGGATGGGGGTGGGGCTACCGGGCCAATGACAGGGCCAGTGCCAAGTGCAAAAGAGAACATGGAAGCCACAGGGGAAGAGCTCACAGTCCCGCACCGGGCCCCTGATGCCAGCCTCTCCTCCCTGTCTGCCAGGCTCCGGGAGGAACAGACGCCATCCCTCCTGTCTGCAACTCCCAAGCTTGTCATGAGGAACACACACACTGACCTCAGCAAGTGCCCTGTGGGGGCCACTGACACTGAGCAGTGATGAGATGTCCTGGGAGGCGTGAGGCCAGTGGGGAGCAGGGGGTGCCCTTGGGCGCAGGTCTGGTGTGTCCTGCAGAGTCCCCCTCCCACACCTGAGCTGTCCCGCATCAGGAGGCCTCCCTTCTCCTGCCTGGCACCCTGTCCTACTGATGAAAGTAGGAGGAGAATGGGAAAGGCTGGAGCTGTCAGGGCCTCTGGGGTCACCCACGAGGGGCCCAAGTGGGAAACAGGCAGACAGTGGGAGGTGCGGCCCCTGGGCTCTGCCCCAGGGACACTCCTCTCACCTCGGTGCGCCCGCACGTGGGTCTGGAAGCAGTTGTAATACTTGTACTTCTTGCCACAGATTCCGCATTCGTAAGACCCTGGAAAACAGAAGAGGAAAGGACTGGTCACCCAACCTCTGTGACCACAAGGTCCCAGGACCCACAGGCGATGCCTACAAGTGTGGCTAACTCTCTGTCCCAGGGGCAGAGATGGTCCCTGGCAAGGAGGCAGCACCGAGCTAGAAGTCACGAGGCCTGGGTCTAGATCCAGGTTTGCCCTCCACTCTGTGGGTGACCTTGGGCAAGGCACCCCCCCATCTCTGGGCCTCAGTTTCCAAATCTGTAAGATGGAGAAGGTAACTTCTTCAGCTAATTCTCAGCCCTACACCTTGAGGGGAAAAAGGAAATGAATGTTAAAAGTGCTCTGAAAGGAATAAATTGCATCCACATAAGGAAATCATTACTTCAACGCATTACAATAATTTCTAGCAACCCCTTTTCCTTGCCGGAATGGGACAGAGATTAAGACAGACAGACTGAATCAGACACACCTGGGTCCCTGTCCCTGTTCTGTCACTTACCAGCAGCATGACCTTGGTAATTTCCTTAGATGCATGAAGCCTCAGTCTGCTGATCTGCAGAATGGGACCACATGCACCTACCTCGTAGGGGTGGCCATATACTCCCTGTAGGAAGTGCCCAGCCCTACTCTAGACAGGCTCAGCAAGGAGAGGACCGCCCCCCACACCTGCTGAGGAGTTGTCTTGTTCCCTCAGACACACAGAGACCGACATGGTGTAAATGCCTGGCCCCCCCAGCCCCTTGCCAGGCCCTTCTCCCAGGAGCAGGGAGACTGAAATGGCCAAGCTCCTAGTGAGCACTGCAGAGAGGTTAAAAGATGAGCCTGCCCATGTAGAGGTCAGAGCAAAGGCCCATGGTAGGAAGCCAAGAAGAGCCCCTCAGATCCAGCCTGGCAGGGACCCCAGGGGCAGAAACCCTGCCTGCTCCCCATCTAAATCAGCCCTCATGAAGGCCTGATGCCACCTGGGCCCAGGCCTTGCTCTTCCTAACAGAATAGCCAGGGAGCGTGGACAAATGCAGAGGCCCCGGCCCACTCCAGGCTTAGCGATCTAGAGTGGCTGGGGTGGAGACCTGCCTATTCCAAGGTCCCCAGGGAATTCTGGTGCCCAGCATCTGGGGATGGGAGAGGCAGACCTGGGATAAGAGTCTTAACTCTGTCATTTACTGGCTGGGCCTCAATTTCCTCCTGGGAAAAATGCGGATGACTCAAGTGTGTTGGTGTGAAGACTGAGTTTGCATGAAGAGTGTTCCCAGCACAAGACCAGCCCCTCCGTGCAGGTGAAGATCATTAACTCCTACTCCCTTTGTCTTGCCTGGAAGCAGAGGCCCGTTTCCTGAGTGTGTACCTGAGGCATGAAGTGAAGCTGGAAGAGCACTGGATATGGAGTCTGAAGCCTAGTTCAGCTCTGCTATCCCTTAGCTCAGGGGGGTCCAACCTTTTGGTTTTCCTGGGTCACACTGGAAGAAGAATTGTCTTGGGCCACACATAAAATACACTAACGATGGCTAATGAGCTAAAAAAAAAATCACAAAAAGACTTACAATGTTTTAAGAAAATTTATGACTTTGTGTTGGGCCGCATTCAAAGCCATCCTGGTCCACATGCGGTCACGGGCCGTGGGCTGGACAAGTTTGTCTTATCTGTTTGATCTCGGACACATCCTTTTTTTGATCTCGGACACAACCTTTCACTTGTCCGAGCCTCTGTTTCCCCACCTGCAAAACCGGACTCTGATTCCTACAATTCATGACTGAGGTCTGTATCAACGAGGTTCATCATGTGAGTCGGCTGGCACACCACAGGTACTGAGGAACAGGAGCCGGTGCCACTGGTACTACTGTGGGTCACTCCAAGGGCCGCTGTCATCCTAACACCAGCGTGGGATTTAGGAGTCTGTTATTTAGTGGTTTGTATGTGTATTACCCTTGTCACACAGGGAAAAATACAATCACGTGGAGGACAAAGATGAGATTGCATATTTCTTTGTATTTAGCCCTGTGATTGGCACACAGCGAGGGCTCCATAAATCCATGGTGTCTTGCTGTTGTACTCATCTGTCACTGAGTAATAATGCCTCCAACTCTCTTCCTGCTGCCTCCACCCACTCTTCAGCAGTTTCTGCCAATTCCCCTTCAACCAGTGAAGAATTTACGAGTGCCTGCAATGTGCCGGGCACTGAGGCCCCAGCAATGAGCAAGGTGTGCTCCCTGTCCTCCATCTAATAGGAAGCAGACAGGCCAGCTGGCACAGGGACAACGCACGATGATGGCGTTAGGGCAGCAAGTGCAGGGCCTGGGGGCACAGAGGCAGGACCCTGGCCCAACTGCAGTGGGGGGCCCAAGTCAGTGGAGTAGATACTGTTTACAGCCAAGTCAAGGCCTGATTGGCAGGCAGTATGGAGTTCACCCCAAGCTGTGGGAGAGCTGTGGGCACATGCAGCCTTGCCTGCAGGTGTCACCCCACAGAAGGAGTCATGGGGGGCATGATGGCTCCTCAGCCTCTCCTCGGCTGGCTCCTGACCCCCAGTGCAGAGTGAGGCAGCCTGTCTGGCACACGGAGTCTCTGGACTGAGCACTGTGTGCTGGTAGGAGGGACCCTGAGCCTGCCCCTCATGCAGCGTAAAACCCAGGGCCCCGCCTGCGCCTCGCTCAGCCTAAAGCCCAGGGCCCCACCTGCCCCTCGCTCAGCCTAAAACCCAGGGCCCCGCCTGCCCCTAGCTCAGCCTAAAACCCAGGGCCCCGCCTGCCCCTCGATCAGCCTAAAACCCAGGGCCCCGCCTGCCCCTCGCACAGCCTAAAGCCCAGGGCCCCCACCTGCGCCTCGCTCAGCCCGACTCTGGGCTTCAGGTTCCCCTTTGTGATGGGGCCAGGGAGGTGAGAGGTGGGGCATGGGGAGAGTTCACTAGAGGGGCAGCCCTCAGTGCAGTGATGCCAGCAAACCTGGGTGCAAACCCTGGCTCACCACATCCCAGCAGAGGGAGCCCTGGACAAGTCATGGAACCACCCACACCTCAGGTTTCCTCCCTGTAACACTGTACACCCCTCAGGGGAACGGGTTGTGAGGGATAACGTGGTGGCTCCTTAGCACAGGGCCTGGTCCACAGCAGGCACACGATACAGGTCAGCTGCTGTTACTAGCAGCATTTTCCGAAGTTTATTCTTTGGAACCCAACTTCCTGAATGCACCCCAGCAAAAAGAGGACCATGGCCAAGAGTGCATGAGGGAGACCTCGTGGCGTGGCCTGTCCTGGGGAGGCCACTGCACAGGGGCAGCCGCAGGCCCTGCGAAGTCCTGCAGGGAGAGAGGTCAGCTACTGTTTAACCCAGGGTCTCCCAAACACATTTGGCTTGGAACCCTTTTGTCCCCTTGGCCTGTTTCAGAGTTGCGGCCCATAGGAAGTGCTGCCAAAATGCTCTGGACATTCTAGGCGTCCAGATTTCCACATGCTCTATCGTCCCTCCAGTAGTCCAGTACTTCCAGGGTCCCAGTCAGATTTGCTCACATGTAGCCAGGACAGGGGATGAAGAAGGTGGCCCCTCTTGACCCTGAGATGCTAACAGGGGCCTGCTTACTCAGGTCTGTAACTGATGGCTGTGTCCAGCTGTGCCCCCACCCATACTGGCCCCGGATCAGGCACTACCCCTTGGCCATCACGTACCAGATGCATATCTCAATGCTTGGTCAAAAATCCAGGTCCCTGAATACCGGCTTCGCACAGATCCACCGTGGGGGCTGCCTTCGGGCGCTTTTCCATCTGAATTACGTAAGAAATCAGAAAGAGCCCTTAAAGTTGGAGAATGCCTGGAAGGTTAGGGAAGGGGCGAAGTTGGCTGCACTTTGAGAAGCGTGGACAAGATCACACTGCCTACCTCTTCGTTAAAAACCTTGTGCTGGCCAAGGGGCATCCACATGTTCCCCAGGGAGGCTGGCACATGGCAGAATACAGCAGCCATGGGTCAACAGCTCCCTGAATTCAGTTTTGTGTTTTCTCTATATTCTGATTCAACATATGGTTAGAACACACAATTTCTACCCAAAAACCCTCCAGCAAAATCACCCTCCAAGGACATGTGCCCCACGGGTGCAGTGTCCATGCATCCCCCTGGCCTGTGGCCACCACAGACCCAGACTGATGCAGTGGTGCAAGGAGGGCCTTCTTGGGGACTCAGCTCAGGCAGTCCTCAGCCCCGACGCCTGGCTCCCTGCCCAGCACGCTCCCTCTTCTGTTCATCCCAGCCACTTTTTTCCTCTATGAACCATGGCTATCACCATCACCACCTGTCTGGGCTCACTTCATCTGCAATGTTTCCATGCAGACTGACCTCTGCCCCACTGCATGGGTGAGGAAGCAGAGGCTAGGGCAGCTGTGTGCAGCATTTCGCCCAGTTCATGCAGCCAGTTAGTGGGCTCGGGGTCCTGGCTCAGGGGTTTCTCACACCAGCTCAGTTCATCCTCACAATTCCAGCAGGTAAAGGTGATTATTATCCCCATTTTTCAGATGAGGAAAGTGAGGACCAGAGGGGCAACGAATAGCACCAGAGGTCGGTCAGATCTGATTTGCTCCCAAGCCACACAACTAGCTTCTTGGAAAGCACCAGGAAGAAATGGTGCTTGTGGGCTGTGCGCGGTGAATCTCAGCATTTTGGGAGGCCAAGGCAGGCAGATCACTTGAGTTCATGAGTTCAAGACCAGCCTGGGCAACACAGCAAGACCCCCATCTCTACAGAAAACACAAAAATTAGCTGGGCATGGTGGAGCACACCTGTAGTCCCAGCTACTTGGGAGGCTGAGGTGAGAGGAACACTTGAGCCCTGGAGGTCGAGGCTGCAGTGAGCTGTGATTATGCCACTGCACTCCAGCCTGGGCAACAGAGTAAGACCCTATCTCAAAAAAAAGAAAGAAAGAAGAAAAAAGAAGAAGAAGAAAGAAGAGGAAGAAGAAGAAAAAAAAAAGAAAGAGAGAGAGAGAACCTTTACCAGGTCTCATTTCCGTCCACCATCTTCCCAGAAGTCCTCATGAGGCTGGCAACTCAACATCCGTCGCAAGGATGAGCATCAGCTTGGCTAGTGGCTGGCAAGGAACTGGGCTCAAAGTAGGCCTTGGGGATCCAGAGCCATGCTACTGCCACCACCCCAGGTCACCTGCTGGATGTCAGGCAAGCTGTGTGTTCCTTTCAGTCATGGCACTTTCCTTAAATGCTACAGGGCAGCAGAGCCCCCCACTATGTCTGGTGCTGCCACAGGACTCCCCAGAGTGCCCTATTGAGAGCCCTGGGACTGCTCCCAGGGATGGCTGGCAGGGCTTGCCAGCACACAGGAGGCAGGAGCGGACTTTTCCTCTTCCCATTCCTGCTATCACAAGTGATGCAACAGTCGCCATCCCAACTAATCCGAGTTCACAGCTCCCACTGAGCACTTTCCCTAAACACCTGGCTTAGCTCCCTCCCAGAGCATCAGACAGACCAGGCGAGGACAGGGGGTCTAGTTCCTGAAGTCACAGAGGGGGACGCTGGGAAGATGCCTAGGAGAGGATGCAGGCTTCTGAGAAAGAATGTGGGGTAGCAACCCTTTGCACCCAGCCAGGTCTAGAGAAGCTCGGGCACCTTTCACAATACACAAAATGTGACAAGATAGAAATCCAAAGCTGGTGAATGAGAGAAGAAAAACGCAAGGGTAGGGACAGAAGGCTGGTTCCTTACAATGGACAGTCCCATATTTAGCTCAGAGCGTCTCAGGAGCCACTGTTCAGAGAACAAATGTTCAGGAGTGTGTCCAGCCCTCTCTGTTCAAACATGCAACAGGAGCTGGGTCCAGGGCTTGCCGAATGACAGGGGATCTGAACAGGGAAGTCATGGACAAGTGGGTTTCCTGAGGCTCTGGGGCTTGGCCTCAAACCAAATGTCCTCTGGAGCAGGGTCTTCTGAGTGAAGCACAAATCTCCTGGGGGTGTGTGGTGGCTGCCCAAGGGGTAAGTAGGTCCACACAGCCTTAAGAGAATCATCAGCTTCTAAATGTGTTCTTTCCTAAAATCAATGTGCCAGAGAATCTGGCAGGTGGGAGGCCCCACTCGCTGGTTCTTCCCACTCTCACCTTCACCCTTGTGCCACGTTACAAACAAAAGACGATCCTTTCACCCACCCCTAATCCTACCACGGTGCCTGCCCCAAGAGATGAAAACCCTGGGGCTCCAAGCAAAGAGGTGACCCTACAATACTGGTGTCGGGCTCAGAAAGTGAGTGGATCTAATGACCAGGAACAACTCCTTTTTTGAATCGGGTGACTTCCAACTCTCTGCTCTCAACAAAATTAGAGGAGGATATAATGGAGTTGTCAGCGAAGAGACCATTAAAAATATCATCTGATGATAGACCCCTGTGTGATTTCTGGCATACAACTTGGAAGGAATTCAAAGAATTGAGTGACACTGCTAAAACAAAACTCTATCCACTGCCAGCTACTTACATATGTGACTGAGCTTTCTAAGCACTTAGACCTACAAAAACCAAAAGATAGGAATTAAATTAATGTCGAATCTTGTCTCCTTCTAGCAATAAGAAATATTAATTCAGAGATACATGAGCCAATTGAGAAAGAAATGAAGCCCTATCCATTTCATTAAGAGATGCATTTTCAATAATTTTTTACTTTTACATTTACTATTTACCTAAATTTGTTTTTGATGAATTGTATGCTAATAACAACTCAATCTGGAAAAAAAAAATGTTGGAGAATGTAGAGCTTTATGATCCCAGGAAATTTTTTTTTTTTTTAGAAATTTCAATTTCAATTTATGTACATCTTGTTATGGTGATGAGTGTGAAACAGTGATCAATAAAAGACTTTCAAGCATAAAAAATATATTTTACATTAGGATAAAACCCTGTGGGGGCAGTGGACTGGAAATATGAGCTCAAGGAGAAAAAGGAAAGATGTAAAATTTCTGACTGTTAAAGATAGGCTTGTTCATATGTTTTTGAAGTGATGATGGTGGATATCAAATAGTGGTAGTGTTTGGATTCCCTTGGATACATTTTGAAAATTGGTTCACAGTTTTATTTCCAAAATGCCACCTTTTTTTTTTTTTTACACAATATCCTGGAAATTATATCCTTTGCAATGATTTAAACTTTGGATAAAAATGTTAGATGGCAACTCAAACATGTGAAAAAGAATATACAGTTTTCAAAATTCTTTTAGGAGGTATTGAGCAAAAACAAATGTTTGAAAACCTTGGCCTTTTAGGTTCCTGTCACTCTAGAGGTAACCCCAGAGGCATCAATGTCCTGAGGTTCCAGCTAATAGCAGTGGTACTGGTTTTACGTTTTTTGTCCCGTTAAAAACACTTCCATACCTATTACGTCACTCTGCCCCCAACAATTCTACTGGAAAGAGGGGCAGACTTTTATTCTACCTACTGACCATTCAAGACACGGTGGCTTAGAGAAGTTAAGGGGCTTATTCAAGTCCCCACAGTAGGGTAAACCCTGGGCTCTTGACTTACAGCCCAAGGGCCCTTTCTAACAGGGACCCTCTAACCCTTCAGACCCCAAGAGGAAGCGTCAGTAGCAGAGACAGGACGCGCCTGGGAGGGTGGCCAGAACTCCTCCTTTCCGAGTGGCTGCAGCAAAGAGCTGAGTGTTGGTTCTGGCAGGCTCTTGTGTGAGGCCCTGCCAACAACCTATTGAAACAGGAAACGAACTATCAGCTGGCACGATGAAGCAGGACCTGGCACCTACGCTGCCTGGGTCTGTCACAGGCTGAAACCCACGTGGCTGTGTCTGAATGACTGTCAAGCTCTTCTGCTGCTCCTTCCAGCGCCATAGCCTGGCTGCTGCCTCCTGGTTGGAGCTCCTTCCTCCTCTTTTCCTGGCTCTCTGGGCTGCCCTATGTGTGTGAGAACACCTCTGTACCTCGGTCCTGAAAGCTTGCTGCCTAGAAACATCCTTGCAGAATCCAGTCTCCCATCTATCTCATCCTTGACTCCCGCTCCTGCACTTTGTCCAGTGACCCTCCCTGATCACCTATGTCAGGACGGGGAACTCACTCCCTCACAGGCTTATGTCCAGTTACCAAACAGTTCCCATGATCACACGAAGTCCTTCCTTTTACTGAGTTGAAATCCCCTCCTGGAGACTTCTCCGTATTGGCTAGGACACCCTGGAATGTGTCTGCTCCATGCGCACCTTGCAAAATGCTGTAAGTTGTGAATATTTAGATTCCATTATCCCCCTCTTCAGGTCTCCACTATCGGGGAATAACCCAGTTGGTCCCTGTCCCTCATCTGAAGAGGGGTCAAGTCTGGGTCACTCATTCCCTCCACGGTCTCCTGCACTGCTACTGAGGAAACTCAGTTAAGTCTCGGGTCTCTGGGCCCCTACTGCTCTCCCTGGACTCCCTCATTAGTAAACACCTCAGGATTAAGGACCAGTGGTTTCACAGCATAGGAAAGAGTACCCACTGCTTAACAGTACACCTGGACCACCATAATGGGATGCGGGCATCCTTATCTCTCAGAGCCAGGAAATAGTCTAAGGGCTGGATGCTCTCACTGTTGTAAACCCAACTTGCCTTATCTTCATCAAGAAGAATGGCAAGTAGGTTTCCACTTCTAATTTTTCAATTCTAGCTGACTGGCAGAGACCTCTTGGCATACTGTGTTGAGAAGGATTCTGAGGTGCATCATTGGACAATGTACAGTAATCAATTCGCAGTGTCTGCCATGAACATGGGACTGCCATGAACCCGGAGCGAGGCTGGGTGAGCGAAGTCCTCAGGAGGCCCTTGGCACGGCAGGAGCAATGGTAGTGCCTTGTGTTTGCTCCTCCTCCTAGAGGAGCCCCTGAAACCTCAAGTGTGGTCTGCCCTTCCTTCTTGGGGCTGCTGTACAGAGCTGTTCCTGCAGCCTGTCAGATGGGTGCAGGCGTCTGTTAACTTCCTTTCTTTCATTTCTGCTTTTATCCAGCAAAGTTATTAAGTTTAGTATCTATCATCTCTGCTCTTCTTACTATAAAAGGAAGCTCTTGGTCTTGCCCCCAAACCCTGCACCAGCTCCAATGGCAGTGACTTTCTTTCTCGGAGTGAGAGACACCCTTCTCAGCACAGGGAATTCTCTGGGCAGCAGGGAAGCAGCAGCAACCATTGCGAACTTGGCAGCCAGCCTCCTGGGCACTGATGCCCCTCCTGACTCCAGCAGGAGAAGCTGCCAAATGCCATCTGTGTGTCCATGACCCGGGCTCCCCCACGGGAAGTGCCTTGGATGATGTTTGTGTCACTGGGAACATTGTTTGTCTGATGGCTATTAAAGGGCCAGTGTGGACTCGGGGAGGCTCCCTCATGGCGCAGCACTGGGTGACTGAACAGGAACACTCTTCTACTCAGCAACAGAGCCCGTCTCTGAGCCCGGAGCGAGGCTGGGTTAGCGAAGTACTCAGGAGGCCCTGGGCACCACAGCACCCAGCACTCCCCGCCAAGTGCCCCAGGAACACGTTAACTCCCCCATGCCCGGTGACCAGGACAACGAATGCACACTGCAGCAGGGGCTCACTTAAAAGCAAGCTCTAACCAGCACCCCACCCCAGCCAGGTCCCTGGGAGAGCTTTCCCTCCTTCATACACTTTCAGAAGCAGGTAGGAGGTAGGTGTTGTGGTAGGCCCTTCATAACACGAAAGAAAATGTCACCAACTTCCTGGGTGACCCTGGGCAACTCTCATCCTTTCCTCAGGCCTTGTCTGCCCCTCTATAAAATAAGGAGGTCATGGGTACCAAATTGACAGCATGCATAGCTCCACTGCCCACTTCTACATCCAGGGCAGACACCAACAATCAATCATGCCACCCTTTAGAATCCTCAACAGAGAACTCCTTACAGCCAGTAGCAACTGCTTGGACTTAACCCACAAAATCTACTTGCCATCTTGAGATGAGAGGAGTCCAAAAGGTTCAACTCTAACACTGATTTTGTTTTTAAATGCCTTTCTTTCCTGGTGATGAGGCCAAGCCAGCTTCCTCTGAGCCTGACCCTTGGAAGAAAACCCCCATCCCTAGGCAGAAAAGCCTGACTTCCAGCATGCAAGATGAGCTGCCGTGACAGCAGGGAGCACTCTGGCCCTGCTTCCGTAGGGCTACACCATGGCAGCTCCACACGTCCCTTGTCACTGGGGCTTCTACATCTTTTTCACAGGGGTCTGCCCAAAGCAGATTACAAGATCCTCAAAGTCCCTGAATTGGAGGGAAGCAGTACTAGAAGGAACACCAAGGTCCAGACAGGTTTCCCAGTCCAGTTCCCAGGGGAGAAAACTGAAGCCCACTTGGAATCCCTGTCTTCTAATACCTTATCCTGCACCGACTTTATTCCCCATCCCATCGTTTCAATATATCACAATAGCTTACTTCTTAGATGGGAAAAAGCAGAAACAATGACTATCCCTTCCTCTTGAAGAGGCATTTTATACTGTTAATATTAGTAGTACTGAGAATACTAGCTACTTGTTTACTAAGCACAATGTTGAGCACTTCACATACATTATCTCATTGAATACTCAGATAGCCTGATGATTTCATAATTGTAAGAACTGAGACAGACAGGGCCTGAGGTAGCACACCAGTTAAGTCATGGAGCCTGGATTCACTCCCAGTCCAAGGATCCCAGCTCATTCTCCTCAGGCAACACTGTTTCCTTCCACTGCCGCCTTGGATGGCCACGCCCATGAGGTGGCCGGGACAGGGGCCATGCCTCATGTAACACAGGAGGACACTAAGGTACAGTGAGGCCAAGGACCCTGCTGCTGAGCAGCAGCTCAGCTGGAATCAGCATCGGTGGCTGGCATGAGGCTCACGGGTCCTGGGGCTCTCACTGTGCAGGCAGCTGGCCTAAGGAAGATTCCCAGCATTTCCCTGGCCTAGCTGCCCAGAGCTTTCCCCACTGAATCCAGACTGCTGGCTCTATCCCAGGATTCAGATTCAACCATCCTTTCCTGGGCATCTCCTGGTGAAGGGCAGAAACAGCTACTGGGTCTAATGAGTCTTAACACACACAGATACCAAAGAGAGCAAGTGCAGGTCTTCTCCATTAACTAACAAATCCACCAGTGATTAACACAGTCCCTGGCCTCAGGGAGTGAATACTGATGGAGAAACGTCAGCGCAGGCCCCTGAAAAGACTCACTCTCTCATTCCACACTGGCCTAAGTCACTCCTGCGCCTCCCCAAACATTCCTGGTTCACCCCTATTCTGTCACATGGGAGGACGGCATTTCCCAGCCTCTTTGAGGTTGGGTGGGGCCGTGTGACTAGTTCCAACCAATGACTGTGAGCGGAATTAACACCTCTCTCTCTGGCTGCAGCAGTTAATTGCCAGCGTAAGTCTCTCCACAGCGTGCTTTCCCTCTGTCACTTGGCTGGCAGCATTCTACATGACAGCTTTTAGTCTGGGACCAGAGGGGAGCAGAGGTCCCTCTTGACCCACAATGGACGTGTAGTGTGAACAAGAAATAAACTGCTGTGGTTTTGAGCTACTAAGATATCTTGTACCTTTCAGGATCTTTTGTTACTGCAGCATAACCTGGCCCCACCTTGACAGCTGCAGCACCAGTGTCAACATTACCACTCCCAGAAACCAATACTTTGTTTGGTATTACAGAGTGGAAGCAGGGAACATGGAGACATAAATCAGGCAGGTCCTGGAGCCCCAATCTCTAGGGGTTTCCACTTTCATGGAAGAGGCAGGCACAGACAGGGCCCCTCTAATCTAAAAAGAAAGTAGAAAGTGCACCAACTGAGGAGCAGGGTAGAAACAGCCCACTCTCACCAGAAGAGATCAAGGAAGTCTTCTGGGAGGAGGTGGCACTGGAGTTGGCCTCGAAGGATAGGTTGGATTTGGGCAAGTGGAAATGGGGGAAGGCATTCCTGGGAGAGGCAACAGCATACACAAAGTACAGGAAGAGCAGACTACACTGGAATGAAAGGTCTGGGAAGACCAGAAGCAAGAAATGGGGCTAGAAGGTTCAGGTTATGGAGGCTCTTAATGCTCTGGCCTCGACTCTAGAGACAGTAGGGAGTCCCAGGGTATAAGCAGGGGAGCAACATGGTCGGTGTTCTGTTTTGGCCAAGGCCTCCTGGCAGCCAGGGCAGGGGGCAGGCAAGCTGCAAAAGCATGGCTGTTAGCAGGATGCTGCCATGACCCAGGTGGGGCTGAGATGGCCACAACCAGCAGGGAACAGCTGGCAAAGGGAGTTTAAGGATGATTCTCAACAACTGGGAAGAAAAGGCACCAGGACTTGAGTCTAAACTTGCAGAAACGAGGCCATGGTGCCGCATACAGGATGTGCGCCAGGAAGATGGAGGTGCTTGGAAGTCAGTAGGAGGTGAGCCAGAGCTGGACCAGGAAGGCAGCAGAGGCTTGGACAGCAGCAGCACTTCTAAGAACACACTGAGCCTTGGAAACATGGAGTAGGGAGTGGAGGGAAGCAGAAATCTGGAGCCAGACCAGGCAAGGCCTCCACGCCAGGAATGAGGACTTTATGTCACAGACCAGGGGTTGCAAACTTGTGCCCACAGGGACTCTGACCCACAGACATGTTTTGTTTGGCAGATTTCAAAAGGTCAATTGGTTGCAACATTTAAAGCCAAAAGAATTCCCATCAAAATGTTCATTTCTGGCGTGTGATTTGTCCAGAGATGTGGCAACGCTGAGCCGTATCCCCACCCAGCAACCGTCAGTGCAGCAGCTGAGCAGCAGCCGCCCTCCACACACGCGGCGTGCCTTCTCTAACTGGACATGGTCCCCACCACCTGTCCTGTTGGCTCATCTCTATTTATGCTAAATAAACATATTTGTTGGGCCTCATGGGCATTTGAGTCTGTGAACCTGGCAGCAGTGCAGGGGGCCCCTGAGGGGTATCCCTGGTGCATGCTGGAGACCGGAGGGAGAGAAATTGTTGCTAAGATGTGAGTTTCCACAGAGCTCCTCTGGGCCTGGCCCAGGCCAGAAGAGGCAGGGGAAGTGCCATCTGTCACTGATCCAATCCTGATGGGGTACTGCTCTGAGCAGCACCGGCACTGGGATCTCCAGCAGAGAGGCATTTAGGACACCGAGCAGTAAGGGCTGTGGGAGACCCCCCAGGGGTATGGGAGCCCTGAGACAGACAAAGGGATTCACTGGGCCCCCGGAAGGTTCCAGGCATTTGACTTAAACAGGGTATTGATGGATGGATAGGGTTCTGCTGCCCAGCAGAAACAGAAGCGCTCTCCAGCCGGAAACTGCACAAGCAAAGGCAAGTCTAAGAAGCTGAGATCTCTCCCTGAATGCAGAGGGAAGCCAGCAAAGGTTCTCTCAGCCAGGAAGGGGGCAGAGGCGCCAGGCCGCTTTTCCCCAGGACTCTGACTCCATGTTCCCACCCTGGTCTCCACCCTGACCACAGACGCTGGGCACTCACCAAGGGTCTGCTGGTTGCGGACGCCGCCGATCACCACGCAGATCTCGGCAGGCACGTCGCTGGTCCCATCCTTGCTGACCGCCTTCTTCTCCTCCTTGGCCTCGCCCTGCCAGATCACCTCCTGGATGTAGTCATCGGGCAGCTCTGTCTTCACCTTCACCTCCGTCATCGTTCCTTGCTCGGCACTCAGCGAGGCCTCGGCTGGCACTGGCTCTGGGCCCTCCACCTTGGTGCTCTTCTGGCTGCGCTTCAAGCGCTCCCTGGGAAAGAAGAAACTCCGTTCAATACCTTCTTCCTCCAGATCAACACAGGAGCCCACCAGCCCATGGCACCACAGGGACATGCCAGGCTGTGTGCATAGTGAATTCTAGGGCCCCCGGCCCCCTTAGCCTCCCACACAACCCCCACGGCTACCCCTGAGGCTCTTCCAGGGAACCCTGAGGCTTCAAGGAACACAGTTTGAAAACCATTGAGCAAGAAAGCCTCCAACTCCACCCATTTTACAGTTGGGGAAGCTGAGGTCTCAAGAGGTCTAGATGTGCCCAGTTGCCTCACTTGCCACTTATTTGTTTGCACTTATCATAACTGGAGTTACAAGTGACCTAAAAGGGCACCTCCAGCTGGCTGAAATCAGTACTTAGACCTCAGTGTGCATACAGATCAGCTGGGGGGGATCTTGAAAAAAAATGCAGATTCTGGCTCAGCTGTTCTGGGGTAGGGCCTGAGATTCTGCATTTCTTTTCCTTTTTAGAGATGGGTCTCACTATGTTGCGCAGGCAGAACACAAACAAACTCCTGGGCTCAAGCGACCCTCCCACCTCGGCCTCCCGAGTGGTTGGGACTCCAGGCACCATGCCACCATGCCTCACTCAGAGATTCTGCATTTCTAACAAGCTCTCTCAGGTGGGGCCAGGGCTGCTGGGCCTCAAACTACGCTTTGGGCGGTAAGGGTTTCGTGCTTTGATGTACGCGATATCCAGTGCTGTTCCCTTCGTTCCTAGGCAAGAAGGCTTGGGATCTTGTCCAGGCTCTTCCCCGCTCCTGCTTTACAAACGGGAAACTCCAATTCAAAAAGACTCACTAGGTTGAGATGTCATGGAGCCAACACTGTGGCATGGAGGGGGCTCTTTAAACATCGGAAAACATCCTCGAGGTAATGATGTCAGTTCTGAAGAGGGCAGGGCGTGGGTCACTCAACGTCCCTCATGAGGGGGACACTAAGGACTAAAGCAGAGCTGTGACTTGCTCAGGCCAGACATAAAATTGGGGACAGGCCAAGGCAGGAAGCCAGGTCCCTGCCATCCACTCCTGAAGCATCCTCCTTTCAACACAGCTGTCCATGTTATCATCCTAAGGGCCCCACATCCTTCTGACAAGGGAAGCATCCCCATGACTGTTGTCTGTGAGGTGGGGAAGCTGAGGCTTGCACATACTGGGAAATCGAGTCATGTTCCAGGCCCAGAGACACTGCCCTGGCCATGCTAGCCTCTCCACTGTGCCAGAGGAGAGCATGGTCTGTGAATTTCAAGGCCCAGACTCAAAACAGAGAATGCCAGCATTCCAACTGCAGCACAGCAGGGCCACTGGACTGGGACTCAGGGACCCAGGCTCCAGTCCTCCATCTACAATGGGCTTGCTGTGTGGCCTTGGGCAAGACTTTTCTCTTCTTTGGGTTTCAACAGCCCTGTTTATCACAGGAGCATGGGTTTAATCACATCTGCTGTCCTTCCCAGCTTCAGCTTTCATCCAAGGTGGAGAAAGGTTGGGAAACTGAGCAAAGATAGAGAGGGGAGCCCCCAGCTAATGAGGAGAGGACAGAGGAAGGCCATGGGGAGGTGCTATGGACTGAACTATGTGCCCCCAATTCAGATGGTGAAGCCCTAACCCCCAGTGTGACTGGATCTGAAGAAAGGGTCTTTGGGAGGTTAAGTGTGGTTAAATGAGGTCACACTGGAGGGGCCTTCATGAGGGGATTGGTGGCTTTGTAAGAAGGGAAAGAGATTGCTCTCTCCCCCACGTGAGGACACAGTGACAGGGCGACCCTCTACAGCCAGGAGGCAGCCCTCACCAGAACCCAACCGTGCTGGCAACCTAATCACAACCTCCAGCCTCCAGAACTGTGAGAAAATACATTTCTGTTGTTTAATTAAGCCTATGGCATTAGGCATGGCATCCCACAGCATTCTGTTAACAGCAGCCCAAGATGACTCATACAGGAGGCCAGGACTCAGATGGACGGAACACGAGTGCAAGGGCATGCTGGGAAAACCAGTCAGGAGCAAGGGCTATCGCGCCAACCACTTCCTCGCTGTGGGCCTCAAGCCAGCCACCTAACCTCTGAGCCTTGGTTTCGCCGTCTGCAAAATGGAGGTAACAGGGTTGTCATGCAGATTTTAATCAACGAACACATGGAAAGTACTCAGCACAGCGCCTGGCCTGGAACTGCTCTCAAGACATGGTCACCACGACCATTGTTAATAATGACACACTGTTAGAGCTTCTTTGGCACCCAGGGGCGCCTCCTCCTCATGTGTCTGTCCCATCAGGGCCACCAGACACTGTCTGAGCTTTTGCCCTTCTCCACGGTAAGAAAGTGTAAAACTGCATGATTCAATCGCCTCAGAATTCATTTCCTTAATTTACTTAAGAAACACTTAAACAGAGCCTCCTATGTGCCCGGCAGTGTTCTAACATACTAATTCCTTTCATCCTTAGCAATGACTCTAGGAACGAAATCTTGGTATTAGCTCCACTTTACAGTCTAGGAACTGTGGCACTGAGAGGTGAAATAACGTACCCAAAGTCATGTGGGTGGTACGAGGTGGGACGGGGACCTGATGCAGGCAGCCTGGACTGGGAGACAAACTCGCAGAGGGAAGCCTCCTCACCCACAGCCGAGGCTGCCCCACATCACCCACCTTTGACCTTCAGCATCCAGAACAGAGCCAAAACCAAGATGCTCGTGGGTGAGCAGGAGGACAGTAGGTTCCCTGGCTTTCCGGGCTGCTGCCACCTTTGTGGGGGATAATATCATGAGCAAGAGTCCCCCTGGCCCCCCAGAGGGGAGCACGGGCCCGCCTAGCTGCAGGACACCACAAGGCAAAGAAGTCTCAAGTTCTGTGAGGCCTAAGACATAACTAGAACTGGCAGGTCCAGCACGTCACAAGAGGACAGCTGTGGCTTTAGAGAGGGAGGTGATTCCTACTGCTGGCCAACAAGAAAAGGGGATCCCCTGGAGGTGGTGAGCTCCCCGTCAAGAGAAGCACTGGAGCAGACTGGCTGATGGCCTGGCTGGAGTGAAATGGGCCAAGCACCAGACTTGGAAGTTGGATCATCCTAGGGTCAAATCTCAAAACTGCCAGTTGCAGGTTCCTACATAAGTGACTTGACTCCTCCAAGCCTCAGTCTTCACATCCAAACAATGGGGACAAACACGGTACCTACCCCACAGTGCTGTGAGGCAAAACAAAGTAATGTCTACGTAGGACCTAGAACAGTAAGCTCCCAGTGGAGATGTTTCATTGTTATCTACCTTTGTCTTTTTTATGGCGGGCAGGGGAGGGGCATGTGCAGAAGATGCAAGTTTATGTGGCATAGGTGTTTAGCGCATGGGCTGTGGAGTTAGACCAACCAGGGTTTGAATGCCAGCTCTACCACTGTTCAGTAATGGGATACAGGCGGTGAGGGAGTAAGGACTTTGTCTAGTGCTGCAGAGGTGGTCATGCTGATGAAGCTGATAGTGAACGATGTGTATTCACATTCAAGCCGGGGGGTAAAGAAAGCAGCTGACATTCCCATTTCCTAGCTAAGACCTCATGGGTGCTAATGGTCAGGGCCCTGAGGCTCAGTAGGCAAAGAGATGGAAGGAGAGGAAACAGATGGGGCCCCCGGCCCAGAACTCCCTTACCTCGGCTTTCTTCACAGCCAGTGTTCTGAAACTCAGCCCGAGGCCTCAAGAGCACCTGACCATGCCACCTGAAAAGATTCAGTGTCCCTTCCTGCTCTCAAGTCCTCACCACCATCATGGCATCCTGGTAGGGGAAGGGAGGAGCTGTAGGAGCCAGGCAGGCTGGGTGGAACTCTCATCTGCCCACCCCTACACCCTGCAGCCCTGGGCAAGAGACTCCCTTCTCTGAGCCTCTGTTTCCTTGTCTGTTAAAGAAGGACCATGACTCTTGCTAGCTGCAGGGGTGGGCACAGAGTGCATTTCCATGAATGGCAGCTGCCATGATGATGACATTGGTTCATGATGACATCCTCACCTCTGGGAAGCCTTCCTGGCTTGCTTGAGGCAGAGTCAGACTCCCTCTCTGAATGCCACGTCTTCCTTGCACAGGTGACTCTGACAGCCATCCTCCCATTGTGTCCTAATGAACTCATCTTGACTCGCTCGTCCCCTTCCCGAAATTCCAGTGTAGCTTCTAGTTCATTGCCTTGTTTTATTTCCTTTGCAGCCCTGTTACCTGAAAATGCTTTGTACACTGGCTCACCAAACTGCACTTGTCCTAAGAGTAGGTGGGGCCCTCGGGAGTGTTGTGCGCCTCTTATACCCAGCATCCAGTAGGCCTATATTAGGTGCTCCATAAATATGGTATTTGCTGAATGACCAAAAGGATACCTGCCTTCTAGTAAGCAGGCACTGGGACATATGCCTCCTAAGACTCCCCGGGGCCCACTGGAACAGCAGAATATATCCTTGAGATGGGTTTCTAGAATGGATGGTCACCCATTTGCAACAGGGCCAGGCATGAATGCATCACAGGAGAGGCCCTATCCAAAGGCACAGGACGTGTAGCAGAGTCAAAACCAGAACTCGCATCTCCAGACTCCCCATCCTTTGTTCTTTCCACTGAACCACCAGAGTCTCAGGTCACCTGGAGTGCCCTTAACACCTGGAGCTGAGAGTCAGGCACAGGGGAATGTCTTTTTCCCATGAAAAGGCAGCCTCTCCCTAGTTCTTGTACCCACATCTCCCACCCCAAACAAATCAGAGTTCACACTGGCAAATACAGCTGCAGCTGCGTGACCAGCCAGATTCCTGACTGAGTTCACAGAAGATGGGGACCAGTGAGCCACCCTCTATCACCCACGGGCACAACAGCACATAACCATCCACTCCCTTAAACGTGATGCCCCCGAGTCCTTGCCGCGACAAAGGCATGGGCAACTTCCTTCTCTTCCCCTCGCCCCCGACTTCTAGGCTTTAGATTTACAAACCCAAATGTTGCTTTTCTCAAATGCTTTGCATTTAATTAGGTGTCCTAATAACAATGGAATCACATAAGTACTTATATCACTTTGAGTTAGTGGCGCAGCTCCTTCTAACTTCTTTAAAATTTTTTTTTCATATATCATTTTTTAAAATAGAGCTCATTATTTTAATTATATCCATTTAAATGTACAGTGGAGCCCTTGGATATTCTCAGCACGAATCATTAGGTATATTAGTGAAAAAGCACTCGGAATCTATCTACATGCTGACACTCCATAATCTATTCTATTTGTGTCGCTGTAAAATAGATTTATATATAGATAACTACAAAATAGTTGCTCAAGATATGCTATGAATTTTATATTTAACCCGAGTCACACTTCAACATAAAATCCAAAGTCAAACATTAAAAGGATATTTTTCAGTAAGTACCTGCTATCCGTGGTCACCGGTTACTAATTGTGCAAGCTGACCAGGAGAGAAGCCAGACCAAGGGGATCCCTGCCCAAGAAGTTCCCTAAGACAGCTGGCCTTTCTCTAAGGCAATGATTCTCAAAGTATGTTCCTTGAAGGTCTAGGGGTTCCATAGCAATGGCTCTTAGATGCACCCATGAGGCTGGAATGGGGATGGTAGTGTTGAGCAAGGCTCTAAGACTCCCCATCTTCAATACACACAGCTTTGCTTTTTGCCTGATGTATACAGATTTAGGCCTCTTTCTCTCTGTGGTGGGGTGAGCGGTAGCCCCCTAAAAGATATGTCCACATCCTAATCTCCTGATTCTGTGCATATGACCTTATTTGGAAAAAGGGTCTTTGCAGATGTAATTAAGTGAAGGATCTTGAGATTAGGCTCATCCTTGGATTATCTGAGTAGCCCCTAAATGCAGTAAGTGTCCTCATAAGACAAAGGGAGATTTAAGACAGACAGAAGAGAAGTTACAGAGGAGAGAAGGCAATGCGCCCCGAGAGGTAGAGCTGGAATGATGTGGCCACAAGTCGAGGAATGCCGATGGCCACCAGAAGCAGGCAGTGACAAAGATCAGATTTCCCCTGGGGCTTTCAGAGGGAATCTCACTCTTCCAACACCTTCATTTCAGACTTCTGACCCCAAGGAGTGTATAAACTGCTATTGTAGTGAAGCAACAGGAGCAAAAGCAGCCATAGGCAACCAATACATGGTGTAACATGAAATTTGAAGAAACAGCTCCAAAGCAGTGAAGTTTGTAAATTACTATCTTCCACTACCTTTGGTTTTCTTCTGCTTTGTTCCTGCTCAATCCTGCTACTGTGTCTGGCCAGGCCAATGTGCCTGCAGACTCTGCCCGGGGAGGTTTCAGAAACAAACAAATGTCTCTCTCTCTCTCTCTGGGTCTCACCTGACAGTTCTTCACAGAGCTCATGCCCACCTCATCATGCTTGGCATTGACAAGAGCTCCGTGGCCAGATGGGGAAACCAAGGCACAGAACGGGGCCCGGGTCTGTTTTATTCATGTCTATATCCCCAGCCCTAGCACAATGCCTGGCCCACAGAAAGAACTCAGTGCACACAGGTGAAGGAAAGGCATGGCCAAGGTCACACAATTTTTAGTGATGAGCTTAGTCTGAAAACTTTTTGGCTCCTGTTCTGGTACTGTTGTCACTAAAGCTTGCAGCCTAAGACAATGCAACCAAGTAACTTACCAGTGGATCTGAAGCCCAAAGAGATGCCATTTCAGGCATGTCAGAGGAGAGTCCGCCCTGATGCTAGGTGCCTGGGAGTATGGCGGCTTTGTTTCTGGGCACAGTTTCCACATCATTCTGCCAATAATGATGATGCTTAAGAGTTCTACCAAGTCATAGTAGACGTGAGCAATGCTCAGCACCCTGGCCTTCAGTCCTATTTCTGCTGTTGATTCCCTGGGCTGGCTGCCTACCCCAAGACTCAGTTTTCCAATGTGCACAATGAGTGAGCAGGGATCAGAGACATCTAAGGCCCTTACACAGGCCAGAACTTTACCCAGCAAGACATGTGTGTCTCCTTACACAGAGGGGGAGCAAGGCGTACATCTACGTCCCAAGACTCAGCCTGAGGACCCCTGCTCTTCCTCCAAAGGGTGCCATTTACTCTCACACCTCACCCACCTTTAACAATGTTAAGGGTGGAGAAAAAAGCCTCTAATTACAGTGTGTAAATAATGACTTGGTTAACTCCCCCTAGAATAAAACTCCACTCCTTAGGAATGAAGGTGAACTGCTCTCCAGCTGAGCTTAAATACACTCTCCATGAATGCATGCATGCATGGGATGTTAAATGCATTAACACACATCCAGACAGGACTCTGCCCACTGACCAAGTCCTCCAACTCTACCCACTTCCCACTCACTGACTATATGAGTGCAAGTGATTCTTATCTATTTGCTGATATTGGCAGGCCGGCTCCTTGGTAATAACTGTTAAGTCCAATGGGCTGTTGCCTCCACTACTCCACCACAGCTTCTCTTCAAGGTCTCCAGTGGCTGCCACTCTATTCAATCCAGTGGTCCCTTCTCAGTCCCCGTCGGACTCTGCCTCTAGCAGCAGCCTCTAACATGGCCTGCCTCTCCTCCATCCAGCTGGTTGCTCACTTTGCTCTGTGCTCCCCTGGTGGATCTCCGGCCTTCTGGACATTCTTATCTCTTGTGCTGAATCCTCTTCATCACTCCAGCTCTTACAACTTGATATGCCCCAAGGATCAGTTCTAGAACCTATTGTATTTTTATCCACACTCATTTCCTAAGCGATCTCATGGAGACTTGTACTTTTATTTCTTATTTATCTTTTTTAATTTTCATTTTTTAAAGAGAGTCTTTCTATGTTGCCCAGGCTGGTCTTGAACTCCTGGGCTCAAGCGGTCTTCCCACCTCAGCCTTCCAAGTAGCTGGGACTATACAGCTAGACTCTTTAGTTCTAAATATTAACTACATGGTGTTGAATCCCAAATTGTATCTCCAGCTTGGACTGGCCCCCCACCGAACTCCAGACCTGCATAAACCCCCAACTGCTTGAAACCTCCATCTGGATACCTAACAGGCACCTCGTATTTAACAAGTCCAAAACCCTGCTGCTACATCTCTTCTCCCAAGAGAGGAAAACAATTCTGCTTCCTAGCCCAGCACTCTTCTGGCTAAAACCTGCCATCTAAGACAATACAATCAAATAACCACCATCATCTCCACTTCAGCTAACAGTAATTCCAACCTTCCAGCTCCTGCTGCCCAGACTCTAGAACTATCTTTGACTCTTCCTCTTCTGTCACTCCCGACTATGAATATACCAGCAAATCCAGCCAGATCCGCCTTCAAAGTATGTCCAGAATCCAACCATTCCTTACCATACCACGACCACCACTTCAGTTCAAGCCACCCCCCCTTTCTCCTGTCTTGTAAACATCTCACAGCCAATCTCCCTTTCCCCTATACACTGCCCTGGAATCCACACTGGACAGAGCAACCAAGGTCATGTCACTCCTTGGCTGAAACTCATTTATGGTTCCCCAGTATTTACCCACTCGGTGTACTCTGTTACCTCTCTGTCCACTTTACTGTCTGTTTCCTCAACTAGAACGTGAGCTAGAGGACAAGATTTTGTCTCCTTGGTTCATGATACTCAGAGCAGTGGCTGGCACATGGGTGATGGTCAGCAAGAGGCTGTTTACCAAGTGAACCAAGGACCAAGCCCAGGAAAGGTCAATGCCAGCATGGCACTGGAGGCACCTGTAGCCTCTGATCCAGGCAAGACTTTTCTGTGATCAATCCATCAACATCACTGTAACTGTCGATGGTTTTCCTGCTTCACTGAATATTCAGAACTGAAGAATGACTCATTCATCTGGCCTTTATTATAACATAGGTTAGGGATGTTTCACAGAAGCCAATTTTCTGAATAAGTGAAGCTTATTTCTTGAGTGTCAAAGTTATATCTTTATCCTTTCTGATGAACTGATGAAAAATTTCTAAAATGTAACACACTCTTCCCACTTTCTGAAATGCCAAGATACAGCAGCCTGGTAATACCTTGACATTCTCTCTTGAGGGTGCAGGGTCGCCATCATGACCACCAATCAGCATACACTCAGGCCCTAAGGCGACAGGGTGGCTGCTCCCACTAACAGTTCAGGAGCCTTCATTCTCCCACCAGCGGTTCTGGAAACGCTCCTCTTTGCTTCTAACAGGCTCCTGCCCTGTTAGAACTCCAAATCTGCCCTCTAATTAATTCCATATGGTTCTGGAAGATTTCCAGAGACCAGGGCTCTACCCACTGCTTTTTGTATCCTTGTGCTTGGTCCTCTGGCAGGTGTCAGCTAAGGTCTGCTCAATGACACAAACAGAAAATGACCAGACAAAACACACCAGCATGCAGGGTGGAGGTGATGCTGGTGAGGACAGTCATGATGCAAATGGCACAAATAACACAGAGAGTGATGCCAAGGGCAGCTGTGGTGTAATGAGTGCTTATGACATGCTGGGGCGGTGCTCCGGGCCCACACCTACACCATCTCATCCTTCTGTGCAATGCCTGATATGGGATTTTTTGGTTTCTAGATAAGAAAACCAAGGACTGGAGAAACAGAGTGACTTTTCACAGTCTCCCTGCTTCCTAGTGACAGAATCAAAATTCCACCAGGTCTGTCTGACTCCAAAGTCTAGGCTTTTAACCATTTGGATAATTTTTGTTTTCTCTTCTCAAGAGAAAATAATAAAAACACCTGTTGAATGAATGAACACATACATGACTAAATGCCAGAAGTCCCAAGACACAGGGAATATACTCCCTTGTTTTTTGCTGTTTCCTGAGCATACAGACAGAACTGGGCACATTTTAGATGCTAAAAGTCACACCGACATGAAATAAAGGAAAGGAATGAAGGGTCCCACCTCTTCCACAGAGAAAGGCGCCTGGGCTCTGCGCTTGCCACCTGCCTCTCTCTCTCCCTGATGTGTTTTCAAATGCTGCTGTGCTCAAACATGTCCTTCAGACATAAAGAGTCTCCAGCTTTTAGTGACAAGGAGAGAAGCCATCGTGGGAAAAAGGTCATAGCTTCATCACTAGCCTGGGAGAGCTGAGAGAGAGAACATGGAGCAGAACCACAGTGTCCGCAAATGACAGGAGCGAGGCCCATGCCTGGTACTTACTATTCCGCCTAAGTTTCAAATCCTCACATCATCACCTGTTCCTTAATAACCCTCAAAATGATCTGTACTTCCATTTCTGTCATGTATCACTGATATATTTTAATAAATAGTCAAGTAGAAAAGATTAGATTAATAGATTAAAACTATTAACCTATTAAACAACTCTTAACAGTCTAGAAATTCAAAGTAACCTACAATGCATAAATATATCATTAGTTGGAGATAATTCTTAGGCACTTAATTTTCCTCATTGTACGGTGTCAGTCAGCCACAACGTTAGGTAATATTGGAGTTCACAAAGATGGTATATGATTTAAATATTAACAGTAAATTTCCTGGTTAAGTTAAACCTAGACTGGGGGAAAGCAAGAGTCTTGGGCAATCTTGTCAAGTCACAAACTCCAAAATTTAGCAGGGTGGGGTTCAACAGTTAAAGCTGGGAACTTCTTTTGAGGGTGCTGTGGCATGTGGAAGGTTGCCCAGGACGTTAAGGAGAAGCAGTGTTAATGGCATTTTAAACAGACACGCTACCTTCGTTTACCAATGGGTCTGGCAATGGTGCAATTCTGACCAATTAGCAATGTACACTGTTCTCTGAGGGGCCACCTCTCTGTCTCCCAGATAGAATATCCCCAACAGACAGGTATGGAGTAGAGGCCAATGAGGGGCCCATGCTGTCCTGCAGAGACCCACCACCCTGCAAAGACCATCCTGCACACATGAGGTCCTATGCAGACCCCAGAAGTCAGGGAGCTCAACCACTAAAGAGCGAGGCCATCCCTAAGCCCTCACACTGGACGTCTAAACAAAGGATAAACACACTCCCTCTGTTCACCATTACTTCATGCCAAGGCTATGACTTAGCAACTACTCCTTTTTCTAATTCTCCAAGGTCCAACTCCTCTGGCCATCTTCTCCTAGGAATGAAAGGATAAGGAAGCGCCCCAGCAGAACTGTGACCCCTCCACCTTCCTGCCCACGTCGCCAGCTGATGCCCAGTGCTGCCCAGCTGCTGACATAGCTTTGCTATCTCTCCATGGTGCTGTCCCCGTCCTGGCATTACAACTGCCCTCCTCCCCTCCACCCTGCAGTCTCTAGCACTAGGGGCGTGACAACCAACCAGCTCTTGCCCCAACACCCCAGAGTGAGAACTCAGCCCTGGTTTGCTCACTGCCTGGACGCACGCTGCCCTTGGACACACACACAGGACTCTTTTAACTACATGATCCAGTCCTTACAAGGTGCTTGGGGATGACAAAGCAGATGCAGGGATCGTTGCTAGGAGCCATACCCTGTCCACACTAAGGATACTCTGGAAGATTAAAGGATGGATGGATGTAAAGTGCCATATATCTAATAGGAACTCAATGCATATTAGTTAGTTCTTTTCTCCTACCCCTACTAAATACACCAGACAAAATGTGAAAAGTTAGGTTAACCATGAAAAAGATGAGCTCACAGGCTGTCAGTGGAGTACTCATAAATGGAAGTAGAGGAGGAATTTTTAGCTCCTATGAAAACAAAAGGAGTGGGGGACAAGGTCACCCTCCATGCAGCAGTGAGGAGGAGAGACGGGAGACCCACACTGCAGCCAAGTCCACTGCAGGACAGCCAGGCAGGAGTGATCAAGAAGGTGGGTTTGAGGTGTCCCGACACTGTTAACTGTCACACTCCACATGGAGTCTGGAAGGTGCTCCAGCCAAGGGTGAGCATGTTCTCTTTTGTCAGCAGAGCCAGACAGATGGTGAGGTTGTGCAAATTTCCTGGGTTGCCTTCTCAGATCAAGGGCCTCTGTTATTAAAGGCCTCAAGAAGCAACTAGGTCAGGTCCTCCTACTTCGCACTCTCAATATTGTGCTTCAGGACAAGGCAAGATTCTGAACACTCTGAACTAACAGCCACAGGTTCACAAGAAGAACTTTCTTACTTTGCTCAAGAAGCACATGTGGGGGGCATGTGCTGATTGGGAGGACTGAGTTCCCTAGAGACCCCCACCAATTCCCTTTGCTGGACCACCCAAAGTTCAAGTGCCCTTTGGCACAAACAACTCACGGATCTTGATGGACGTGAATTGTGGTTTGCATTTCTGTGGCTGTCTCCAGAGGGCAAACCTAAGACTGTATATGAATTTTCAAGAATCTCTCTTATTTACAGAGCCTAGGTTGAATGGTAAATGGTAACTAATTAAGCAGAGTGAACTCTGCCCACCAAAAAAGCAACCGGCCCCTTTGGAGTAAGTACATGGGCCCCCATTCAACCTGCAATTTAGGATTTTTTTGTGGACAAACTTTGCCCGAATTTTGGTAGGGTGAGAATATTTCTGGAAATACATTTCTAGAAATGAAATCTGAACTCCAGTAACAGGAACATAAATCTAGAGTCAAGATGAAGATACCTCCCAAAACATACCCCGTTCTCAAATAATTCACTCTGCTAATACCATACTGTTCATTGACTAGCACTGGGCTGGCTACAGGTTGAATACTCCTCATCTGAAACACTCAGGGCCAGAAGTATCTGGATTTTTAATTTATTTTTTTCAGTTTTTGGAATATTTCCACTACATGTGCCAGTTCAACATCCCTAATCCAAAACCCAGAAATCTGAAATGCTCCAATAAGCATTTCCTTTGAGCATCATGTTGGTGCTCAAAAAGTTTTGGATTTTGGAGCATTTTGGATTTCTGGATTAGGAATACTCAATCTGTATTGCTGTGAAATTTTGTGCAAAGGAAATTGCGTTGTTTAGGGCTACTTTTATTTTGCTGCTGAAAACCAAAATGGTAAACAAGAAGAAGATATAAATAATTATGCAGCCACACACATGTGGTTATCAGATAAAATGGTCCACCCGTGAAAAATCTTGGCTTAATTAAAGAACAAGACTTAGCTACATTGAAAGCCATTTTACCATCTGGGTGACTCCATATAAGTCTATTCCTCAATTCCCTCTGAACATGAGGGATGCCAATCACTATCTGAAAGGGCTGCTGGGAAGATCAAATAAGACACAAGACACATATTTGGATCATGGTAGGCCTTCAACAAATAAGAGCTCCATCACCGTCATCCCTCCCTCCAGCCCTCTCTCCAATGTCCAGGCTCTACAAGGAATCAATTGCCACCCCATGTTATCTCCTCCTAGGAACCAGAATCCACCATGGTAGTAATAAAAATAAATGTTTACTGAGCACCTGCTTTGAACTAGGAATTGTGCTAAGGGTATATATATTATTACACCTAATCGTCATTGACAACACTATGAAGGAGGTACTAATATAATCCCCAGTTTACAGATGAGGAAGCCAAAATGCAGGAAGGCTAGGTAAGGAGCCCAGGGTCACACAATCAGGCAATGGGCAGGGCCAGAATCTGAATCCAGGCAGTCTGGGCTCTTCCATTCTGCACTAGGCTGCTTGGCCCTTAGCAGGGCTGGAGAGGTGGTGAGGAAGATGCCTGACAGACCAGGCAGGGGGTGCAGGGGGGCATGGAGAATGGGGACCACAGGAGTACAGCTGCTCCACTCTGGGGCCATCCAAGAAACACACAGGAGGCTGTGCATTTTTGGATGCAGGCTACACATAATCCTTTGCTGAACTGAAGTCCTCAGGCCTGAAAAAAAAAATAGCCCTTAAGAAACTCAGCTCTAAGCCTACTGTGTAAGGTCCTGTCTGTCCTGAACCCTTGGCAACACCTATCATCACATCTCATCCTCCTGGCAGCCAGAATGATCCTTTTAAAACCAAATCATATTATGCCACTTCTCTGTTCAAACTCCCCAGTGGCTCCTGATCTCACGCAGAGGAATGGCCAAAGTCCTGACAACGGTCTCCAAGGGCCTCCGTGGCCACACCGGCCTCCTTGCTGCTACTCCAGCTCCAGGGCCTTTGCACCTGTTGTTCTCTCTGCCTGGAATGCACTTCTCCCAAATGACTGCCTGCTTCGGCCCCCACAACTCTTTCAGATCCTTCTTCATGACTCACCTTCCCTGAATGCTCAAATTAGAGAGGCAACACTGTCTCCGGCTCTCCCAATCTCTTCTGCTTTCCCCACCCCCAACACTTGTTACTATCTAACAAGCATATATTTTATGTATTTATTACAGCTGCTCTACTCCCACTACAACATCAGCTCTACAAGGGCAGGGATTCCTGTCTGTTTCATTCACTGCTGTGCCTCCAGCACCCAGGTCAGTGCCAAGCACTTAGCAGGCACTCAGTAAATATTTGTGGAATGCATGGATGAGATTTGATTTTTTCTTATTCTCCTCCCCAATCTCCTTGTCTACAAGATCCTGTTCACTTGTTGGGCAACCTATAACAAAATAATGAGCCCTTTAACCTCTTCTACCCCAGATTTCCTTATCTCTAAAATGAAAGGGCTGGACTAGATTTTCTACAGTCCTTCCAGCTCTGAAAATCCTCAGCTGACAAAAGAAAAATAGATATATTTACATACAATTATTTATTACACCAAGTCTGTAACTGCATTTACTTGATTACAAAAACTGCATTTCCTTCAGAATTTTCCAAACTTAAG
The DNA here is from genome assembly GCF_000001405.40 of Homo sapiens. Taxonomy (NCBI): domain Eukaryota; kingdom Metazoa; phylum Chordata; class Mammalia; order Primates; family Hominidae; genus Homo; species Homo sapiens. The sequence goes on along the minus strand of NC_000009.12, from coordinate 113,973,680 downwards.
GCCCCACAGCCTCCCTGACCCTTAGAATAAGTGGGGTTTGGCTGGAGTTATGCTACATGATTTGTAACCTGCACACCAGATCGACATTAACCTCAAGTGCTGGGATCACTGGTCTTGTAAAATCGACCCAGTTTGGGTTACAGGGAAGTAAACCAAACCACATTCGGTTGTTTCTTAAGATCAGAAACACAACCTCTCCTTGTCCCCCTCAATTTAACACTAATTCCGTAGCAGCCCATGCTGTTGATTTTGGGGTTTAGCCAGAGGCCCTCTGGAGAAATAACATTATGTGTTCCAGGCCAAGAGGAAGGCGCTGGGATGAAAGCGGACCCTGGCGTAGTAGCAGAGTGTGCCATAGCATAGCTGGGGGTAGAAGCCCACGTTGGAGGGCTGGGGGTCCTTCAAGGTCATTCTGCTCAGAGCCGTCTAATCTAATTCTGACTTTGGGGAACTTCAGGCCCTTCATTTCTCCATCTGAAGAAGGATTAAATGAGCTCTAATGCTCTACAAAGTGTCTACCCATCTAAATCCCACCTGGCCGTGGTCAAATCACCAGTGGTGTCAGCTAAGGCCACCACACTGACAATGTTCTCTCTTTTTTTTTGAGACAGAGTCTTACTCTATTGTCCAGGCTGGAGTGCAGTGGCATGATCTTGGCTCACTGCAACCCTGCAACCTCCACCTCCTGGGTTCAAGTGATTCTCCCGCCTCAGCCTCCTGAGTAGCTGGGATTACAGGTGTGTGCCACCATACCTGGCTAATTTTTGTATTTTTTAAGTTGAGACAGGGTTTCGCCATGTTGGCCAGGCTGGTCTCAAACTCCTGACCTCAAGTGATCCGCCCGCCTCGGCCTCCCAAAGTACTGGGGTTACAGGGGTGAGCCACCGCACTGGGCCCAACAACATTCTCTTGACGTTTAACATATAATTCACTTCTCAGACTGAACATCAAGTCACTATGTAAGTAATAGTGTGTTGGTCTTTCAAAGGATTAGTTTTCCTCACAGAGTCTATAAACTTGCCTGTGAGCTCCTCCAGAGTCCCACCTTCTTGATAGGCCTCCAGCCTACAGCACAGTCCCTGGTCCCAAACAGGCTCCTGTAACACGTGTTAACTGATCCCTTCCCACCAAGAAGCAGGAGGGCGTGGTGAGTAAGTGCATCACAGAAGTCAGACTCAGGTAGACTTCCTGGCTCTACTGCCTACCTCCACCTAGGCAGCCTTGGGCCAGTAAACCTCTCTGTGCCTCAGCTTTCTCATCTGTAAAGTGGGAATAATAAGAGTATCTCTCTCATGAGGTTGTTAAAAAGATTACATTAAATTAATAAATAAAGGGTGGGCATGGTGGCTCCTATCTGTAATCCCAGCACTTTGGGAGGCCAAGATGGGTGCATCACTAGAACTCAGGAGTTTGAGACCAGCCTGGGCAACACAGTGAAACCCCAGCTCTACAAAAAGATGCAAAAATTAGCCAGGGGTAGTGCTGCATGCCTGTAGTCCCAGCTACTTGGGAGGCTGAGATGGAAGGATTGCTTGAGCCCAAGAGGTAGAGGATGCAGTGAGCAGAGATTGCACCACTGCACTCCAGCCTGAGCAACAGAATGAGACCCTGTCTCCAAGAAAAGAAAAATTAATAAATTAATACACATAAATCACTTGGCTCAGAGCCTGACAAAGAAATGTTGACCAAATGGTAGTCTTTACTATTAGAAAGTCTGTTTTTACACCTTAAGCCACACACAACCCCAGGTTTGGGTGGCCCTTCCTGATGCATATTCCGGCGCCATGGTAGTAACACAGGGGCTCAGTCACTGAGTATGTGTGATGAAGAGCCTAGGCTAGCAGGGAGAACAAATCAATGTCTCACGTGCCACCCTACCCCTCCTCTGACTGGGCAGGCATCTCCAATCAATCTCAGCATTCTTCCACCAACTACAGCCTTAGGGGGATAATACTCAATTCAGAGATTCAGGCAGCCACCGTGGGAAAACCTGCCTGTTCTTCTCTGGCTACAATTACCAGGCAGAGATACTCGTGTAGGAGAGATTCATGCATTAGAGAGTGAGGGCAGACCGCATTCCCACAGGACTGACGAGGGGTGGGTGGTGCTTTGTCTCTTCATTCACGAAGTACTTCGAACAGTGCCTGCCATGCAGGAGACACTAGAATGTCTGGCTGGGTGAATAAATTAGCACCTAACCAGCCTGAGTTCACAGCATACAGCACTGGGCCTACCAGAGCAGGTGCTTAGTGAAAGTGGGAGGAAAGTGGGAGAGGCTGGCTAGACCCTCACTTGGGCATAGCACTGAGGAGTGGAGAAAGCACCAGCTTTGGCAGGTTCAAGGCCCAACACAGCCACTGACTCATTATACGCCCCTAAGCAGGGCCTTTCCTCCCAAAGGCCTCGATCTCCCCATTGCACAATGACAGGGTGGTCTAGACAAACTTAATGCCCCTTTCAGTCCTGATTTCCTGATCCAAGAAACACTTCCAGGCACCGGTCTGACAACTGCTACTGCCCCGCAGGCCACAACCTCACACATTGTTCTTACACAAATTCCACTCCTAGGGACCCAGGAGAGAAACACAAAACGCTGGGCAGCTGCTGGCTACTTGGGTCACCCCCAATGACCACAGGCCTAAGTGCACCGTCTCTGAGCTCTACCTGCTCCTCTCCCACACTCCCTGTCTCCACATCACTGGCACATCTTCTTCCATCTCATCTAGTGTGCCCATCCCATAAACACGTACTGAGAGCCTGCTAGGGGCCAGGCCCACAGCAGTGAACAAGACAGACATGTTCTCTGCCAATGGAGCTGGCATTCTCAGAGAGACAGAAAAAAAGGAACACAGGGAAGGGAATGAAATAACGAATAATGAAAATGAAATAATTAAAGAGCATAAACAGGCTATGAAGGCCACACACCACATACTGGGGTGCAGGTACCTTGATACGGAGGGTCAGGGAAAGCTTCCCTGAGGGTAGAACTGACTCCAGATCTGAAAGATGAAAGGGCATTCATCATGGGAAGATCAGAGAAAGAACATTCCAGACACAGGGAACAGCAGTTGCAGAAGCTCTCAGGTAGGGGTCAGTTTAGACTAGGGGTTGACAAACTATGGCCATTTATGGGCAAATTTAGGTATCACCATGGCTACTTCAGCATTATACTGGCAGAGTTGAGAAACTGCCACAAAGATCATACAGCCTGCAAAGTGTAAAATATTTGCCACACAATACAGGTCTCTGGGTTACAGAGACCTCCGGCCTGGTATAATGGCCTCTATTCTACTAGCCTCCAATCCACCCAACAAATGGCTGCCAGGGTGGTATTCCTGAAACACTAAGCCGAACACATTACTCTCCTGCTCAGAGAATGTCAATATCTTTCCATGGTTTCTCAAAGTATGTTCCAAGGAACACTTGCTCAATGCAATGAACGTCAAAAAAAAAGGGGTCCCATAGTTAAGAAGTTTGAGAAACATGATTCTCTCTCTCTCTCTCTGGCTCTCTCTTCTCAAGCACACACATTAGCATATTAAAAGATCTGGAAAGTCTCACAGCAAATAAACCTTTTTAATTTTGTTTAACCCACTGTCCTCTAACTTACTGGGCCACAGAAAGAACCTTTTTTTCCTCACACAAAAAAAATCCATTAACATTTTAAAGAACTAGTGTTCCACAGGCTAACAGGCAAATTCTTCTGCTTGGCATTCACAATCTGACCCTCAGCTCTAACAGGTAACCCTAGGATCGATTCTAGATTTTATGTATGTGTTCAGGGGAGCCATCTCTCTTGTCTGTCCCTTACCTTCTTTCTGCCTCCAAAGCCCCAAATACAGGTCATGTGGCCGTTCCAGCCTTGCTCTACCCAACGTAACAGCAGCAACAGCAGCGGCAGCATGGGTGTTAACATTACCAAGTACCTACCTGTGACACCTGTCATGATGTCCACAGCTTGGGCCTGTCTGATATCTCTCCCTTCTTTGGTAAAAACAGTCCAGTTCTCTATTGGGGACCACCCCTCTCCCCTCTCCTGCCATCCTTGAGGGTGAGGAAAGGCCGCCCCCTCTCCACCCTGGCTAATCAGAGTATCCCATCCCCTGCTTTGGCATGACTGGTGAAGAGAGAGGAGCACATGACACTAGCACATAGGCCAATGGATTCTGGACAAGGATGGGACTGGCTGCCCCAGGAGTTAGCCATGCAGCAGCCCAGATGGAATTCCAGCCCAGGTCTTTCTGCCTAGTCTTATGCTTCACTCCTAAGTTCTCAACTTGAGTGGCCAATGGCCAGTTCAGGAATGAACCATCCTTGGATTCTGGTCACAGGTAGCCACATGGAAAATGCTTTCTATGACCTCACATTCTTTGGGGAAGTCTGGATACTTCTTGCCAAGGAGGGCTGGCCTGGACCACCCATCCTTCCAGGGGGAAGATGAGGACCAGAGAGTGGTAACTGTTAGTCATGAAGACCTGAGTCGATGGGTGGACAAGCTGGGGGCGGGAGAGGGAGTGTACCTGCTCGCAGTGCTTTTCCTTCCGGCTGCACTGGCTCCGTCAGCCTGCAAAAGAAACCCAAAACACCTACATCAGCCAAGGCAGAAGATGCAGATTTGACCTGCTGCCACCCCATCAAGCTCCCACTGAATACCAGCCTTCACACTGTGGGGTGAGCTGGCCACAAGCCCCTGTCCCGCTCCTCCAGGCTGGACAAACTTGTGCCCAGTGGTAAGAGGGAGTCAGAACACCTCCCTGCAACCCCATTTGCTTGGCCCTTTAAATCCCACTGAGCACCCACTGCCAACACAAACTCAGCAACTGCACTGCCCTGGGGACTCAGTGAAAAGTAAGTAACCAGCTAAATCTGAGATTGAATTGCACCATTTTTATTTTCAGCTGGGATTTCCAATAAAACAGTAGCTGTAGATTTATTCCTACCAACCAGAGGGAAAAAATCCTATTATGTTAAAATATTCTTTCTCCCAACCCTATGAGCAGAAGGCAAGAGAGTGCCAGTTCTTAATCTCTTTTATTTGGGTGTGGGGGGAGGGGGACATAAAGCTGATCAAATGAAATTTTCAGAAATCATACAATTCTGATTCAGATGCAGAGACTGGGGCCTTGGGCACAGAGGGAGCTACCTGAAGTCTCATGAAAACAAACTCCAGGGGTCCTGACTCCTAGACCAGTGCTCAGGGGGACCTCAATGCAGAGGCTGACAGAGGTTGCAGACCTGGGAACAATACCTAGATCTTCACTACCGCCAGCTGAAGATACATTCCCGAGCTTTGTCAAAACACTTCTAATAAGAATCATAGGATAATACAGGTCTGAAATTCAGGTGCATATGTGTTTCCAAATTCAGAATTTTTCCAATTTTAGAAAGGTAATGTACCGCCCTATGTCTTATATTTTGAAACAACCCTGGCAGAGCCCCCGCTAATCAAACACATTGATATTTCTATTGTAAAACATATGCATAGGTAACCCTACATAGGATAAACGTCAACAAAACAACAATGAGGACTGTCACTAGCCTTTTCTCCCTTCAGGTCAAGTTCTGCTGCCTCATCAGTTATAAAAACTTTTTGAGTTTTTTTGAATTTCAGGATTGCGGATGAAGGACTGAGGACCTGAAATAAAACACCTTTTGATGAGTGCTTACGAGAAGTTGCAAACTGGCAAAATCAGATGGCGGACTTCGATTCAAACAAATCGGCAATGTATAAAAATAAAAGAATTGCACTGAAAAAAGGCGAGATCTCCACCTTCTCTTATTAAACTGGATAACCCCATGATACCTAGTCCTACATGGTGACAGGCAGCTAGAGCTGACATACTTGGCTCTCCACAGCCTCCATCCTCCACTCTTGCCTTATAATCACCCAGCCCGTCTGGTCCCAGCGGGCATCCACACTTGCTCCCCAGGGAGAACTTCCCATTAGGCGCTAGGATGTGGACATTAATGCCTTCTCTCATTTAATCCTCACCATAGGTCCTCCCCCCTCCACCCCATAATATCCCCACTTTACAGGCAAGAACACAGGTCAAAGAATGTATTTATCAAAAGTCCCACAGCTATAAGCTCAGGTCTGGGTCACTCCAAAGTCCAACATCCTCAGTTCTGGAGCATTTTACTTCCCACCGACATTCAGGAGAGCCAATTGGGAAATGGGGTGACATCAAACAGCTCCTGTTTCCCACACAAGGGAAAGGGCAAGGTTAAGGACGAATAGGGAGGGAGAAATGTGAGGTCGGGGAGGAAGAAATTAATGAGCTGCCCATGTATTATTTCAACAGAAGAAACAAGAAAGCAGAAAATGGTTTGCATATCATTTCACTGGGAGCAAAAGAACAGATCAATTACAGCCTCTTTCCAACATCTTGCATTCCTCAAAACTTGTATGCAAAGCAAACAGGCTGAATTTGTTTGAATGTTTGTATCATAAGCAGCAGAAGTGGTACGGGTGGAAATTCTGCCCCAGAGATCTTAAAAAAATGGTTAACTCCCAAATGGATCTCTCGCCTTTCAGACTTAATTCTGTGCGTGTATTTTTAGCTTGTCACACACACTTTTAAAGTTGTCATTTTTGTCCTTTTCCTTCACAATTTCACACAGAGTTGACCAGCTCAAGTGCAGCAAACACGTGACAGAGTGTGGGATAAGAGTCTCTGTTTTCAGCATGCCTAATAATCTCCACCTTTGTTTCTCTTTTATTGAGTGAATGATACTTCAGCTTCGTGTTACTGGTAGCTGCATGCATTTCTGTTTTCCACCCATTTTCATAAAACAAAGAGAAAGTGCTAAAAATATTCAAAGAATTGTCAAATACTTTTGCAGAGACTCAGGTGGTGCTGCTGGGAAACTGGGGCAACTAGAGGAGAGTTCTACCTGGGCAGGGTGTGGGATGTTCAGATGGTGGCAGATGAGAGTTGCTTCATTGGAATATGGATGGACAATGGATTCAGTGGGAGATGTCCAAGACACATGTGTCAGTATCACAGCACCTGGCAATCACAGCGTGTGGGCCTGGCCGAGTCCAGCTACACCATGACGACAGAGCCAAAGTCCACTGTGTTGGGAACACCAACTCCCAGGGTGGAGTTCCATACACGCCAGGCCGGTGTGGTCTGTCCTTACAAATACATCACAGCCATTCCTTCCAAGTGGATTAAGCTGAACCTCTGACATTGCCATGTGCTGAGGCCAAAATGTTCTAACACCAGCAGTTTCATATGATTCAACCTAAACAGCAAACTCATCTGTACCCTGTGCAAACTGACCTGAGTCTCAATTTGAACCGAAGCTTAAGAGAACAGAGTTTAGAGTTAGAACATCGGAGTTCAAGGCCTGGTTTTGCCGTTTTCTAGCTCTGCGATCTTCAGCAAGTCACACGTATTTCCAAGGCCTCGATTTCTCCCTCTGCAAAATGGCAAGATGCTCATCACAGGACCTACTTCACGGGACTGGCTTGGGACTTGAGATAGCTTAAATAAGGTAAAACATGTAATAGCATGTAAAAGTACTTAGTGAGTGCTTGGCTATAATAATGAAAATAATCACTGACAACCCTATAGTTATAGAGGCCACTATTTATTGGGTCTAGGAAACTGAGGCACAGAAAAACAGAATGATATGTATAAGATGAACGAGTCGCAGAGCCAGCCTGGGGTGGACCATGGGTCTTCTGCCTCAAGGCCTTCCCCGAATCCCAAGCTGCAAGTCGGCATCTCATGAGTGGCCACCAGACCACACAGCCCGAAGGCCTTCTCCAACGGTGCAGCCAGAATGACAGTAATGTCACTAAAGTACTAAGCGCAGCCCTGGTATACATAGTCATTACTCAGGTAATGGAAACTCCCACTGCAGCTGCTGTTGTTCCACCATCTTCCGCCACTGGACTGTGTGCTCCTTAAGGATGTAGCTTGTTTCCCTGGCTCTGAGTCTCATTTTGAACCTCAGACAAGCTCGTTCCTTTCTCTGCACCTGAGATTCTCCATAGGTAAAAAATGGGGGCGGAGAAGGAGGTTAAATCAGGTCATCTCCCCCACTCCATGTGGAGTTGACCCAACCTTAAAACCAGACTCCTCTATGACAAATAAAATAAGGAGGACCCCAGTGAGATCCTCCTTCTCACTCTCGTAAAGCTGGGGTGAAGGTGTATCTAAGCCCTCCAGCCCCGAATAAGGGTGCCTGTCCCCTCTTCCCAGCCCCACCCATTCCTTATTCACCAGTTTCCCCTCAGGACCTGGGCAAGGCTATTTTTGGTTTCATTCGACCCTCCTCTTCCCTCCCAAATGAATGTGAAGTTGTTCTTTTCCATTCTCTTATTAAGGGTTTTCTTGGAAAGAAAATATTATTCCAAACCCAGAAATTTTATTTCTAAATTTGTGCAAATGTAAGTTGTAAGACATTAGCTGCATTTCACATTTTGTGCAAATGGCAGAAACAGGCAATTCGTGTGCTCCAGGATGGGGGCTGGCCAACGATTTCGATAAAATAAACCCTTTTTTAATTTAAATGCTAATGCACTGAATTAAAATTTAATAACTGAGGAAATTGAAAAGCCGAGCAGGAATATTGGAAATAAATCCAAGCAGAAACAGCTGAAATTAAAAATTCTAGAGAGTGGGAGGATAGCAGCTAAGCTGTCTTATATGATTACATTTTTTTTTTTTTCAGAATGAAGCAAAAAAAAAAAAAAATCCTATCTCTCGCTGGCTCTAGGGCAGTAAATCCACAGTGCTGTGATTTATTGCTCAATTTTCCTGAGGGAAAAAGGCTTTCTTTCATGCTGAAATATTTCATAAATTTCAAGCCAGCATAAATTCTTAATTTAAAAGTTATGGAGGTCACATTTAGTGCACTGGTACGGTTCCAAAATCTTAAAGGAATAGCAGCAACCAAAAAAAAAAAAAAAAAAAAAAGCAGAAAGGAGGGGTAGAATTTGCTCTTTTCTTTTTTTCCTTTTTTTCATTTTGGTTTTAATTCTCACAAGTTGAAATTTCATTATTAAAGATTCCTCCTGGATGGATAGAACCCAAGCACGTGGGGAACCGCTGTGTGTTTGGAAAAACCTGCTGCAAAAGATGAAGAGATAAAGATTTAATTCAATTATAAAATGGCATTTTTTTTTTTAAGCCACTTGAGGAATTTCTGGTAAAAATTTCCTCCCTTCATTGCCCGGGAAGCGGTGAGGGTGGGGGAGGGTGGCCAATGTAATTGCTTCTCTTAGATCTCCAATCTTTTGTGCTCACTGATATATTCATTTGTTATACAGCTGTTCAGCGGCGGAAAGAATGCTGGGGCGCCCATAATTCTAAGCAAATCAATCAAAAATTAATGATTTGTCATGCTTGCACAATGGAGGAAAAACAGCTCCTTAGGTCCTGGCTGCCTGATCTCGAAGAATGAAATGCCTTTCTTCGATAAGAGAACCGAGCCTGAGGCTCGGGGAGGCTGAGGTGCTGCCACAAATGTGGGGGCCTCACAGTCCCCCTAGCTCTGTGAGGTTAGAAGGGGGCCGCCATCTTGGAGGGGGCATTTCCAAGATGGCGCCTCAGCTAGCCAAGCTCAAGATGGACCTGGCGCAGCACATTTTCACAGTGCTATAATTAGGATTTTGCCTTTTCCTCCCCCACCGCAACTCAAAAATTACTTGGTCTCTAGAGAATTGAATGGCTCCCTCCTCCCCCAGCTAGATTTAATTTGTCCCTGTTCATTGTTTTCCCAACACTGCTGACACGCAGACATCAACCAACTCTACGGGACTGGGACTGGGGCTGCAGTTCCTGAAGCGTCTGTCACCCCCCAGGGTGTGTGCTGCCCCTCCTCCAAAGGCCACATCCCACACATGACCATGTCACCAGCACCCAGCTCAGGGCCTGGCACAGGGCAAATACTCGGCAAATATAGTTGAATCTGTTAATTATGATTGTTTCTCAAAAAAATACTGACAATGAGGTTGCTTAGATGAATGGTGCATTGGCAATCATGCTTGAATGAAATATATCAATTGACCTCAAATAATTAATCATTCCTTTATTCACTCAGCAGATAGTTCTTGGAAACCTACTATGTGGCAAGTACTCTGCTGGGCTCTGGGTGGATGACGTCAAATCCACTAGGGGACAATTTTGAATGCCCAGTGGTCAGTATTTTTCAGGCTTCTCTGCACCCTTATGGAAGGGAAGCATGAACATGAACCCAGAGAGAAATGGGAGTTTCTCTGCATGCTCAAATGCCCTTTGAAGTCTTGTAGCTTACTAATTCTTACCAATACATTTGAATATTACATTCAAACTACCAAATACATACGACACCATAATACATATTTCATATATTTTTATATGTTAGTACAAACATCAACATTGTTTTAAACGACCAGCTGGTACAATTAACCTTGCAGGAAGATATGTGACCTCGGCAGTGGGTGCAACCAAGTGCATTTAACCTGGAGGCCTGCAGGGGGCACTGCGCTTGCAAGAAGCACCCACCAACCCAGGACCTGCCCAGAGGATGATTCTATGTCCCCTAATATTTAGAGGACAGTTGGTCTGAAACAACTCAAGCTTTATTTATATATCTATTTCCTTTCCAAAAGCCAGTGAATCCCCAAAACTTAACATGTAACTTTCTGTCTCCTCCACTGAGGCACAAGACTCAAATAAGGAAAATTCACTCATTCATCCAACAAACATTTATCAAGCTCCTTCTACATGCCAGACATCATTTTAGGCAGTTGGGATATATCTATACCCTTGTGGCAATTACATTCAAGTGGGGGGAGACGCTAACATTAGGCGTAATAAATAAGTAAAACATATAGCATGCTTGAAAGTAATCAGTTCTATGGTGTGTGGGGGAGGCGGGGGAGTCATGAACAGGGAAGGATAGGGTGGTCAGGAATGCTGGGGACAAGGGAGGAGCCACAGGCTGCAATTTTAAGTAGGGTAGTTGGGTAGGCATCATTGGGTGAACACTGTAAGAGGGTGAGAGAGTTGGCCATGTGGTGTCTGGGGCAAAGTGGATGCCAGTGCAAATGACCCCAGGACAGGAGCATGCCTGGTGTGCTTGGCAAACAGCAAGAATGTCAGGATACCTGGGGCAGAGTACATGAGGACAAGAGGAGGAGAGATCATGGGAGGTCAGCTCATGCAGAGCCTTGCAGGCCACCGAAGAGCCTTGGCTTCTACTCTGGAAAGCCACTAGAAGGTTTTGGCAAAGTGACATACTTTGACTTACATTTTAGAAAGATCACTCTGGTTGCTGTGTTGAAAGGAGACCATGAGGCCAGGGGGGAAACAGAAGGCTGGCAGGGCTACGGAGCAGTCCAGGGAAAAGATGATGGTGGCAGGGACTGAAGAGGGTGAGGAAAGGTTGAGTTCTGAATATACTGGTTGGTGCTGGTAAATTAGATGTGGGGTATGACATAAAGAAAGAGTCAAGGAAGATTCCAAAAATCATGGGCCTTAGCACCAAGAAAAATGGAGTTGCATCTCTCCCACACATGAGAATACTAACCATCAGCACAGTACTTTACAGATAAGTTACGCCGAATGAGATCCTCCCAGTAACCCTGCAGGGAAAACACTGTGGTTTAAATATCCCTCTTTGACCAAGAATTAACCAAGCACGTGGAGGGGCTAAGTGACTTATCCAAGGTCATACCACCGCCAGTGGCTTGGCCAAGGTTCACACATCTTCTCACCCCAAGTCCACAGCCATTTCCTCTATATATTTGGCCCTTCCCCTATGGAACCAATGGATAAAACTTAGCCCCAAACCATATGGATGAACTGTTTTTCTGTCTAGCTACAGAGCTCCAACTCAGGCACAGGCAGCTCCAGCATTTATTCACCAGGTGTCCCTAAAAAATGCCATTTAAAAGTGCCAGGGCCAATGCTGAAAAAGTTATAAAGAGCTTTGCAAGTTACAAAGAGGATTCTGTTCCTGGAAACCAAATATATGATAAATTCTCTAATTAGTCCTTGCCTCTTAGATCACATTCAGTGGTATGTATCTAACACATTGTACTTGGTTTTTGTGTTTTCTTTCCCAACTGAACACGGTAACTCAAAGCCACTGACTGCCCTAGGTTCCACGCTTGAGGAGTGGCAAGAGGCTGCCAGAGAAGACCCTGGCCTGAAAGAGCTGGAACTCACATGAGTTTGTGCCATTTTTCCATAAATATTTATGAAGTTCCTATTAGATGTTTGATTCTGGGCAAGGCCTTGGCCGGTGGAGGATACGAAGATGAATCAGACCTGGTTCCTTATTCATTCGCCCAAATACCACTATGTATTATGATGTAAATGCCTACTATGGGCTGGGAACTAAAATAATTACTGGGGACACAACAGCAACAAGAACAGTGAAGGGGACAGGCATTGATGACTTAATGGCTTCAATCAATCAGTTTATAATTACCACCTGAGATACGTGCTCTGAAGGGAAAAGTCTGGGTTCCGTCAGCATCTTTGACAAGAGGATCCAACAGACTTCAGGGTCAGGAAGAGCTTCTATGAAGAGGGATACTGGAATAGGAAGCACAGAGCTCACACTCGACAGGGGGAATAAAACTGTAGATGCAGGTAAAGCTAACACAGGCTGGATGGCAGGGAGCGACATGCACCTCGTGCAGGGCAGTGAAGAAAAGGGCACCACCTTGCCCAGCTGGGAAACCAAGGCCCGTGAACTTCGCTGGGTTGTAGCCTTCTCTGAAGGCTTCACCAATGAAGGAAGGGCCCAACCCACCCAACATGCACAGGCTCACACAAGGAGTTCCTGACTAGACCCCAAGGCCAGAGCCCACGCCTCCCTCTGGACTTGGTAGCTTCCAGCTCTGAAGGGGAAGGAACAATGGTTTGATCTTTCCCCTTTTCATTTGCTGCAGAGTGGCCACAATGCTCCATGGAACAGAAATGTGAAGACCGTCCCCAAACCAGGTCTAGGCATCTTCTCCGCAGGAGGCCCCAGAGACATTGTGATTGACTGGCCAAGTTTCCAACTACAAGGGAAAGCCAGGGAAAATGACCACTTTCTTTACGCCTCTCAGTTATGATACCTTTTATGTCTTTCTCAAGCCCTGGCTCTCTGAGGTCCAGTGTTAAAACATAAATCATTCCTGTCTGGAATGGAACCAGTGTGGGTCTTGTCTGCTTCTTGTGAGTTTCCAGGTACAGGTGGATTCTTCTCTCTCTGATAGGCAGCCATGCAGATTGGATCCAGACCCTAATACAGTCTTCATCATCATCATCGTTGTCTTTGACATCACTGTCAACAGTCAGGAATGAGTAAGTCCTGTAAGTCAGGCTAAGGGAGCTGGAAGCTTATGGACAGACTTGGAAGGCATATGCACCCCAAAAGCAATTGCGAGCTGCAGTATGCAGACTGGAGGTGGTAGCCAGCACAGAGAGCCCACTGTCCCCTTCCAGGGAAGAGATGATGGCGGTTTGGGGAAGGTGGTGGAGGAGAGAAAGCTGCAGGACTGAGAGCTACTGGGAGCAGCACAGATCAACTGAGATAATGTGAGGAAAACACCCAGCAAGACGCCGGCACATATTAGTTGCTCTGTGAACACAGATTTTTGTTGCTGTTGTTGTTTAAATAAACTGCAGCAGCTGTTGAGAAACCTCTGCCAGTCTTAGATTATGTGCAGAGGGCCTCGTTTCCTTCATGCACAGACCTGGGCCCCTGGGAGAGATGGAAGAATAGAAGAATTCACCTCCAAACCTGAGGCCTGAGTCACGACGTTTAAAGGAGAAGGGGGCCGGGCGTGGTGGCTCACGCCTGTAATCCCAGCACTTTGGGAGGCCGAGGCGGGTGGATCACCTGAGGTCAGGAGGTCGAGACCAGCCTGGCCAACATGGCGAAACGCTGTCTCTACTAAAAATACAAAAAATTAGCCAGGCATGGTGGTGGACTCCTGTAATCCCAGCTACTCAGGAAGCTGAGGCAGGAGAATCGCTTGAACTTGGGAGGCGGAGGTTGCAGTGAGCTGAGATCGTGTCACTGCACTCCAACTTGGGCAACGAGAGCAAAACTTCATCTCAAAATAAATAAAAATAAAAAAATAAAGGAAAAGGGGGAAATCCGCAGAGAGGTAAAGGCAGCAGCCTCCCCTGCAGGGCTATGTGGGACTCACCACCCAAGGCACAGTTTCGTTTCCATCCCAGGGTACCAGGTGCCACCACGGCTGGGGCCCTCAGTCTGCACATGAGTCCAACACGTACTATAACAGTTTCTGGTGGATTAATGTGTGTTCATTCTATTCCCCCAGCTGGGCAGGATCAGAAAGTGTTCTAAATGTTGTTTCAAAGAGTGAGGTTTTTCTTAGATCTGGCCCAGTGAGGTGTTGTTTTTATTTTTTAAAACACTTTTTTTTTTTTGAGACAGAGTTTCACTCTTGTTGCCCAGGCTGGAGTGCAATGGCGCAATCTCGGCTCACCGCAACCTCCACCTCCCAGGTTCAAGCAATTCCTGCCTCAGCCTCCTGAGTAGCTTGGATTACAGGCATGCGCCACGACGCCCGGCTAATTTTGTATTTTTAGTAGAGACGAGGTTTCACCATGTTGGTCAGGCTGGTCTCGAACTCCCGATCTCAGGTGATCGGCCTGCCTCGGCCTCCCAAAGTGCTGGGATTTACAGGCATGAGCCACCGCGCCCGGCCTAAAACACTTTTTATGTTGAAGAAATTTCACATTTACAAAAGAGTTTCTCAGGGATAGCAGGGAGCTCCCATATATCCTTCACCTGCCATCAGGGGCTCCAGGCAGGGCAGTAACATGGTCAGAATTCTGTCCTCCGATGGGCTGCTGGTTAGGGCAATGACAGACACCAAGACCAGTTGGGGGTAGATGTCAAAGTCCAGGGAGGGTTGGCTGAGGTCTGAGCTAAGGCAAGGCGAAGCCTGGTCTCCCTCCCAGGGACCAGCAAGCAAAATGCCCCCAGGCTCCAGCAGTACACCAGGAAGAAAGAAGCCAGCAGCAACAACAGGGTAGTGTTTACGGGAATCAGCCTGGGCACAAACGTGTGAATGGGACGCTGGATGCATCATGATCTCTCAGTGCCTCCGTTCCTTTATCTGTAAAATGGGGAGATCCCACTGCCCACCTCACAGAGCCATTGTGAGGATTAAATGAGCTAGTTGTGCTTGGAACAGGGTCTTTCCATCTATGTAGTGCCAGCTAGTATCATCAACTCAACATAAAGGGCTTCAAATGAAGGTAATCCTAGCAATCTAGAAGTGGCCAGCATCCACTGGGCACCTCCCGTGTGCCAGCCCTGGCTCAGGGTACAGCATGCATCATTTCATTTAATGTTCTCAACTACCATAAGAGGTGGGGATGTCACCAGTCCCCATGTGCAGGGGAGGACTTAGAGGCATGCTGGGTCCAGGGACCAGCTGGGAAAGACTCAGCCAGGACTCCAACCCAGATACTCCGAGTCCAAATCCACATTTTCAAATCCTATGCCATCCTGCCTCCAAGGCTGGTGGGGTGACCTTGGAGAGAGTGACTTGCCCCCTTGTCTTTCAGCATGGACACGCTCCTCTGGGTGCATAAATGCTGCTCTGCTTGTTTTCTTTTTTAAAAAGAAATGAATCTCAGTTCTTTCCAGTCACAGTTAATCTCTCAATTTACAAAAGAGTGAGTCATGTGACTGAATTCCACAAAAATTCTCTCTCCAGGTTTATGATTTTACAGAAAACTCTAGGGAAAACCGCCTGGAGCGAGTTAAAACCAGATCAGCCATAAACCATGTCCTGGTACAGCCTCACCAAGCTGAGACTCAGATTACTCATTAAATATGTGATAAATATTCACTTCAGATCAGCAGGAAGTGGGGGTTGGGGGTAAAAAAAAAAAAAAGGAAACTTTTGCTTCATGGAGAGAAAAACCTATTATAAATACAAAGGGTTGCAAACTCCAAATTAGGTGAACCCAGAATTCAGGGACAAGGCTTTAAGTCACCCCCTTAGGTATTTCTATGTATGGCAGTAGGGGAAGAGGCTGTCCTCAAATCTCTTCTAGTGAACCGAAGGCTTCAGCCTCCTTTGATATGGCCAGGGTAATGCTGGCATGTCTGGCATGTCTGGACGGCCTCACCAGGGAGGAGGAACTTTATACTCTAGGAGACCCCTGTTAGCACCAGGTCCTCCTCTGACTTGCTCGAGAGGCAGTCTCTGGCCCTCAGACTACCCATCTGTTCAATGAGGTTGCTGGACTGATGGCCTCTCAGAAACATTCCAACTCTGACATCTGGAGTCAGTCAGGCCTGAGTTCAAATTCTGCCTGGGCTACTTAGTAGCTCGATACATCCTGTCTCTCAGCCTTAGTTTCCTCTGATGTAAAATAGAGATAAAAATCCCCCCATCCCACGGCTGTTGGGTGGATGAAGTGATAGAGAGTCTATAATATTCTCAGCCAGTGCTAACAACACTACATGAGCCACAGATCTGGATGATGTCATTAAGATTACATTGATGGTGGTAAGTAAAATTAATATACTTTTTAAAAAGCCAAACACATTCTGATCTCTCCGGCCGGCGGGATTTATTTGGCACAGTAGTTCCCAGCATAGTATCTACAGGCAGATGGGTTGGGTTCAAGCCCTGGCTCCACCACTTACATACTATGTGTCACTGGGTAAGTCATTTAACCTTTGTGACTCAGTTTCTTCATCTGTCAAATGCAGATAATAACAGTACTGACCTCACAAGGTGACTGAGGACCAAATCAGTTCATAATACATAAAACTCTCAGAACTGCGTCTGACACTTACTAAGCAGTATATAAGTACTACCTATATAAATCATTACTTTTTATAAAATGATTTATTAGTAGTTAACTTTAGCTATAATTACTACCACTTATTAAAATTTGGGCAAGTCTTAATTCTGAAACTTGCTAAGGCTGTCTCACTGCCTAGACGACAGTCTACTCTAACCACCTCTAGGAAGCCTTCCCTGACCACAGGACAACATCCTAGAGCACCAAGAAGGTGCCTGAGCACACCTAAGAACATCGCCACTCTGCAGCCTTGCTCCCCACCAAACTGTAGTTTCCGTGAGGGTGGCCTGCTGTTTTCAGCTTCTCTGTGGCTCCATAGTACCTAGGCCTAAGGATGTGTTACGTCAAGATGAGGCTTCATAAAAGTCAGTCAACTGGTTTAAAACATAAAGGAATTGTAGTTCCAATAGTCAGAGAGCCAGAGTGGTGAATGGGGTCCAAGGAATCATTTCATCTAGTTTAAGAATGGCCTGTTCTAACCATTTAGTAGTGGCTGCCTGGGACCATGTGTTGAGAAAGATTCTGAGGTCACAGCAGAGCTCGGTTAGAAAGAGTGCTGTGATTGATTACTAATGTCTGCAGTGAGTATGGTAAAGTTGGGGATGGAAGCATGCTTGCCCCCTCTAATCTAGTCCAATGCTCTTCTTTTTTTTTTTTTTTTTTTTTTTTTTTTTTGAGACAGAGTTTAACTCTCGTTGCCCAGGCTGGTGTGCAGTGGCACAATTTTGGCTCACTGCAACCTCTGCCTCCCGGGTTCAAGCAATTCTCCTGCCTCAGCCTCCCGAGTAGCTGGGATTACAGGCGTGAGCCACCACTCCCAGCTATTTTTTTGTATTTAGTAGAGATGGGGTTTCACCATGTTGGTCAGGTTGGTCTCGAACTACTGACCTCAGGTGATCCACCCGCTTCGGCCTCCCAAAGTGCTGGGATGCTCCTCTTTTACAGACAGAGAAACTGAGGCCTCCTGACCCCCAAAGCACCCTTCTTCCGGTCACATTTTCATTTGCAAACCTATTCCCACATAGAAGAAAGAAGCTGAGGGCTTTTAAAATATGTAGTAAAAAGAGACATCAAAGAAGAAAGAAGACCAGAGACAGAAGAAATATACATAGAAAAAAATATGTGTAAAGTGCAGGGCTTACTTTTGCTGTGAAAGAGAAATAATTACAGAAGGGCAAAGTAGATGTTCTAAGTAAGACTTTTTTTTTTAAAGAGAGAAAAGTCTGGAACACATGCTCAAACTCAAAGTAGAAATCTTACAAATTCCTATTGCAAAATAACTCCTGGTCAGCCAACCACAATCTCTATAAATATATCACAAGATCAACAGCCCAGGAAAATAGGGGGAGGGGGAGAACAACTGCATGAATTTTTTTCAAAATCAAAATAGTATACGCAAAATAGTTCCTCTCACAGCTGGAAAGGAAGGAATCACTCATATTCCTACAAAATGAGAGGCCCATGAAGAAATGAAAGATTGTAATTCTGCACATCCCAATGGGTGCCTGCTGAGAAATCTAGACAACCAGACTATTTTGAAATTATTCTACAATTCTGTTTTCTTTGCAGTGTGGGGGTGGGGTGTGGAAATCTGGTACCTTGAATTCATTAGGGCAGTCATGAGCTTACAGTGACTTCCACGGGGTGAGTCAGGGTGGCAACAGCCAGTCAAACTCTCTAAGGGGTCTGATTTGGGAATAGCCTTCAGGGTCCAGGATAGACAAAAAAAAAAAAAAAAGAGAAGTCACTCTAGGCCCTTTAAATGGAGGCAATTTAATATAAGGATTTGAGAACACAGGTGATGAGTGAATAGAGAAGGCAAACAGGAGACAGATAGAAAACCAGGCATATCAGCATATGGGAGAGCTGCTGCTACCACCCATAGCCCTGGAGAGATAAAAGGGATGAAATGGTGTTATCAGAAACTGGGGCTGTCCAGCAAGAAGTAAAATTATGGAAAAGGCTGCCCACTGGGAGTGGACCATAGAGGGAAGGGCTGGAGCTAAACAGAAAACACCACCAGAGGGAGAGAATGGGTGAGAAGAAGTACCCCAGGCTTCTCCCTCCCTTTTCACATTCCAGTCTTCCTGATGAGCATCCTACTGGTTAAACTTTTGAAGGCCAGAGAGCAAGAGCACCTAGGAAATGCAATCCCTTGCAATACAGAGCACAGCAGGGAAAAGGAAGGCATGGAACTGAGGTCAAACCAACAGATCAGTTCAGATAGGAAACTCCAGAAGTGCAGGATCCACCTGAAGACACTGCCCTGCAGAGCTAACCAAAGAGTCCACCTGAGTCCAGTCCCCCATTTGGACTCCAGCCTCCTCATCAGCAAGAACTGCCTTGTCTTGAACTGCACCATGCTCTGCACTATCCAGTGGAATCACAGCTTGGAGTTTAAAGAACTCTGGAAGTCTGGGAAATGGATGCCTGGCCACACAGCCCAGTCCCCCAACATGTAGGTTGCTTGGGTATCCTTCTAGCATATTGTAACTCCAGTGTTGCTGAGAGAAGTACGGAAAACTCATCATGTGAAAGGGTAATGCTCTCCTCAACCCCCTGCCCAGAAGACCCAAGCACCCAGTGGACACTCTAGAAGCATCCCTTGACCAGACCTATAGGGATGACGATCAGAGGCTCTGGGGACCACAGTATGACACCAGCTGGGCTAGGGGAAACCCACTCCTAGAGCCCTAGAACTTTCCACATTCAAGGACACTCCAGAGGCACGCAGGACATCTTTGCTCTTTGCTGAACAGTATCATAAAAGGCAAATGCATTCCTACCCCACATAGACTCAACCCCCAGAACCTCTTTGTCCTAGTTGTTGCTAAAGGCTTCATTTAACTACATTCTGCAAAGAAAGGAAGGGCCCTTCCCCTTCCTTTTGGGTTCCATTCCCACCTCCTCCAGGCCACAGGGGCAATCTCCCTCCCCTGTTTTCTTAAAGCACTTATTGCCTGGACTATTCAAAAGATATTGATCAACTGGCTGCTATACTCAGTCATCTTTTTATTACCTGTCTTCACAGCTGGACATCCATCTTTCCCAGGCAGGGGCTGTGCCTCTGGATTCCCCAGTGCCCACCAGACAGCCCAGCACAGAGAGTGTGTCTACATAGCATCCTTAAAGGGGAAGATGACTCAGGTTCCCGGAAGCCTGAGTCTGGAGTGAGGCAGGAATAACATATTCTATCAATCCCCCACATACATTTGTTTAGTGATTTTTTATATCCATTACTTCATTTAATTCTTCACAAGGTAGGAGTCATGATTTCCGTTACAGAGAGGAAGAAGCAGAGGTTAACTGGCTGAAGTGACAAGAACAGAATCAAACTCTCTATATATAACTTTACATAAAGTTTACACTAACAAATACCACATGCACGTATACAATATCCCTAAAAGCACTTGGCCTGGATGGCTCAAAATTGAATGATACTTTCCTCTTTCCTGCTTCGCTTTCCATTATTACCACTTTTGAGGAAAAATTCATTATACTTTCAAATACTCATGCTGTACATCTATAGAGGCAGGTATTAGGATGAGGTGATTTCCTAGGGTTCCATGCTACTCCTGATTGAAGAAGACTGTGACTCTACAAAGACCTGCTTTTAACCATCTCTCCCGAGGATAGGCCTGGGTACACACCCCTTCAATGGGAAGTTCAACACTTAGGGCATCCAAGCTCCACCTGGGAGCCGAACAGGGTGACCTCGAAGTACGTTCACGTACTGAGATTTTCTCTTTCTAAGAGGCTCTTGGGGAAAGTCATCTTTAAGCCGATTGCCTTTTTAATACAGTAGACCCTGGGAGCAGAGTTTTTATATTGCATGTAGTTGCAACCACAATAGATATATGACTGCTAGTATGTATTAAGATACTATTATGTGCCAGCAACTCTAAAAGGCTCATTAAATGTGTCTGATCTCATCCAACATCCTCATTAACTAGAGATTATTCATCTACTTTCCAACAGGGGAAACTGATGTCCTGAGATGTGCCTTGCTGTTTTAGGGAATGGAATTCAATTGAGAATGTTTGTAGGTGAGCAGTCCAACTGCATGGCAAGTCTGGAATGTGAATGTGGGTCAGGCATCCTTAGTAAACCATTTTGTCCTCACCACTTAGTGTGTGGTAGAACATACTACTGTCACTTTCCTGAGACTTCTCAGAGTTCCTAAAACTACCATGATTTTATAGATTAAAAAAATAAGTTTCAGAGAGGTGAAGACATTTATCCAAAATCATACAGCTAGTTAGCAGCAGGGCCTGGACTTGAACCCAAGCTTATCTGGCCCCAAGGCCCATCACTCAACCATCATGCCATCCCTAACTCCCCCAAAAGGGAATGCAATGAGAGGACTATGAGGAGTCAGACTGCACCCCCAAACAAGGAAATACATTCAGAGTCACAGTCAGAGTTAGTCCTGAGGCGGTATGCTTCCCATGAGAGGCTGTCATCAGGGGGTGGACAGACACCCAGTGGGGAAAAAAATCAATCATTTTGAGCAAAAGGACAGATCAGCTACTCAGTGTGCAGGGAAGGGGTGGTAAAAGGTGGTATTCCTTGCCAGGATATTCCAATTCTGGATCCTTCTGGAAGATCCCAGCCCTTCCTAAATGCTTCTTCAAACCAGCCTTAATTATCCAGCTTTTCTCCTCCATATTTAAGGGCCACCATCTTTTAGTGAAATGCTGCGGACCAAATATTTCATTTCCTTTATTCCCCTCTTCCTGGCTTCACAAGTGTAGTAAAAAGTTAATGAATCTATAAATTGCTCACTGGCTTAAAAAAAGAAAAAACAGTTAATGGAAATTTTAATGAAACGCCCCGTCCACATAACTGATGGCAAACCCAGGGCCGGAATACCTGGCACCAAATGGCCCATATGGAGTGCCACGAAAGCCTCAAGGCAGTCACTGAAAGAAAGCGGGGCTCCAAGCTCATCAATGTCTGAATGATGACCAAGTCTCCACCCCAGGCTTTGCGGTGGCAACTTGAGTCCCATCTGCCCAAAGGGAAACGGTGTCAGCACATTCAATCATCAAACTGGGAAACCCAGTTTCTAAGAAAAGGAAAATGGCACAGAACCACACTTGTTCTCCTTAGCCATGAGGTCAAGGTTTGGGACACGACTCCAAGATGGGAAAAGTCATGATAACTGAAAAGCCACTATGTACTCAAGAGGCCCCTCAACATACAACTGCCTGAGTTCTCATCCTCTGGAAATACTAGAGTTAATGGGAGAGGAGTATATATACATATATATATATACATATATATACACACACACACACACACACATATACACACACACATATACACACACATATGTGTACATATGTACACACATATGTGTACATATACACACATATATGTGTACACATACACACATATATGTGTACACATACACACATATATGTATATATACACATATATGTATATATATACACACACACATATATGTGTGTATATATACGTATATATATAGGAAAAAGTGCTCCAAGCCATCCTGGTAAAAGGTCCCTATTCACAAATATTGTTTGGATGCCTATTCTATGTCAAACACTGAACTAGAACCTTTGCCTATTTCTGATATGTCCCCTAAAACACAGCAAGGTAAATATAAATACCCTCCCTTTAATCTGATGAGGAAAGGGAAGCACAGAGAGGTTAAGCGACCACCCCAAAGCCACACAGCTAGTCCAGCCCCATCACAGCAAGTTGTTATTCATGAAAAACCACCTAGGTTTCTTCAAAAGCCCTCCAACTGGCCTTCTAGCCTCCAATCAAGCCCCCTCCCATTCAACAATTTCCACTTGCAGCTCGTTTGGTCTTTGTAAGACACAAGTCTGATCCTGTCCCCCCCTCCCTTCCTCCTTTCCCCTCCCACTCCTCCTCCTCAGAGACATAGTCCCTGCTCTTCTCCAGCCTCAGCTCCCACCGAGGCCACCCTCACAGTAGACAGTCCGGCCACACCAGGGTTCCTGGACCTGCTTCCACACTCACTGCCTGGCCAACTCTCCTCCCCATCTTTTAACTCTCATCCTAGACATCCCTTCCACCAGGGAACCTCTCGAATGTCCCCACACTGCCCTACTCCACTTCCCATCTCACCCTGCCACCTGAGGCCGGGTTGGAGCCCCTCTGATGTCTACTCTTCCCAGCGGTCCCACCATTCAATGATTTGAATGCCTCTTTCCCCAGGCCGAGGGCAGCCTGGAGGCAGAGACCAAGGCTTATTCACAGAGTGCAGGCCTTGCTCAAAAAACAGACTCGGAAAATGCTGAGTATAGGCAGGTGGCGCAAGACGTCTCCCTGTGGCAGCCTCGTCACATAAGCCTGGCTGGGCTCAAACCCCAAGACCAGGTCCAGCTTGCCTGGCTTCCAATCTCCCCAAGACAGACTCACATGGATCATCAACCCATGGTTACTGGCGATGATGGAGTGCTAGCAAGAGCCAGAAGAAATGCTACTTCTTCCAACACCGGCAAGCTGACCACATCTAATAGGGTGAAAGTGGTTGAGACAGGGAGAGACAATGAGAGACACAGCCAGCAGAGCCAGGAACCCAGAGAAGGACAGAGGTGGGGGTGTCAACTAGCACATGCTCAGAAGAGGGGAACAGATACGGTGGTCCTTATGGCATTGGGCAAGCTACAGAGATGCCAGCCTGCCAGCAACCAGGGCTCTCAAAGAAACACACAGGGAAGAAAAATACCTGGAAACCATAACCGCTGCTTTTAGTTTCCAGAGATTTTGAAGCCTCTTTCTCTTTGTTTTTCCTCTAAACCAGTTACAATTAGAATTGAGGGATATAATTACGTTGTTAGTCTAATTGCCTGTTTGAAGCAGGATCTACGGGGGTTTAATGGAAGATTTGAGGGGGGCAGATAAAATAAAAAGTCAGGATAATCACAGAAGAGATGAGGTAGAGACAAGACCTGAACTGCACCAGAGGCCAGGGAATTGCCTCCCGTGCCAACTCCCTCGCCTGGCTGGGCAGGGAACGGCGCTACCAGGTGGCGCGACTTCGCTGGAAATTGATTTTGGAGATGCTGACCTAATTAATCAGGAAACGATCCTAGAAAGGCCCTCAGATTTGGAGGCTTCGCACTATTATTGGCAGTGACACACTTACACATCGGCGGGCAGGATTTTCCCAGGCGGAGCCAGTGTGGTGGCGGCTGACAGAGGTGGACCATGTAGGGCCAGAGACCTGCCCTTCAGTCCGGGAGGGGAGAGAGGAGCGGGGAGCATACAACCCCTGGGGACAGAAATCAGAAGGAGGCAGCTCTGAGCTCAGGATGAAGAGGAACATTCTCCTCCAGGGAAAGAGTCTGACTGAGGTAGTGAGCACCTTGACAACAGAGGCATTTAAGTTGGATGACCCAGTGGTAGGGATGCAGAGGAACCAGCCGTAAGGAAGAACCATACGCCTCCGAGGGACTGTAAGAACAACTCCTGTCTCGGACCACACAGAGGACAGGGGTCTGGAGGGATGGTGGGGGACAAAGGAACTCTTCACATCAGAGGACCATCTCTGCCACCGACCCCTTGAATTACAGGACTTGCACTGTGAACACCCAGCCCTTCATGTGGGACTGCAATGGAAATGCTCCTTCTCTAATTATATCTTTTCAAATGCATGCAGCAATTTGTAATAGCCAGCAGCCACCTCCATGTGGAAGATGTGAAGCTCCAATGCAGAAGTCAGACGCAAGGTGATGTCACGGGCAATTACAGCCATCCCATGGTGCACCAGCCTCACTCTTCCGTCACCCATTTCATCTAATTACAAGATCTGGACTGATGACCGGGAAGACATGCATTCAAGCTTCATCTCTGAAACTTACAGGCTGAGTAAATAGGCAGAGATCAACTGCCCACCGTCCTTGAGTTCCCCCTTTTGGGAAGAAGCGGGAGAACAGATGATCTCATAGCAAACTCCCAGTTTCAAAATGCAGCAAAGCAGGAACCTTCCCCACCAAGCTGGTAAGTGCAGAAATAATGCCATCAACAGATCTGACCCTGGGTATACATCTCATCTGTGGGGTGGGGGGCACTGCTTTCTTCCTGTTATTACCAGCGCTGCCTTCTGTAGCCACCACCACAACATCAGGGACTCCCACTGCTTCAACATCAGGGACTCCCACTGCTTCCCCAACACGGCTGGCTCCTCGCACAATGGCTGGCACATTTTGGGCCCTCAAAAATATGTGGATGGACGAGTGGCACAAAACAGGCACTTAACTGGCAGCTACCAGGCACATCCAGTTAAATAACACATGGCCTTTTAATCCACTAACTTTTGATTAAAAACATCTCAGCTTTACAGGGCCTCCAGAATCTTTCTAGAGCCTTCTAACTCCCATGGCTACAGGCTTCCTCTGATGCAACAACTGCAAAGCTGTGAGGCCCAAAGCCTTGCCCATTCTCTTGAAGGCCCTGATATATTCCACAGAAAAGTGTGAGGATCTGGATTTCCAGAGAAGACTCAGGGGCACGAGGTGGGAAATGTCATCTCTGCTTTCCTGCCCTATTCCGCCTTCTGACTAGCGAGTGCCTAGAAACTTAGAACTGTCATATTCCAGGTCTCAGGGCTGCCTGGGAGGAATCAGTTCTGCCTGGTTTTCTGCGTTTTACCCATCCAGGGTTGACAATGGCGATGGAGTATGCTTGAGGCCCTCAGTACAAAGGGAGTGAAAATTCCACCGCTCCATTTATGAGGTCGCACTGCATGTATGACCCACAGCAGAAAGACTCATTGAAATCCAATAAAGATGAGGGCGGGGGAGGCTGCTCTGTTCCCAGAGAGGCCAACAGCATCTCTTCCATGCAATCTACCCAGCTCTGCCATTGACTGAGGAAAAAACAAGCTGCCATTCTGATGCTCTTTGTCAAGAGTGGCAACATGGCGACCAAAGGGATGGCCTGGACCTCCCCTCTCCCTCCCATTCTTCTAGGCCTGCAACTTAAAAGGACTTCAAAGTCTGAGGCAGCTGTGGTTTTCTTGCACGGAGAAGAGGGGAAGAAAGAGAATAAAAATTTTATTTCCAATAAAACACAACAATAGAGCTGCGGCACTTGTTTTTCTAGTTGAGACTCTTATTGGCTGCTTTCACATTCTAAAAGGCTGGGGGAGACCTCGAACCAGCTCGGAAGCCTCCACACCAGGGCTGGTCTGGCCTCGGGGAAATACAGACAGCCTCATCCCAAGGGGTCTCCCGAAGGCCTGACTCTGAGCTTGTAAAACGCAGGACAGAACTCTCAATTCAGCTCAGTTCAGTTCAACAGTCATTAAGAATCAGAGGCACATGGCTGTAGGAGCTGGAAGGTTCCGGTAGGGGTCTGTGTGTCAGGCCCTGTGCAGGACTTTGGGGACTTCAGTAATAAGATGGACATCTCAAGGAACATGTTAGCAGGAGGACCTGGCTGGTGTCATATGTCATGAGTACATTATAATTATTCCCACCATCACATGTGCTCAGCAGTGTACTAAACACTCTACACGCATGCCTCTTCATGGTAATGCTGTGGAGTAAGTATTCTTATCTCAATTGTCCAGAGGAGGAAACTGAGAATTACTGAGATTAAATATCTTGCTCAGGTGAAGGAGCCCAGGTTCAAATCCAGCTCTGATTCCAAAATCCCCTGGACGATCCCAGCCAACCAGTGTAGAAAGGATTCACTAAAGAGCCCCAAGACAGATTCTTTGTCGAGAGCACCAAATTGCTTCATTCTGCAAACCTTCCCTGAGCCCCTCCTCTGCAGCAGGCTCCGCAAGCTCATGACTTCTGTCAATGGTGGTGCTGGATAACAACAGGCCTCCACTCAGAAGGGGACAGGGGAGATGCTGTCTGTGTCGTCCCCAAAACAGAACACAGATTTAAGAACCAAAGACAGTGAGGAGGAGGCAGGCTTTCCCAGAACCACCTCAAATGGAATGGGCTGCAGGGAACATGTGGGTGAGCCCAACTGGAAACAAGCAAACACCTGTCAGGAATTCTGTAGCAGAGATGGCATCAGGAAGGGTCCTGGGAATAACCAGCCACTAGGCTCCCTTGCAGCTCTGCAAGGACAGATGAGTCCAAGAACATGAGATCCCCAACTTGCCTGCTGCCATTTCCAGCACATAAACACACACACTCCCGTCTACATCCTGCGAGGGGTACTTTCACAGCCCCTCTCAGAGAGGAGGCAAAAGACGCACACAGACACTCACTCTTCAGCGGTGATGCTGATTAACATCGCAGCTTGCCCCCTACCTCGCACTGGTAATTACACGCTGGGTCAGGGCCGAGTCCCTTCCTCTAGGTGCGGTGTCTGCCATCAGGGGCATAAAGGTGGGATGTCTTGAAGGAGTGAAGGGCTGCCTGCCTCTGTGAACTCAAGAGAAGTCCCAGGACTCCCCATTTCCTTGGAAAATAGTTTCTAGACTTGTCACCAATAAATTGCCTGCATCTTTTTTTTTTTTTTTTTTGAAGACTTCCCCCACTTCACTAATTGCATTCACTGCCTTTTTCTCCATAAATTTAATTAACTTGCTATGTGACCTTGGGCTAGGCAAGCCACCGCCCCTCTTTAAACTCAGTTTCCCTCTCCATAAAATGAGAATGGGGCTGTAATTTCTTGAAGCCCCGAAAGCTTTAACACCCCAGGTTTCCGTGAGGGGGCTAAGCCTGTGGCCTTGATATTCCTGGCTGCTTTGGCCCAGGGGGCTCCGCAGAGCGCCAAGACCATCCTGCTCTGAACAGCTCTTGGCCCTGACAGTGGTGCTGGCTCTCAAGGCCTTGCATTATTCTAGAAGAAAAGGCAGGACAGCCTAACTTGGCGAGGTCCTCTTTGTCCCCGATGGAGCCTCAAAGCTCAAATTTGCCTCCAGCATTTCAGCAAAGCCGCCAGTCCCTGGGAGTAGCAGAGACTCCAGATCAGGGACTGGATCAAGAGCATAAGCGTGAGGCTGAAATTGTAATAATAATAACTGACATTTATATCACGCCTTTCATCCCCAAATCCCAAATTAATTAACTTTTTACGAGACATTTTTAAACTAGTGCCATTTAATAAAATTCTATTAGGAAAAGTCTTTTTTTCTCCCCCCAGCCCTATATTTTTATTAACAGCCACCAAAAATATAATTTACAGGCAACCAAAAGCCAGTCAAGGCAGGGACAGGGAGAGGCTGACTCTGCCAACGACAAAGCAGGAGACCCAGGACTGGCCACAGGGGCTGACGCCCTAGCCCCACTGTTAGGGGTCTGGATCCTCTGGAGGTCCCATGGGCCCAGATTACTCTACAAGACTGAATCTCAGCCCTGTGTCATTCATCCCATACTTACTGATCATCTATTTTCTGCAGCCACTATACAGGCTGCCATGGACAAAACGAGTGAACAAAGCAGTCATGGCCCCTGTACTCTTGACATGCAACACCTAATGCAGTAGAGAAATGTCAAGCCAAGATCTCACCAATAAATAGATAACTATCATTGTGTACATGCGGAGAAGGAACACACTCCTCTCTTTCCCCCATGACAGCATCCCACGGGGCAACAATCTAGTCTGGAGTTGGAAGCAAGGACATAAGGAAATGCCTTCCTGAAAAACTGGTATTTAACCTGAAAACATGGTTTGGCTTAAACCAAGCAAAGAGAGATGAGGGAAGGGGGCATAATCCACACAATGGGAACAGCATGTGTGAGGGCTCAGAGGCTGGAAGGTGTTGGGCACGTGGGAGGAAGGAACAGAAGGCCAGCCTGGCAGGACAGAGTGAGGTAGGGAGACAGGGGATGGGGCTGGAAAGGGAACTGGGCTGGTAGATTCACCCTGAGGAGAATGGAGAGCTGATCACGACACGATCAAATGAGTCATTCTCATTAACAGGTTCACAGGTGGCCTGCACACTGCTTCATATCTGCGGAATGTCACTTTTTTATGTGCATCTGTTACAGCCACACTGTCCAACATGGTTGCCACTAGCCCCCTGTGGCTACTGAGCTTTTGAAATGCGGCTAATCCAAACTGAGATGGGCTGTCACGAGGAAAACACACACTGATTTCAAAGACTTTGTAAAAAATCAAAAATGTGTAATACCTTAATAAGAATTTTTATTATAATTACATGTTGAATTGATAACATTTTTGATACAATGGGCTCAATAAAATATGTTATGAAAATTAATTTCACCTGTGTCTTTTTCCTTTTTTAACACGGATATCAGAAAATTTCAAGTTACACATGCGGCTTGCATGACATTTCTATTAGATAACTCTGTGTTATGTATTTAAGAATTTTAAGTATGGCCAGGCACAGTGGCTCATGCCTGTAATCCCAGCACATTGAGAGACAAGGTGGGCAGATCACTAGAGGCCAGGAGTTCAAGACCAGCCTGGCCAACATGGCAAAATCCCGTCTCAATGAAAAATACAAAAAATTTAGCTGGGTGTGGTGGTACACAACTGTAATCCCAGCTACTCGGGAGGCTGAGGCACAAGAATCGCTTGACCTGGGAGGCGGAGTTTGCAGTGAGCCAAGACCATGCCACTGCACTCCAGCCCAGGTAACAGAGCAAGACTCTGTCTCAAAAAAAATAGAAAGAATTTTAAACAAAAGATTTATTTTCATCTACTCTAGGGGGAAGACGAGCATTCATTGACTAGTGTGGCAGAAAAGCCCACATCAAGGGCTCGTTTAGGCCCAAGAGTGTATTTATCTGGCCCTCTCCCCGATCTTCAATAAAGCAGAAAAAGAAGGTAGAAAGAGGGGAAATTCCACATTGGATCAAACCGTGCAGGGCGAGGTGTGAGCAGGGGCAAAGGGAGCCTAATAGTTGTAAGAGGCAATCCAGCCTCAACTATCACCCATCACGTTCCCCATCCAGATTTAGTAAGGAAGGAAAAGGCATTAAAACGAGGAAACCTGAAAACCTAAGCCTCACTTGACTCTTACTCTCTGAATCACAGCAAAGCAAGGTTAGGGGAAGAGCAAAGTTCTCCAAAGTCACCTGCACTCTGTTTCAACACTGAAGTCCAAGCCCTCCACTATCCTGACCACCGGCACAGGGAAGGCTACACAGGGCACAGCCGAGGCCAGGGCAGGGAACCTCAGTCCCCCTCATCCCCTCTGCTTCTCTCTAGTCCCTAAACAGGTTTCATAAACCAATGGCCCGGAGTGGGACTTTCGGGTTTTATAAGACCTTTTTTTTTCAATTAGTGGTCATGATTTGAAATTTTGGGAGGTTTTACATAAAACTTCAGATTTACAGCTTTTCTTAAAAAAAAAAAAATCAGAAGATCTGGCCACACTGGGGCCTGTGTTCTGCCATGGCAACAATCGGTTGTAGCTGAGTGGCAACTGCTTTCCTGAGATGGGATACAGGAGCTCCCCAGCCCCACTGCACGTGGGTCTGCACCCTGCCCAGACACTCCCTAACAGAGCTCAGGATATAGAGCTGCCAAGTGCATCACACGTGGCTCCAGGCTTCTGTACACGCAGTCACTGCTGCCCAGCACTCTCCCTTCTCTTCCCTCTCTCCCCCTTGAGCCTCTCCTCACCCAACAATCTTCTCCCAGCCGCAAGCTTTCCTGACCCTCTGGCTTGCTTAAGCTAGGAGCAGAGTTCGCACTTACCGCAGGCTATCACAATGATCCATTCCCATGCCTGCTCTGAGCCACTGGAGAGCAAGGATGGCATCCTGCTTGTCTTACCAGTGCCAGACAGAAAAAAGATGCTCAAAAACATTTGCTCTGTAAACCACGCCAGGAGGAGTGAAGAGTTGTTGGAAATCACACCCCTACCCTATCTCCTTCCCAGTGGAGTTTCTTCTCTTCCTGGTGATGTTTCCAGATGCACCTGGGACAATCCTCAACTTGATGAAACCAACCCAAAACACTCCTCTAAATAAATTACACTTTCGCCAGTTACCTTAGAGGCTAAAAAAGTCATTAGAAGTTGAAAATTATATGGAGTTTGGGGGTGACTCTGAACCATGTAACCACCTAAATAGCTCTTTCTGTTGAGCAAACAAGCATTTCTTGATTGCCCTTTTTGAACTTGCCAGAGCCTGGTCTTGTTGCTATTAAAATGGAATTTCACAATGGTTCTAAACCAGTTTTTCTCATTTTCCTGAAAGAACTGACTGTCATTCAACCACAAATAAAATCTTTTATAAAACAGCAAATGCAAGGGAGACCTGCCCAGTGAAGTGAGATACAATCATTTCTCCATGTAGGAAAAATGAAGCACTGATTCATCGTCTGCTCCAAAATCACTTCTTGAGCACCTACTGCATGCAGTGCCTGGGGAAACACAGGTGAGCTTACAGCCCAGTAGAGTGGCTATGGATACAGAGAAGACTGGAGGGCATGCCAGATATAGATCAAGCTCAAAGACATCTACCTTTTCATTTACCATATCAAAACAGACTCAGGTAGGCCGCTCTTTCTCTATGGCAAAGTAAAAGCTTCTTTCAACTCCTGCGTCCTACCTTCAACAAAGTCACACTCACCAGAAAGACCAAACACCATGGAAAAAAAGAAGAGAGGGAAGAGGAAGGAAGACTTGAGATTCAGGAGTGAGAAATTATATCCCATGAAGCCACTCCTCTGTGTGAAATTTAAAAAAAAAAAAAAGGAGAACTATTACCTAAAAACCTATCAAGCTCCATCATTTTCAGTGGGGAGATTGAGGCTCAGAGAAGGTCTTACCTTGTCCACCTTCAAAGTCCTGCTCAAAAGCCCACTTCTTCCTCCGTCTCTGATACCCACGAGGAATTACAGAAAAAACAGTTCCCGTATTGACCACTTCCTCCATACCAGACATTGTCCTAAATGTTTTGTCCGTTGTGTCCTATTTCGTCTCCCAACAGCACTATGTGGTAGGAGCTGTTCACCTGCCTTTTCCAGAGGAGGAAAGTGAGTCTGGAGAGGGTTGACCAGCTGTCCAGCTGCACCTGGCATCCTAGGCAATCTGGCTGCCAGCGTCTCATGGTCTCTCTATCCTGAAGACCCAATATTCACTCAGCTCTGCATGGCAGAGAAAAGAACAGTACAAAAGGCTGAAATTTTCATTACAAAAGGTGCAAGTACTAAAGAAGAATAAAACAAGACATCTAGACACATCCTGATAAAAGTTTCCCAACTCCAAAAACAAAGAGGAAATCCTAAATGCTTTCATAGACGAAAAAAATCCCCTAGAGAAGTAAGACTCAGTCTAGTATTAGACTTCTCATCTGCAAGATCAAGAGGCAGAAGACAAGACTGCAGCAGCTACAAGATCCTGAGAAAGGGGACTCTGGATCTAGAATTCAAATGCAAACCAACTCATCACTCAAATGTGAGAAAAAAATAATGGCCTCTTCAGATATGCAGAGACATTCAGGTCACCTGGGCACATTTTCTGAAAAACATTAAGGAAAATAAATCCAAGAAAGAAGACATCAGACAGAATTTTTAAAGAAAGAGAAAGTAACCCAACAAAACAGATTAAGTCTAAACAGTAACTGGAAATAAGAGCTGTGAATCTCAAGGAAGCTCTTACATAACCCCCAAAAACAATGCAGAAAAAGAAGTTTTAAGTTGGAAATAAAATTCCATGTCATATTTACTAAAAACAAACTATGGAAGGAGAATGAGGAAAATGTAAATGCCCTTGGAGGTCAAATATTTGTGGTGGGGGAGGATTCCTTGGGGAAAATTAGAGATTTATTCTTGCCCAAGTTTAAATAAGTTTGTTAAAAACTTAAATGTCAGAAATGAGAAATACAATTATGACTTCCAAATCAATAAGTGCAAGGAATTGGGGAAGGGACAAGCAGAAAGGAGAGGAAGAAAAAGAAGATAAAGAAAGAAAAGAGGGGAATAAAGAAAACTTTGGCAGTTCAATGATAGGCTAGGAAAAAAAATCATGGAAAACCAAAACCAAAATTACGTGGCAGAAAGAAACTGACACTTAAACGAGAAATCACAATAAATATGAACGATATATAAATTCTCCTGTTAAAAGGCAGAATATCACAAATTGGGGGGCACAGGTAGGCCAGGAGCTAAAACAAAAAGAGTCAGAAAGGCTAAAATAAAGGGGATTACAGAGATGCCAGATGTTATCAATGACGAAAGCTGGATGAAGGGTGGGAACTCTCTGCATTGTACTTGCAACTACTTGTGAGTCTTACATTATTTTAAAACAAAAAGTTTTTTTACAAAAATAATGGACAAAACTACACCAGGCATATGTCAATAAAAAGCAGACGTGGTAAAAAACTCCAAGGCAAACAAAATAATTATCAAGAACCACCCCCCCAAAATTTTAACTGACATAAAATTAAACAAAAAGATATATAGTCATGAACTTTTACGTACCCATAAAATACAGAAAACAAAAACTTGAAAATAAAAGGAGAAACAGGAAGAAAAAAATCAGTTACAATAGGAGACTTAAGCATACTTTCCAGAAATGGACAGAACATGAGGATAAAAAACACACAGTAATAAGGGACTTGAAAAACACAATTAACCAGTTTGATGTATTTTTATATGTACTTATAAAACAATACACATCTTTTCAAAAATCCATGGAACAATTACAAACTGATCATGTGACAGGCCACAAAAAAAACCTCAATAACCTTTTTAAAATAAGAAATTATACAGGCCATATTCCCTGACCACAAAGCAATAAAACTAAACAAAAGCCACAAAAAGTTTAACCACTTGGAAATGTAACCTAAAGGTTATTTGGAGGAGTATTTTTTTTTTTGAGAAATTAAAAAGTGCAGACTATTTAAAAATGAACAATGAGAGCACTATATAGCAAAACCCATGGGATATTTCCAAAGCAGTCACTCAAAAAAGAAATGAACTGAGAAGAATAAAATCAAAATAAGCCAAAAGAAAGCAGAAAATGAATAAAAATAAACAGAAGTTAAAGAAATAGAAAACGAAACACTTGATATTAAACATAAGAGCATGTTCTTGGAAATTACTGATAAAATGGCTAATCCCACCTCCTACCATGTGTCTGCCTAAGAAACTAAAAAATAAACTTGAAATATTAAAAAATGAAAAAGTGGCTATGACTACGGAATCAGAGGGAGGGAAGGAGGGAAAGAGGGAAGAAGAAAGGAAGGAAGACTTTATATTAATATATCTTCAATTATACATGAAATAGACCATTTTGTAAATAATAAAAATTACCCAAAATTGACTCAAGAGGAAATAGAAAACAAATAGGCCAATAATTAGAGGAAGAAATTTGAATTATTAAAATACTGGGAATATTTAAATAATTTTACTGTGTCAAATTTTCAATAAGCGAATTATATCTATGTTTTCTAAATCGTGAGGTGTGAGGAGGAGACCATTCCAATTCTTGTTACAAAGCCAACATAATTCTCACATTA
Organism: Homo sapiens; assembly: GCF_000001405.40. NCBI lineage: Eukaryota > Metazoa > Chordata > Mammalia > Primates > Hominidae > Homo > Homo sapiens. The sequence continues at coordinate 113,939,479 of NC_000009.12, read as the reverse complement.
GAACTGGGAAAGATAATTTAAAAGAGAAAAGTATGGGTAAATCTTACATAAATATAGATCCAAAATTCCTATATAAATGTTAGCAAATAAAATATGGCACTAAATTACAAAAGTAATGCAACTCCAAAAGACATCATCCTAAGTCTTCTGAGATAGTATGAGGCAAAAACAACAACAACAACAACAAACAAACAACAAACAAAAAAACCACTGATCAATATAATTAGGAATTTCTTTACATCTCCATAAGGGGTATCTCTCAAAAACCTCCCTCAAATATTTAACAATATAATACCAGAACTACTCTAATTGAAGTCAGGAATAACCAAGAATGCCCAATATCACTACCATATTATTTAAATTTATTCTGGTGATGCTAGCTACCCAAGTTGAAGACAAGAAACAAGAAGCATAAATATTGGGAGGGAACAAACCAACATGCCATTAATGGCAGATACAATTGCCTGAAAAAAAAAATCCAAGAGAATCAACTGGAAAACTATTAAAACAAAAGGGAATTTGGCAAAGTAACCAGATACAGGATAAATATTCGCAAGTCAACAGCTTTCCTACATATCAACAATAATCAATCAGAAAATATAATGGGACGGAACGGATGTGGTGGCTCACACCTGTAATCCCAGCACTTCGGGAGGCTGAGGTGGCTGAATCACTTGAGGTCAGGAGTTCAAGACCAGCCTGGCCAACATGATGAAACCCCGTCTCTACTAAAAATACAAAACATTAGCCGGGCATGGTGGTACATGCCTGTAATTCCAGTTACTTGGGAGGCTGAGGCAGAAGAATAGCTTGAACCCAGAAGGCAGAGGTTGCAGTGAGCCAAGACTGCGCCACTGCACCCTAGCCTGGACGATAGAGCTAGACTCCATCTCAAAAAAAAAAAAAAGAAAAAAAGAAAATATAATGGGAGGAGGAATCACATCCTACAAATAACACTACAAAACACTAATAAGCAAACCTATTAAGAAATATGCATGGGTTGGGTGTGGTGGCTCACGCCTATAATCCCAATGCTTTGAGGCAGCCAACAAGGGAGAATCACTTGAAGCCAGGAGTTCAAGACAAAACCAGGCAACATAGTAAGACTCTGTCCTTACAAAACTTTTTTTTTTTTTTAATTAGCCAGGTGTGGTGATGTGTGCCTGTAGCCCCAGCTACTTGGGAGGCTGAGGCAGGAGAATCACTGGAGACCAGGAGTTTGATTGAGGCTGCAGTGAGCTATGATCATGGCACTGCACTCCAGCCTGGGCAACAGAGCAAGACCCTGTCTCAAAAAAAAAAAAAAAAAAAAAACAGGAGCCTGAAGCTTTCCTAAAAACATCAAAGACCTAAAGAGACACATTCCTGCATGGGAAGATATAATATCATAAATATGTCAGTTCTCTCAAAATTAATCTATAAATTCAATGTGATTCCAGTCAAAATCCCGATAGGACTTCTGAGAGACCTTGTGGAGTTGATATAAAGCTCATGTAGAAGAACAGATTTTTAGAGCCCCCTGGTACAAATCTGAAACACTTTTTAAAAGACTAACATATGCCATCACACTAGGAAGGCAAAGTAATAAAAACAACAAAAAAAAGGCACATAATTAGGTAAAACTGATCAATTTAAAAGACTAAAAAGCCCAATGGCAGATCCATGTATATATCAGAATTTAGAAAACTGTGATTGTGTCATTTCAAATCAGTGGGAAAAGGAATAGACTATTCAATAAGTAATACTGTCTCCTCATATGATGCACTGAGAAAGCCACATCACTTCTGGGCATTACTGCACAAAGTGCTTAACCTGAATATAATTGTAAGGAAACATCAGAGAGACCCAAATTGAGGGACAGTGTACAAAATAACTGGCCTGTACTCATAAGAAATGTCAAGGTCAGGAAAGACAAAGACCGAGGAGCTCTCCTAAATTGGAAGAGACGAAAGAGACAGGAAAACAATTTCACTCAGAATCCAGGGTTTTCTTTTCCTATAAAAAACATAGGAATATACAGTGAAATATGAGTAAGGTCTGTAGATTTGCTAAGAGTATTCTGTCAGTGTTAATTTCCTGATAAAGATTGTGGTTATATACGTAAATGTCCTTGTTTGTAGGAAACATTTCTGAAGTATTCAGGGGTAAAGGAGTATCATGCCTTCACTTCTGTCTCAAATGGTTTAGAAAAAGAATTTTATAAAGACAGTGGGGTGGGGGAAAGAGGAGGAGAGAGAGAAAGACACGAAAAAGTAAGTGTGGGAACAGTTAACATTTGAGGAATGTGGGTGAAGGGCAGGTGGGTATTCTTATTCTTAAAACTTCCTGAAATTATGTCGAAATAAGTTTTTCAAAAGGAAAATGTAAATTCTAAGATCTCTTGGGATAGTTATGGTTTCATCCATATATAGCATTATTATAAAACAGATCTGAGAATTATAAACACCAAATTAGATTAGATTGTTGTTACCTCTGGTGAGCGAGGGGAATGAGGTTGGGGAAGGAAGTTTCAACTCCCTCCATCAAGTTTTATAAAGAAAATCAGATATAGTAAAAAAACAAAGAGTTTATCAACAAATAGATAAGAGTGAGACACTTGGAAAAAACACACAAAAAGAAATCCCACATGGATTAAATAGCTAAACAAGAAAAAATGCTAAAAAAATAATAAATAGAGCACATTTTTAAAAATAATGTTGGAATGAAGAGGTATTTAAAAGCATCTTCAAAAAACAGAAAGTAAAACAATGACCAAGAAAATAATACCAGGTTCTGGTATTATTGCCGGGTTCTATTCCAAGCACTTTACATGTTATCTCAGCTGATTCTTATAACCCAGTGATGGTACTATTCTTACTGTAGTACACAGACGAGCTTCAGAGGGGACCTTTGGTCACAGGCCCAAGGCACCTTCCAGTCTCCAAATTCTGCACCAATTCCCAGCCTATGCTGCTCATGGCAGAAGGTCCCCACTCCTGTGCAACTCCTGAACAACAAACTGAAGCAAATAATCTGGGAGCAGACATATTCTAGAAAATTCTAGAAGATTCCCATTCATTCTTTCAACAAATATGTACTACTCGCTAAATAAATTACCTGTTTTTACTAGCACGATAGTGGGCACTTTACTTATTTTATTTAATCCTTATACCACCATCAGGGAGTAGCTTTTTTGTTCCTAGTTTTGAACTGAGGTAACAGGCTCAGATTCTGGGAGTGAGTGGCCCATGGTAACATAACTGGTCAGGCAGCACTGGGTTTTGGACCCAGGTCTGTCTGCCTCTGGAGCCTGGTCTCTGACCACCAAGCTGCACTGCCTTTGGCTTCCCCTGGAGAAGGACAAGGAATCCCAGCCTGTGGCACAGGACATGGAGGCTCGAGCCTATAATCCCAGTGACTTGGGAGGCTGAAGCAGGAGGATCACATGAGCCCAGGATTTCGAGGATGCAGTGAGCTACGACTGCACCACTGCACTCCAGCCTGGATGACAGAGTGAGACCCTATCTCAATAGAGAAAAAAAAGAATCCCAGCCTGTGATCTCAGATGACCCACGCTCCCCACTGGGATAAGCGCATTATCACACTAAAGATGCTGGGAGGAACGGGCCTGATCTCCTGCCCTAGGCCCCAAATCCGCCTTAGGAGCAAGTAAGCAGGCATGTGATCCACTCAAAACTTTCGCCGAGCAGGTCCTGAGTACACAGCACAGGGCAGGGTGCAGGGAGAGACTTCACCCACCCTCAAAGAGTTTGCAGTCCAGACAGTATCCATCATCACACCTAAAGATGGAGCCAATTAAGACTCATTGGGCTCGAAGGAGAAGAGTAGAGGTAAGGAGGCTTCACAGAGTCCCCAAGAGGACTGTTTATTCAGAGGTCAGCCAGCAGGAGGAACAAATTCAAAGTTGCCAATTCCAGCCCTGGGCAGTGCTCATTCTGTGGAGTGACACGACCCGCAACAAGGACACGCTCTGAGCACAGCACATGGTGTTTCCAGGGCCAGGTGGGGTGCAGGTGGTGCTTCCATCACTGCAAATAGCTCTCATCCCAATGTGCCTTTATGGAAGCTCAGAGGGCATCAGCTGTGCCCTCTCTAGGACCAGCCCCTGGGCTGGCAGCTGCGGCTTTACCTCCTGCAATGACACTTTTCACCTTGGTGAGATGCTCCTCTTAGTGAACCCGCTGCAGCTGGCCATGATGTAAAGTGGGGGGCAATGTCCATCTGCTCCCACAGGGGCACTACCCAGAGAGGTCATCAGGAGGGGGCCACTCTAAATGGCATGGTGAGCCTCTCCTTCCTAGGGCCTGGGCCATAAAGCAGCTTCCTGCCAGGTTAGGGGACCCTCGTCGGCAGCCCCATGCCAGCCCAGGGGCTTCAGCCAGGCCACTGAGGTCCCTCTCACCCCTGACCAGCCTTGTGGCCCTGCATTAAATCAGGCCCTGGGTCTTATGCCCCTTGGGCTTGCACCTGGGGACAGCCAGGCTTGTGAGGGACCCTGGGCATGACCTAACCATGCTGAGCCCCACGCCCCTCCTCATCCTGCACGGCTCCTTCATGGAGTTGCTGTAGCAAATGAGCTTAGAAAGCATAAAGGCTGTACAAATAGGATACTCTGGCGGTCCCCAGCCTCTCCATGCTCGGGCCACGGCCAGGCACATCCTCACGCCCAAGGCCTTCCCTGACTCCACACGTCTGCCTCGAGTCACACAGAGTTCCGGAATTAATTTAATCCAGTTTGTATCATTAGCTGTTTCTTCACGATGTGCCTAAAGACCAATGCTTAACCAACAGGCCAGAATGCTCATAACCAACCGGGTACATTTCTCTCAAAGTGCCCTTGGGAGGCTATATTCTCACTCCAACAATCCCATTTTGGGGAACACATTTGCAAATCTCTCTCTAGAAATGAATCTTCCCCATGTAAGGACAGATGTGCTTTGGTGAAAAGAGCGACCAGTCTGTGGTGCTTTCCATAAACCGAACACGGGCTTCAGCGCGTTCCATGTGTTTTGTCCATTTACTCCTCACAATCCACAGAGGAGGTTCGTGTAATTGTCATCTACACTCTGCAGATGAGGAAGAGTCACCTGCCCAAGATCAACCAGTGGGTGGCAGACCTGAGGCTGGGCCTGGGGCACCCCAGAGGGTGAGTATCCCCCTCACCACTCCTTGCCATCTCTACAGCATGGACCCTCTAACTTCCTTCCAAACAGCAGCAGCCTGAAGTCTAAGTCCATCAAGCCCAGCACACCCTCCACCAGACAACCCCTCCCACCAGCCTAGTGGCATCATCTAGACACCGTGTGCCCGTGAGTTGGGCCCCTGGCTCACTGACTTTCCTGCCGCCATTACTTCTGTCTTCAATTTTGGCTATACTAACAACTCATCTGACTCTGATCAATCAGTTCTTGGATCTCCTTTCTTTCAGTCCCCTTTCTCTCCCCTGTCCCCAGCCCACCAGCTCAACCCCTGCTCCCAGGTAACACCCTAGACCTTGTCCTTAGCAATGACACCACCATGCCATGATCTCAATTTCAAGCATCCTGTCTCCTGACTCCCAGACCCTTCCACCAATCCTGGCCCCCACAGGAGCTGCAATCCACCACCCTGTCACCCTTGCCCTGCCATGCCCCTCCCCCACTGCTATCCCTCCCCAGCCAAGACCAAGCCCATCACAATGATTGCCCCTTTGCCTAATCTTTCCATCTTTAGACCTCTCTCTCCTTTTATTCTCTGGCAAAACCCCAAGTCAACTCCTTGCCTACCCCACACTGGAAGAACACACAAAACCATGTGGATTGTCTGACTTTAAATGTGTGACCACAAACCTCCAGTGGGCCCTTAGTACAGCCCAACAATTTCCCTCCTCAATTCATGATCCTAGATGGGCATTTGAGACTTTCGCCTCTCTCCTCAAACCTCAAACAACCTGCTCTCCACTAACAGCTACTTTCCCTGAGAAAATAGAAGCAATCAGGAGAAAACTACTCATCTCCCCACCACCAGATCTAATGCACTCTAAAGTCACTCTTCCTGCGTGCTGCCCCAGTGGAATTGTACTTCTTTCTCTTGGCTTGGACCCGAGGTCACTGAGCTGGCAATTTCCCTGCTCTCCTGCAACATCAGTTTTCCCTTCCCGACCAGAGGCTTTCCACAGCATAGCAACAGACTGTGATGTCAGCACTAGGGAACATGCCCCTAACTCTGTTCCTCTTTAGAGCAAACTCAAAATGCACCTACGCTGACTGGCTCTACCTCAGTTCCCATTCTGTTGATTCCATTCCTCTCAAATTAGCCAGCTCTGCCCCAACAGGACTCCACTGAAGTCATCTTCCCAAAGTCACCAGTGCCCAGTGCTGCCAAACCCAGTGGACATTCCTCAGATCTCATCTTAGCTGACATGCTTGATCTCTCCTTTCTTCCTGGCTTTGAAGACCCCTCTGGCATCTTCCCACCTCGCTGGTTGCTCCTTGGTCCATTGACCGGTTCCTCCTCCTCTCCCCGAGTCTGAGGCTTATTCCCTAGGTGAGCTGTCAAGTCTCACTATTAAATGCCATCTATATGCAGATGATCCAGCAATTTAATATTCAGCCCTGACCACTGCTCGCCTGCGCTCCAGACTTACATCCAACAGCTTACATAACATCAGCACTGGGGCACCTCAGAGGCATCTTAAAATTCACCTAATGGCTCCCATTCCACACCTCCACCCCACTCCCCCTATACCTGGTCCTCAGAGTCTCACCCCATCTAGCAATGGTGCTCCCAATCACCCAGCGCTCAGGCCAATACCTAGACTGGGGTTAGCCTCAATTCCTTCATGCTCCACATCCAAGGAAGCCAGGAAGTCCTGCTGGTCTGACATCGACATTCATTCAACGTAGCCTCTCCTCACTCTCTCTCCACCACCTCTCTACTGTCCTCTCTTCCAAACCAGCATCACATTTCACCTGGGCTCCCTCTAAGTTTCCCAACCAGTCTTCTAATTTCCATTCTTTCCCTCATAGCAGCCAGGGGATCCTCTTAAAATGTAAATTGGATCCTGTCAACACCTCTGCTCAAAACCTTATAAAATCCTCCAACCCCTTCCCAGTGGCCTCCATGACCCTCCGTGACCTGGCTACCCCTGCCTAACCAGCCGCACCCCCTCATCTCCATCTAGCCACTGTGGCCTTTCTACTGCTCATTCCAACCTTTGCACTCACTGTTCCCTCACCTAGAATGCTGTTCCCCACCAATTGCAAGGTTTGCTTCCTCATTTCATGCACGCCTCTGTTTATCAGAGAGGTCTTTCCTGACTCCCAAACTCAAATAGCCCTCCACTCCATTACCTGCCCCTGTCTATCCCAAATCCGTTTCCTTTTTCTTCGCAGCACTTAACAGTATCTGAATTCCATTCATCATTTAGTTGTCAGGGCAGGAGTCTTATCTTATTCACTGCTATATTCCCAATGCCCACAACAGGCCCCAGCCCACAGCAGACGATCTATAAATACATGTTGAATAAATGAATTCACAAATGAATGAATCAATCACTACACTATACAGCCTTCCCTCAGCCCAAGGAGTAGAGAACAGCATTGTCCAACAGGAATAAAATATGAGCCACATATGCAATGTTAAATCTTCTAGTAGACACATTTAAAAAAGTAAAAAGAAACAGTGAAATTAATTTTACTATTGTATTTTTTAAACCGATGTATCAAAATGTTATTTCAACCTATCAATACTGAAATAATTATTAGTGATGTTTTACAATCTTTCATACTAAGTCTTCGGAATGTGGTACGTATTTTACACTTACAGCACATCTCGATTTGGACTAGCCAAGTTTCAAGGGCTCAACAGCCCCATGTGGCTTGTGGCTACTGTATCAGCCCAAATCTAAAACGTGAGCCTGATCTGGTCCTTCCCACACCTAAACCTTCCCCTGACACTTCATCACTCCCAAGATGAAATTCCAACCCAGCCAAGCATTAAACCTGCCCATCTGGAGTCGCAAGCCTCATCTCTCAACACGCCCCTGGTATCCAACACAACTTCAAATCTCTGTGCCCTCCACTCCCTGACTTTGAGCCTGGGGCACATGCTGTCCCTTCTGCCTCAAAGGCTCCTGTCCTATTCATCTGAAGACCTCCTACTCAATCTTCAACACTCCTGCCCCACGCTCCTAAACTGCCATCTCCCCGACACGAGTGTGCTCAGGGCAGGGACCACCTCATGCCTCTATGCTGAGTACACAGCAGGTGTTCCATGCTTATCACTGAATTAGTGACAGAAGGTGGCTCCTTGGCAATCAGGCCATCATTCACTCCCCACTTCTGCCCACTCCACAGCACCTCTCTGCCCTTACTCAACATACCATCCAGAAAAACAGTGAATGGTGTATTCCTGTGTCCAGTCTTTCCTATTTCTTCTATATCTAACTATTCTCCCTGAATTCTATCCTAAAAAAGTAAAACTCCAAGTAAATTTCAGTATTTCCCCCAGTATTCTAATGAAGGGGGAGTAATTATCACACAATTTAATGTAAAAATATTGTCAGGTGCTTATTGGCCTTTACTTCCTTTGCTGCCCCCGAATAAGGCTAAAATCCAGAAAAGAGAAATAGTTTTATGTGAAAAACTGATCCTGTTGGATCATCACAGTCCTGAGCCCAGAAAAGTGACAGTTCAATACCAACACCAGAGGCACCAACAGCTACCACTGTTGCCCCCAGCAGCAATGCCATTGATTCAAAAGAAAGACCACTGCTGAGCGAGGAAGGCAAGGAATCAGAGCCTCCTTCGCTTCTAGGCACCTTCTTGTCAAACTTTAAAGGACAGAAATGTGAGTACGTTACTGCACTGACTACTTCATTCAACAAACATTAATGAGCACTTCATCTTCACGGGGCACCAGGCCACATGCTGGGAAACAGCCTTAAAAATAGAAATTACACCTCTGAGTTTGTTTGCCTAAAATGGCAATAATTTCTTATCCATTCAAGGACAAGCCTGCTTTTTTTGAACAAGTTTAAAAAAAAATAGGCGCCCCCTAAACCTATGAAGTTTCCCATCATGAAGCTCAATGCATATCTACAACTAAACATTTTTAAGGGAATTCAAGTAGTAGAACTGGGACTATGATTTAAACTAACTAGTTTTAAATGTATAAACCCAACATGAAAGTTTTATGAGCAAACAAAGCATGTGCAACGCTTTTCCTGCCCCTAAATGACTTAAGTAACATCTAAGAAAATGAGTAAAAGGTAACCTTGACATACATTTCAGTTTCCCCAAAAAACTTGGGGGAAATTCCAGAAGCGAGGCAATTTCCCCATGTTTTGGCTTCAGAACCTACAGACAACGTGTAACACTAGGTCTCCTTTGCAAACAAGGAGGAATGAATGAGGGCCATTGGTTTATCACAACCTAGGACCACTCCACTCCTCCCAGAACACGTGAAAGCCCTATAGGCCAAGGCTGTTATCAGAGGAAATGCTTTTAAAAACACATTCATCATGGGGGAAAAAGCCAAGATAAACAAGCTCTGAGTTACTGGTTATTCATACAATGTCATGTGATGACTGCTATTTCCACTCTTCTTATTAGAAAGCCATTTTGTTATTTAAAGCAACAATAAAGACAAAGCTGGCATCGGGAAGTACTGCCATGAAACACCAACTCATTCCAAAACCATTTCCTTATCTCGGGTAACAAGTGAACTAAAGGTTATGTTATTGTCACTAAAGCATAGAGTACTGGAAGAGCTTTGGCCTTATCCCCACTATAAAGCTGGGAAAACTGAGGCCCAGAGAGCACATTTCAGACCTGAATTCAGGATTCCCAGCCCAGCTTGGTCCACCCAACATTTGTCCCTGACAAGAGGCAGGGATACTAAGCAAACCACAGCCCTTACTGTATCCCTGTCTCCCAGCTAATTTAAGGGTGCCACAGCCTCCAGCAGAGTTTTGAAATAGGAGAACATCAACACCTACCAGGTGAGGACTTTCAATTTCAGCCCTGATATGTACAGAGCTTGGAAGTCATCACTCCCATCCTTACAACAAGAAAAAAGCTGCAAAAACTGAAAATCAACAAGTTTTCTTAGATATATCAGAGGATTGAGGCCACAGAGCAAACCACCCTGAAATCTGCAGAGACAGTCAACTGCAGAGAAATACAGCTTACCAGGAGCTGCAGTGGCTGGGGCTGGTAACTGGTAGGAACGTTTAAACAGTAACTGACTTAGCTGCTAGAAGCTGAGTATGCACTAGCTTGAGAGTTAAAATCTGGGGTCCAGTCTTAGGGGAGTCATCACATTTTCATAGATTTTAACTCCAGGAGCTTGAACAGGTTCTCATGGTGGAGATTAGACAATAATCCCATTGTCCTTCAGTGAGATGAATGTGGAGTTGGGGGTGGAAAATAACCATTTAAAATACACCAGGGGAAAAGTGATCATTCTGAAATAGCATAGAGTGTGCTGTTCTCCAGAGCAAAGGCCTGCCCTTGAAAGAATCTACCTTACCACAGACTTATCTGACCTAAGGGAAGGACAACTGGACAACTCCAGCCTGTCGAGCCTTCCTATCTCACATAAAGGGAGAAGAAAAGGCTATGAAATTTTTCTGAAGATCACAGCCCAGGGATGCAGGCCCACTTAAAAAATAATAATAATTGAGATTGAATCATGAGAGTATAGACTACTTCCTCTCCCTAATACTTAACCACATCAAAAAGACTCCAATATAATAAGAGTGGATTACAAATGAGACAGCTGCAAGACACAGATTCTATTTAAGAAGGAGTTTCTAGGGAAATCTAAAGACAACAGGAAAAGGGAGAGAAAACAAAAAACAAAGAAAAGAGGAAATTGAAGCTTCTGGCATCTCCAGCTACAGCGAACATTAAACACAGAACAGTTCCTAGCCACATAAACATAAAACTTCACACTAATATCCTCATGACCTCTGTTTCTATTAATAGATACGTCAGGTCTGGCTTTCAACAAAAAAATTACATGGTATTCTAAAAGGCAAGGAAAGAAACACAACCTGAAGAGAGACAGCAGACATCAGAACTGGCTTAGATATGACACAGACTTTGGAACTGTCAGATAAGCAATTGTAAATAACTACGATTAATATGTTTAGGGTTCTAATGGAAAAATTAGACAACATCCAAAAACAGATGGTTAACATAAGCAAAGAGATGGAAACTATAGGAAAGAATGAAACGAAAACACAAGAAATCAGATACACAGCAACAGAAATGGAGAATGCCTTTAATGAGCTCATCAGTAGCTGGATATAGCTGATAAAAAACAAAAATCACTGCATTGGAAGAGTTCAATAGGAACTATCCAAACTGAAGTACAAAGAGATTTTCAAAAAGAGATGATACAAACTTCTGGTTTCCATTCCAACATGTAAAGAGCTTGGAGGCTGTCACTCCATGCCTCGTAACAAGAAAAAAACCTTAACAAACTGAAACTAAACAACTTTTTAGATCCATCAGAGAACTGAGGTCACAGAGCAAACCACTGCCCCTAAAAGTGGAGAGACAGCAAATAAAGAGAATTGCAACTTAAGACAAGCTGATGAACTCGCTTGAAAGACGAAAACTTCCATGAGCTTCACCAGCTTCTCAGAGTTAAGATGGAAGAAAAATCTCCTCATGGTGGGGTAGGGACAAAGTAACATTTTGAAATACCTGCAGAACATACTGTTCTATTCAACAAAAGCCTGCCCTCAAGGGAAACTATTTACTAGGGTCTAACCAAAGTGGGTTTTACCAGGGTCTGATTGATATGGGGGAAGGGAAATGTCCTTCTCCAACCCCTCTAGTTTTCAACACAAGGGAAAGGAAAATATCCAACTCCAGACTCCTCTAGCCTTCCTGTCTCACCTAAGGGGTTAAAGAAAAATTTCACAAGCACATGTAAAGGTCACGACACAGGGGCACAGGCCCACTAAAAGACTGAGAACCAATGAGAGGATTCTAGAACACTACCCCTCGCCCAGTCCTTAGCACCACATCAACAGGACTCCTGTATGCTAATGGGATCACAGCTGAAAGAACTACAAGGATTGGTCACTATTTAAGGAATCTCTAAAGAAACCCAAAGACAACAGGTGAGACAAAAACAAGGACCAGAGAGGAAATTTTAGCCTCTGACACTGACAGCTACAATAAATTGTAAACACAGCCTAATTCCTAGCCTGATAAACATAAAACCTCACACTAAAGGCCTATTTACCTCAGTTCCTTTTACCTAATACATCATGCAAGGCTTTAAACCTCACATTAAAATGCTGATTACCTCTGTACCTACTACTAGATACAACATGTCCAGCTTTCAACAAAAAATTATAAGGCATGTTAAAAGGCAAAAAACTGAACAGCTACAGTAAGAGGCATCAGAACCAGACTCGGATATGACATAGACTTGGGAATTTATTTACTTTTTATTTATTTATTTTTGAGACAGGGTCTCATTCTGTTGCCCAGGCTGGAGTGCAGGGGTGCGATCTCAGCTCATTGTAACATCTGCCTCCCAGGCTCAAGTGATCCTCCCACCTCAGCCTCCTGAGTAGCTGAGACTATAGGCACATGCCACCATACTCAGCTAATTTTTGTATTTTTTGTAAAGACAGGGTTTCACCATGTTGCACAGGCTGGTCTTGAACTCTTGAGCTCAAGCGATCCACCCATCTTGGCCTTCCAAAATGCTGGGATTACAAGCATGAGCTACAGTGCAGATTTGGGAATTTAAAATACCAGTAAAAAATACACAAAGTGCTCTAATGGAAAAGGTGGACAACATGCAAGAACTGCTGATAATATAAGCAGAGAGATGGAAACTAAGAGAGAATCAAAAGAAATTGCTAAAAACAGAAATTTCATAAATAGAAAAAACAGAGAAAAAAGAGTGTAAAAAATAGAGCCAAATATCCAAAAACTGTGAGATAACTACAAAAGGTATAGCATAAATGTAATGGTAATACCAGAAAGAAAAGAAAGAAAAAACAGAAGAAATATTTGAAGTAGCAATGGCTGAGAATTTTCCAAAATTAATGACAGACACAAAACCACAGATCCAGGAAGCTCAGAGAGCACCAAGCAGAACAAAAACCAAAAAAACTGTATCCCAGCGTATCATACTCAAATTGCAGAAAATAAAAGACAAAAAGAAAATATTGAAATATTTTTGCAAAAGGGGTCCAAAAAACCTTACTTATAAGAAGAATAAGGATAAGAATTACATTGGATTTCTCTCCAGAAATCATGCAAGCAAGAAGATAGGTGAAATACTGAAAGTCCTAAAAGAAAAAAAAAAAAAACAACACCAACCTAGAAATCTGATCCAGTGAAATTATCCTACCAACATGAAGGAGAAATAACAAAAAACAAAATTTGAGGGAATTTGTTGCCAGAAGATCTGCCTTGCAGGAAATATTTTTAAAAGTTCTTCAGAGAGAAGGTAAGTAATTTGGGTCAGAAACTCAAACAAACAGAAAGAGAAGGACAGTGTTAAAGAAGGAATAAATAAGAGTAAAATAAAATCTTTTATTTTTCTCATTCTTACCTAACAGATAACAGTTTGTTCAAAATAGTAACACCAACAGGATACTGGATGATTATACCATGTGGATAAATGAAATGAATGACAGCAATGTTATAAGGGAAGGGAGGGAAGAATTGGGACTACTCTGTTATAAGATATGTGGCACTAACCATGAAGCGTCAAAGTGTTACTTGAAAGTGGACTCAGATTAACTGTACATGTATACTGCACACTCTAAGGAAAATCACTATTTTTAAAAAATAATTGATATGTTGAAAGGGAAGAAAATAGAATCATATAAAATGCTGCAGAGAAGGGAGAAAAAGAATGGAAGACAAAAGAAGAAACAAAGAACAAGGGCAACAAATAGAAAACAATTATAAATGTGGTAATATTAATATACCATATCAATCACTTTAAATGTGAATGGTCTAAATGCCAATAAAAAGACAGAGATCATCAGAAAGGATTGAAAAAAAAAAAAAGACCCAACTAACTACATGCTGTCTATAAGAAACTCACTTTAAATATAAAAATGCAGATATATTTGGATTAAAAGTAAAGGTTTGGAGAAAGATATACCATACTAAGACTAATTAAAAAAACCTAGAGTAGCTATATTAATTTCAGACAAAGCAGAAGTCAGAGCAAGGAAAATTATCAGGGATAAAGAGGGGCATTACATAATGATAAAGGGGTCAATTCTCCAAGAAGACATAAGAATCTTTAATGTGTATGTACCTAACACAGAAACAAAATATGTGAAGCAAAAACAGAACTGCAAGGAGAAATAGACAAATCCACCATCAATATCCTCTAGCAACAACTGACAGATCCAGCAAGTAGAAAATCAGTATCTAGTTAAATTAAACAACATCATCAATCAACTGGATCTAATTGACATTATTATAGGGTATTGCATCCAACAACACCACAATACACATTCTTCTCAAGGACACACAGAACATTCACCAAGATAGTCACATTTTAGGCCCAAAAGAGCACCCTAACGAGATTAAAAGAACAGAAACCACACAAAATCTGCTCTAAGATCACAATGGAATTAAACCAGAAATCAATAAGAGAAAGACTGCCAGAAAATTCCAAAATATTTGGAGACTAAATAACACACTTCTAAATAACACACAGGTCAATGCAGAAATCTCAAGAGAAATTAAAAACTATTATGAACTAAGCGAAAATGAAAATACAATTATCAACATTTATGGGAAGCAGCAAGTGCAGTGATTAGAGGAAATTTTATAGCACTGAATGCAATATAAAATCAATAATCTGAGCATCTACCTTAGAAAACTAGAGAAAGAAGAACAATATAAACCAAAGGCAAGCAGAAGAAATCATAAAAATTAGAGCAGAAATCAATGAAATTTAAAACAGGAAATGAGTAGAGAAAATTAATGAAACTAATGGCTCATTATTTGAAAAGATCAATAAAATTGATAAGCCTCTAGCCAGGCTAACCAAGACCAAAAAAAAAAAAAAAGAAGAAGAAGAAGAAGAAGAAGAAGACACAAATTACTAACATCAGAAATCGAACGGGGTCATCACTACTGATCTCATGGACATTAAAAGGATGATCAAAGGAATGTTATATACAACTCCTTGCCCACAAATTTGGTAATTTAGATAAAATGGACCAATTCCTTGAAAGACACAGGCTACCAAAACTCAGATAAGGAGAAACATATCATCTAAAAATGCCTGTATCTATTAATATAAAGGAAACTGAATCCATAATTAATAAACTTTCAAAAAAGAAAGCCCTAAGTCCAAGTGGTGAATTGTACCAAACCCTTAAGGACAAAATGATACCAATTCTCTACAATCTCTTCCATGAAGTAGAAGCAGAGAGAAAACTTCCTAACTCATTCTACGACACTAACATTACTCTAATGCAAGTTTAGCATCCCTAATCCAAACATCTTAAATCCAAAGTGCTCCAAAATCTGAAACTTGTTGACTGCCAAGATGATACTCAAAGGAAATGCTCACTGAAGCATTTCAAATTTTGGATTTTTGGATTAAGGGTGCCCAATCAGTAAATATAATGCAAATATTCCAAAATCTGAAAAGAAGTCTGAAATCCAAAATACTTCAGGTCCCAGGCATTTCAGATAAGGGATACTCAATCTGTACCAAAACCAGATAAAGACATTACAAAAAAGGAAAACTACAGACCAATGTCTCTTCTGAACAAAGGTGGATAAATGATCAACAAAATAGTACAAAATTGAACCTAAAAATGTTTTAAAAAGTGTATGCCCTGACCAAATGGGATTTATTCTTAGAGTTCAAGACTGGTTTACCACTTGAAAATCAATAGTGTAACCCATCACATCAACAGGCTAAAAAAGAATAGTCACAGGATCATATCATAGATGTGCATTTAACAAGATTTGACACTCATTCATAATAAAAACTCTTAGCAAGCTAGGAAAAGAGGGTAACTTCCTCAACTTGATCAAGAACATCTACAAAAAACCTACAGCTAACATCATATTTAACGGAGAGAAACTAAATGTCTTCCCCCTAAGATCGGGAACAAGGCAAAGATGTCCTCTCTCATAATTCCTATTCAATGTCATAGTGGAAGTCGTAGCTAATGCAGTAAGACAAGAAAAGGAAATAAAAGGTATACAGATTGTAAAAACAAAACAAAACAAAAAAAATTTCTTTATTCACAGATAATATGATTGTCCATATAGAAAATCCCAAATAATCCATTTTAAAAACTGGAACTAATAAGTGATTATAGGAAGCTTGCAGGATACTAGAGTCAATTGCTTTCACATATCCCAGCAATGAAGAACTGGGATCTGAAATTAAAAACACAATGCCATTTTTATTAGTGCCAAAAAAATAAAAACGTAGGTATAAATACTTAACAAAACATGTACAGGATATCCACGGAAAACTACAAAACTCTGATGAAAAAAATCAAAGAAGATCTAAATAAATAAAGAGATATTCCATGTTCATGGAGGGAAGACTCCGTATTGTTAAGATTTCATTTCTTTCCAACTTTATCTAAAGATTTGATACAATCCCAATCACAAGTCCAGAAGTTGTTCTGTGCATATCAACAAACTGATTCTAAAGTGTATATACTGAAAGGCAAAAGACCCAGAATAGCCAATACAATCCCAAAGAACAACAATAAAGTTGGAGGATTGACACTACCCAGCTTCGAGACTTACTATAAAGGTACAGTAAACAAGACAGTGTAGTGTTGGTGAAAGAATAAACAAGTAGATCACAATAAACAGAACAGACAGAATAAGCAGAATAGAAAGCCCAAAAATATACCCAAACTAATATAGTCAACTGATATTTGACAAAGGCACAAAGGTAATTCAAAGGAGTAAGGATACTCTTTTCAACAAATGTTGCTGGAACTGGGCATCCGCATGCAAAAAAAAAAAAAAAAAAACAAACCAAAACAAAACCCTCTCCGGCCTGCCCCTGTCTGCCAGTGTACATAACTTAGGACACCAACCACAACCACTTTCTTTGGATAGAAGGTATTGGCCCTCTGGGCAGCTGCCAACTTATCTTCCCTCTGCCCCGTCCAGCCCTCCATTTCATACCTAACCACTCCACAGTGAGATCAAAACTCTCAGAGCCCATGACGACTTTCACTATCAGTTTCAGGCCTTTCCTCAGTCCCATTTCTGTTCCAATTTCTTCTCTTCCTTTTATCTGCATAAATTGTCCCCTGGAGAAATTGTGTTTATTTTTTGTTCCCTGGTTTATCCCCAGGATCACACACAGAGTAGGAGTTCAATAAATACTTCTTGAATGAACAAGCTTTTAAGTTATGTACATGTCATATGTGTTTTCAGTACATACATCAAAGTATCGATACATCAAAAATCAACATCCAAAGTGATTATCTCTGCATGGGAAAGTTATGGGTGATTTTGATTTTTTTATTCCTTTTTGCTCATTGGAACTTCCTAACTGTTCAACAGCGAACATGTATTGCTTTGGATAATACAAATAACAGGAAAAAAAAACCCTCCCTACAACATAAGAAAGGCCAGGTTTATACAAAGGAAGCATCCGAAGTGATGATTCACTTTATAGAAGGCATCTTTTGCTTTGTAGAAAGCTTTGTCATAAAAATATTTTATGTAAGGAGTAGTCAAAAAAAGGATTTGATCTGTGGGACACTTCAGAATGATGAAGTTCAGAAAGTCCCATTTCCCCTGAGAAGAACAGAAGCTGTTCCTTCTTCCTTCTTTCCAGATCATGTTCTGTTTCCCCATCTTCTCAAGGAAGACCACAGCACATTCCCAGCTGGTCAGTTCCAAGCTCAGTGACTCCTAACTCTGTTTGCCTCCGGGGTTTCATCTTCAGATGTGGGTGTTTCGAGACTCTGGAAAACCAGACTGGATTCTCTGCTGGGCCATAACCATGAAGAAGCCTTTCAAGGGACTGGCTAAAGAGAGAACACCCTCAGCCTAACATGTGGATGGCTAAATCAACTCTGAATCTCTGACCTCATGAAAACCCTTCCACTCAGTGAAACCAGACATCATACAGGCAGTCCCCAACAAATGCTACCCTGGGACAGGCTTGCCTGTGTGCTTTGCACTCATTCTCTCTGAAGTCCAGAGCAGAATCTAGGTGCATAACACTGGCCTGATTTTACAGATGGGGAAACGGACCAGAAAGGCGAGATAATTTGCCTAGGAACACCCAGGTATTAGGTGGGAGACACAGGACCCAGGATTCCAGCCTTGGTCTAATGGATGCCAAAGCTGCAAGATAAATGAATACATATGCTCAAGTAACTTTTTAAAATAGCAAAGGTATTCAACATCTGATCTGTGTCAGGTTCTAAGAGACACATGCTGAGCTGGAGCCACCAATAGGTCAGCCATTGCCCCTAACCTGATGGAGCGTGCATGCTAGCAAGGGAAACACACCACACAACTGACTTCCACTTGTGAAATGGGCTACCCAGGTAGCACTGTCACCCTCAGCTAGGTGGGACACAAATGTATGGCTTAGCAAAACTACAACTAGCCACATGGCAAACTGCACAAATCTCCAATGCTAAATCCTATTGATACTATCACAAACTGTCATTGATGTGGCTCTTCCCATGTGCTAGGTACTGTGCTTGCCACTTCATATCCATTCTTTCATTTAATCCTTACCACCACCTTATGATGTAAACTCATTAAAAATTGCGACTCTTGGCCTCGCACAGTGGCTCATGCCTGTAATCTCAACACTTTGGGAGGCCAAGGCAGGCAGATCAGCTGAGGTCAGGAGTTTGAGACCAATCTGGCCAACATGGTGAAACCCTGTCTCTACTAAAAATAAAAAAATTAGCCAGGCATGGTGGCGGGCGCCTGTAATCCCAGCTACGTGGGAGGCCGAGGCAGGACAATCGCTTGAACCTAGAAGGTGGAAGTTCCAATGAACCGAGATCACACCACTGAACTCCAGTCTGGGCAACAGAGTGAGACTATCTCAAAAAAAAAAAAAAAATTGTGACTCTGAAAATAAGTAAAAAATCAAGATCTACTTCTGTGTTACAGTACCTTCTCCCAAGCACTACAGCACACTACATGGACTGCACCCCGCAGGCTCCTCCCCACCATAAATCACCATTAAGGGGTCTCCTAGCCCCTAAAGGGCTCCACGCCAATAGCCTCACTTGAAACAAAAGTGTCAGAGATCAAGCAGGTGACTTCTGCATCGCCATGGCAACTGGCTGAATGAGGCCTGTCAGGAACTTGGGAGTACAAAGGCCCAAGGGAGAATGAACTTGGGATACCTGGGATCTCTTCCAACAGTGATTCCCCACTCTGGACCCAGGAGCTATAGAGGCCCTGACATTCAGGCCAGGGCCCTGGTGCTCCCCAGGTTCAAAGGTCCAACCAGGTGTCAGGCCCCTGTGTAGCCCAGGCTGGACCAGACCCTGGCTGCAGCCTTCAGCATCCCCACCCACGAGGATGGCATAAGAAGGTGAGCCTGGGGTGACGCGAAGGCTGTGCATCAGCTCTGCAGTTGACTGTGATACTTTTACAATGTTCATGACTTCCAGACTCATTAGACTACGAAGAGCCAGTCACTTCCCTTTTTTGGACCTCAGTTTCTCCATCTGCAAACTAGAGGCAACCCTCCTTGCCTGGCCCACTTCCCAGGACCACTGTGTAGAATCAGCAAGAACACAGGAGTCTGTCTGCTCTGCAAATCCAAACCGTGGAATCAAGGTGGCATGGGGACAGTTCCACCTCCTCACGGAGAGGGCTGGCCCCGCCGTTGGAGGACACCAGCAGCAGCCGGCCCAGGGGCCTGCCAGGCCTCTCCTGACTATGAAAAGGCTACCACTCGCCAAGTTCGCTCCTGGCATAACAGCCTGCCAGCACGGATGGCAAGCCCGCCAGCCAGTTTTCCTCCTCAGGGATGCACACACACATACAATTCAACTCATAAATAAAAATCTGATTATCACAGGCTTTCTCAAAGCCAATGTGGCTGAGTTTTAATCTTTTATAAAGAAAAATTCATTAAATATTCAAGCGAGGCCTGTGCATCTCGGGAGACTGCAAGAGGCTCTCAGCAGCCCCCAGCTACAGACACACCAGTGGGGGTCCCAGGACCTCTGCCATCAGCCACCAGAGCATCTCTCCCTGCCGCGGCTGCTGTTCAACCAAGTCATTAGCCACAAGCAGGTCCAGGCTCTGCCAGCCCTGTCTCACTTTCCTGCCAGCCTGCTCCCCTTGGCTGCTCACACTCTTGGCTCTTTCTGCTCTACGAGATGGGGGATGCCCTGGGATCCTTTTCAGACTGGATAAAACTGAAAACAAGCTGAAAGGGACAAAACGTGAGGAGATGAGGGAAAGCCCCTCCCCTCCTAAACTGCTAATTCAGACTAACTAGGGGAGGCTAGTGAGGATATGAATTATGGCCTCTGGAAGGTGGCCACTGAGTCTTCCTTTCCAGTTTTCATTCGTTCATTCACACCAAATTTATTTACTGTGACTCCACAACGTGCCAGACACCATGGGCACTAAGAATACAACAGTGAGTGATACAGACAAAAACCTTTGCTCTGTGCCATGGGGTAAGGGCTGATTCCAGGGCCGGGGTGCAAGATGAGCCTGGTACATCCTGAAGACTCAGAAAGTAAGAAATGCTCAAAGAATGACAGGGACTTGTTCAAAGGACAGAGGAGCTTGCGTGAAGGGGCTGCCACTGGCCAAATCTGGAATGATTTGAGCATCAGAAAAAAAAATAATGATGGTAATTGATTATAACCCATAAAATAGACATCCAGCAGTCTAAATTGATCTAAATAAGCAGGTAAATAAATAAATAAATGGAGGAGAAAGGAGAGATCTTTCTACAGTACAATTCCAATTAATAAATACAGAAGAAATGATGGAAATAGGAAATCACTATTTGGCAAACACCACAGTTATCACTGTTGTAGGCAAGAAGCAACAATAGATGCTAAAATTAGTGGATAGAAAAGCATGATGAAAAATGAGATATTTGCATAGTCTCAAAATATCGCCACACAAAACACTTATTAATGCAAAGAATAAAAGAGTAACTTTACAGAGAAGGAACCTGGCAGACACCACCTTAACTAAGTGTTCAACACTAACATCACCAGTAGTAAGTCATCAATACCCTAGGTCCCCGATGTCATACAGTGAGAAGAAAACAGCATCACTTCTGGGGTATTCTTGCCGGAAATGCATACCCTCCGTCATCCTACAAATGTCTCACAAATCCAGGAGGAGCATTCTATAAAACAACCGGTGGGGACTCTTTAAAGGACTCAAGGGCACAGAATTCAAAGACTGACCAAGGATCTGCCCCTGACTGCTGAAGACTAAAGAGGTAAGACAACTAAGTGCAATGTGGGATCCCGGATCGGCTCCTAGGCCAGAAAAAAGACCATTAATGGGGCCATTGGTGAAATGTGAATAGGTCTACAGGTTAGTTAACAGTATTATATTAATCCAATTTCTTGTGTAAATATTAATTTCATAGTATAATCTGAGCATTATACTATGGGCATAGAAGTTAACATTTGAGGAAGCTAGGTGAAAGTGTATGGAAACTCTTAGTATTTCTAGAGGTTTTTATGAGTCTGAAATCTTTCGAAATCAAAGTTTTTTAAAAAATGTGTTAAGCCCTTCCCTCACAAAACTTACCTTATTGGGAAAGAGAGGTGGGAAGATAGAGAGGAAGTATATACAAATTGTTTTTTAAACAGTAAAATAACCATTAGATGATTACCAGTACTATGAAGAAAAATGAAGCCAAAAAGGAGGATGGAATGGGGAGATGGTATAATTTTAAACAGTACTTAAGAGAAGGCTTGCCAGACACGGTGGCTCACGCCTATAACCCCAGCACTTTAGGAGGCCGGGACAGGTGGATTGCTTGAGCCTAGGAGTTCAAGACCAGCCTGGCCAACATGGCAAAATCCCGCCTCTACAAAAGATTTAAAAAAAAAAAAATAGACGAGTGTGGTGGCACACGCCTGTAGTCCCTCCCTACACGGGAGGCTGAGGTAGGAGGATCAGTTGAGCCCGGGAGGTAGTGAGTACAATGAGTGGAGACTTAGCCACTGCACTGCAGCCTGGGTGACAAAGCCAGACCCCTATCTCACAAAAAAAAAAAAAAAAAAAAAAAAAGGATAGAGAGAAGGCTTGCTAGGCAAAGAAGGATATATCCAGAGGGACGAGCCCAGAAAATAACTAGAAAAGAGCATTCTGGGCAAGGAAACAGCAAGTGCAAAGGCCCTGAGGCTGCAATGTCTGGTGTGACAGAGAAAAAACAAAGTCAGACTGAACTGTGGCAATATCTCAGCTCCATTCCTGCCTTGGTGGGAGCTGGCCACCCCATTCCACCCTCTCCATGCCCCTCTTCCTTCTGAACAAGATGCCAGATTAGCCGCCCAAAGGCTTGGCAGAGTAGCATCTTAGGAAAGATTCAGTCCTCGAGCCAGTAAATAAAGTTTAAATTTCACTTGAACAATCTCTTAAGAAGGTACCATTGCTGGAGACTGTCTTCCCAGTTTTCTAGAAGCCCAATAACCAGTTTGTCCTCCAGAATTGGGACAGAGCAATGTTTTTCTGATTGAGCACCAGACGAAGATGTGTTAAGGGACCATGTTGGGTGAAGGATACACACCTTGCAACACGAGAATCACAGTTAGGTGGGTGACATGTTCTCATTCTGAGAGGGACCAAAAGCTCATCAGTTCTCATCTTCTAGGCACGCTCACACCAGGGTAACTGCCACCTGCATGATTCTTAACTCTCCACGGTTAAGTGCCATGATACTCATTGATCAATCATGTCTCTGCTTCAAAACCTTCAGTGCCCTTCCCTTTCCACGGGACAGCTCCCAACCTAGACTGGTACACTTACCTCTACAACAGAACAACAGTGGGCATTTCCTAACTGCAAGAGAAGCTTATGAGGGGTCAAACTGAAATCAGTTTTAGGCTCTTCTTAAGTTTTTGGCTGAGACCTGTAACCTTATCATCAGGACCACGAAGGCACAAACAGCAAATGAACTCTAGCAGAAAGATGCGGAATCCACCGGTCCAGGCTACATCATCAGCTTGTTTCGTTTTCTGGGCCTGAGCTCATGGCTGTGATTTTTTATTGCAGCCATATAACACGGTCATATTTTCTGCTAGTAAAATTGTCCCTGGGTCATACAATGGAATCAAATTGATCAATATTTCACAGAGCTGTTGCAAAAAAAGCTTTCGGGTGTTCCTGCCCTTCTCTCCAACACTGCAATACACACACACAGTCACACAGACACACACACACACACACACACAGACACACGCGCATGTCTCAGAATGGCCCACCTTTGTCAGCACAAAGAGATAATACTATCTCCTTATATAGCTGCTGCCATAAAGATAAATGTGATAAATACTATAATTATCATTATTCATTCACTCAACGAATATTTAATAAGCATCTACTATGTCTAGCCCTTGCTGGGAACAGAGGACATAGTAATGAATAAAGCAAACACAGGCTGTGCCCTCATGGGGATTATTCATTTCCTTGGTTAGCAAAATTCTCTACCTGGTTTACAGGGTCGTCCACAAGAATAGCTAGTATCTGTCTGTCTGTCTATCTGTCCATCCATCTACCTCTCTCTATCCCTCCCTCCTTTCCTCCTTCCCCCAGAAACCCCACACACACCTTTTATGTCCCACCACTCCCCAAATACTCCCTGCTCAAGTAGACCACCTAATATTTTCAGCTTCCCTCAAAAGGTATTTTTAAGCATCTTGAAATGCCATTTGCATACAAAGCCTTGGCTAATTAGAATCTTTCTACCTTTTCCTTAGAGTCTCGGATGGCTTTATCTTTCCCCTTTACCAATCTCAGCATTAACTACCCACAAGCCTGCACACCTCCTCCAGCTGGTGTCCCTGACCCTCCTCAAGCCACCAGTCTCCCCCCAGTTCCTCCACCCCTTCACCTTGGCATCCACAAAGCTCAAAGGGAACCAACGGCCTGACTTCTCAGGGGCTCATCTAGTCCTTCATCTCATCTTTGACAGTAGCGGATGTCAACAGCAAGAACCACTTCCACTATTTCAGAATCTTCTGCTGAGGTCCACCATACGACAGGCAGGGCAGAAGCTTTGAGTGACACCTGGCTGGTGGCTAGAAAGCAACCTCAGATGCACTCAGTGATGCCGACCATAGCAGGCAGCAAGCTACATGGAGGCCAAACTCCAGCGCCTTGCACAAAGCCTGATGCATAGTAGGTGCTCAATAATGGTCAGTTGCTGCTAAAACTGTTTATCTTTGAAAGTTTTGCTAAGTAAGGTAGAAGATTTTCCCTCTATAGTTAAATGAAGAGAAAATGAGCAATTTTATGCTAACTGTGCCCTTAAAATATTAGAGAAAACTGTTCTTAGACAGGGGTGCAAATTTCAAAGGATCAGGGGCTATGCAGGTAAGTTTCATGAGCCAGTCAGGTTGGAGGCCAGTGCTGGGAAGATGAGGGGGCCAGTCAAGCTCGCTCCTACTGACTGTTACATCCAAGTTGTCAAAACAGGTGGGACATCAGAATTTTTAAAGATGAGCAACTATTGTGGCCAGATGGTGTTTGATCTCTGGTTCAACCTCTGTTTAAACACTCCTCCCTTCCCCTACCCAGCCCTCTCTATCTTGTTACACCCGTTTGGAACAGAAAAGATGTTTTTATAATTAGCATAGTGTTTATATTCCAATGGGAGCATTCAAAAGGCTTAAAAATAGAATGATTCCTTACACACCTTAGAGCTCTTCCCCTGAAGATCTTCTTTACACTAGCATTTTCCCTAGCAAATCTTTTGGAAAGGTCAACTGCAGTTTACAAAATCATAAACCGGCAACTCCGAATGATTGGGATTTTGTTGCATACACTGAGGCAACTTTAAAGTCCCACCCAATGGGTTCTTCTGCTTCAGTGCTTAGTGGCTCTGAGATTAATGGCTCTACAGAGAAGCGCACGTGAGGAGAGCCCCAAGGTGCCTATATCCTGCGTCTTGAAGGCCTGGCTGCCAGAGGGAACCAAAAGAGGCTCTTGGAATTTGGCAGGCCTCTGGGATCCTGGAACAAACATGGACTTTGGTTTAAGGAAACCCGACTTAGAAGACTTAGACACTACCTTGCTAAGGGCCAATTTATCCCATTTACAGAAAGGGTGTTCTCATCACAGAAAGAACCGGGGGAGCAACCGCCTTAAAAAGCAGCTCTCTCCTGGGGTAATAACTCAGTGTTCATGTCTCCTTATATTAGCCAGCAGCATGTTAAATAAAAAGTGTGCTTAGAGGGGGAAAGGGTGGTCCAGGTTGGGGGAGGCTGAATAAACAAAATTCATCTATTTTCTTTGCTGCAGGACTTTTCAGAGCCTTTAAAGACCCAATGGCCACTGTGAATTTCTAAGACACAGTGTGTTCCATTCACAGGTTTATCTAGCCCTCAATTCACCTCCACCTTCCTCTCCCATGTCCCCGTGGAGCATACAGCCTGAGCCACATTTCAGAAGTAAGGGCAACAAGCCTCAACTTCTAAGATTAGGAGAGAAAGGGACTTGCCAAAGATCCACAGCTCATTAAGTCTACCCTCAAACCCAAGACAACAGTCTTTCCACAGCACCCACCCTCCCTCCCTCAAGACCATTGCTGCCTGCCCTACTGGTTTAGCCAAACAAGATCTGACCAAAGATAGACACTGACTGCAGTGTTCAAGAACCAAGGAGTGATATCTGCCAAGTTCCCAAGCCTGGCATAAACTGCTGAAAAGTATGAAGCAACAGCTGGGCCCAGAGCTGCAGGATCTTGGCTCTAAGAGGCCTGCCTTAGTGGTCAGCCAGCAACTGCTTTCATACCTCCAAGGGTAGGGCTGTCGCCCCCTCCTGCAGGTTCCTCACAACTGGATACTGGCTAAAGAACATTGCTAGTGTTTTCTTTCCCGTGACTCCAATGCTGCACATTGCAGGGTTTGTCAGGGGGATGTAGCTTTATGTTAAATCTATCTGCAGAAGAAGGCGGTCAACCGCACAGACTTTGAGGGACAGCAATCCTGAATTCAAATCTCAACTCTACCACTTACCAGTTAACACTGAGATCGCTTCAACCCTGTGAGCCTCAGTATCCTCATCTGTAAAAGGGGGGAATACCACCTCCCTGCGTGTGGGCAGGTGGGCACTGAGTGAGATTCTAGGGGCAGCTTCCCTTCACTCAGCACAGGCGTTAGAGAAAGCAGCTCTTACACGTGGCAGCGGTTCCTGGTGAAATCCACTCTGCTCACTCTCCCGTTTCCAGAGTTTGAACCTCCCTTATAGATCACTTGCCCTGACAGCTGCCCCTGGAAACTGTCCAGATGAACTTGCTGTGAAGGAAGAGCAGAGACCAAGCAGAATGTCTGGAGTAACAGCCGCCTCTGACCTTGGAGGGTTTTCTTGAAGGCCCAAGGTTCCCTGGTACAAAACAGCCCAGGCCAGAAGAGATCAGAAAATCCTCGTAACTGTTGCTAAAGGGATGTTAAAGCGCTGGTCCATCACTTAACTGTACAGATGGGGAAAATGAGGCCAAGGGGGGTGGGATCTGTCTTGGCACCCACAGAGGTCAGTGGCAGCACCAGACAGGGCCTCTGACACCTTCCCATCCCTCCTTTGGTGCATCCCACGACAGGGGAGGAAGACGAGGGGAGGAACTCTAGGAAGGTGATGTGGCATCCCCAACCCTCATCACGTTCCACTGATTTTTTAATAGACTTTAACAATTTACTGACACCAGCAGAGCTTATAAAATAGTTTAATTGAATTAATTAGGCAGTCCCGACTTACTCCTGAGTTCCCCCTTTGGCTCCGGGGAGGCTGTGCCTGCTGCCTGCTTAACCCCTTGCATCCTAGAAAGACTGTCACTCACTCACATTTAAAATGATTCACCATATTCTCTGACAGTTTCTTTCCTAAACTGGCTCTTACCCTGGCCCCACCCATATCCCAGCACTAAGCACACGTCTGCTGCCTGCATCTGCCAGGCCTGAGTTGCTGAAATCCCATCCTAATCCCATCCTAATCAAATTTAAATGGAGGAGATCCCTTTGTGTAGATGAATGCTGCCTTCTCCTGTATGTTCTCAGGGGACAGGGGCAGCAAGAGTGGGATCAGTGCCCCAGCATGGGAGCCACTCACTGGTCTGGCTGGGAAATGGCCACTCCTCACCATTCCTCCAATCTCCTTAGCCTCAACTTCCCTTGAAGCAGAGGCTGGCTCCTGCCACACAAAGTGTGGTCGGTGGCAGTATCAGCACCAGCTGAGAGCTTATTAGAAATGAAGACTCTCAGGCCCCGCCCACACCTGCTGAATCAGAATCTCTGGGGGTGGGGCCCAGCAATCTGTGTTTCAGGCCCTCCTTCGCGTTCTAGGACAAGCTAACACTAAAGAAGTGGTCTGGGTGATCAACAAGACTCCTTCTAGATTGAAAAGTCTGAGAAACAATCTAAAACATGAAAATGAATTCACTTACAAGATATTCTTTTCAGCAATATTTACAATAAGGAAAACCTGTAAATAGCAAAACATCCCCCAAAACAGGCCACTGTTGGGCTGTCGAGGGTACAGCCACCTCATGGAATACCCGCAGTCAAAACCCTCAAGGCTTGCAATAACACTGGGAAACAGGAATCTTATAATGTTGAGCTTTTTTAAAAAAATCAGGAGAGAATTTGTATCCATCCCACCTATTAGTAAAGAAAAAACAATACCGGCCAGGCACGGTGGCTCACGCCTATGATCCCAGCACGTTGGGAGGCCAAGGCGGGCGGATCACCTGAGGTCAGGAGCTCGAGACCATCCTAGATAACACGGTGAAACCCCGTCTCTACTAAAAATACAATAATCAGCTGGGCATCGTGGCAGGTGCCTGTAATCCCAGCTACTCGGGAGGCTAAGACAGGAGAATCGTTTGAACCTGGGAGGCAGAGGTTGCAGTGAGCCGAGATTGCACCATTGTACTCTAGCCTGGGTGACTAGAGTGAAACTCCATCTCAAAAAAACAAAACAAAAACAATACTTGGAAAAAAGCTCAAAATGTCAAAAGTGTCAACATCTGAGTAGGGATCTCTAGGTGATTTTCTTTCTTCCTCATACTTTTCTGTGTTTTCTTTTTCTATAAAGAGCACTTGCTATTTGTTATAACAAAGAAAAACAAACTTGGTTTAATTGTGTTTTAAGACAGTGCTTAGAAAGCAGAAAGTTTCAGGCCGGGCGCGGTGGCTCACTCCTGTGATCCCAGCACTTTGGAAGGCCAAGGCAGGCGGATCACTTGAGGTCAGGAATTCAAGACCAGCCTGGCCAACATGGTGAACCTCCATCTCTACTAAAAATACAAAAAAAATTAGCCAGGCATAGTGGCAGGCACCTGTAATCCCAGCTACTCAGGGGGCTGAGGCAGGAGAATCACTTGGACCTGGGAGGCAGAGGCTGCAATGAGCTGAGATTGTGCCACTGCACTCCAGCCTAGTCGACAGAGCAAGACTCCATCTCAAAAAAAAAAAGAAAAAAAGAAAAAGCAGAAAGTTCCATGCTAACTTGGAATTCATTCAGATATGGGCTAGGCTGGGCTCTGAGCCTCTTGTCAGCTGGGACGGGAAGACGGGCCCTGAGCACAGGTGTGAAGGAAGGACAGGAGAGAGGATGGAGAAAAGGGCTTTCAGATGAACCACTTTAGGAAAGTGATATTGTCCCTGGTAGATAATTGGACAAATTACTGAAGTAAAAATGTAATGGTGGAAGAGGAAACAACCCTGAGGAGCCAGATCCAAGCGAAAGGAAAATAAATGCATGCCCATGAAGACGTCCTTCACAGCAGCCGCGCACACCTGAACACACCTGGCTGGCAGGAACACGCTCGTTATTAGGCCAATAATAAGTCACTGTTTCCAGGAACTTCTAAGCCCCGGAAGCTGATGCTGGGCTGCAGGTCCACCCCAGCTGGCTCGAGCTAAGTGGACTCGGCAGGAATCAATAATTACAGAGTGAAGAGCAGGAACCAGGTGAACAAACACAGACCTGGAATTAGAAGCTGGCTGGTCAGGAGGCTCCCCTACTTAGAGGCCAGAAATGGAGACTCATCCTGCACCCTACTCTCTTTCTGTGGTCTGGGAGGCCATGGCACCAACTGCCTCAGCAGGAGAGACAGCATGAGCAAAGTGGGGAGGTGGAAAATCAAGGTGTATCTAGGAGAGCCATTTAGTATAGCAGGGATAAGGGGCAGCCAGGCGGGGAGTGGTGAGTTCATAAAAATAGGCTAGGCTGGCCGCACTGGCTCATGCCTGTAATCCCAGCACTTCAGGAGGCCAAGGCGGGCAGATCCTGAGGTCAGGAGTTCGAGACCAGCCTGACCAACATGGTGAAATCCCATCTCTATTAAAAATACAAAAATTAGCCGAGCATAGTAACACACGCCTATAATCCCAGCTACTCGGGAGGCTGAGGCAGAAGAATCACTTGAACCCAGGAGGCAGAGGTTGCAGTGAGCTGAGACCGCGCCACCGCACTCCAGCCTGGGTGACAGAGCGAGACTCTGTCTCAAAAAAAAAAAAACAAACAAAAAAGGCTAGGCTGTGAGTATCGGGGAGCGGGATACAGCATGGGAGCATCCGCATGCAAGCACCAGAGGCCAGGAGGCGCTGGACTCGGGAGAAAGGAATGAACATTTCCACCCTGTGGAGCCACCACCCATCCCCAAGCAAGCCCAGGCCCTGAGACGGTGGCACCTTCAAGCTTGGGCTAGCAAGTCCCAGGGAGGAAAGCAAGTCACCACCCTCATTCCCCTCTCCCCAAACCTCAGTGGGCATCACATGACACCCCAAGGTTTCTGGACAGCTGCCCACTGAGCCCTGACAGACCCAAGTTTCCCTAAACAAATCTCAGGAAAAGTCCATCTGCAGCCTCGTAGCACATACAGAGCGCAGCCATGGTCTGAAGCCACCTGATTTTTCCCCTTCCTTATCCACATCTGTGGTCAAAGTCCCAGTCACGATACTCCACCCAGACCCAGGGGGACAGGGACACACAAGGCCTCTAGCCCCCAACCACCAAGCAAGAGCCACAAGTCCCAGAATGACCTGAGCTGCAGGTATCAGGCCGGGACATGCCTCGATCTTCCATTAGCATCACTGCATACAACTGCAACAGGCGACAGGACCATTCCCTCCAACCCATTCCTTTTCCAAATGAGGCACCTCAAGCTCAGAGAGAGAGAGAGTGTCCTTGCTCAGGTCCCACAGCAGCCGAGGGGCAGAGCTGCGCCTCGAACCCCAGACTCCTGGCTCCTATCCCAGCTCAGCAATGACTTGGCCACTAAGGGATTCACCGGCTTTGGGGTATAAATGGCGACTGACCCAGGAACTTACTGAAGCCCCATAGGAGACTAAAAAGGAGGACTAAAACAGAGTCATGAAATCACCGTCCCCAGAAGGGGCCCAAGCAGAGGCAGGAAAGATGATCATTTAGCAAGAATGGCACTTCAGAGATTGAAGGGCAAGACCTGTTTCTTGGAGGGTGAGGGTGGCTGGGGTATGAATGGCCTTGACATTCCATCCTTATTATGGTATCTTGTGATTCTGTGATCCTCACTCCCCAGTGAGGCAGAAGCAGAGCCTGAGAAGGGGCAAGAGATAACTCTGCACAGCGGTCTTCAAACTGGGTTCCTCCAGCTGCCTGAGGGGCCAACCAGAGAGGGGCCAAGCAGATAGGAACCTGCTGCCTCGGGGCTGACTTCCCCATCAGACACAGCACCCAGGGCCCGAGAAACTTTTAGAGACCCACAAAAATGCTTTCATTCCTTTTAAAATCAGAACTTAAAAGATGAACTTTCAGGTCAAAAAAAAATGTATAACATAGAATATTAATATATTCATGTCTACACCAATGCAGTCATACAAAATAATTTTTAATATTTTTGTATGGAGGAAGGAGCCCACGAAGACAAAAGTGCCTAAGGCCCACAAAAGTCATAATATGGTCCTCCCTCCTCCATTTTTTTAAACTGCTTTTATCTATGTATTTAACATCCTGAGCACCTGTGTGAGATTGCATTTATGAAAGAGTTCTTTAGCTAAAAAGGCTTTTGAAATCTCGTAGTGGGTAAAGATGATGTTTTTCTCTATAAATGTTAGGGTCTTAACTTACGAACAAGTGAAATGTGCTGTTACATCAGTCACTGAACTTTCCCAAGCCAAAGGCTCAAGACATGAAGATTCTTTTGACTGCCCGAGCCTCCCAGTTCTCAGGAGCCATCCTGCTGAGGCTCTGGGTGTCACTGTTTCATGGAAATGCAGGCACACTGTGCGTCATCCTTGTTTTTAACATTCCTCCCAATTTAAGTCTTGAGACCCACAAAGCACTAGATGGAAAATAATCATGCTGACCTCTTGAGAAAGGGATCCCACACTGCAGACTCAAGCTCTCACAGTGACACCCCCATGATTCTGAAGGGGGCAGCTCTCATGGGAAGGAGGGGAATCCTAAAATCAGGATAAATCAAACAACCCCA
This sequence comes from Homo sapiens, assembly GCF_000001405.40. Taxonomy (NCBI): domain Eukaryota; kingdom Metazoa; phylum Chordata; class Mammalia; order Primates; family Hominidae; genus Homo; species Homo sapiens. The sequence goes on along the minus strand of NC_000009.12, from coordinate 113,907,835 downwards.
TCGGAAGGAAAGAGAGTCCTTGAAAGAAAACCCCAGCTCATTTGAGGACAGTCATCTAACTGTGGCTCTCAACCTTCCGTGTGGAAGCATTGCCTGGGGAGTTGGTTAGACATTCAACTGTACCTCCCAGCGATGCAGAAACACCAGTCTACAGGTGGCCCCAGGGGCCTCTCATGCGGGGGGGTCCTGGACAACCCTCTGGAAAGCGCTTGCCTACTCATGATGAAAGAGGTGGTGTGGAGGTGTCCTCAGCCTGCTGGGCCTGGGTTTCTTGGTTCTGATTATTGGATAAGGATTCAGCAAAAGGGAACAAGATCCAGGAAGCCTCATTGCCTGGGAAAGTCCCTGCCCGGGGTGGCAAGAGAACAGTGAACGGCCAGCAAGTGGGAGGGCAGAATGCCACTGTCAAGCCAGGCGAGGAAAAAACTCACCAGGGCAGGGGCCAAGCAGACCTGTGAACACCATGAACAATTGGAGCTGCAAGGGCCAGAGTGGGTGAGCTTGCTCTAGAGGCCAAAGGGGATACAGTGGACAGTTTTGTTTCTGCCTCCTCAGCATCCCATCTTACAGTACAGAACTATCTCATCCCTTCAGGTCCCCACAACCTAAGTGGTGTCAATGGGCTATCCCCAGCCCCCAACTCCAACAAGAGAATCAAATAACCCAGGGCCATCCAATAATAACAACACACCATCCTCGCACTGTGATCGGCTTAGGGATGAGCCTATGGCCCTCATTGGGCCAATGAGAGCCTTCCTTGGGACTTCCGTTAAAGCCCTTGGAAAAGAGATGCTCTCTTTCCTCCAGGACTACTCCACTGGGGGTGAAAAATAAGCATGGTGCTGCTACAGCCATTTCTGCCACCACTTGGAGAGGGCCTGCCTGAAGAAGTCACCACAAGGAAACAAGAGCTGAGAGATGGAGAAGAGCACATTTCCGATGACATCATCTGCATATGTGGGCCAGCCATGCCTAAAATTGGCTAACCCCTGGACTTTTCAGTAGGCATGCCAATACACGTCCCCTTTTGGATTAAGCAAGTTTGAGATGAGTTTCTGTCACTTAAAACCTAAGGCGTCCTGACTATAATGGATGGTTTGTTGTATAAACTGGCAGGTTTGGTTTAAAGGCAGAAAGAATCCTCACTTTGCTAGGAATTAGCTGCTTAACCTTAAGCAAACCACACCAGCTCTCTCAGTTTCCATTTCATCTCAAACTCTCTAGCTTGTGGTGCAGAATTAAATTACATCACAATGACTCCACGGAGCACTTGGAACATTATGTGGCATTTGTAGGTTCAGTAGATGTCAGGAAAGAAAGCAGCAGTCTAAAGGAAGCCTCCTCCCCAGCCACCCCCACTTGCTAAGGAAATAACAGTCCTACATGATGGCAGTGACTAAAACGACCCTACAACCTGACTATAGCATGGAAGAGCGAAATGCCCATCAGAAACCCTAAGCCAAAGGAGGAACAGCCAGGAGAAGCCCTTTCTTCAGAGCCATAACCTCTGGCATCTTCCCAGCACTTTATGGAGCTCAAAGCAGTTTCATATTCATCATCTATCCCCACAACCCCTGCTAAGAGAATGAGACCCTCAGAAATATAAAACAGCGCAGCCTTGACAAGGGCCAATTTGGTAATATCTTTGAAATGCACAGAGTCTATGACCCCACAATGCCTCTTCTGGTATGCTATCTTCCAAAACTACTCTCATCAATGCAAAATAATACTGATACAAGAAGCACTGGTGGCTTCTAGTCATGACGGAGTAAGAAGGACCAGATTCACCACCCACCTTAAACAACTAAGAAACTGATCGAAATATATCAAACAATGATTTTTAGACACTGGATAACAGGCAACACTGGGCAAAACACCCTAAGAGAGGGAAGCAAACAAGGTGGGTCCTACGATTGTCCCATCTTGCTGCCTGGAGAATGATCAAGCTGCAGGGCAGGGAGGGGAAAACCAAGCAGAGCTCAGAGGTCTCCTGAAGTTGAGGAGGTATGAGTTTAGACTTTGGGAAGAGCAAGGAAGGTGAAACATGCAAGGGAGGGAATCAGAGAAGAGAATCATGCGGAGAATGAGCTGCAATTCTTCAACGGCTTCACCCAAGTGCTGATCAGCGCATGTGTATAAGGAAAGCACCTGAGGCTGGAGAAAGAACCAAGCAGAACCATTCTCAGAGCTCATCCAGGGCTACGAACAGTTCACACTCCCAATAGCCAAAGTGGAGAAATTTCACTTTGACTGTAGACTCCTGGTCTACAGGCTTTTCTATAAAGGGTCACAAAATAAATATTTTAGGTTTTATGGATTGTTGTGGAATGGAAGCAGCCACGGACAGTACACAAAAATGAGCATATCTGTGTTCCAATAAAATTTTATTTACAAAAACAGAAGGCAAGCCTGATTTGCCCCATATTTGGCCTGTAGTTTGCCAAACCCTGCTCTATTCTGAAGGTTGCTCTGGTCTTGCTGAACAAGGCTGAATAGCAAGCCTCAAAGATCAAACAGGCACTTTGGGAGGCAAAGGCAGATCACTTGAGTCAGGAGTTCAAGACCAGCCTGGCTAACATGGTGAAACCCCATCTCTACTAAAAATAAAAAATTAGCCAGGTGTGAGGGCGTGTGCCTCCAATAGGAGGCTGAGGCACAAGAATCGCTTGAACCAGGAGGCAGAGGTTACGGTAAGCCAAGACTATGCCACTGCACTCCAGCCTGGGTGACAGAGCGAGGCAGTCTTGGAAAAAAAAAATCAAACGGTTTCCAAGTAATTTAATGACTGTGATAGGCAGAATAATAGAATAATGCCCTCCCTGTACCCAACAAAGACATGTGCGTCCTAATCCCCAGAACTGTGAAGGTGTTAGGCTACAAGCAGATGCAATTAAGCTTGCTAATCAGATGACTTTGAGATAGAGAGATTATGCTGGATGGTTGGAGTGGGCTCAAGGCAAGGGTCCTTCTAAGTGGAAGAGGGAGGCAGAAGAGAGAGAGCCAGAGAGATGGGCAACGTGAGAAGAACTCTGCCCAATGTTGCTAGCTTTGAAGATGAAGAAGCCATGGGCCAAAGAGTGTAGGTAGCCTCTAAAGGTTGGAAAGGGAAACAGATTCTCCCCTAGGGCTTCTAGAACCTCGGCTGACACCTTGATTTTAATCCAGTGAGGCCCATTTCAGATTTCTGATCTCCAGAATTACAAGACAATAAATTTGTGTTGTTTTAGGCAACTAAGTGTGTGATAATTTGTTAGAGCAGTCAAAGGAAACAAATACAGCTAAGACTTCACCAATAACAGAGCAAAACACAGCACAAAAATACTTAAACCCCAAAACTGCCAGCACTAAAACAATCAGGAATGTAAAATTCAGAATCAAAATTCAGAATCAAAAATTGCTAGGCATGAAAGCAGCAGAAAAATTAACAGGAAGAGATACAAAAATGACATATGATAGACTTTATGGATGTTGAAACAGCCATCATAAATATACTCCATATGTCCAGGAAGGTAGAGGAAAAAAAACATAATCACCTTATAGGGACACAGGAGATATAAAAAGACCCAAACCAAACTTCTAGAGATGAAAAATACAATGCCTGGGATTAAAAAAATACACTGGGTAGTATTAAGAATAGGTTAGAAAAAAAAAAAGAAGAGGTTAGATATTAAAGAAGAAAAGATTGATGAACTTGAAGACAGCAATAATTATTAACAATGAAACAGAAAAATAAAAGATGGAAAAAATAGGGCATCAATGAGCTATGGGACAGATTCAAAAGGCTTAATATACATGCAATTGGAATCCTTGGAAAAAAAAAAAAAAGGAGGGGTGAAGAAGGGGAGAAGAGAAAGATATTTGAAGAAATAATGGCCGAAAGTTTTCTAGTTTGGTGTGAACCCAGAAGCTCAATAAATCCCAAGCAGAAGAAACAGACACATCATTAATCAAACTGCTTAAAATGAGAGATAAGGAGAAAATCCTAAAAGTAGTAAGAAAAAAATTTTGAAGACATTACACACAGAGGAACAAAGAATAACAGCCAACTTTCCATCAGAAACAAGCCAGGAAACAGTGAAGCAACATCTTTAAAGTACTGAAAGAAAGAAAGAAACAAACAAAAAACCCTGTCAACCTCGAATTCTATAGCTAGCAAAAATATCTTTCAAAAACAAAAGCAAAATAAAGACGTACAAAACCAAAAGGAATTCATCAGCAGCAGACCTACATAGGAAGCACTGGTTCTCCGGTTATAACAGCCAGAAAACTGGGAATATCAAAATACCCACCAGAAGACTAGTTACATAAACTATGATAGATGCTTACAATGAAATACTGAGTGTTGATTAAAAAAAAAAAACAGAGGCAGATTTATTGGGGCTAACATAGAATGACCTTGCGAACACCCTATTAAGTGAGAAAAGCTAAGCTGTAAAACAGTATGAATGGCTCCCAGTTGTATCTGTAAATGTATAAGAAAAAGACCTAGGGTGATATACTCCACTGTCACCAGGACTTACACACTGGAAATGGGGCTTAGGAGAATGGAAAGTAATGTCAAGGGGTCTTTTCCATTCTTATTCTTCATTCCACTTATTTCTGTGTCATCTGTATTGTTTTCAAAGAACATGTATTCGCTCATGCATTTCAAGTTAAAAATTGAAAAACCAAAAGAGGTCCTTAGATGGGATTCAAGGCAAGCCCAACAGGCAGTCAAATTCTTTATTGGCAAAGTGATTTTATGACTTACTCAGTTCAGGTCAGGAGTTCAAGACCAGCCTCCATTCCTTTTGCTTCTTTCAAATATTCTCTATTTCATTCTATCCTAAATTCCACACCTGGGTACACATCATAAAAAAGGCCTCCCAGGGGTCCATGTGGAAACATGTACAAGGATGTTCATTGCAGTTTTATTTGGGGTGAGGGGGGACAGTTAAGGCAAATGAGAAGTACACAAGCTAAGGAATTCATCACCAGCAGCCCTACACCACAAGCAGCACTGGTTCTCCAGTTATAATAGCCAGAAAACTAGGAACACCAAAACACCCATCAGAAAGGGGACTGGTTATATAAACTATGGTAGTTCCTTACAATGGGATACTGGGCGTTGATTAAAATGCTCGGAGGTGAATAGGTAAAATGTGGTGGCTGCACCAAGCAGCTGGAAGTAATGTGGACAGATCTCAAAAACAGAGCAGAGGCACAAAAGTGAGAAACAGAATGAGATTCAAACACTGTATTATTTATGTAAATTTTTAAAGCATGCACACAAAACAATAGTGCATGTCTCTAAAAACACATAAACAAAAAGATGCATGTTAAATACATTAGAATAAGCGGCTTGGAGGTAGGGGAGGAGCAGAGAAGTTGGAGAAAATGGGGATAAAAACTAAACAAAGCTAGAAAGGACCCTACACAAGCAAAGATAGCCACACACCCTAAACTGAGCAAAATTAACTTGTGGCACATGACTTTTAAAAGGGAGGGAAAGAAAACAGGTAGCATCTGAGTTCTTACTATGTGCTGAGTGTTTACATGTATTAATTCATTTAATCTTCATAACTAACTCCACATGGGGTTCTCTGAACCAGCCCCTGACCCTGCAATTTACAAAGACGAAACAGAGAGGTTTAGCAAACTGCTCAGAGCCACACAGGGAGGAAGGAGCAGAGGCAAGACTTGAATCCAGGCTGGCGAACTCCGGTGTCTGCACTCTCCACCCTCACGTAGGCAGCTTCTGATTGTTCTTACCCTACTTAGCTGAGAAAATGGAAGCACTGCCATTTCTTCTCAGAATCACAGAAAGTCAGAAAGAGAGTCTGTATTGCACTGCATTGGACCCCTTTATGCAGATGCAAAAACAGGCCCAAAAAGGCATGAAGAGGCACCTCAAGGCCACAGATGCTCAGCGCGATGTCCCCCCCACTGCGACACACTTAGTATCCCAGCTTCAAGACCAGTTAGACACGCAGAGGAAAAACAAAACAAAACAGAAATAGTCCGGAGAACAGGAGTTTGGAATAAAAGACTCAGAGGATTAGGGACCAAGGAGGCAGCAGGAGAGAGAACAAAACTTGCTTGCAGGTTTGGGACCCAGCCACCAGGCCACTTAAGAAGCTGTAAGCCTTAGTTCAGCCACGAAGCAGTGGCGTTTATGAGCTACGAGACCCCGTGATAACCCTGTCCCCTGGCTGGAGCTTCCACTCAGCTAGAATGGGGACTCTGGCCAGGGAACAAGGTCTTTTGCTGGGCCCGGGTTTAGCATGTCCCGGAAAAGCCCATGAGGCCCTGGCACGGGCGCTGATGTATCAGCTAATGTCTCGTTCAAGTTGTCAGCATTTTGTTAGAGCCAATTCAGTGGGTAATTAAGAAAAAAGTTGAGACCAGATGGGGAAGCAGATGCTAGCTCAGCCGCAAGAGCAGTTCCCTGCAAGTGTCTGGCAAAGCACCGGGCTGGCCAAGTCCGCACAGAGAAGGGCGAGAGCAACAGCTGCCTAGACAGGAGACGGGGCAAGGAGATGCCCGTTTTAAATGTTGGAGACGCTGAGGCCCAACGACGCAGGAGAACTTGAGGAAAAGGAGAGATTCTGCCCTGAGGAGAACTGGAGACAAAGTTTAGACCCTCAAGTGCAACAAACGCTCTCTCGCAGCAGCGGGAGAGGACAGTGCTAGGAGACAGGAGCTCGGGTTCGCGGGAGAAGACGGTGCTAGGAGACAGGAGGTCGGGTTTGCGGGAGAGGACGGTGCTAGGAGACAGGAGGTCGGGTTAGCGCGAGAGGACGGTGCTAGGAGACAGGAGGTCGGGTTAGCGCGAGAGGACGGTGCTAGGAGACAGGAGGTCGGGTTTGCGGGAGAGGACGGTGCTAGGAGACAGGAGGTCGGGTTCGCGGGAGAGGACGGTGCTAGGAGACAGGAGGTCGGGTTAGCGCGAGAGGACGGTGCTAGGAGACAGGAGGTCGGGTTTGCGGGAGAGGACGGTGCTAGGAGACAGGAGGTCGGGTTTGCGGGAGAGGACGGTGCTAGGAGACAGGAGGTCGGGTTTGCGGGAGAGGACGGTGCTAGGAGACAGGAGGTCGGGTTTGCGCGAGAGGACGGTGCTAGGAGACAGGAGGTCGGGTTTGCGGGAGAGGACGGTGCTAGGAGACAGCAGGTCGGGTTTGCGGGAGAGGACGGTGCTAGGAGACGGGAGCTCGGGTTCGCGGGAGAGGACGGTGCTAGGAGACGGGAGCTCGGGTTCGCGGGAGAGGACGGTGCTAGGAGACAGGAGCTCGGGTTCTGGCCTCAGCTCTGCCAGGTTCTCTTGGGTTGCTGCCTCACCTCAAAGAAGTCACTTTTCCCCTTCCTCTCTGTGCCTGTTTACTCATCTGTAAGATGAAGGAAAGAATCCCTGTACAGCCCACCCAAAGTAGTGATGAGGTTAACTACTGTGCAAAAAACTGTTAGGGTTAATCGCATTTAAAAGTGGCAGTTTGTCGGCCAGGCATGGTGGCTCACGCCTGTAATCCCAGCACTTTGGGAGGCCGAGGTGGGCAGATCACTTGAAGTCAGGAGTTCGAGAGCAGCCTGGCCAACGTGTTAAAACCCCATCTCTACCAAAAATACAAAAATTAGCCAGGTGTGCTGGTGCACACCTGTAGTTCCAGCCAGCTACTCAGCAAGCTGAGGCACGAGAATCACTTGAACCTGGGAGGCAGAGGTTGCAGTGAGCCGAGATAACACCACTGCACTCCAACCTGGGCAACACAGCAAGACTCGGTCTCAAAAAATAAAAAAATAAAAATAGAAATGGCAGTTTGTCAAAAAATTAAATGCAGAATTACCATATGATCCAGCAATTCCATTTCTAGGTACATACCAAAAAAAAATGAATGCAGAGTCTCAAAGAGCTGTTTGTCCACCCATGTTCATAGCAACATCATTCATAACAGCCAAAAGGTGGAAGCAACTGATATATCCATTAATAGACAAATGAATAAACAAAATGTGGTAGGTACATATGACAGTATTATTCAACCCTTAACAAAGAGGGAACCTGCCATGTGCTACAACACAGATGCACCTTGAGGACATTATGCTGAGTGAAACGAGCCAGCCACAAAAACACAAATGCTGTGTAAGTCCACTTCTATGAGGTACCTAGAGTCATCTAAGTCAGCGGTCCCCAGCCTTTTGGTACCAGGGACCAGTTACTTAGAAGACAGTTTTTCCATGGACAGAGGTGGGGGGAGTGATGGTTTCAGGATGGAACTGTCCCACCTCAGATCACCAGGCATTAGATTCTCCTAAGGAGCGCAACCAAGATCCCTCGTGTGCACAATTCACAATAGGGTTCGCGCTCCTATGAGAATCTAACGGTGTTGCTGATCTGCCAGGAGGCAGAGCTCAGGTAATGCTGGCTTACCTCCTGCTATACAGCCCAGTTCCCAACAGGCCACGGACCTGTACTGGTCTGCAGCCTGGAGGCTGGGGACCCCTGATCTAAGTCACACAGACAGAAAGTGGAATGGAGGCTACCAGGGACTGGGGGAAGGGGAAATGGGGAGTGGCTGTTTAATGGGCATAGAGTTTCAGCCTGGAATAATGAGAAGAGTTCTGGAGATTGGTAGCCCAACAATGTGAATGTACTTCATATTACTGAACTGTACTTTAAAATGGTTAAGATGGTAAATTTAATATGTGTACTTTACAAAAAAAAAAACTAGGGAAAAAAGGTCTTAAAATCTAGAAAAGGAGTCATGCACAAGCCACCTACTGAGGAATTTCCGCTAGATGTTACAGATGTGGGGACAAATCACGGGACATCATGAGGGACCATCTCACAGCCACCCTCCTGGAGACTCTGAGGCAGGCTGGTAAGAGGAAAACCAAGGTGACAGGACCTACAGGGAATGCCAAGAGAAGCTAAGCTACTTCCAGCTAGGGCTTTCAAACCCACCCCACAATCCTACCAGGAAAGAATCTTGAGCATAAACCACTGGGCACTTCCCAGCGCAGCTTCACCAAGCCAAAGGAAAGAACCACATATTGAGGTAACTACAGTCTCAGCCTCACCTCATTAACCCCGGGCTGCTGCATCGCTGATCTATAAATGTGTAACATCTAGCCCTCCTCTTTCCACTCAAGGTTTGAGGAAGCAGTCCCAGCTATTCCAGAGGCTGAGGCAGAAGGATTGCTTGAGGCCAGGAGTTTGAGACCAGCCTGGGCAACATAGCAAGACCCCGCCTCTACAAAAAATTTAAAAATTAGCTGGGCATGGTGGTGCACACCTGTAGTCCCAGCTCCTCAGGAGGCTGAGGCAGGAGGATTGCTTGTGCCCAGGAGTTCAAGGCTGCAGGGAGATATGATCCAGGCTGGGTGACAAGGCAAGACCCCATCTCTTAAAAAAAAAAAAAAAAAACGAAAAATCTGAGGAAGCAGCTACTGACATCATTTTAGGATATAGACCAGGCCAAGCCAAACATGCCAAACACGAGACTTCCCTTATTTTGAATGAATAAATGAGGCAAACAGGGGGAGGGCGAAGGAAACAAAATGGAGTGACAAAAATAGAGTTAAGCATCATGCTCAAGATTGAGAGAAGAAACATACAGAGCACAGTGTTACTCTGGAAAACAGAAAGACATCTAAGACACACTCCTTTGTGTGCTCAGTAAAATTAAAGACAAGAACAGAGTGAAACAGAAAGAGAAGCTCTAGGAATGAAAAGTGCAAGGAATCAAATAACACCATTAAACCAGTTAAGAGGCCAGGCACAGTGGCTCACGCCTGTAATGCCAGCACTTTGGGAGGCTGAGGCGGGTGGATCATCTGAGGTCAGGAGTTCAAGACCAGCCTGCCCAACATGGAAAAATCCTGTCTTTACTAAAAATACAAAAATTAGCTGGGCATGGTGGTGGGCACCTGTAATCCCAGCTACTCGGGAGGCTAATCAGGAGAATTGCTTGAACCTGGGAGGCAGAGGTTGCAGTGAGCCGAGATCGTGCCACCACACTCCAGCCAGCCTGGGCAACAAGGCAAGACTCCGTCTCAAAACAAAACAAAACAAAACAAAAAACGAAATCCAGTATCCAAAGCAGTAAAGGGCAGAACTGTCAGTGCAGAAAACCGAGTAAGTGATGCAAAGGAAAAGCTGGGGAAACACATATAAAACTAAAAAAAATTTAAAGAGATTAAAATAACCAAAAGTAAAGATAATTACGGAAGGCAAACAATAGGGGTATATGGATATATAGAGATAACTACCATTTTAAAAAGATGAGACCAATGGGACATATGGAACAAAACATTTCCTATTATTAAGAAAGAAATCTGTAGACTGAAAGTACATGCCATGTTCCCAGCAACTAATTAAAAGGCATTAAAACATAGAGGCTGGAATAAGCCTCAAATTTCAAGGGTGAAAAAAGAGTGATACAGGCATTCAGGAAGGCTGGGGATGGGAACAGAATTAAGCACAAAAGCAAAATATCGTGTATCCTCGAAATTATCTTCTAAAATATTAATAACATAAGACTACAGAACATCTCTTGAGTACTGAAGGATAAAATGCATAACCCAAAAATGTTATATTTATCCAAACTGCCATTCATATATGAAGGAATCAAAAACATCTTCTTAGTTGTACTAGTACATAGGGGGAAAAACTGTAATTAGATGAAACAAAACACATCAGTTATGATAATAAATATAAACGGGGGTAAGTTCCATATTAAAAAACACAGATCTCAAGACTCTGAGTTTTTAAGTATAAGAAAGCATGATATCCAAAAGAAATACATAGTAGCTATTTTTTAAGTACACAGAACAAGCAAAAGTAAAATAAACATGTAAATCTATACAAGGTAAATTCCAACAATAGAAAGCAGGAAGTGCTTTCATAAAAATCTCTAGAATTAAAGGTAAAAGCAGGAAATGAACTATAAAAATTAGAAAATCCAGAACTGAAAGTAGAAAGCATAAAACAGGTCAAGGAGGGCCTATTTTTACAGATTAAGGGTACAACCCATAATAAAATGTAGCAGGCAGGTATACTTCTGTTAAATGACCTAGTAATAAAATACATAAAGTAAAACATATAAAGCAAATGGTAAAATCAAAAGAAATATTATAATATTAGAAGACATTAACAGGCTCTCAATTTCTTGAAATAATTAGAAAAACTTAATAATATATCTAAGGCCCTATGGGGAATCTGAAAAATACAATTAATAAAGTCAATGATATATAAAAGTGGCTTATGTAATGTGTGAATACAAGCAAAAAATAAATCCTAAAAACAGAAATTACTTCTTTCGCAAGCAGATGAAACATTTCCACAAATTAATATTTAAAAGGAATCCAAAAATTTCAATAAATTACAAAAAGCAAAAACTATTATTGGTAATGTTTCTCATAACAGAATAAACTAAAAATGAATAAAAATAAGCACTTATTGAAAAGGAGTAACACAGAAATTTAAATTATACTTTTAAATAATCGTTAGGCTACACTTACACATCTGTAAGTGACCAAAGATGTACTCAGAGGAAAATTCATTGATTAACCCAGCACTTTTATTACTAAACAGAAAAATAAAGAGCCAAGCTTTCACTCAAGAATTTTTAAAAATCTAAAGAAAGCAGAACGGTGGGCTTACTTACCATAAAAGTATAATAACTTGGAAGTAGTTAGAATTGACAAGTAACTTTAAAAATTTAAGGGGGAAAGAATAAAACAATAGAAATCAACAAAATACTCCCTGAATACCAGTCATTCAACCAAGGAATAAAGAAAAAAAATAATACAACTACAAAAAAAATCAGTTTAGGAAATAGAACCATACAGAGGACATTCTTAAAATAACATTATATTCTGTTCTATGCAAATACAGTTCAAATTCTTGATGAAATGAATACATTTCTCAGAAAATATAAATGGTCAAAACGGGCATGAAAAGAGCAAAAGCCAAAATGTTATTGAAGAAAGGATTACAGTAGAAAATAATTATCTCCAAAAACCTGACAAGACAGAGTTTAATGGCAAGTTATTTTAAACTCTGAAAAGATAATTCCCGTGCAATATAAATCATTCCAAGCAGGGACTACAAATAAACATCTGGCATGCACACTTAAACCCTCATTTCCTACACTCTTACAAAACACTAAATTGTTTACACATGACAAGGCCTCAGAATCCTTCTCAACACAGCAATCTCAGCGACCACTACCAATAAGTACATAATCTTAAATGTATTTATCCTCCATGTTTCAGATCACTGGAAAGCTTTCTAATTTATAACCCCTATACTAGCATAACCCCCTTAAAAAATGACAAAAACAGCACACTAAAAATAAAACTGCAGGGCAATCTCACTAATGGATATAGACACAAAACGCTGCAAATTGGACCCAGGATGCATTAAAAGAATAAAAACACCATAAACAAAATGGGTTCCTTCCAGGATAGTTTAATATTAGAAAATCTATTAATATAATTCATCACATCGGCAGATCAAAGGGAAAAAACCATATGGCCATCTGGGTACATAATAAAAAGGCATTTGTTAAAAATTCATCATCCTTTTACCCCCTCTTATTACTAAATAGCTTTATAGTGGGGGAGGGGAATGATTCAACCTCCATTGCAAAAGAAAAATTCAAATACAGAAAATTGAAAATCACTCCTCTATCGTATCACTCACCTCCATCTTCACAAATTTTAAAAATAAAAAACTCTTAGCAACTCAGAAGGATGCTTAGTGATAAAAAATATACATTTCTGAAACCAAAATAAAATATCATACTTGATTACAAAACGCTAGAATCCTTCTCACTAAGAAAAGAAATAAGATAATACAAGAATACTTGTTATCCCTGTTATTATTCAAATTGTTCCAGGAGGTCTAGTCAATGCATAATATAAGAGAAAAAAGTACAATATTGTAAAAGATGAAGGGAAATGAATATTATTTGCATATGATATTATTGCCTACCTAGAAACCACAAGAAACTGTTGGAACTAAGAAGGTAATACAATAAATTATCCACTAACTTAACAATCACATAAAAATCAGTAGTTTTTCTATGTACCCACATTAATTAGGCAAAATATTCAATGAGGGCAATGATCTCAGTCACAACTGCGGTCAAAAATATCAAATATCTAGGAATAAACTTAAAAATAAGTGCTCAAAACTTATTTGGAAAACTCCAAAACTTGAGTCATATAAAGGAGCGTGAATGAATAAAGAAACAGACCATGTTACCGGGTGGAAAAAACATAATATTGTCCTATCCAAGTCATTTTATAAATTCAAGACATTTACAATTACAAATACAAAGCTAAGTGCAAATGACACTTCCCTCAAGAAGTTGCCTTGGATTCCCTTTACCAAGATTCATCTTTCCCTCCACCACCCTTGACAATCAGTCTGAGAGCGCTGAACTTTCTACAGCACATTCCAGAAGGCTGTGAACAAAATTCATATTGATTCAGCACCTTGGCACCTATTAAGGGTCACTGCCCATAGTTGGCACAAATATGTAATGGTCAGTCAGGTGGATGGATAAATTGAAAAGGTGTTTAAGATTTTGAAAGATGAAGAATCATCCTCCAAATACAAACTATGTTTAAGATTTTGAAAGATGAAGAATCATCCTCCAAATACAAACTATCAGCATAAATGCAGAAAAACTGGTTATTAGAGAATTCTGGCTAATAAAATGTGAGATTTAAAAATAATTTACTGAAAAACTATTATTTGTATAAAAAAATAATGCAAGGATAGATATGAAATTGACAAAATCATCTTGGAGCACTGTGGTATTATGACTCTTTTTTTGCATACATAGTCTAGTTCTCCTCATTGAACATAAACTCCTTTCATAATGATAAGTCAGCAAAGCCTTTTTAAAGAATATACTAAATTTATTTTCCAAATGAACAAAGCTTCCCAAAGCCTAGTATCAATAAATGCCAGAAAATGGGCAGGTGGAAATATGGAAATGTGTTAAACTAATATGTACCCTTAACCCAATAATCTCTCGTTGGGACTGTATCAAAAGGAGATGGTTTTAAAATATCAAAATATTTTTATATATAGAAGATGTTCATTACAGTATAATTTTATAAGTGGAAAATCAGAACCAACCTAAATGTTCAACAATAGAGTATGAGTTAAATAAATTATTTTCATTCTCATCTGTGAATATTATGTAGTCTTGAAAAATGGCTTTGTCATTAGGAAGACAAAGCAGCTTAACAGAGAAGATAGGGGAAGGAAAAGGCAGGAACAAAATTCTTAATACTTTATGACTTAAATAATAAAAATATGCTTACAAAATAACCAGAGGGAAAGGTGTCCAAATTTTAATGGTAAATGTAAGAGGGTTGACATTTATTTAGGATGATCTTTTTATTTTCTGATTTCTCTATAATATCACTAGATTGTTTAAAAATTAACTTATTAAAACAAATATTAGCATGCAACTAACTGCAGCCAGGGAAACATTTCAGATAAGCCACAACTATCATATTCCATCTGATTCAATAAGGTACTTATATAGTCCCTAGGGAAAGATACTGGCACGTCCATAGCATGTTTTGAACAGGACTCCATAGGCTTTGGGGTTGGACAGACTCAGGCTCCAATCTCTGCTCTGCTACTTCCTACAGCAAGTTTCTTAACCTCACTCAACCTCAGTTTCCTTATCTATAATGGCATTGATGCCAGTCTAGCTAACAAGGCGAGTCTGCCCAGTGAAGGAGTCCACCAGAAAGCGGCCCAACTTAGTGAGCACAGCAGGCAGTGCAGTAATTTATCTGCTATTTCGTAAGTCTGCTCTTAAGACATGATTCTAATGTTAACGTTTACTTTAAAGTGATAAACAGTGTGATACCTGTACATCTGTACATCAAGAGAACACAACAGACAGTCCAGAAACAGTCCTAAGTACATAGAAGTTTAACGTAAGATAAAGACAGCATTTCAAATCAGGCAGGAAAAGATGGATCATTCAATTATTGGCGTTATAGCAAGGGCTCACCATTTGGGAAAAAATAGAGCCTGATCCCTATGTCCCTCCTTTAAACCAAATATATTCCAAATAGATAAACCATTTAAGTACAACAAAACCTATATAAAAAAATAGAAGAAATGTATAATTTCTGTAAATGCTTTTCTGCTTGTTTCCAGTTATTTCATATTATTTATAAACCCAATTCTACTGTGACCACTTATGCATATATTGCATGGTATAAAGACATAAATATTTCTTGCATGTTCCTACAAGATAAACTGTTGATGTGTTAGGTTATGGACGTGTTTAACTTTTTTCTTTGACCATCTGAACCATTTTGAAATGTACAATCCAGCAGTGTTAAGTATACAGGCAGCCCTCTGTCTTCATGGGTTCCACATCCATGGATTCAACCAACCTTGGATTAAAATGAACTGCTGCATCCGTACAGAACATGTACAGACTTTTTCCTTGTCATATTCCCTAAATATACAGAACTCACACAGCATTTACATTGTATTAGGTACTATACATAATCTAGAGATAATCTGAAATATAGAGGAGGATGTTCGTAGTTCTATGCAAATACACCATTTGATGGCAGGGACTTGGGCATCCATGGATTTTTATATTGGGGGGGCGGGGCATGGAACCAATCCCCCACGGATACTAAGGGACAACCATGTTCACACTGTCGTGCAACAGATCTCTACAACTTTTTCATTTTACAAAACTGAAACTCTCACCTATTTAACAACTGCCCATTGTCCTTGCACCAGCTGCTGGCAACTACCATTTCACTTTCCATTTCTGCGTTTGACTTCAATTTCTCTTATGAGTGGGATCACACAGCATGTGTCTTTTTGTGACCACCTTATTTCACCAAGCAGAATGTCCTCAAGTTTCATCCATGTTGAAGAATGACAGGATTTCCTCCATTTTTAAGGCTGAATATTCTATCATATATTGTTGATTTGTTAGGTTATGTAAATATTTAACTTGTTTCTCTTACCATCTTAACCATTTTTAAATGTACAATCCAGTAGTGTTAATAACAGAATATTCTTCAGCCTTAAAAATGAAGGCTGAATACATCATATTTTGTTTATCCATTCATCTGTAGATGGACATTTCAGTTGCTTCCACCTTTGGGTATTGCAAATAATGCTGCAATAAACATGGGTGGAAAAACATCTCTTTGAGACCTTGCTTTGAATTTTTAGATATATACCCAGAAATGGAATTGCTGGATCATATGGTAATTCTATGTTTAATATTCTGAAGAAACACCCTACTGTTTTCCATAGCAGCTGCACCAACAGCACACAAGAGTTCCAATTTCTCCACATCCTCACCAACACTTTTTTAAAAAAAATAACAGCCATACTAATGGGTATGAGGTGATATCTCACTGTGGTTTTGAACTGATGAATGATGTTGGGCATCTCTTCATATGCTTACTGGCCATCTGTATATTTCTTCGGAGAAATGTCTATTCAACTTCTTCGCCCATTTTTTAATGGAGTTATTTTTTGTTGTTGTTGATTTATAGGATTTCTTTATATATTCTGGATATTAACCCCTTACCAAATACATATGATTTGCAAATATTTTCTGCCATTCTGTAGGTTGCCTTTTCACTATAAATTCTTAATATGGAGAAGTCTTTTTAAATGTGGCACACATATACACATACACACGAAGAATCCAAAACACACAAATATAAATATTTTTAAAAAGTAAACATTGCATTTAACCACCACTTCCACTAAATAACATCAACTAAGTTTTAAAAAGTCTGGGGAAAAAAATGGAATCTAAATAACAAAGTCAATATCTCCAAAATCCAAAGAGCTTTTCTTTAAAAATGTAAAGGAAAAGACAAACACCGCAAGAGAAAAATGGGCAAAAAGGTTGAACAGGCAATTCATAAAAGAAATGCAAGTAAAACATATCAACCAAAATATAATGCAAGTAAAACATACCAACTAAAATATAAAACTATACCAACAGATATTCAACCCCATTAGTTTGCCCATCAGGCCATCAAAGATATAAAATATAAGCACAAGGTGATGGCCAGGATGTGTAAAATGGGCACTCACAATCTCCTAATAGAAATGTAAACGGATACCACCTGGCTGGGAGACACTTGGCAAGTTCTGTCTACATGTAGAATAAAAATCCACCATGGTCCTGCAGTCAGCTTTCCAAACAGTGATGTTAAGGAGATGATCACACAAGTGAGAAGCTGTACGAAAAAGATGTTTCTCACAGAGTAGGTTATAACAATGACAAATTAGAAATAACCAAAATCTAATCGCACACTGAATTTTGGGCCATGCATACAGTGGAAACACAATGTAGTCAGTAAAATAATAATGAAGACCTATCTACATTTGCTGATGATGAAAAATATATCTATGAATTTAAAAAGAAAAAGACATCAGGCCTCAGAACAGCATGGAATATAATCCCATTTGCGTAAAATCATATGTACTTAAATATGTAGAGATGGCTTGAATAATGCTCATCAAAATGTGAAGGGCGGTTATCTCGGCATTTCAGGTGATTTTTTAAAAAGAATAATCTTCATTTTTTTGTACTGCTTGAATGTTTTTGTAATGAACATGTTATTTTTATAGTCAGGGAAGAAAAACTATTTTCGCTTGGGAAAAAAATGGAAGTGGAGAACTAACTCTTAGTAGACATTTAACACTCAGAAACCAAAAGAGAGCCTGTATCCTATGCAGAGACAGGGTAGTCAGGAAGTCCTGGAGTTCAAGTCCTGACCCTGACATTAGTTGGCTGAATGACCCTGGGCAAGTTATTTAGCTTGTGTCTTGGTTTCTTCCCAGGAAAATAAAGATGATAATTCTAAGTCATGGAGTTGTTTTGAAGATCAAGGGACTAACATTCACTAGGTTCTCAATCAACATTAGTCTCATTCTCCCTCCGAGCTCATTATTGAATGCACATAGCTGTGCCTGGCACACAGGTCCTCAAAATGTGTTAGGTGATTGGGATAGACAGAAGAACAGACAGTCACACAGAAGGACAGACGTCTGAAGGGTGGAAAGATGGAATGGGTGAGTGGGTAGAGAGAGAGATGCATGGAAAGGTAGATAGCTAGTCAGACAGATTGATGGGCACACTGATGGTATGGTGGCCCTTGTTTTCCAAAGATGGCCACATCAAGATATATCCCATCCTACATGCTCAATGTAAAGCTGACACGCCTCCATAGACAGATGGAGTTGATGTCCTGCCCTCTGAATGGCGCACACCTTTGTAACTGCCTCCATCAATACAATGTGGTGAAGTGATGCTGCATGACTTTGGAGGCTAAGTCATAACAGGTGAGGCTGCAGCTGCTTAGTGCTATCTATCTTGGCACATGCATCTTTGCAGCCTCAAGACGCCACGTAAGAAGTCTAGCCATATATGAAGCCTCTATGCTGGAGAGACCACACATGGAGAGGGAGGGAGAGAAAGAGAGAGAGAGAGAGAGAGAGAGAGAGATGGTAGCGGGGAGACAGGGCCAAGGAGATCAGCTGTTCAAGTCTTCAGAATCCTGGCACCAAATATGAGCATGGAGAACCCTTTTAAGATAACTCTGCCTCAGCCACCATATGACCACAACCACAGAAAGACCCTGAGCCAGAACTGACCAACTGAGCCACTGCCAAATTCCTAGCCCACAGAAACCATGAGACAATAAATGATCATTGTTGCGTTAAGCCACTGAATTTTGGGGTGATTTGTTGCACAGCAATAACCGTCTAATACAGACAGTGAGGTGAGTGTATGTGGGTGGGAAGATGAACTGGCGCTGATTGGAGGATTTTTGCATGTGGAACCCTGGCAATCAGCACTATCCTGCACTTAAATCAGACCTTACCTTGTAAATCTCTCTTGTCTGTTCCAAAGGCCTCCTGCTTACCTGGCTATTCCAAGCCTCTCTTACCTCAGCTGTTTATACTTCCAATTGCCCTCTGATTCTCTGATTAACTGCCCTCCTGCCCAAACTAACAGCACATGCCTTCTGAGACAACCTAGTCCAAGCCCTTATTGTACAGTAGGGAAAACTGAGGTCCAAAGAGAGCAAAGAATGTACCCGAGACTGGAAAGCGTCCAGGGCTATTTCTCCTCCAACAGCCTGTGGGCTCCAGGTATCCCTGGGGTTGAATCCTGACTCCACCTCTCACGGCCTGTTACTGTCCCATCAGGGCAGTGAGCGATGCTGCAGGCCCTGACTGGGACATGCCAGAGCTCTTGGCTCCAAGCATACCTTACATCTGTCTGGGCATAAATTTGCATTCTGAATCCGGGAGGCCCCGATTCCAAGTATGTCAAATGTAATTAATTACAGCAAACCTTCTGCAACTGTTTTCAAACGTGGTATTAAAGGCTTTGTGAGCATGGAACACAAAACCCGCTGGTCTGCTGAGGCTCATGGGGAGCTGGGGGCTGAAAGCCAGGGAGTCCCAGACCCAGGCCCCATGAAATGGGGAGAGCAGCTTCCCCAGACGCCATGGCTCAGAACAATCCACCACAGACAAATGGGTAGCCGTGTCTCAAGTCCCAGCCCATCCATCGACTCCACATCCTGGGCAAGTTACTGTGCTTTCCTCAGCTGTACAACGGGAATGGTAAGATTCAACACCTCAAAGTGGTGTTGTGAGCTTAGAATATGGTGGCCACCTAAATTTGAATCCAGCTGCCACTTACCAGCTGTGTAGCCTTGGGCAATTCCTTTCACCTCTGAATTTCCACTCTCTCATATTTAAAAAAAAAACAAACCCTACTTTACAAGGTGACTGTTTTAAATGAGATAATAGATATTGAATGCTTAGTCCAAGGCCAGTCATATAATAAGCACTCAGCAAATGTGCAATGATTGTATTTCAAGGCAGATAAATTCCATTGTGCAAAAATAATGTGAGATAAATAAGAATGCTAAACTTCAGTCCTTGAAAAGTTCCTAATTAAAAAAATAAAATTTTATAAAGCTGAATTTCCAACACATGGCTCAAACTTCCTTTCAAAACATGAAGAGCAGGAGTACTGAATTGGAAAACTACAGACTGCTGCTACCCGCCTGGGCCGCTCACCCACCTCCAGGTCTCTGATCCAGGCTGGAAGTCAAGGGAGATGACTCCCCACCCTGCCAGCTCTGCCCACTATAAAAGGATGCCCTCTGGGTCTTCTAGCAGCCTTCCTTCCCAAATCATTACAGGAAGCAGACACGACTTAGCAAAAGAATGGCTTCCAGTCCCCGCAGGACTCAAAGTCCACAGCCCCCAATGTGACCTGGGTCTCTATGCCCAAACAAGCCCAGAACTGCAACCTGATCCAAAAATACCCCAGTTCAAACTCAAAAACGAATTTGGAATCTTTTGGTAGGCAGAGAAATTGTCAGGGATTATCTTTTAGATTTGTTTTTGCTCATCTTGTTGGATTTGCTTTCTTTCAAAGTGTTCAACTAATGTTTAGGGGAGGGATAAGCAGAGTGGGAAACAACATAATTTTTTCCCTGAATTACTAATCTCTCTCTCTTTCTCTGTCTTATAAACTCTCATTACCTCCTCCATTTCAACCACCTACTTACACTAATGCCTACACCACTACATCACCATCCCATGCCAGGTTCTGAGTCCTACAGTCTGTCTAGGTATCTGATGACGGTGTTGTGTGACCCTGAGCAAGCCACTTGCCCTCTCCGGGGTTCCACTTCCTCTACTATAAAAGGAGCAGGTTGGCTTAGATCAGCACTGTCCAATAGAAATATAATATGAGCCATGGAGGGAATTTCAAATTTCCCTAGTAGCCACATTGTTAAAAAAAAAAAAAAAAAAAAAAAAAAAAGTAGAAAGTAAAAAGAAACCAATGAAATTAGTATTAATAATATATCTTATTTAATCTAATATGTAAAATATCATTTCAACCTGTAGTATTTTCAAATTATTACTTTTATAGTCTTTTTTTTCTACTAAGTCTTTGAAATCTTGTATGGATTAACTACCCACATTTCAACTACTCCTAGCTACATGCAGCTAGTGGATACCAATACATACTGGATGGCACAGGCTTAGATGCTATCTGTTACCCTTATAGCTCTAGACCCCTCTGACAAAACAAAGGCAGGCCTCACAACAAATTCCAACGAAGGCTAGTAGCACCCCAGGGAAGTTTCTCTTCCCTGAGGTCTCATTTCAGACTAGTTTCAGTTTTATTTCAGATCAGTTTCACTTTCTGCTTTTCCAGCATACATTTTAAGAAACACCCACATAAACACAATTAAATGTTTATAGTTATTTTTCCCAGTTGATGAAATTAAGGAAAAAAAAAATTCCCCAACATCCAAAAATGTCTTCGTCTATTCTTTTATTCTTTTTGAGTATTCTAAGTTCCCCGACTACATCTTCTTCGCTTGCAAAAACTCTGAGTCCAAAATAAAACAAAACACAAATTCTCTGCAAACTTTCACCTGACAAAAATTCCCACCCTTAGTCCCCCAATTTTCCACAAAAATGTTGGGACAGGCAGGAATTTGTATGGCACAGGCTCAAAGCTGAGAGGTAAGAATGGCTAGCTCCTCAGATATGCTGTCTTGGACAGTAACACATCCAGTAAGCAAGCCAAAAGCACTTTTGACTTTGAGTGCTACCAGCAAACTGCGAGCCAGGGACTTGCCAAGAGATACTCAGGCCTCCTCCACTTTGCAGGAGCCATTTCCACCCCTGGGGGAGACACCAGGTTTCATTCCTCCCTGGGTCCTCACCCAGGAACAGGGCTGACCCCTGGTAATCAAAGATTCACCCCTGACAAAGGGCTCACTTCACTAGAAAGCAATGTTTTTCCCTGTGTTTTCTATAGCAGACTGGGGGGCCAAGCATCACCTGACTCCATTTATTCGCTTTAGCTTATATAGAAAGCCTCATTCTGCTTTGTCAGCCAAAATATTTATATCACTTTTTTGTCGACTCAATACCATCCTCACCTCAGCCTTCCTCCTTTCCTTTTTAAGAAAGGAGTTGTCGCCAACATGTTTCTCCAGTTCTTTGCTGTTCATGAAGCACTTTCTAGTCCATTAACTCATACGATGCTTTCAAAAAGCCTGGAAGGGTTTAAGGATGGCCTGTCCTCCCACTAAACAGATGAACAAGTAGAGGCTGTGTCGGGGTCCCAGACCCCAAGGCCTTCCAGGGCTAGGCAGGCCACATACATGATTGAAACAGGATGAGGCTGGGGACAGATGCAAACAGGAAAGAATCTGTGAAAGACTCACAAACTCCAAACTTTCTGAACCCTGGGCTGGCAAAAAGATAAAATAACATACAAGAGAAGGGACCCACTCATCTTGTGGCCCTTAGTCTGTGACTCAGTTTACACAACTTACCCAGCATAGCACTAATAATTCGTACTAGTTATAAAAAGTAACGTGTATTTAAAAAGTAACATGTATGTCAAGAGTTTACAAAGCATTTTCAAACTTGTTATCTTATGTCATTCCTGTGAAGAATCATTACCAGCCCATTTCTCAGATGCAGAAATTAAGATACGGAAGGACTAAAGAACTTGTCTGTGGACTTGAAAGTGTGTAAGCAGCAAACCTGTCCCAAACCCAGGTCATCATCCAGGAACCCCAGGGCCTGCCTTGCCCCACTGCCACGTCACTTACACTGCTGAGAGACACCATCCAATCCAGCTGCCTAGCCACAGGCGTCTCCCCTTTGAAACCTGATCACTCCAGGATCAGGCAGAGAAGCAGGTCATCCAGCCCTGCTTTGATGACAACCCCAAGGGTATCTAATTATAACAGGGAAGGGAGGAGTCAGGATTCTCTCGCTATTTCTCAAGACCAAATTAATTTTAATTCCTTTTGATACAGTGTATACACACAGGGCAGGAAAAGCACTGGTTGAGGAGTGAAGAAATCTGAGGCTTTTAGTCCCACTTCCGCTTGTTCACTGAGGTCTTGGGTAAGTCACTCCACCTTCTTCCCAAGGCCTCAGTTTCTCTGTCTCTCTCTCTCTCTCTCTCTCTCTCTCTCTCTCTCTCTGTGTGTTTGTGTCTCGATAAGGAAGGAAAAACTGGCTTCATGTCCCATGGGGTGCGTGTGTGTGTGTGTCGATAAGGAAGGACAAACTGGCTTCATGTCCCATCTAAGCCCAACTGATGGGTAGCATTATATAATACTAAGGACTCTGAGGCCGCTGGCCATACTCAATGGAAAGGACTACCATGGTCAATTAGTGATGTCTGCCACAGGCTAGAGGATGGGGAATGGCAGCATGTATGCTACTTATTTACCATCCTTGGACTAGATGATGCACAAATAACATGCTGCAAGTGAAAAGAACTTTGCCCTTTACAAAACTTTTTTCTTACATCTCTCACAACTTTCACAAGAACCCTATGCATCATCATCTTCAATCATCATCATCAATATATTATCATCTCACCTTTACAGGTAAGGAAAATACGGTGCAAGGAAATGAAGTACTTTGGCAAACACCACAAAATGATTAACTGGTGGAGCAGAGAGGGGAGCCGTGCCTTGGCTCTCCGACTATGCTCTGCTCATTCTACCCTTGGAAATGTCAAACTGGTGCTCCGCTGTTGTCGGGCCAGCTCATGCATGTGGCTGTACTGAAGAGACCCCCCTCCCCCATTTACAGGACTTCACCTCCCTCCCACGGGCTACTTGCCCCTTTTAGAGAGGCCACAGCAAAATTACAAAACCTACACACAGACATGGCAGGAAAGTAGGACTAAGTCAGAGTTCCAGATGTTTCTTCCCAAGGTGAAGTCCTGCCTTCACTGTACAGGGCGGGGGGGGGGGGGGGGGGGGCCAAGCCCAGAGAAAAGTGAGGTAAACAGAGCATGGAGCCCCCACAGGTCATAGTCCTCCCCACCAGGAGGACAACAACACTCAATCCCAAGATGCTTTCAACTGATAGATGCACCATCGATTTTATAACAGCTTTTGGAGAAGAAATAAGAGGGAGAAAAAGTTCACTAGAAGAACAAATCTACTGTAAGGGGCATCCTGATTTCAGAAATATGGAAACGTGGGAATATGAACACTGAGGATCGATGTCTACCTTAACTTAGGATTCTATGCTTGCTTGCTGAAATTGGCCACAAAGTGTTAAAAATGACAGCATTTTATAAAACGTGCTGAAAAAAACTAAGCCAAGAAACAGAAGGTTCTGTTTTCTCCCATAAATTTTCCTTGAATCTTTGACATCTGCAAACCAAAATTCAACCAAAAATGGGGTCACATCACACATTTAGGTGCTTCAAGTTGAAGGAGCCCGTGTGCCTGGATATTCTGCAAACAGGCCCCTGGTGTTCAGTTCCAGGACACCTGGCTAAGAAGACCAGGCATAAATACAGGGCACTGCTATGCCCCATTCACCATACCTGCAAATCAGGCATCTGGGGGTCCCCCATCCACTTTAAAGAAATACTTTATACAAAAGGAGTGAGGAGGGCAGGGGTGAAAGTCATCAGACGAACATTTTAAAAATCCCCCAAGACATGTAAAGGAGCATTTCCCCAACTAAGGATCCCTGTTGGACTTATTATTCCAGGGGAGCCATGGCTTCAGAGCCAGCTGTAAGAAAATGTGCCTCGGGCTCCCTAATAAAACATTGGCTTTGACCAAATGGCCAAGCCCAAATTGGTCATCCACTCTTCACTAGACCCAAAGCCCACTGATCTGAGCTATTTCCAAAAATCAAATGAAGTCATCAAATATTTATGGAGCTGCTGCTCTGCGCCAGACCCTAAAATGAATAACCGGTGATCTCTACCCTCACAGATGTTACAAGTTGGCTGGAGAAGCAGAAATGCAAACAACCAACTCTGACCTGTGGGTCCACATTGTTTGGGAGGTACCATGGGGGCAGAGGGAGAGGAAGCCTACCTGGGGAAATTTGTTGGGGGAGCTCTACAGAAGAAGAAGTGCAGCTGATCTCGAGGAGGGTCTGGTTTCTCACGAAGCAGATATGAATGAGGGAAGGGGCACCAGAGGCAAGGGCCCCAGCATGAGCAGAAGCTCAAAGACATACAGGTCCACCCGCGATTGAGATGTATCCCTTTTAAAGCCTTGCCACAGGCTCAGAAACAAATCCAGAAACATTCCAAGGAGCTAGAGCAGCCCCGGAATGAAAGCATCCAGAATGCTTTAACAAGAAAGTCTCATGGATGGCAGGCTGTTTTAAAGCAACAGCCAAGAGTGTACATTCTCACTTGTCGCCTAACTTTGCCTGCTAACGATAAGCCACCAGGTTTCCAGGACTACCCCAAGTGTTGTCAGTGGGACTTAATCTCCCCAAATGGAGAATCCCTGGCCACTGGGTTGAGTCAACTCACATGCGTCGACCACCTACTCAGGCCCTCAGACCGGCTGAGAGTCTCCACATGTGACCCCTTCATTTAATCCTAAAACAACCCTGCAAGGCTGGGATCATTAACCCTCTTTTCCCAGATGTAGAAGCTGTGGTTCCAGAACCAGAGTGACTTTCCCGAAGTCACACAAAGCTAACCACACCATGAGGCTGGATTTCAAACTCTGGTCTGGCAGACCTCAAACCCAGCTTTCCATTTTCCCAATTGGGGTGGATTCGGAAAATCTCTATGCATCTGACCTAAGGCCTGGCCTGGGGGGATTTCCTGCTGATGCCATGTTTTTGGCTCAGAAATAGATTTCATTGCCAGGCCATCTTTTACCTCTGATCTCCTTCCTCTCCTCAGACCCCAGCCCTGGTCCTGGCCACCTGCTGCCTTTTTGCAACTTCATCCTTCTCTCTGGCAACACTTTATTTAAAATGCACTTCAAAAAGCAACAGCCTCCCGGACTCACACTCCTTGACTTCAACAGCTCACAGGCTGCAACACATCATCCCGGAGTTACTAGCCATCATTTGTCATTTTTAACTACAGCACAGTGGCCTAACCCTGGCAGAAGTCTGCGTTGGGACAAATAAAAGGGAAATGTGGGCTACTCTAGCCAGGAGAGCTATATGGATGGAACTCATCATCACTACAGGCTGAAATGCCTCAGAGCATGTGAGATTCTGATAGGAAGTCTCACCAACAAAACCAAGAGGTCTGAAAGGTGTTGCTACCCTTCTGGGGCCAGCCAGTGATGACGACAACTGGTCCAAACCTGAGCTGTCCAATATAGTAGCCACCAGCCACATGTGGCTGCTGAACAGGTGAAATGTGGCTGGTCAGAATTGAGATGTACTGTAGGAGTAAAATACATTAGATTTCAAAGACTCAATAGCACCCCCGCAAAAGACTGTAACTTGTCACATTAATAATTTTCATATGGATGGCTTGATGAAAGGATAGTATTATGGATATACTGAGTTAAATATGTTAAAATCAATGGCACCCGTTTCTTTTACTTTCCTTAATACACTGTGAGAAAATTAAAAATTATATATGTGGCTCGCAACGGGGGCTTGAATTATATTTCTATTAGCGCTGACCTGACACATTTAAAAGATGAGGAGACTAAGACAGAAATTCTGGGATTTTTAAGGAAGTGCACACACACAAAAATACAGACTGTGTTTTTGTCTGATTAAATTAAATATAGCACAAACACAGACTCTCTAACTCCAGAAAAATTTCTCTGGCAATTTAAACTAAAAGTGGGGAACAAAAGACAAGGACTCCACACACTTTAGATCTCCTCTCCAGCAAGAAGACCTTGCAAAGACGCTGCCTTCAAACTTGTATCTGCCTTTCCATATGTCCTTCCAGACTCATCCAAGGCCAACAAGCTGGGGTATGTGCCTGGGCTGCCCATGTGGCTGAGCTTTCTTCATATGTGGCCCTTGAAGTGGGCTCAACCAGGGCTCAAAATATGTGGCACAGGACACCTAACCCACAGGGTTCACCTAAAAGTTAATTGAGATAATAAATGCAAAAATAAAGTATAAGCAATAAAGTGCAGTATACCTGCAGCACATCATGGCGGTTCAGCTAGTCCAGTACCTTTCAAACTCTTTTGGCCGTGACCCACAGGAGGAAATCTATTTCAAATCACACACATACATCCACAAATATAAATACAAGTTTCATGAGAGGATACTCACCTGTACCCTGTGGTATGCCTCTGCTATTTTTTGTTCCCCTATATTCTAGTCTATTCTTGTTTTTAAAAAATTCTGATTGTGATTCACTAAATTGACTTCACAGGCCACTAATGGCCCATGATTCAAGGTCTCGCCTGGGAATGGTAACTAAGAGGTACACTCTCCACTCTGATTTACAATGCTGTTTGGCCACTGCACCCCTCTCTCTAGAATATGGGAGTCGGGATATGGCCTCAGAATCCTTCTCAACACAGTGATCCAGGCAGCCATAACCAATTCCTTGGAGTTACAATCAGAAATGAAACCTATTTATTATTATCCTTGATCTGATCCCAAGTGTTCATTTTATAAATGCAAAAATTGAGGCTCTGAAGGAAAAAGTGATTTGTCCAAGGTCACACAGCAAGACCTTGTGGGGGCTAGGGCTCCTGAAAAGAGCCACTTCATTTTACATCACCAGAAAGAAGGTACAACTGACCCAAAACATCACAAGAACATGGAAAAAATTCAAAATTTCCTCATGACCATGAGAAGTCGGCTTATATACATCAGTCATATATGGCAAGGAAGTTCTTATCACCCACCAAGGAGAAGACGTAAGGATTCTGAGGTCAGAGGAAGCAGCATGCCAAGAGCTGAGTCAAAAGTGAGAAAAATATTGTATCTGACACTGGAGGAGTTTTAAAACCCAGTTTCTCAAGTGAAACAAGCCATTGGCTGTTTATTTTCTAGGACGAGGGAGAGGTCAGCCTTATACTGACCAGCCATCTTTGTTGCTTTCGTTCTGCAAAAGCAAGAACCCTTGTTCAAGTTCACCTCTGTGCAGAGCTGGAAGTATAAGCAAACCTCTTTTCCTAGCTTGCTCCAAAGTCAAACTATAAAGCAGGCCCTTGAAATTTCAAACCTTGTTAGAAAAAATTAAAAAAAAAAAAAAACCTCCTTAGGCAGAAAAGCAAAACATTAAGTAATAAGAGTCTCCACTGTGAAACTGAATATAAACGATCTTTCGCCAAAATAATTCAGCCCATCATCAAATTACCACCCCCAAGTCCAATTTGCCAGATATTTTGCCCAATAATCTACGAGAATGTGGTGAACAGACAGGAGCTAATAAAAATTAGCTCACATGTCCATTTCTGGTCACACGTCCACCTAAAATAGGAGGTGAGAGAGCCAAGGCCAAGGTCAGATCTCAATCCAGAGAGAGACACCAATAGAAACAAAAGAAAACTGGCCCCGCCCCCAATAGAACCATCATGCACCTCTACTTCCTTTACAACAAACATGATCAGAATAACCAATTTAAAAAAAAAAAAAAAACAGAAAAAAAAAAAAAACAGTTCTACAAAACCAGAAATGATTTTCAACTTCTAGCCATAGACAACAGAACAAAATTTCAGCAGAATGGAATGAAGGAAGCTGAATTGTGTGTCAGGAGATCCAGGCCACACAAAGGGACGTGCTGCAATATTTTTATTCCTTGCACCAGAAATAACCTGTTATCTACAACCCTGACTTTTTCTCAGATGCCCCTACCCCCCTCCACCCCTCCCCAGCCCATCTCTCCTTCATCACTGCTAAACTCAGGCCTTCTGCCTCATGAGGCCTCCAAAGCCCCTTGGAAATTATAAATTCCTTGACCGTCCTACTCATCGGCCTAAATAATTCAACAGAAAAAAATTTTTTTAATTATGCTACTTAAAAAAAAAAAAGCTCATTCCAAATATGTCAGAATGTGACCAGTCAGCCCTGAAGGATTTCGTTACTAAAAAAATAAAATCTCCCAAATGCAATGGCGATGATGGGAAATGTCAAACCTCTGCCATTGTCAAATATATTTCACAGAGATAATATATTTGACTTATTCCACTTAAACATCCAAATTTCCACAAAACAGGGTTGGGAATCTATGGACTGGGGCCACCAGTTTTCCCAAGACCAGCTAGTGGCTGGCAAAAGGAGCAAAGGGTTTCCTTTCTTGCCCCAGGTGACCCACCATCAATTTCCAATCCAAGGTCCCTCCAAGATCCCGCCCTGCAAGTCCTAACAATATGCTGTTTTTGGACAGAAAAATTGTAACTTTTGGGGGATAGGCTCAAAATCCCCAGCAAGTTCAATTAGATACTAATTTATCACAAAACGCTTCATCTTTGGGTGGGTACTTTATTCTCATCTGTCAAATTTCAATTCGGTCAATATTTATTTGCCTTCTTAAATTTTTTTTTCTTTTTTGTTTCACCTTCATGTGATTCATTTTAAGGCCAAAACCTCCACATGAAATATTGTTTGCATATATGCTTTCATATTCCAAAGGCAAACCTTGGGTTTGGCTTTTGTTTGTATTTTGATTATTTTTCCTTTATTTTGTTGCTGCTAAAACCAGCTGAGTTGGTGTTATATCACATTTCTTCAGCAAAGTAAGTGTTCTACCAAGGAAGATGGATAAGAATCAGAATTTTCATCTCCTTTTTGCCCATCCCTCTTTTATCTTTTTCTTGTTAAGTCAGTAAAATTTGTGCATTTTTTTTTTTTGGTCACAAACCCCCCAAAATGATCAAGGCTAATGGATTTTTCCCCCTTTGAAAGTAATCAGGTTTTTGAAAAATAACAAATATTGATAAACTACCAACCCCACATCACAATCAAAGAGGCCTGAAACCAATCTAAATTTTTTTTAAGTAATAAATTTTTCAAATTGGAAGGGTGAACAAGACAGAAAAGGGAAAATTTTCTTCCTTACCAAGGATTCCTCAATCCTTGTCTTCATCAATTGATTCAGTTGCATGTCATAAAAAATGAGCTTCTGTGAATCCACTGTTAGTTTTTTCATAATAATGTTAATTATGCATATCTTATTTTAATGGCGGTCTCTCCTACAAATCTGTGGGCTACTCAATTTGTATAATGTATGAATTTACATTTTTTCCACTTAATATTGCTCAAAAAAGGTTCCTGACATTTTCTGGATAAAACAACAACAAAAAAGAAATGCCTAGACCTTTCAGGAAACAAAATCAGAAAACAGTCTTAATTATTCCATCAAAACAAAAAAAACACACACACACACAAAACCCAACAAATACAGAAAAAAAGAAAGAAAGGATTTCACTGTAACTTTTCTAGTTTCTGTTTTCTTTAGAATCTTAGGATTTAAATGCAGTAAAATGTAAATGCAAAATTAAAAAAAAAAAACTACAATTTTTGGGTGTGTCCAAAGCCAACATTTTAGGTTCTATTTTCTCTTTTAAATCCTTCGTTCGTGGAAATAGAAAAACTTTAAATATTGCCATATAGAGAAATTAGTCTTTTTTTGCCCGCTGAGCTAAACAAGTTCCAAATTACAATGAAGTACAATTTCTAATTGCTTCATAAAGCCAATTCTCTCAGTTTTCCCTAAACTCAACAATTTCCCTCCTTTCTTTATTCCAATTAGTTTTTTTCTCAAACTAAAATGAGTTGGGTACCCAAACTGACTTTGCTTTTAGGAGGTTTTTTGCTTTCTCCCCTCCAAGAACTAAATTCATTCAAATTCCAGCTTAATTTTCATTTACATATTATCTGGATTTGGCTTCAGAAATAAAAATTGTCTCCATGCTTCTGGAAAGATCAAAGTGAAAATTTTCACCCGAAAAAAGAAAAAAAAAGAATCTCTTACCCCTCCACTGCCTGGTAGTGCAAACTTTTGAAAAAATAAGAAATAAAAAATATTTCTTTTCAATTTTAATTTCTTTTTTATTTACAAAATAGTATCCTCTAGGTGGCGTCGTTTTAATGGGAAAAAACTACCGTTTGAAGAAAAATTAGAAAAAAAAAATTGAGAAAGGAAAATATGGCCTAAAAAAAAAGATTGTTGCAAAAATGGGGGACCTGGGGGGAAAGACCTCCCGGGGGGTCATCGGGGACCCCGAGCGCAGAGAGGGTCAGGGGAAAATTGCAAATTTGGGGGGGAGGGGGCAGAGCTGGAAGGGGTTGCATTTTTGCAAAATGTGAATTGTCCAAACTGAAATGGCTGCTCTGTTCTCTCGCCGCTTTGTTTTCTGGGCTCCGGTCCGAGCCCGGGGCCGGAGGGGGCGCTGGGTGGGGGCCCCAAAAGACCCCCTCGTCACCCCCACCCTCCTCGCACCCCGCAGCGCCCGGGGGGGTGCTCTCCGGACCCCGACCCTCCCGATTGCGCCCACAAAAAGCCCGCAAACGTGCCCAGGCACTTTGCATTTTGCAAATCTTGCAATGAAGTGGCGCAGCGCCCCGGGCCCCGGCCCCCCGGGGTCCCCCGCGCGGTGCATGCCCCCGGCCCCCCGTCGTACCTGCGGAGCCGCCGCGCCGCCCGGCTGGTTCATGGGTCCGTGCGGGAGGAGGCGGCCCCGGCGCGTCCTGCTCCTCCCGGGCCGGGCTGCTGGTGCGCGCACAATGCCGCCGCCGCCGCCGCCGCCGCCGCCGCCGCTCCCTCCTCCGCCCGCCCCGCTCAGGCCGGGGGGGCGGGGGCGCTGGGGGCGCGCGGGGGGGGCGCCGGCCCTCGCCCCCACCCCCGGCCCGCACCGGCCGCGCCGCGGCAGCCGCTGCCGCCGAGCCGCCCCTCGCGGGGCCGCCGCCGCCCCCCGCCGCCCTGCCCGCCCCCGGGCCGGCCTCGCCGTGCGGCCCGCGAGCTCGGGGCCTCGGCCTCGGCCTCCGCGCTGCCGGCCTCCGCGTGGCACACAAAGCCGGCCGGTCCAGGGGCGCGCCCGCCCTCCCGTCCGCCAGCCCCAGTGCCGCGGCACACCCGCCCCCCCAAACTTTCCCGCGCCGCGCCCTGCCCTCCCCGCGCCCCCCGCGCCCGCTCCCCGGCTCCCTTCTGCCCTCCCCCAGTCCCCCAGCCCCTCGGAAATGTCATTTTCACGCTGGAAAAAAAGTTCAGGGAGCCGGCTCTCGGCGGAACGCAAGAGGTTAATGGGAACTCTGTACCCCGCTGTACCCCCCCGCCAAAAAAAAACCAGATTGATTTTTGAAATAAAAGTTTTCAAGAGCTGGCTTGCTGGAAGACTGGAAGGCTTATTGGGAATATTCTATTGCCCTGCCACTCCTCCCAAAAAAACTAATGTAATAAAATAAAAGTTTGAAGGACTGGCCCCATGTCCGACAAGAGTGGTTAAGGGGACTCTAGCCCCCCAGCCAGACTGATTTTTAAAATAAATACTTGAGGAGCCGCTTTTATGTGAAATGCCAGTGAAGCGGCTGTTTCTGCCTATCCTTGCCAAATTAAAATATATATATGTATTTCTAAATAAAAGTTTGAAAAACTGGTCCTACAGTAAGACAAGAGGGGTTAAAGGTTAAGGGATATTAGCGCCCCCCACCCCCATATCCCCCAGTTAGGTTGATTTAGAGAAGGAAAATTTGAGAAACTTGCATGTGAAATAAAACGTGAACCAGGATATTTCTTTCCAACACCCCAAAATAGCCAGTTTTTTTGTTGTTGTTATTGTTGTTTTTTTTTTTTTAACTTGAGCAACTGCCTCCTTGTGACTTGGGAAAGTTTAAAAGGGATTTTTTTTTCTATTCTCTTCCCTATTCTCCTAAAAAATCCGATTTTTTAAAAATTGAAAGTATGAAGGACCTGCCCTATTATAGAGACAAGGAGGGATTACTGGATCCATCCTACATCTCCCACAACTGGTTGATTTTTGGAATAAAAATGTTAAGAATTGCTCTTCTATGAGATGCAAGGTGAACAGAAATCCTTCTTTGCCCCTCCCCAAAAGAAAACTGCAAGGGTACTTTTCAAAAATAAAAGCATTGGAAATTAAGAGTAACCAGGTATCTTCTCTCTGCCCCCACCTTCAAAAATCAAATGTTCTTTTTTGTAATGTTTAAAGAACTGGAGCAATATGAGACAGGAAAGGTTACAGAAATGTTTTCCCTACAATCCTCAAAAAAGTTATTTTTAAAATTTTAGGAAACGGAGGCACTGTGTAGAAGACACCTCCTTTCCCTAATAAGTTAAATTGGGAGTTTAGCCCTATATGGGAGACATGAAATTAAGAAACACAACTCTTGCCCCCCTTAACAAACACTCATAACACAAGACGTTAAAAGGAGTCTTCTGGCCGGGAGTGGTGGCTCACGCAAATAATCCTTTTGGGAGGCCAAGGCGGGTAGATCACGAGGTCAGGAATTGGAGACCAGCCTGGCCAACATAGTGAACCCCTTCTCCACTAAATATACAAAAATTAGCCAGGTGTGGTGGCACACACCAGCCAGTAGTCCCAGGTACTCAGGAGGCTGAGGCAGGAGAATTGCTTGAACCCGGGAGGCGGAGGTTGCAGTGAGCCGAGACCACGCCATTGCACTCCAGCCTGGGTGACAGAGTGGGACTCCGTCTCAAAAAAAAAAAAAAAAGAGGAGTCTTCTAACCACTTCCTCCCAGACCCCTAAAAGTTGGAGATTCCTTAAAAATTGAAATTGAAAGTGGCCATTTTTCTCCCCACCAACCTGGTAAGTATGTCCCTGCCAGAGGTTTGGCAGCCTCTGCCCAGGCTGGTGTGCAGCAGGCACCAAGGTGAGTAGGGGCAGCTTGCAGAGCATGGCAGAGTTGGGTCCTGTGAGCCCTGAGCATATGTGCTGGGCAGGCAGCCCCTAGTCCACCTGCCCCTCATCCACCAGGTGGTTGGGGCCTTGTTACCTGGAAAGATGCTCCCAGATTTGATGTCTGTCTGGCTCGATCCTTGTGTGAAGGTTTCTGGGCACCTGCCTCAAGGCCGGGTCCCCGCCTCTGCCTAGTAGAGCCAAGCCTGATCTTAGGCCTTAGAGTAGAAACTAGATCCAAAATGACATGGGGTCTCAGTCACCACAGCTGAAAGCTGTATGGTACCAAGGAAAAACTCCTGCCCTGGGAGTCGGGAAAACTTGATACGATAATTATTCATTTGAGCACTTACTATGTGCCAGGTGCCTTGTATCTAGTAGGACAGACACACACCATGAAGAGGAGAACTATTTGCAGCAGCTCTTCTCAAATGCAAGTGATCCTTGGAATCAGCAGGAGAGCCTATTCAGATTGCTGAGCCCACCCCAGAGTTTTGAATTCATTTGGTCTAGGTTAGGCACCAAGAGTTTGCATTTCTAATGCGTTTCCAGGTGATGCTGATGTTGCTGGTTTAAGGGCCACCTTCTTCAAACCTTTGCAGTACAGTGCCAACAGTGAGGTGCTCAGTGCAGCTCAAGGAAGGGTCCTACCCAGCCCGGGCGTGGGTCAGCGAAGATTCCAGGAGGGTCTTAATTAGATGGAAGTTTCTCTCTAGAGCAGGGATTCTTAAATGGGGACTTTGCATTGGTTTGGGGAACCAAGAACTACTCCTTAACCAAATGTATGTCTGTATGTGCATTTTGGGGGAGAAAATCTGTGGCTTTCACTCAAGAGCATCAGTGACCACCAACCTGAAATAATCCACAGCCTGTCTTCAGGCACCTCTGGCCTATAAAAGCTCATGGTCCTTCTCAGCCTTCTTTTTCTAGAATCACTGCAAGCCCTTTCCGTTTCTTCGCCACCCATGGGTCCCAGGAGCTGGGCCTTCTATCAGCACATCTCGACCATAGAGGCATCTCCTCCCCAGGGGTCTCGGCCTTGAAGAGTGCTTCCTTTCTTCATTCTGTATCAGATGGGCCATGAAGGGTATCCTCAGGGGACAATGGCTGAGCTTGAAGTCTTCCTGACAAAATCCAGCTTATAAATGAACCCACATATTTCCCAAACCACAGCAGAAACTATGCAATCACTCAGAGCTGTGGTTTGTCTCCATTCAGGAATTAACTGAGGGCATACTCACCTTGTGGAACTTTTGGAGTGTCCTGAGGACCTGCCCAAGAAAGTGGCTAGGTACTGTATGAGGTGGCTATGGTCCCATCAGGTGCACTGTGGTCATATCTTAGCCCCCTCACTTTCGAGAGCAATGACACTGTGACCAGTGTGGGGAAGCCAAGAGAAGGGGAGGACCCCTACAAACACCAGGCGAGCTCTGGGCAGAGCTTCAAGGGGGAGGGTGTGTGGGTGGAGGAGCCAACATATTTTGTGATCGCCCAGGGGACAAGACCAGACCTGCTCTATGATGGAGCAGGCTCTGTGATACAGCGTTGGAAAAATGACTGTTGGTCAGGGGTGTGGAAGAACAGATGCTCACATCGGTGGAAGCGTGGTCCGGGAGGGACACCCACAGGCTCTCCCATCTTCTGAGGGTCTGTGGTTCAACTCGGCGTGCCTGAGTTTATCAAATTCTGGAAACTTTTTACTCCTTCCATGCCTAGCCCACTGCCTCCAGGACTAGCATTACTACATCATTTTATGAGCCCAGCCTCTGGCGTCAGTTCCCAGGTTCACTGGCTCTGGTCCTCTTCCCCTGCGGTGTGGTCTCCAGCAGATGGCTCAACTTCTTGCCCCCACTTCTTCATCTTTAAAATGATAGGCCAGGCTCGGTGGCTCACGCCTGTAACCCCAGCACTTTGGGAGGCCAGGGCGGGTGGATCACAAGGTCCGGAGATTGATACCATCCTGGCTAACACGGTGAAACCCCATTTCTACTAAAAATACAAAAATTAGCCAGGTGTGGTGGCACACGCCTGTAGTCCCAGCTACTCAGGAGGCTGAGGCAAGAGAATCGCTTGAACCCGGGAGGCGGAGGTTGCAGTGAGCCAAGATCAAGCCACTGTGCTCCAGCCTGGGCGACAGAGCGAGACTCCATCTCAAAAAATAAAATAAAATAAAATAAAATAAAATAAAATAAAAAGAAATAAAATAAAGTAAAATAAATAAAATGATGCTAACAGTTTTATCTACCTCATGGGGTGCCCTGAGGATTAAATGATGTAATGTGTGAAGTCCTTAGAAAGTGTATTGTGTAGCGAGGTCAGGAGATCAAGACCATCCTGGCTAACACGGTGAAACCCCGTCTCTACTAAAAATATAAAAAAATTAGCCGGGTGCCTGTAGTCCCAGCTACTTGGGAGGATGAGGCAGGAGAATGGCGTGAACCCGGGAGGCGGAGCTTGCAGTGAGCCGAGATCGCGCCACTACACTCCAGCCTGGGCGACAGAGCGAGACTCTGTCTCAAAAAAAAAAAAGAAAGTGTCTCGTGTAGAGAAAGCGCACACGTCGGCAGGTGGAATTTCCGGTGCCCTCACTACCCGGGTGATCCTGGCCTCAGGGCTTCATCTCTGAGCTTTAGTGTCTGTCTTTGAAAAATGGGGATTCTAAAACCTACCAGTCTTATCAATACGCTTTCAGTTGTAACCAATAGAAAAGAAATCACGCTAAACAGACAAAAAATGGAAAATTAGAAGGTGGATCATGGTATCCAAGGGCAGGAAATGAAACAAAGCCTCAAGGGGATTCAGAGCCAGGAACTAGAAAAGTTTCAGGACCTGGGCTTTCTCTCTCCATCACTCTGGGCCACAGATCTCTTGACATCTCAGTCCTAACTTCTCCCTCCTTCCCACTCTCTCTCCGGGTTAGGGGTCGTCTCTGCTTCCCTGGACACGAAGTCAAAATGGTCAGCATACCATCCTCTCAGTGCAGCAAGTACTGACTGGAGTCTCTGCGCTCAATCCAAACTCAGAATAGAGAATGGAGTGAGTCAAGCTTGGCTTAGGTGCCACCAGGAGCTGATCCTCTATGGCCAAAGATGGCAGGGTCACAAAACACATAGAGCCTCTTGAGACCCAGCCTTGAGAGAAGGGACGTGGGGGGCTGAGCAGAACCTTCCAATGTTCCTCTTGGAGGACTGGTGAGGGTTCGCTGAGACTGAGGACGTGATGTGGAGATACACCAAAGTTGCATTTCTTTGTGCTAGAGTCTGGCAACATTTGGAAAACCCAGGAAGTTAAGATGCTGAGGCTTTTTCTAGTAGGTGATGGGCAGATGTCAAACTTGCGTCACAAGCAGGTGGTGGGAGTTGCCTCAGCAGAAGCCTTTGGGTCCCAGACAGAACCTGGGGGCTTGGCTAAGATCTGCTGGGTAGGTCTTGGTGGAGAAGTTGCCTTTATAGAGAAACAGTCGGCTCAAAAGGGCATGGAAAAGAATGAAGGCTAAGACTTCATGAAATGGTGTTTTCTTCCTCAAGCTGAGTTACTTTTCCTTAAGCCTAAAAAACAAGGGAAATGCTCTCTTGTAACAGCCCAGCCAGGGTGACTTGGGCTTTCAAGTCTCTACACAAAGGGGGGGGAAGAAATCACACGATCTGGTCTTAGAAAATTCCTTAGCAATTTATCAAACAAGTTGGCAGCATTTTCTCGTTTGATTGACTATTTCTCCAAAGTGGGCAGAGAAGGGACAGTCACCCCCATTTTAAGGCTCAAGTGTCTTGATCCGGTACAAAATTCCAACTTTTGCTCTGGAATTTTCTTCTTTTCTTCCATTCCTCTACCTCCCCATCCCCGCACAGGGAGAAGTTGGGAAGGAGTTGGGATCAACCAGCAGCAACGTACTTCCTCAAGGAGGGACCTTGCAGGTCATGGTGAAGTCTCCAGAGAAGCAGGTACCTTAGGCCTTGGCAGTCCCCCAGGGAGGTGAGTCCAGGAGCGAAAACGGAGAGAAAGAAGATCCAGGACAAGATACTGGCAAATAGAAAGAAAGAGATCAGGCTGGATGCGGTGGCTCAAGCCTGTAATCCTAGCACTTTGGGAGGCCGAGGCGGGCGGATCATGAGGTCAAGAGATCGAGACCATTCTGGCCAACATGGTGAAACCCCATCTCTACTAAAAGTACAAAAATTAGCTGCGCATGGTGGCGCTCGCCTGTAGTCCCAGCTACTCGGGAGGGTGAGGCAGGAGAATTGCTTGAACCCGGGAGGCGGAGGTTGCAGTGAGCCGAGATCGTGCCACTGCACTCCAGCCTGGCGACAGAGCGAGACTCTGTCTCCAAAAAAAGAAAGAAAGAGATCAAAGTGATCGCCCAGATAAAGAATCAGCATTGAGGCAAAAATCTATGTAGCCTGTCCCAGGAGTCAACAATAAATGCTCCTTATGTTTCATAAACCTGTTCCATGGAACCTGCCAGCCCATGAAGCCTAGAGAAAGCCTGGCATCCTAGTAAAGATCTCATCTAGTCTCTGCACTTAGACCTGTGCAGATTGTAACATTAGCCACTATAAAAACCTCAGTTTTTCTCATCTGTAAAATTGGGCAAAATAAGGTACGTAACACCACAGAGTTATTTAAAGCCTTAATTCATGTTATGCACTCAATGCATGGCAATTATGATTACCATTTCCAGCCCGTATCGACCTCAACATGTATAAGGAAACTCAGGCTCCGGGATGGGATGAGGGTGGAGTCACCTCATTTGAGCAGGGCTAGACAGCCGAGAATGGAGCAAAGTCAGCTTTGAAGGCAGCTTCCCCAAATCCAGTTGGCAGTGCCCCCCACTATGGCAGTAGTCCTGATTTTAATTCAGCTGGATCTCAGAATGGAGATGGGCCCAGGCCATGAGAAAAAAAGAAAAGGAATAAAGATGGCAAGAGCTTGTCCACCTCGTTTCCTCCTTCACCATCTGGTGCTCCCAAAGGAGGCTTTAATAATCCATCCTTTCTGCTGAGAAACACACTTGTGAATGCAATTACAATGTGTCATAGTACAGGGCTCAGGCTCTGTCTGGACTCAGACCCAACTGGGTTCCAATCCCAGTTGAGTCCCTTTCCAGCCGTGTTTTCCTGAGCACATCACACCACTGTCTCTGAGCCCCAGTTTCCTTAACTGTTAAATGGGGATGATAACACAGACGTGCATGTTTTACATGAGGGTTAGAAAAAGCAATAATGTCAGCACACAGTAGGTATCCTAGATAGTCGAGATGATGATATTAATGATGATGATGATCTCAACGGCTTCCATCTGCAAAACTATCCAGTGGGCGGGGCATGTCTGGAATGACAGCTCAGCCATGAAGCCATCCAACTATGTCCCTCAGTTATCTCCATTAGCAGATGAGGGGAGTGAGGCATAGAAAAGTAAAATGGAATGTTTCTTTCACCAGTAATTGGACAAACTGCCAGCATGTGACTCTTGATGGGATGCACCGACAACCAACAGTGCTTACACAGAATTCCTGCCAAAAATGCATAACCCAAATCTAATCATGAGGAAACATCAGACAAATCCAGATCAAGGGACATTCTACAGAACAACTGGCCTGTATTCTGCAAAAATGTCAATGTTATGAAAGACAAAGAAAGACCAAGGAACTGTTTCAAATTAAAGGAGACTAAAGAGATAAGTATGACAACTAAATGCAAAAAGTGATCTTGAACCATTTTTTTTTTTTGGCTCCTGGATCAGAGTGGGAAAAAAATTACTATAAAGGACATTTTGGGGACAATTGGTGAAATTTGAATATAGTTGTATATTAGAGAATAGTATGTATTCATTTTAAATTTCTGGATTGATCATCATTTTCTGGTTGTGTAAAATCTTCTCACTCTTAGAAAGTACACACTTTTGATGGAAAGGCACATGATTATCTGCAACTCTCGAAAAATATATATACATATGTATATGTCTGTATGCATACATATATTATATATATAAGATAAAGCAATTATATGTGACTGAATATGAATTGGCAAATTTGAACAAAGGGTATGCAAAAGGTCTTTGTCCTATTCTTGCAACTGTTCTATAATTTTGAAATTATTTCAAAATAACAAGTTAACAAAAGTGAAATATTTAATATGTTTGAAAAAGCTAGAAGCCTA
Organism: Homo sapiens; assembly: GCF_000001405.40. Lineage (NCBI taxonomy): Eukaryota > Metazoa > Chordata > Mammalia > Primates > Hominidae > Homo > Homo sapiens. The sequence goes on along the minus strand of NC_000009.12, from coordinate 113,868,004 downwards.
CACTGAAACTATTTTCATTGGAATGGAATCTTTTCATTGTATATTCAACGGAAAAAAATTTGATTCATTGATCAGTGGCTTGTCAACATCAAAATTTGCTGATTATCTTTCTTCGTAACATGAATATGTTCTTTTGTAGCTGTTATTCCCATGAGGTCCAATTTTCCTAGGCAAATTTTATGATCTCAATTTTGTCATGCAGATGTAGGGTCTTCCCATCCATGTTTAGTCAATATTTACTGGACGCAGTGTTAGTCTTTGTGTTTTATTTTCTGTTGCTTATTTCTACCAGGTAAAAGTTATTTTAAGTTTTGCAATTTCCAGTGTTCCCAGTAAGCTGTAATTCTTCAAACAGGTTTTTCCCCCCGTAAAATTAACTTTGTTGTGTATAGTTTAGAGGGATTCTCTAACCCTGGCTAGGCATCTGAATTTCCTGGGAGCTTTTGAAAAGTACAAGTTTTCCAGCTTCTCTTCAATCTCAAGATTCTGATCCAGGCGGAATCTGGATATTTGAAATTTTAAAAGCTCCCTGCCTCTCAGGTTCTGTGGTAGTCACTGGCCCATCACTTGGTGTGGTTACCACCTTGCCTTGTGTTATTGGTTCTTAAACTCTTTGGGCCTTGCTATTCTATTTTAACATTCCATTTTCCCAACTTAACTGTGAGGTCATTGAAGAAAGGGACTAAGCAAATGATTTCTTTCTGGCCAGCACAGCTCTCTACAATTATTAGGTAAGGCAGCAAAACAATATTAGTTGATTGATTGTTGGCGCAACCAAAACTTTGAATAGCAACATCAAGAGAAGGAACTTTAAAGAAAATTGTGAGACCGGGCACGATGGCTCACACCTGTAATCCCAACACTTTGGGAGGTTGAGGTGGGCAGATCACCTGAGGTCAGCAGTTCGAGACCCGCCTGGCCAATGTGGTGAAACCCCGTCTCTACTAAAAATACAAAAAAGTAGCTGGGTGTGGTGGCAGGCGCCTGTCATCCCAGCTACTAGGGAGGCTGAGGCAGGAGAACCCGGGAGGCAGAGGTTGCAGTGAGCCGAGATCGTGCCACTGCACTCCAGCTTGGGCAACAAGAGCGGAACTCTGTCTCGAAATAAAAAAAAAAAATTGTGCAAGAATATATATACATAAAATTTACCATTTTAAACATTGTAAGTGTACAGTTCAGTGATACAAAGTGCATTCACACTGTTGTGTAACCATCACCACTATTCATCTTCATAATTTTTCATCATCCCAAACGGAAATGCTACACCTATTAAACACTAACTTCCCATTCCTCCTACCTGCCCCTCGCAACCACTGTACTACTTTCTATCACTCTATGAATTTGACTATTCTAAGCACTCTCATATAAGGGGAACCACACCATATTTGTCCTTTTGTATCTGGCTCATTTCACTAGCACAGTGAATCTTAAAGATTCATTCATGTTGTAGTGTGTATCAGAATTTCATTCCCTTTTTTTTTTTGAGACGGAGTCTCGCTCTGTCACCCAGGCTGGAGTGCAGTGGCATGATCTCGGCTCACTGCAAGCTCCGCCTCCCGGGTTCACGCCATTCTTCTGCCTCAGCCTCCCGCGTAGCTGGGACTACAGGCGCCTGCCACCATGCCCACCTAATTTTTTGTATTTTTAGTAGAGACAGGGTTTCACCGTTTTAGCCAGGATGGTCTCGATCTCCTGACTTCGTGATCCACCTGCCTCGGCCTCCCAAAGTGCTGGGATTACAGGCGTGAGCCACTGCGCCTGGCAGACTTTCATTCCTTTTTAAGGCTGAATAATATTTCATTGTATGGCTATACCCCATGTCATTTATCCATTCATCCATTGATGGATACTTGGGTTGCTTCTACCTTTTACCTATTGTGAATAATGTTGCTATGAATATTCATGTATAAGTATCTGTTCAGTTCTCTGCTTTCAATTCTTTTGGGTAGATACTCAGAAGTTGAGTTGTGGGATCTTACAGTCATTCTATTTCTAATTTTTTGAGGAATCACCATAACATTTTCTACAGTGGCTAAAGAAAGCCTGTTTTTAAAAGCTGCTTTAAAAGAGGTAGAATGATGATTGATCCTTTCTGAATTTCATGCTAACTCTGTTGAGAAACAAAATCCATACATCTATCTTTAGCAACCTTAAAGAGCCATAAGAAGTTACCCTACCCTCTTTGTTTTGTGGGAAATTGACTGCATTAAAGGCACCGATTCTGCACACCTCCTGGAATCTAGCCCTTTTTGTCATGTGACTTTGCAGTTCTCACTAAAAACATAGACTCTATTTCCCGTTCCTTGAATCCCAGTTTGGCCATGTGACTTTGGACAGTGGGATGTTAGCCAATTTCACATAAGAAGAGACTTTAAAAGTGCTTGTGCAGGTCAAGCACAGTGGCTCACACTTGTAATCTCAACACTTTGAGAGACCAAGGCAAGAGAATTGCTTGAGGCCAGGAGTTCAAGACCAGCCTGGGCAACAGGGTGAGACCCTGTCTCTACAAAAAAATTAAAAATTAGCCAGGCATAGGGGTGCACACCTGTGGTCCCGGCTACTCAGGAGGCTGAGGTGGAAAGATGACTTTAGCCCGAGAGCTTGAGGCTGCAGTGAGCTGTGATCACACCACTGCACTCCAGCCTGGGCGACAGCATGAGACTCCATCTCCAAAAAAATAACCAAATAAAAATAAAAGTGCTTGTGCAACTGAATTTGCACTTGCTCGTGCACTTATGCCTTCACCGTGAGAATACAGTTGGCCTCGTATCCATGGGTTCCACATTTGTAGATTCAACCAACCATGGATTGAAAATATAGTTAGGCCTATGATGTTTGCATCTGTATGGGGCACGTACAGATTTTTTTCTTGTCATTATTCCCTAAACAATATAGAATAACAGCTACTTACATAGCATTACATTGTGTTAGGTATTGTAAGTAATCTGGAAACGATTTAAAATTTACAGGAGGATGTGCATAGGTTATAGGCAAATATGACAACATTTTATATAAGGGCCTTGAGCATCTGTAGATTTTGTTTTCTGTGGAGGTCCTGGAACCAATTCTTCATGAATACCCAGGGACAACTGTATACCCAAGCTAGTCTGCTGGAAGAATAGGAGAGAAAAGTGAAACAGAGTTATTCTAGCTGATCACCACATGTGTGACCCCTTCACCAAGAGCCAGCTACCCCCAGAGAGTGAGAGAGCTCAAAGGAGACTAGAGGAACTATCCAGATTAAATCTCCAACCCACAGACTCAAGAGCTAAGTAAATGCTTATTGTTTTTTGTAACTGAGTTTTGGAGGTGGTTTGTTACACAGCGTTATTGTGGCAATAGATAACTGATACATCTACCCTCTTCCTCTGCGAATATGCTGCATTTTCTGCACCTGTCAAAGGGTGATGAGACAACTAATTTTACTGACTTCCTAGTGCTGGCATGAGAAGTAAATGCCAGAATTGGCCAGGTCTAGCGTCTGGGCAATTATTATCTAAAGGTGGATTTCTCTCTTCCTCCTTGAAAGTTACCCTCTTTTTTAGTTTATTGGGAAAGAGGGCTATAGAGGGCATCTGTTCTCCATTCCCCCTGTTCTGGTGACAGTGTCTCAATTTTTCTTAGAGAAAAAGCCTTCTCTCATGCTCAGTCTATGTGTTCTGGGTGGACTTGCTCTACCCCTGAGTGCCATCAGCAAATGACCCAGGCCAGGCCATTCATATATGCCATTGACTTGGCAAGATGGTCATATGACAGGCCAAGCCAATGAGATCCAGATTTAAGAGTTTGAATGGAAAGTTTTCCTTTCCTTTGAGATGACTGTGAGGATATAGTTTAAGTTTAGGGGAGCCAAACGGTGCCATGTGGAAAGAGCTTGCCTGAATTCAGCTGACACAGAGGAAAGCAGACCCAGCTATGGGAAGACACAGTCCCAATGACATGGTTAGAACCCCTAGATCCAGCCAGACCTGAAGCTGTAGTTCCTTTGAACTTTTTAGTTATGTGAGTCAATCCATATTCTTTTTGCTTGCTTTGTTTTGTTTTGCTTGTGTTAAAATAATTTAAGGAAAGACTCTGTTGCTTGTAACTGAAAAAGTATTTGTCTTGCATTCCTCCTCAGTCACCTTCCTGACTGCATGTTCCTTCTCATAATGGGCTTCTCCACAGTGCTCTTAGCCCCACTGTTGTGAAGAACCACTGTGCTTATCCCTGCTGGATAACACTTGGGATTCCCAAGCTAAGTCCACCTGATAAAGTGACACTACTCCCACACAGCCTGTGGGAACAGATAGAATATTGGCAGATCTAGGCTAACCAGGCATCCTAGTTTGCCCTGGCCAGTTCTGGTTTATGCCTATTGTCTCAGCGTATTTACTAATAGCACCCCTTTCACTATCCATAGTGTCATTGTTTGAGTAATCATTTATATAGTCAACCTTAGCAGGTCATACTTCCTTTTATTGTGTCATCCTTTTATTGTCCACATAAAGTTGACTGGCAGAGAACAAAGATAGCTGGGACAACATCAGCCATTCCACATGCTCCTACAATGTAACCTCGTCTTTCTTCCTCAAGGGCTGCAATCTAATTCTCCTCCACTTGAATTTGGATGGACCTGCAACTGCTTCAACCCATAGACCACTGTGGAAGTGATAAGGATTAACTTCCTAGACTGTGGAAGTCTAGGAAAAGACAATGTTGCTTCCACTTTTTTCATTAGATTGCTCATACTTGGATCCCTGAGCTGTTCTATAAGAATCCAACTTCCCTGAGGCTGCCATGTTGTGAGGAAGCTAAGCCATGTTGAGAGGCCACGTGTAGCCACTCTGATGGGCATCTGTGGCAGAAGGACTCTAAGATGCCCCCCTCCCCTTATCCTCATCTCCTGGTATTCACCCTTGCATAATCCTCTCCTCTTAGTGAGGGTGAGACCGTAACTTGCTTCTAATCAGTGGAATACTGTTAAGGTGAGGGGATGTCCCTTTTGTGACTATGTTACATGAGATTATCCCTCCCATCTGCCTAGTGGACTCTGTCTTGCCACTTTTGATGAAACAAGTGGCCATACATGGGAGTTCCACATGTCAAGGAACTGAGGACAGCCTCTGCCCAACAGGCAACCAGGAACCTTAACCCTCAGTCCAGCAACCCAAAAGGAACTGAATCCTGCCCACAACTATGTAAGTGAGCTTAGAAGCATATCCTTCTCCTGTTGAGCCTGCAATGAAACACTAGCCCTTGATTGCAACCTCATGAGCAGAGTCCTCCCCATCCAAATTGTGGGATAATAAATGTGTATTGTTCTAAATCATCGTGTGTGATAATTTGCTACTAATTAGAGAACTAATTCACAGTCTTAGTCTTTGAGTCCTCCCTGCTAAGGCACTCAGTGAGTGAAGATATTCCAGATCATTCTAGTCCTCAGCTTTTGACTCACCTCCCAGCCATTAAGTCCCCTGGTCCCAAACATTGTGGAGCAGAGACAAGTCAGCTCCTCCACACCCTGTCCAAATTCCTGGCCAAGAATTCAGAAGCATAATAAAATGGTTATTATTTAAAGCCACTATATTTTGGGGTAGTTTTTAAGACAGCTATAAAGAATGAACCAGAGAGTCTCTTTTTTTGTTGTTTTGTATGAAATGGAGTTTCACTCTTGTTGCCCAGGCTGGAGTGCAATGGCGCAGTCTCCATTCACTGCAACCTCTGCCTCCCAGGTTCAAGTGATTCTCCTGCCTCAGTCTCCCGAATAGCTGGGATTACAGGCACCCGCCACCAGGCCCAGGTAATTTTTTTTTTTTTTTTGTATTTTTAGTACAGACAGGGTTTCACCATGTTGGCCAGGCTGGTCTCGAACTCCTGACCTCAGATGATCTGCTCACCTCGGCCTCCCAAAGTGCCGTCTCAATTTAAAACTGTACGTTAAATATGACCTTTTCATGATCCATGACATAAGTGACCCCCCAGTAGCTAACATCACAGCTGGGTCTTCAGGTCCTTCGTGTTCCTTAAGAGCATCCAGGCAGTTTCCATGGACCTTTTGTCAACTCTTGTGCCAAGGGTGTAGTCTTGCCCCTGGTTGCCCACCAACAGTAAATTTCTTAGCAATTTAGAGCTCCTATTAAAGATTTCATGTTATTGCTTACAAGGATTTAATTAAGTTCTAGACAATGGCTACTCCTCTTTCCATTATCTAGGTACATGGGGATGGTTACATTCTTCCAATTTTACTCAATTCAAATCTCTCTACCTTCTACCTGTTCCCAAAAGGCTCTGGTTAAGGACCTATGTCTACTGGGGAGAAGGAGGGGAGGGATGGAGGGAGAAAAGCGTGGTCAGAGAACTCAGCAGGAGGATGGAGGTTAAGCTCTTGTTCAAATCGCACAATCTCATTTTTCTCTCTGGGACAGCAGAGACTCTTATTCAGGAGAAAGGACCTCTCTGCACACACATGTACACACACACACTCCTTGTGCCTTCCCTCCCATAGCAGGACAATGAGATTTTGACTTGTATCTGTTACTTTTAAAAATAATGGAGTCTGGTGCGGTGGCTGATGCCTATAATCCCAATACTTTGGGAGGCCAAGGCGAGTGGATCACCTGAGGTCAGGAGTTGGAGACCAGTCTGGCCAACATGGTGAAACCCCGTCTCTACCAAAAATACAAAAATTAGCTGGGTATGGTGGCATGTGCCTGTAATCCCAGCTACTTGGGAGGCTGAGGCAGGAGAATCACACGAACCCGGGAAATGGAGGTTGCAGTGAGCTGAGATCACTGCCCTCCAGCCTTAGCAACAGAGCGAGACTCTGTCTCAAAATAATAATAATAATAATGCAATACAGTCATGGCTTTGGAGATTCTTCAAAGAAAGAAATATTTTTAGCTGAGTTTTTTCAAGTAGTTGAGGATTACCTCTCTAAGCATCAAAACTTTTATTTCAGTAATTTGGAATGGATATCTTTCTGAAATGTAGTGTACCCTTCCCTGCCTCTTAAAGAATGGATAACATTATTCCCCCTGCCTTTCCTGAAATCTCACATTGAGCACTGCCCCCAAACATATTAAGATGAATTAACTGAGCCCAGGATATTGATACAATAGCATGAGTTTTCAAAAGGAAAACATTGTCTTTCCCCAGATTTTTGAAAGCTATTGACTATGCATTCAGTTCTTCAGAAGTCAATGTTTGACTACATGAAATGAGAAACAGCCCCTCCATGATGCAAATATATCCTTCCTACCAAAAGACAAATGTAATCCAGACGTCCCCCAGTCTTGATCAGCCTGTGGATAGAAATGAGGTCACACTTTATTTATTTATTTAACAAAGACTTACCTAGGGCTTGCACTGAGCCATTCCAAGTGCATTAAGATCAACTGATGTTTGACCAAGATGCGAAGAACACACAATGGGGAAAGGACAGTCTCTTCAACAAATGGTGTCAGGAAAATGGATATCCACATACGTAAGGACATGAGACCCTTATCTCACACCGTATGCAAAAATCAACTCAGAATAGATTAAACATTTAAAAGTAGACCTGAAACTGTAAGACTACTAGAAGAAAACAAGAAACATTCCATGACATTGGTCTGGATAATAATTTTTTGGGGATATGAAACCAAAAGCATAGGCAACAAAAGCAAAAATAGACAAATGGGATGACATCAAACTAAAAGTTCCTTCACAGCAAAGGAAACAATCATCAGAATGATGATAACCTAAAAAATAGGAGAAAATATTTACAAACCAAACATCCAATGAGGGGTTAATACCCCAGATATGTAAGGAACTCAAATAACTCAATAGCTATAAAATAAATAACCCTATTAAAAAATGAGCAAGGGGGCTGGGCACAGTGGCTCACACCTGTAATCCCAGCACTTCGGGAGGCTGAGGCAGGCAGATCACGAGGTCAGGAGATCGAGACCATCCTGGCCAACACAGTGAAAACCCGTCTGTACTAAAAATACAAAAAATTAGCCAGGTGTCGTGGCACGCGCCTGTAGTCCCAGCTACTTGGCAGGCTGAGACAGAAGAATCACTTGAACCTGGGAGGTGGAGGTTGCAATGAGCTGAGATCACGCCACTGCACTCCAGCCTGGGCGCCAGAGCAAGACTCTGTCTCAAAAGAAAAAAAAAGGAAAAAAAAAAAGAGCAAAGGACCTAGGCATTTCTCAAAAGAAGACCCACAAATGGGCAACAGGTCCATGAAAAAATACTCGACATCACTAATCATCAGGGAAATGCAACTTAAAACCAGAATGAGATATCACCTCACATTTATTAGAATGGCTACTATAAAAACAAAAATGAAAGATAAGTGTTGGTGAGAATGTGGAGAAAAAGAAACCCTGGTACACTGTTGGAGGGAATGTAAATCAGTACAGCCATTATGGAAAACAGTATGGAGATTTATCAAAAAATTAATAATAGAACTATCATATGATCTAGCAATCCCACAACTGGACATAGATCCAAAAGAAATGAAATTAGTATGTCAAAGAGGTATCTGCACTTCCATGTTCACTGCTGCATTATCCATAATAACCAGGATATGGAATCAACCTAACTGTCCATCAACAAATGAATGGATAAAGAAAATGTGGTAAGAAAATCACCAAGAGAGTAGATTTTAAGTATTCTCACCACAAAAAAAGCATGTGAGATAATGCATATGTTAAATAGATCAATTTAGCCACTCCACATCATTTCAAAATATCATGCTGTATACCATAAATATATATACATGTTATTAAAAATAAATTGAAAAAAATTTTTAAATCTAATCCTTCTAACAACCTTATGACGTATCTATCTGTTTTACAAGGGAGGAAATGGAGACACAAAAAGGTAAAGTAACTTGCTGAAGAACATGAAGCTCATAAATGAATCTGGGTTTTGGACCCAGGAGCCCAACTCTGGAGCCTGTACTTCTATTTACGTTACTCTGCTGAATCTCACTGATGTGGATCCCCTACCTACACGGTGGAAGTGTTTGAGTCTCCTTAGTGAGGTTCCCTCCTTCTCTGTTTATCACTGTTTCCAGAGTCCCTGGGAGGTCTTGCGCATGGGCAGTGTTCCCTTGGATTCTGCTCTGGAAGGGCAGGTCTGCCACTGCGTATTCTAAGCCACTATCTGTTATCACAACAATGCTATATAACAAACAACCCCAAAACTCAGTGGCTTCAAATAATGAGCAAGAATTTGGTTCACGAGTCCACAGATCTGTTGAAAGGTTCTTTCTGTCTTAGCAGGGCTTGCTTACATATCTGGGCTTAGCTGGTTCTTAGCTAATCTAGTTTGACCGGGACAAGTAGGGCCACTTGATTCTGGTCCACATGTCTCTCAACCTCCAGCAGGCTAGCACAGGCACCTGCACTTGGTAATGGCAGAAGAACAAAAGCAGACAAGCTCAATTGTGCAGACACTTTTCAATCTCTGTTTAAATCACATTTGCTAGCATCCCATTGGTAAAGACAAGTCCCATAGCTGACCCTGAGTCAGATTGGTAGAATACCCACAATGACATGGTATCAGGCATGAATACAGGAAGAGATACAGAACTGGGACCATGAATACATTCAATCTACCACACTCATCACCGATTTTCATTCTTCTCAAAAATATCAGAATAAAATTAAATTTCAAAATAAGAAATCATTTAGATAAAGCTGCCAAGATTCTGTAAATTAAAACTGTGCTCTGAGAGATGGTAATGAACATACCCAAATAAGGGGCAATATAAACCAATGGTTTCTTTATAAAAGGAACACAGCGGCATTCTACTGTATCAGTAGGAAATGAAACTGAGAATTCAGAACTCAGCCTGCTGATGTGTCAGGGAGGCCCCGCATTCTGGTGGCAAAGTGGCAGTCAGCAGGGTAGCCATTGTGTGGGCCTGGTGTCTAAGCAATAACGTTAGCACAGAAGTTACATCAGAGCAGGCCGCCAGCAAAACTGACTCAGTTAGCAACTTCTTAGCATATCAATGTCTCATTTTGTTTCTCTGGCAAAAAGCTCAAATATTGGATTGCCTGATTCAAAACTGACCCCTAGGCAACCTCAGTTTTTCCAGGAGAGTACAGTGAATATCTGTTTATTCCCATTCCTGGAAAGCAGTAACTGTCATTTTCTGGGCTCACACAGCCTGCACATATAGCCTGGTTATAATTCTTTCTCTGAGAAATGGGGGAGCCCTGTTAAGACAGCCAAGCTGGTCTCCAGACTTAGAGATCCATGAGCCATTGCTTCTACCGCATGAATCAGTGGAAATATCAACCTCCCTGAGATGGTAAATGTCAAGACCTGTGGATAAATGTTGAAAAATCAGAAAAGCCTCAGTAGACAGTAAAATTTACCAAAACCAAAAACAAAACACCAAATGAAAAAAAAGGAGCCAAAGATTCTGGAGTACTCTGCTTTTCGTTACAGGGACACCAAGATGTTTATAATGGCAGCTCATTGCCTTAAAATACGACTTCGATGGAGGAACAGGTGATTCAGGGATCCCTGGGCCCCTTCCCAGAGTGTGTTAGAGTTGGGAGGAATCTTTTGAATCCTTTGAATCTGTTTTGAGCATTTGCCATATACCAGGTGCTTCATAAACAATATCTCACTTAACTCCTAAAGAATCCCCTATAAGGTAGAGCTGTATATATCTCCATTTTACACATAAGGAAACTGAGGCACGAAGCTTCAGTGAAGGAAGTTATCCAAGTCATACAGCACATCAATCTAACTCCAGAACTGGAAACTGAGGCACGAAGTTTCTGTGAAGGAAGTTGCCCAAGTCATTCAGGGCATCAGTCTAACTCCAGAACTGGCCCTCTGAGACATGACTCTGTGAAGCTACCCGTTCAGGGGTGCCCTTCAGACACCACCAAGCCCAGTGGCCTTCAAGATTAGGGGGCTTATCCACAGGGTTTACAATTTCCAAGGTAGAGTCACCACACACAGTTTTAAGATACTCCATTTCTAGATTCTCAGCTTCCATGTGTACAATTTCCTAAAACTTACCTGCCTTAGGCCAGGCGTGGTGGCTCATGCCTATAATCCCACACTTCGGGATGGCGAGGCAGGTGGAGCACCTGAACTTAGGAGTTAGAGACCAGCCTGGCCAACATTGTGAAACCCTGTCTCTACTAAAAATACAAAAATTAGCTGGCTGTGATCTCACACCAGTTAGAATGGCAATTATTAAAAAGTCGGGAAACAACAGATGCTAGAGAGGCTGTGGAGAAATAAGAATGCTTTTACACTGTTGGTGGGAGTGTAAATTAATTCAACCATTGTGGAAGACAGTGTGGTGATTCCTCAAGGATCTAGAACCAGAAATACCATTTGACCCAGCAATCCCATTACTGGGTATACACCCAAAGGATTATAAATCATTCCACTATAAAGACACATGCACACGTATGTTTATTGCAGCACTATTTACAATAGCAAGGACTTGGAACCAACCCAAATACCCATCAATGATAGACTGGATAAAGAAAATGTGGCACATATACGCCATGGAATACTACGCAGCCATAAAAAACGATGAGTTCATGTCCTTGGCAGGGACATGGATGAAGCTGGAAGCCATCATTCTCAGCAAAGTAACACAAGAAGAGAAAACCAAACACCGCATGTTCTCACTCATAAGTGGGAGTTGAACAATGAGAACACATGGACACAGGGAGGGGACCACCACACAATGGGACCTGTCAGGGGGTGGGGGCATAGGGGAGGGGTAGCATTAGGACAAATACCTAATGCATGTGGGACTTAAAACCTGGATGACGGGTTAATAGGTGCAGCAAACCACCACCGCACAGGTATACTTATGTAACAAACCTCCACGTTCTGCACATTTATCCCAGAACTTAAAGGAAAAAAAAAAAAAAGGAAAAAAAATAGCAGGGTATGGTGCCACATGCCTGTAATCCCAGCTACTCAGGAGGCTGAGGCAGGAGAATTGCTTGAACCCAGGAGGCAGAGGTTGCAGTGAACCAAGATCGTGCCATTGCACTTCAGCCTGGGTGATAGAGAAAGACTCTGTCTCAAAACATACACACACACACACAAAACAAAAACAAACAAACAAAAAAACTGACCGGCCTGAGAACTCCCATGTGAAGATGTGAACCTGGATTTCCTTTCTCACCTTCCCTTTCTCAGCTACCCTTCTCCCCTTTGATACAGTAAAGGTGTATGTCTTATCCATCCCAAACCTTACCACGAGACATTGCCTGGAGAGGAAAAAAACCTGAGTTGGGGGTGGGGGGAGAGAGAGCACCAAACAGAGGGCTGAGGGCAAATGTTGGAAAGTAAACGTTCTTTTAATCAAGACTCCCCAGACCCTTCCCCAGTCATCTCAGTGAGAGATGAATTCCCATTAATTTTACATTTTCTGTTTAACAATTATCTAAATTTTAATCAGTTGTATCCCAAAATTTATTGCATTGATATCTCAATTCAGAGAAATGTTTAACCCTTAAAGCCTTATTATCCCAGGAAATATAAAAATTCTGAAAATTTTGCCTACAAACATATTTTTGATTTAGACACTATGACATGATGATCCATATGAGACTTACCAGCAGAAAAAAGATATGACATTCCTATAAAATTCTATGGGGGAAGTAGAATGGAAATAATGACTTAAAAGAGGAAGAGGAACATTGTAAAATTTCTAACTGTTAAAGGAGAGTTTGTTCATCAATTTTTCAATGGATGATGGTGGGTATAAAATTACTGTGATATTTAAATTCCATTGGATATATTTAAAGGAGTGATGTTAGCAGTTTAATTTTAAACATTAATATTTACAATACATAGGATGTTACACCCTTTACAACTATTTAAAACCATGAGGAAAAATTTAAAAAATATTTGATTGTGTATTTTTTCAGAATGCGTTCGGTGGCACATGAGCAAAAAACTGTGCAAAGGCCTCTGGTTTTGTCCAACTGCTTTTTTTTTTTTTTTAGATGGAGTCTCACTCTGTCACCCAGGCTAGAGTGCAGTGGCAAGATCTCAGCTCACAGCAACCTCCACCTCCCGTGTTCAAGCGATTCTCCTGCCTCAGCCTCCCGAGTAGCTGGGACTACAAGTGTGTCTCCACACCCGGCTAATTTTTGTAGTTTTAGTAGAGATGGGGTTTCACCATGTTGACCTCAAACTGGTTGGTCTCAAACTCCTGAGCTCAGGTGATCTGCCCACCTCAGCCTCTCAGAATGCTGGGATTATAGGCATGAGCCACTGCGCCTGGCCCAGCTGCTCTTTTTACAGATGAGCCATTTGAAAGTCAGAGAGAAGAAAGGACTTACTCAAGGTCATATGGCAAAATAGTGCCTGAGCTAAGACCAAAGCTGGTCTCAGGACACCCTCTTGGGCCCTCTTCTTTTTTTTTTCTCTCCAAATGCTAGCTTGCTGTATCAGGCTGAGTCTAGCAGTTCCCAGCACTCAAACAGGATGAAAGGTATGCAAGTTCATCAAGTGTTTATTTACAGACCTGAGAGCAGGACTAGGGCAAAGCAACAGAGGCCGATCAAGCACCAAGGACTAGCAACAGTACAAAGCCATTTCCACCCTGGGCCAGAACAGGTAGAGGGAAAGAGCACTTACCTGGACCTGACGAGACCTGTAGCTGTAGGAGAAGGCCCCCAACAGGACCTGTGTCTTTAGGGGAGGCATCAGGGCACTGCCAAACCACGGCTAGCAGCAAGAGAGCTAGGGGAGCAAATCCACAGATCTCTCTCTCCTCCTATGCTGTTTTCCTGCTGGTACCTTCATTGGTCAAATCATCCAGAAGCCAAAGGGCAGGGGAGCTAATTGTTACAGTCCTTAGAGGTCACCTCTTTGGGCACAGAGTAAGGCAGAGAAGGGCAGAGAGTCTAGGGGGCAACCAGAGAATGTCCACCACACATTCCATTTTGAACTTGACATTTGTACTTAAACAAAAAGAATAAGTTTCCCCGTCAAAAAAAATTGCAGCAAAACAAAGAAATCTGCCCCCTAGAAGAATCAGAAAGCCCATATTTATGAAGCAGGAGGAATTTCAGAGCAGTTTGGAAGGATTTTTATTTTTCATTTTGTAACTACGATACACAGATATCTACTTATTTTAATACTATAATATTTTGTCATCTCCTTTCATTGAAAACTGATCATTTTTGCAAAAATTGCCTGATTAAATCCTCACTCATGAATGCTTCAACAGGCTGCTACAAACTACAACTAAAACTCAGGAGTTGAGGGAAAGTCCCTGAGAAAAAGCAATGTTAATGGACACTTTAAACAGAATTATATTATGAAAGATAATAATATAAATTATTCATAGCCATATACTAAAGACAGGTTAATCCAGCTAGAATTCGATTGAAAGAATGTATGCAATTGCCATAATCAAAAATGCTTTCACACTTAAATCACCTTTCTAGGCAACCTGTGTCCATGTTATAGAAAGAGTAGCACCCTCTAGGGGCAGGGAGTGCCAATGGTCTATTGCCCTTTGACTTGGGCTTTTTCCTCATACCAGTAAGGTCATGATGGAGGTGGGGTGGAGGAGGGATGAGGAATATTTTTATCCCCAGTCCTCTTCCAAAAGAAAGCAAGTGGGTGATGCACAAAGACCCTCAGCTGGGAAATGGAAGACCTAGGTTCCTATTCTGGCACAGTCGTTGATTCGTTTTACATTCTTGATTAATGTCCTTCTCTCCAAACTCAAGTTTTCTCTTTGTAAATATTTATCTCCAGTATCTCTTATACTTCAATAGCTTCAGCTCTAAAACTAGAAAAAACAAAAACAGAAACAAAAATGTTATGGAATTGTCCCGGGTACTAGGTAATACTTGTGAAAAAAAACTTTGTAAATTTTCAGATGCTAAAGCAACATAAGGGAGGCCACACGGCATAGTAAGAACACATGACCAGAGTTAGTTAACCTGGGTATAAAATTATAGCCTGAAATTTCAAACTTCTGGCTACGGTCTAGTAAGGAGACCAGCAAATATTTTCCCCAAAAAATACCCATAAAGCTGGACAAAATTGATAAAACAACCCTTTCACTCCTCTTGAAATCAACTAATGGCACACAACAATTCCAGAAGCATTTATGTTTGAAAAACTATTGAACTTTGGGTAAGAACAGTGGAAGTGTGGTGTCTTTACCTGGGGCTGATCCTAACTTCCACCTTCTTCCCAGCTTAGTTGGTGCTGAGATTCTGTCAGGATATGGCAGGTCCATGAGGACAGACAGCTACACTTATTCAATTTGGAGCAATAGGTACCCATATCCAGCAGCACTGGTGAAAGTGATTATCCTGGCATCAAGTGAGGAGGGAGGGCCAATGGCTCTTCTTGTCTGAGATTACAGTCATGGTTAAGGCAAGCATATTCCTGGCTGAGGGTGCGCATATGAGCAGCCGAGACCAAAGAGAGTACAAACTGTATACACAATCCTGGCTGACCCTGAGGCTGGACACATGTGCACAGGAGACCCAGAAGGGCCTAGCTGAAATTAAAATGCTGGAGTCGACTTAACAGTGGCTTAAACTTTGAATCTATTCCCTTACCCACACACAGATTTCAGCACAAGACAGAATCCTTACTTGCTTGAGGCACTTCAGCACAACCTCTGTCCTATCATTAGCTGACTAGTGGGCTACACAGACACAGGGATGAGCCTTAAGAAGTCAGTCTTAAAAAGGAAAACAAGAATTAAAAAAAAATCTGGGCAGAGATATCAGCAGCTCCATATCACTGGGGAGATAGATTTAACTCAGGTAGGTTACTAAACAATGAACAAATTTTAAAAAGAACAAACCTTCGGGGGGGAAATACAGAATCCAGAGTTGCTACAATATATAACTAGAATCCTCAGTTTTCAAAAACACCACCAACAAAAATGAGACATGCAAAGAAAGTATGACTCATGCTAAAGAAAAAGGGGAAATGATAGAAACTCCCTCTGAGTGATTCTAGGTTTATCAGACAGACATCAAAGCAGCTATTTAAATATGTTCAAAGGGCTAAAAAAAATCACATTTAAAAAATTAAAGGAAAGTATGGAAACATTGAATCAACAAATAGACAATCTCAATAAACAGACAGGAATTATTGAAAAGAACCAAAGAGAAATTCTGGAGTTGAAGATATAATAACTGAAATGAGAAATTCATCTAGAGGACTTTAACAGAAGATTCAAGATGGCAAAGGAATGAATCAGTGAACTTGAAGATAAAAATTGAAGAAAAATGAATAGAGCCTTAAAGACTTTTGGGACAACATCAAGTATATCAGCACACATACAATGGTAGTCCCAGAATGAGAGGAGAGAAGAAAAAGGAAGAAAAAATTTGAAGAACTAATGTTAGAGGGGCGGGCGGCCAGCGTGGCTGGGCGTGGCCGGGCGCGGCCGGGCTGCCGGGACCCGGACCCTGGCCTGCGCGCTGTGCGGCTGCCAGCTCTCCTTCCTGCTACAGGTGTACGCGCTGCTGCCCCGCCGCGCCGACGCCTTCCACCCCGGAATCTTCCTCTTCTGCTGCTGAGAGCCGCCGTGCTGTGCCGGCCTGCGAGTTTTTACCAATCAGCTACCCAGGAAAAATGATTTTTCCTCATATAGGCCACCTTCTGAGAATCCTCTCCCAGAAACAGGACAATCAGTGTGTCTCTAACTTGAGTCTGGTGCTCATCTCTGCAGAGTTTGTGGTTGTTTAGGACCCAAAACGTGCTCCAGATGCCACAAAGCGTATTACTGCAGCAAGGAGCATCAAGACCCTAGACCGGAGATTGGCACATAAGCAGGCTTGTACAGAACCAGATCATTTGGACCATATAATTCCAGACCACGACTTCCTTTTTCCAGAATTTGCAGTTGTAGTAGAAACAGAAGATGAAGATTACACCTGAGGTTGTGGAAAAGGAAGATTACTCAGAGATTATAGGGAGCATGGGTGAGGCACTTGAAGAAGAACTGGATTCCATGGCAAAACATGAATCCAGGGAAGATAAAATTTTTCAGAAGTTCAAAACTCAGATAGCCCTTGAACCAGAACAGATTCTCAGATATGGCAGAGGTATTGCCCCCACCTGGATTCTAGTGAAAATATTCCTCAAGAAAAGGATATTCCAGAGAATATCCTTTGTGATGCCAAGAAAATGTTTGAATTCCAGGTTATGCCTCAGCTCCTAAACTACCTGAAGGCTGACAGACTGAGCGAGAGCATTGACTGGGGCATCCTGGCTGTCTTCACCTGGGCTGAGAGCTGCATACCGGCTATACAGAATAATTTGTGTGGAAGCAGGATGTAACAGATACACTGTAAAGGCATCTTAGAGCCTTAAAAAAAGTTAATAATCTTTTATACCTTGCAATTCCATTTCTGGGACGTCATCCTAAGGAAATACTTATACCAAAAATAGAGGTGCAGAGATGTTGAGACATTGCTTACACAGTGTCTTCATATTAGTGAAACAAAAGTGTCCAGTGACAGGGAATTAAATACATTTTGGTACATCCACAGTGGAAGGCTACACAGTCTTAATTATACACACCTATATTGACAATCGAGATACCATTATATGTGGTATTCATGGTATGACCCTATTCTTGTAAAAATATTTGTATATGTATATGTGCACAGAAATAAATCTGCAAAGATGATAAAAAAGAAATAATGGTAGAAAACTCCAACTTCGAGAAAAAAATTAAGATAGCACAGAGGCACAACAAATTTCAAGTAGGATAAATACAAAAAGATCCACATCTAAGCATATCATAGTCAAAGTGTTCAAAGACAAAGAAAATCTTAAAAGCAGAAAGAGAAAAATGATTCACTTTGTACAGGGAAGTACAATACTTTTAATTCCTGATTTTCATCTAAAATAATGAAGACCAAAAGGACATATTAAAAATACTGGGAAAAAAAGGCTGGGCATTGTGGCTCACACCTATAATCCCAGCACTATGGGAGGCCAAGGCCAGCGGATCACAAGGTCAGGAGTTCGACACCAGCCTGACCAACACGGTGAAACCGTCTTCACTAAAAATACAAAAATTAGCCAGGCATGGTGGCTCATGCCTGTAATCCCAGCTACTCAGGAGGCTGAGGCAGGAGAATGACTTGAACCCAGGAGGCAGAGGTTGCAGTGAGCCAAGATCATGCCACTGCACTCCAGCCTGGGCAACGGAGCAAGACTCCGTCTCAAAAAAACAAAACAAAACATAACAAAACAAATATATGAGAAAAAAACTATTAAAGTATTCTATATTAAGCAAAACTGTCCTTCATAAATGAAAGCTAAATAAAGCTATTCCTAGATAAATAATAAATAGGCTGAGAGAATTTGTGGCTAGAAGATCTGCTTTACAAGATGCTACAAACAGTCCTTTGGGCCAAAAGGAATTGACACCAGGTTGTAATTTGAATCCACAGGAAGAAATGAAAACCACCAGAAATAGTAAATACATAAGTTAATTTAAGAGAGTCTTATAATAACCTGTAAATGCTATAAGAAAATATAGCACCATATGGCACTCACGCTATATATTTTTGTTTCTCTTACCTTCTTAAAAAGATAAAAAATTTCATAAAACAATAATATCAACATTATATTATTAGGTTTATAACCTGATAATATATATGTGTGTGTGTGTGTATATAATATATATATGTATACACATATATATACATTATATGTGTATATACATATACATATATAAGTATGTATGTATGTGAATGTGTGTATGTATATACATACATACACATACATAACAGCACAAAGGAGGAAAAGAAGGAATGGGGCTACATAGAAGCAAAGTTTCTATATTTTACTAGAATGGAGTTAGTATTATGAAGTACATAGTGGTAAGTTAACATGCATATTATAATCCTAGAGCTACCAACAAGAAAATAACTAAGAAATAAATAGGTGTTAAATGGTATACAAAAATATTTAATACAAAATGAGAAAGTAAAGAAAAAACAGGATAAAAAGATAGGAGATATATAGAAAAAATATGAAATGACAAATATAAATCCAACCTATCAACAATTACATTAAAAGTGAATAGTCTAATTATCCCAATCAAAAGGAAGACATGGTCAGATTCTATTTTTAAAAAAGCACAATTCAATTGCATGCTCTGTCTAAAAGACACACCTTAGATTCAAAGACACAGATAAGTTAAAATATAGAGGATAGAAAACAGATATGCTGGCCAGGCGCAGTGGCTCATGCCTGTAATCCCAGCACTTTGGGAGGCTGAAGTGGGTGGATCACCTGAGTTCAGGAGTTTGAGACCTGCATGGCCAACATGGAGAAACCCTGTCTCTATAAAAATATAAAAAGTAGCCAGGCATGGTGGTGCATGCCTGTAATCCCAGCTACTTGGGAGGCTAAGGCAGGAGAATCGCTTGAACCCAGGAGACGGAGGTTGGAGGTTGTAGTGAGCCGAGATCACGCCACTGCACTCCAGCCTGGGCAACAGAGTGAGACCCCATCTAAAAAAAAAAAAAAAAAAAAAGGAAGAAAGAAAAGAAAAGAAAAAATATATGCCCTACAAGCAGTGACCAAAAGAGAGCTAGAGTGGCCATAATAACATCACAAAAATAGACTATGAGACAAGAACTAAGCTGGGCATCATGGCATGTACCCATAGTCCTAGCTACTCATGAGGCTGAGGCAGGAGGATCACTCAGGCCCAGGAGTTTGAGGTTACAGTGAGCTATGACCATGCCACTGCACTCCAGCTTGGCCAACAGTGAGACCTTGTATCTAACAACAACAACAACAAATAGTACTACAGACAAAGAGGGATATTTCATAATAATATAAGAGAAAAAACACAAGGAAAATATAGCACTTATATGTGTACCTTATAACACAGGCCCAAAATGCATGAAATAAAAACTAAAGAATTGAAAAGAAAAACACAGTTCAATAACAATAACTGGAGAATACATACCATGCAAGCTCCAGCCTACACACTTGGGAACCCTCACTGCGTCCCCATCTTTTAATCACAGCATAAAACCCCAGCTCAGTCTCCTTTGCTTGCTCTCTTAAGCAGTTTTTTTGGTGGGGAGAAGTGGAGGGGGAGTGGGACCAGTGTGAGAACCTTTCCTGATCTCTCCAGAAAACTTCATTTGGAGAGTAATAAACCTTTTTCTACTCTCTTAGTATGTTATGGCATCATCAGACTCAATCCCCAAACCAAAGTTTGGGTGGCAGGTCCATGCCACATCTGGATTTAATGGACTGAAATCAGAAATTTCAATAATTTGTGTCTAGAGACAGAAATATGGGATTAGGTATATCCTTAAAGTGGCCCTGGGTTTGAGAGTGTTCACAACAGTAGGATTTACACAGCATTATCAACCAACTTGAAGTATTTAATATCTATAGAACACTCGCCCAAGAACAGCAGAATTCACATTCTTTTTGAACACACATGAAACATTTTTCAAGACAGACCACAGAACAAGTCTCAATAAGGTTAAGAGGATTGAAATTATACAAAATATGTTCTCTATCATAATATAATTAAATTAGAAATCAACAATAGAGGAAAATTTAGGAAACTAAACATTTCTAAATAACAAATTGGTTAAAGAAGAAATCACAAAGGCACTTAGAAAATATCTTTAACTTATTGAAAATGAAAGCATAATATACCAAAATTTATGAGATGCAGCTAAAAAAGTGCTTAGAGAGAAATTTAATGCTTTAAATGCCTATAACAGGTATGAAATTGAAGGGAATAAGGGGTGCATTAATAAGGCCTCACATTGTGATTATATCAATAACCTAAACTTTGATCCTACAAAACTAAGAAGAGTAAATAAAAACCAAACAAGCAGGAAAAAAGAAAATAACAAAGATCAGATAAAATGTAACATTTTAAAAGATTAAAAATAGAGAAAATGAAACCAAAATTTGGTTCTTTGAAAAGATCAACAAAATTGACAACCTTTAGCTGGACTGACCAAGAACAAAAGAGAGAAGGCACAGATTACCAAAATCAAGAATGAAAGAGGAGCCATTATTAGAGTCTTAACATAAATAAAAAAGATTATAAAGGAATATTATGAAAACTTTGTGTCAATCATAATGTAACTAAATGAAAAATTTTCCCATGAAGATCAGACCCAGATGACTTCACTGGTGAATTTGATCACATATTAAAGAAATAATATCAATTTTTCATAAACTCTTAAAAATACAGAAGAGAACACTTCCTAGCTCATTCTATAATAATAATATTATCCTGAAACCAAAACCAGACAAAAATATCACAAGAAAACTACAGACTACTATCTCTTATGAATGTACATGCAAAACCCCTCAACAAAATACTAGCAAAGTGAATCCAGCAGCATATTCAAAGGATCATACATCATGACCATATGAGTTTTGTCACAAGAATGCAAGGTTGGTTCAGCATACGAAAAGCAGTTAATGTAATACATCATATTAGTAATATAAAAAGAAAAAAACCCACATAATCATCTCAGTAGACTCGGAAAAAAACAAGACAAAATCCAACAACTAGTATTATTGATAAAATCCCAACAAATTAGGAAAAGAGTGGCATCTATAAAATAGCCATAGCTACCATCATTCTTAATGGTGAAAGACTGAATGCTTTACTGTTAAGATCAAGAACAAGGGAAGGATGTCTGCTTTCATCATTTCTATTCACCATTGTATGGAAGTTTTCACCAATACAATAAGGCAAACAAACAAAACAAACAAAGTCACACAAATTGGAAAGGAAACAGTAAAATTGCCTTTATTCAGAGATGACATGAACCCTTATGTACAAAATCCCTCAAGGAATCCACAGAAAAACTGCTAGCAATGAAAATACAAGAAGAATAGACAAAAATGAATTGTATTTCCTTATGTTAACAACACGCTACTCAGTTAAATTATTCCATTCACAATAAAATAACAAGATAATAAAAAACATTCCAGCCCAGTGCAGTGGTGTGCACCTGTAGTATCAGCTACTTGAAAGGCTGAGGTGCTAGGATGATTTGAGCCCAGGAGCTTGAGACCAGCCTGCACAGCATAGGGAGCTCCTGTCTCTATTTAAAACAAAAAAACATTTCATTCACAATAAAATAAAATAAAGAATAAACTATATTACATTTAACAAATGAAGTGCTAGACATGTATACTAACAACTACAGAACACTGCTAGCAGAAATTAAAGAAGATCTAAATAAACTAAAACACATCCTATGTTCACGGATTGGAAAACTCAGTATTGTCATCATGGCAATTCTCCCAAAATGGATCCATAAACCCATTCTCTTTCTGAGGAATTTGCTTAAATCCTTTGAATCTTCTTCCTCACCTACAAAATGAACACAATAATCTCTTTCTCACAAGGTCATTGTGAGGATTCATTGAGAAAAATATATGTCCAATGATTAGCATGATATCTGGCAC